>NC_000002.12:164989618-166239618 GCF_000001405.40 Homo sapiens | reverse complement strand
GCCTCCCTCTGCACTTCAATTCCATTGAATTTCAGAACCTCTGCCAACTGCTGGGACCTTCTTTTTGCATCTTAGTAGGTCCATTCAGTCTTTCTGCCCCAACTTGTCTCTTTTCTTCAATATTGATACCAACAGTTTCCCAAAACTGCTAAGGATAATTTTAGAGTATTGAAAGCAGAACGTAGAATAAGAAGAATCTGAATGGCACAAGTTCATGACTGTAGACAGGTAATAAATATAATATTAACCACGAAGGATACAGGTCTTTGACTTTCATTTTATCCAACAGGGTTAATAGTGTTTCGATCTGAAAGAGAAAGTTCTAACACTTTAGACCTGTTGAGATCAGCAATCATTTTCAGTGTCTCAATGAGCCTTTTTTTTTTTTTTTTTTTTGAGACAGAGTCTTGCTCTGTTGCCCAGGCTGGAGTGCAGTGGCGTGATCTTGGCTCACTGCAACAATGAGCCCAATTTTTCAGTCCTTTCAAATTCTTTGTCAAGGGACATGTGGCTGAAGTCTAAAGTCAAAGTCACCCTGTCCTTTCACTGTGTTGTGGCTCCTCAGACAGAAGAGCATACACAAAATAGGAGTAAATGAGTGATAACCAAAATTAGTAACAGTAAAGCGTAAGCCCTACATTAGATAGAGCTCACCTAATGTTGTCACATAATGTTGTGTGTCACTTACTAAAATTTCTTGGAAAGCATAGGAAGCACCGCATTAATGGAGAGAATAGAACAGTGATTTTTAGAGCTGAAGCTTTGAAGGATAATATATGGATGAATAGTCAAAGGAAAAAGCACCCTCTGTGTTCTATAGGCCTATTAAGCTACTGCAGTCATTCATTTAGCAAATCTTTCCTTTCCTGCTGCTGTTATTAACATGGTACTAGGCACTGGGATGCACAAGCATTTGAGAGCTGAAAGACAGGCTCCACATCCTACTGGTGGGGAAAAAGGGGAGTGTAGGATGTGAAAAGTTTATAACAGTGGCTGGCCATGGGATCATGTCTTAAATTGCTAGGACTTATCCAATTTTAATGGAGAAAGAGGAGGAATCAGATGGAGGTGGAAATGATCAGGTGTCAGAGATCATGAGTCTTTTTGTGGATTATAAGTAATTTCATTCTTTTGCACTTTCTCTTGACCTCTGAAGACCAGCAGCAGCACTGGTGAGAAGGCTAGAACTAACTGTTATATGATAACTGTAAACCAGAAAAAATGTCAGCTGGCCCATGTCAATATTATGTTTCAGCAGTCTTAGCATTAGAATTGTATTTTTCCTGTTTTTTTTAAATGAATCATGAAGCTTAAGTTGTGCATGATTGAAACTTGAATATTATTTCCACAGGCTTTTGAAGATATTTATATTGAAAGGAAAAAGACCATTAAGATTATCCTGGAGTATGCAGACAAGATCTTCACTTACATCTTCATTCTGGAAATGCTTCTAAAATGGATAGCATATGGTTATAAAACATATTTCACCAATGCCTGGTGTTGGCTGGATTTCCTAATTGTTGATGTAGGTACTTTTGAGTACATTTTAAAAGAGGATTTATTCTTACTGTGTGTTGTGAAAAAACCTTCACCACTATTGCATATTATCATATTTTAATTTTGTTAAGCTTCATATATTTTCAGGCTATAGGTTTATTCTTTTAGAAATATTAACACAGCCAGTGGAAATATATCTGTGAGGAATATTAGAACAGAAATCGTTCAACAAATGTAAATTATTTCTGTGACATTGTAACATTTATAATTGAGTTTTTTATGTTTTCTGCAAAGGAGATGTGATTTTTTAAAAAATATGATTTGAATGTCATTCTTGTTAAGAATAAAACAAAATTTAGAAGTAGGAGATGATAAAAGGGCAGAGACACAGATTAAAGAGAGGAAATGATGATTATTCATAATGTAAAATTGGAAGATAAGAGAGGATGAGGGGCACATCAAGTTGGCTGATATGTGAGCTAAAATTTTTCTAAAAATCATTATACAAATACAAAGTTAACTTTGTATTTGGGGAGAGAGAAGTCATGAAATTTTAAAATATCTATCTCAGACCCAATTATAGGAAAAACCAAAATGAGACACAATTGTCTCTATCTCAAATATGCGACTTGCCCTTCATCTCCAGAATGGCAGTGGGGCAGAGGAGTAGGCATTATTATTAATGTAATAATTTTAGATAATAAATTCAAAGAACTGTTGAATACTTGGATGATGGAAAATACATAATAATTCTTTAGTTTACATATTATTTTAACGAAGTAGAAATATTTTTACAGGCTTCTGATTGAGATAGAGAAGAAATCTTAAAATAGTCGGTGAGATCAAGGACTCTCAAATAGAAACTAACGGTACAATACCCATTATTATCATTTCATTGAATGTACTCTAATTATTTTATATTTTAATAATATAACTTAATAATATATATGACATATTTTGTATTAATTAAAATGGCTTTCTTACATTATTTTATAACCTCAATCTCCCAGTCTTATTTTTCTCAGAATGATATGTTCTTTATCTTTTACTAATTCTTCTAGATTTTCAGAAACCTAACCTTTGTGTTTAGGGAAGAAACATCCTATAATCAGTCATAGTTTTTAGAGATTTGTTTTCCATATGATGCCTGACATAATTAGAGGTCAACACGCAAATTTGTATATGCCAATAAGTGCTTTAAAATTTAACCAAGGGTTTGCATTATCGAGCTTTTAAGAAAAGTTGAATTCATACAGCATCATATGTGGATTAGAAAATCACAAGTAAGCATGATCATACATAGTAAAATCTGACTGCAAAATGTTACCAAATTAGTCATATTTACTCAAAAGTTCAATTTCTCAACTGTTATTCAAAGCTTCATAAACTTTTGGCTTCTGGCCAGGCGCGGTAGCTCACGCCTGTAATCCCAGCACTTTGAGAGTCCGAGGCAGGTGGATCACCTGAGGTCAGGAGTTTGAGACCAGCCTGGCCAACATGGTGAAACCCCGTCTCTACTAAAAAATACAAAAAATTAGCCAGACATGGTGGCAGGTGCCTGTAATCCCAGCTACTCAGGAGGCTGAGGCAGAAGAATCGCTTGAACCCGGTAGGCAGAGGTTTCAGTGAGTCGAGATCGTGCCACTGCACTCCAGCTTGGGCGACAGGGTGAGACTCCATCTCAAAAAAAATAATAATAATTTTCGTTTTCTTAATCACACAACATATTAAATGTTAAAAACAATAACTTTTTTCTATAATATGTAATGTGAAAAAATTTTTAACATAGCTATATATTACACCTTATATGTGTTATCTTAGGTTTCCTCTATGAGAATTCTAACTTCGGATATAGTAATGATTTCTTGCTATTTTTCAATTAATCATTCATATATCAAGTTATCTAGTTACTGCCTAAAAAATGAAAAATGATAAAATGGGTATTTTTGTAATATAGTAGTTTTGAAGAAAGGCTGCCCCAAATAAGAAGAAATTATAGAAGGAATGTAGATTTTCTTTTCTCTTAAACTGTAAATATGACGGGGTCTCTCTCTTAAAAAATTATACAATATTTTAGATATTTTAAAATCTTTAAAATATTATCACAAATACACTCATTTTCATCATTCAGTGTAAGAAATGAAGGTTTACAAGTAAAATTGAACTTATTTTAAATTAAGAGATATGGCTGTTTAATAATGGAAATTGTTTTATTTGAAAATTTAAAGTGATGATTCTCAGTGAGTATAACCTCCTGTTCAGGGGTATGTAATGTGCAGAAATCAGGGAGATAAACAACTCCAATTTGAAATATTATTTAATATTTTGGAAACGAACAAATATAATGCAAAGCACAGAGAGTAAAGCTCCACACAATATTCTTGCTGACAGAGATGCAAATTTTGGGACACAGATTTGGGGGAGTGGCTGATTTTTTTTTTTTCTGAAAAGTATAGAAACTTATCTACAGCAGTTGTTCTTGAAGGATGGTCTCAAAACTGAAAACGTTGGCACATGTAGGTGAGAACTCATAAGAGATGCAAATTCTGCCCCCAACCCCAAGACATACTGAATCAGAAACTCTGGGGTTGGATGTGGCAAATCATTGTAACAAGCCCTACAGATGATTCTGTTGTATATTCAGATTTCAGAACTACTTATATTATTTGCTACTCAGAGAATGGACTTGTCTGATTTCTGCAGGCTTCTGGGTTATTTGAAACTTACTTGATTAAACAGTGTTCTTCAGTACAGGCGTATATTTGTATATATACGTGTGTGTTTATAGAAAGATGTGAATATATATGCATATATATTCTCAGTTACAAACTATACCATAGTCTTAATAATATGCATATATTCCGTGTCATAAAACTCACTTAACAGTGGCTTGGAGAACAGACCTATTAGTATTTTAGGGGCTGTATCAATTATAACAGACATGTCTTAGTCTACCTTTTATTGCTGTAACTGAATACCTGAGACTGGTTAAAGTATTCAATAAAGAAATTTATTTCTTAAAGTTCTGGAAGCTGGGAAGTCTAAGGTGAAGGGTCCACATCTGGTGGGAACTTTCTTGCTGGTGGGCACACCAGAGAGTCCCAAGGCAGCTCATGGCATCACATGGCGAGGGGTGTTCACTGAGAGCCAAACTGGGTTTTATAATAAACCCACTCTTGTGATATCTAACTCACTCCCATGATAACCCATTAAGCCCTTACTCTATATTCCATTCATGAAGGCAGAACCTTCATGACCTCATCACCTTTTAAAGGCTCTGCCTCTTAATACTGTTACATTGGGAATTAAGTTCCAACATGAGTTTCAAAAGGGACAAACATTCAAACCACAGCAAAACATTAAAAAAAAAATTTTCTGATTAAAGAGGGAGCATACATATTTTCAAGTGTTCTTAAGTGGAAAATAATGGATGTGAATGACTGGGCAAATTTAAGAGTGGCATGAGGAGTAATTTATTCTGCTAAATACGTAGCTTTAGGAATTTAAAAAAAAAAGCCATGTTACATTTAGTGAGACATCTGGAAATACTACATGAGGATGAGCACTTTAAAACACTTCCCGCTTCATCAGTCAGTTTACCTGTCTCTGATGGTAACAGCAATGAACTTTTTGTGAACAATGACTTTTTCTACGCCTGAAATAGATAAATATATAAAGTTGGCTCTCATCTGTTCCTATTCTTCCCTCGAAAAATTGAATCTCTCAGTCACTAACTTATTCGTAATGAAGAACTGCATTCCAGACATTTTTCTTAGACATCGTCTCCTGCTACACAGGATGTGAGGCAAATGAATATTTTCCATGGAACTAATTCAGAGAGTAAACATATTTATAGATCCAGATCTAAGGTCATGGAGGAGCTCATTGCTTTGTAACTAAAATGTGTATTGATTGTATTGCTGTTCATGTTCTTTCTTAAGATAATTTACGATAAGAACTCAAATTTCTTTTGGATACTGGTTATGGTAATTGTGGCTGATCTATCTAACATGATGAAGCTCTTATTATATCTATATTGATTGTGAAGCCAATGAGATCAGCTACTCTCATTCTCTCTTCAGTACAATTGTGATTTTTCTCCCATGAAAAACTATTTGGTAGATCTTTGGTGCTAATCTTTAGAAATTGTAGGGCAGAAGCAATCTTGTTGAGAATTTGCCCCAACTCAAAATCATGAGTCTTCAAAATGTTTTTTAATAAGATTTATACTAAGACATAGATTTAGTTGAGTGAATACCACACTTTTAGGGCTTAGCTTCAGAATCACACACTTCATTTTGACCTGAGTTTTATAATTAAAATGTTCACCATTGTTCTAATTAAATTTTTAGATTTAATAAGGAATTACAAAGCAATTGATTACAAAAGTGTGAAAAGCATATGCATGATTTCTATTCAAATAGAATAAACAACTTACTTTGCTTACATTATTTCTTCTTATTTTGGTTAACCTTCTTTTAAATCTATTTCCTTACAGAAACATCCATCTTACCCTATTTTTAGGCATTGACTACACAACTCCGTATATACCATCTTATTGTTCCTGTTGAGTTGCTTTTAGTGAGTTTCAGAATTGACTTTTTCCTTTTATGCTTCATCATTTTATTGACACAATTAATGAAAATGTTATTTTTATAGGTTTCTTTGGTTACTTTAGTGGCAAACACTCTTGGCTACTCAGATCTTGGCCCCATTAAATCCCTTCGGACACTGAGAGCTTTAAGACCTCTAAGAGCCTTATCTAGATTTGAAGGAATGAGGGTAAGAAAATACTAAACTTTATAATGTTCTTATTTTTTAATGGGGTTTAAAATATAAAAACAATGGGTATGTAGAAATTATGAGTTGTTTCTGTTTACATAAATACATAGGCTGTTTATGTATGTGTGTGTACATATACATATATACATATGCATATATGTATATATGCATATGTATACTATATAGTATGCATTTACATACTATATACAGTATGCATATATACTATATATAGTATGCATATATGGTATATATATGCATATTATATACACTAATAGTATATATATGCATATTACATATACTAATAGTATATATGCATATTATATATACTAATGGTATATATGCATACTAATATATAAATACTAATTATAGCATTAATTAAATAGTATATTACTAAAAATAGTATAATACTCATTAGTATATACTAGTATATTACTAAAAAAGTATAATACTAATTAGTATATACTATTATATATTAATATATACAGAATATGAAAGACTATATATAAAATATGCATATATAGTATAGTATATATATTATTTCATTTACTGTACATATTAGTATATATATGCATACTCTCTCTCTCTCTATATATATATATATATACACACACAGTATTTCAGTGCATATTGTTTAACAAGGGAATAAGTTAATCACAGTAATCCTGCCTTTATCTAATATTGTCAAACAATAGAATGATCCAAATGAGTGACTTTTTTCATATTAAATGGAAATCTTCCCTGTGCTAGGAAGTCCAAGTGAAAGGGGAAACTATTGTTCCTAACATCATCTCTCATACATAAGTAATCAAGGACCTACTTATATCAGGTGTTCAAATAATATTTGTTTAAGAAACTACCTGGGTAAGGAGCATTAGAAAAGATAGGTAAGTGAGACAGCATCAGCCATCACATTTAATTTCACCTTTAAAATAACATTGCAAAGTAAGTGGAATTATAACTAAATTATATTTGAGAAAACTAAAGCTCAGAGAGTTTACTTAATTTGCACTTAGGCTGCAGAGTGCCTGAAAAGATACTCAATTAGCAGAGACAAACAAGTTATAATGAATAACAACTACCATAACCTAGCTTTAAGGATTGTATTAAACCAGCAACTTTGTAACACACATGGAGGACAACAACTCTATTTTCTGTAATTAGTCCATATCCTCATGTGTTGGTACTCCTCTAAAATTTCTTCTCCAGATTTATACCTGCTATTTTATGCCTCTGTTCTGGAATGCTTCCCCTGCCCTGTCCCGACCCTAACCCGTTTGTATAGCAGACAAACACCTATCTGTCCTTTAAGGCTCAATTTAAAGTTGCCTTGTCCGTCCACCAGGAGACATAACTGGATATTCTCTCTCTGTTCAGACACCTAAAATCCTCATTATATTGTATTTTACTTATTTGTTTACTTAACTGCCTCCCTACCTTACCTTCTCTGAGCAATTTAACACGGAGATTAGTCCAGCTTACTGATACTTTAAGTGTGGTTTACTGACCAGCTATTAGCATTATCTACAAACTTATTAAAAAGACGGACGGATCATGAGGTCAGGAGTTCGAGACCAGCCTGGCCAATATGGTGAAACCCCATCTCTACTAAAAATGCAAAAAATTACCCGGGCATAGTGGTGCTCACCTGTAGTCTCAGCTACTAGGGAGGCTGAGGCAGAAGAATCGCTTGAACCCGGGAGGCAGAGGTTGCAGTGAGCCGAGATCATGCAACTGCACTCCAGCCTGGGGAACAGAGCAAGACTCTGTATCAAAAAAAAAAAAAAAAAAAAAGCAAATTCTTGGATCTCACCCCAGACCTACTGAGTCAGAAACTCCAGGATGGGGATAAGAAACTTGGGTTTTAACCAGCCTCAAGTGAACATTAGAGATCTTTCAGCCTACCAAATCTTCACTGTTATCCCTACAAACCTAATTATGACTGCAATCTCTGCTATTTTAATTATCCAGTGTATAACGGTTTCCAAGTATAAAAGAAAGATCATGATTATACAAAAAAGTTCATAAGCACAATTCAAAAATATTCTATCTACAAGTTGAAAATTACAAGTTTCATTTTGTGCAGAAAGGTGGTATTAGAATTCATTGACATTAACTTAATTTTTTGAGCATTAATAGAATGTTACAATCTATCACAACTTTCCCCTACAAAACCACTTCCTTCAGTGATTAAGCCAGCCCACTATTTAACTCTGTTTGCTCTTTGTTCTTTATCTGTATTACAGGTGAATTGGATGCAGGAGAATAGTTTAGTATATTTTGAGAGGCAAATGTCTATTTAGTTACATTTGTTAACCATGCAAAAAGAGACATTTATTCATGCCGCAGGGCTATTTTGAAGGATAAATGAAATAATGAAATAATGCATTTGAGGCATATTGTAGTCAGCTTGTTTGAGTCCTTAGGCTCTTTAGCTTTCCCAACTGGCTTCTCATCAGACCAATAGGTGCCTGTCTTTCTCAGAGACCCATGATTCCATCATTACTCACATTTTTTAGAAAAACATTTTAAACACCAACTATGTGTCAGGTGTTGTGATATAAAAAACACAGAGTACAGTGGTACATAGACCCCGGTCCCCAAAGAGTGAGTAGGGTCAATGGTTACAAGAGAGACAGACAAGGGCACATAATGATACAGGAATATACAGTAGGGAGTGGCTATCCGGGGAAGTCTGGGAAGACATCACAAGGAGGTGACATTTCAGACATTTCATGACTGAAGAGTAAGCCCCAAATCATAGGCAGATAGGCATTCAAGGCAGTGATACCACATGGTAGGGAGGCACAGAATAGATTGTGCAAGGTGTGCTTGGTCAGTGACTAGATGTATCAGAGTGCCTACGTGATAAACATAGTAGGGAGGGCAGCAGGAAATGAGCATGAAAAGGTAGGCTCTATTAAGAGCTGGCTACTTTGAACTTCATTCTCTATTCCTATTCCTCCTAATCTTTTTTGAGGTCACATAGACTGTAAGAATCTGATGAAAGTTAGAATTGTCTTTCCGGAAAGACAGCACAACCATAATGTTTGTTATATAATTTCATGCCCCCAGGAAACCTCTACAGGTCCATGAACTCCAAATAATCATTGCTCTGGACCAAAGGTCAACAAACCCCAGCCTGTTTTTGTAAAAATGTTCTTGGAACACAGCCATACCAGTTTGTTTATGTATGACCCATGACTACCATGGCAGAGTTGAATAGTTGCAACGGAGATATAACCCACAAAGCCTAAAAATATTTATAAAAATGTTTGCAAACCTTCTCCCTAGATGATCTGATTAGTAGTCAGAGATCCTTAGTATTTCTCTATTTTAAAGCATCTTGAGAACCTGCTTAATACATTGCAGAAAAGAAGGATCCCAGTGCTCCTTCCCTAACAGGTTAATCTTTAACACATTTGTACTTGAATGGGTGCTCAAGCTGAAGTGTAAGATGACAGGTAGGTTTTGAAAGATTAAGTAAATAAGAAAATCTGGAGAGTGTTAAATGCCACAGGAATTGCCCTGGATGAAAACTGGAGTGGCAAAGACAAACTGGTGATCAATAGCAGTACAAATGCTGAAAAGCAGAAATAAAGAAAGGATTAAAGAAAAACTGTTCCTAATTTTTGTCTTAACTGAGGCCAGCACTATATATATTTAGTCAAAGGCTTACATATAAAGTATTTAGAGTAATAATAATAAATTTAAAACGATTGCTCTTATTTCGTAGAACCAGCCAAATCTAAAGGATTTAAACCATTTAAAGATTCTCAATCCTTTTGTGGAGAATGTCTCAAAAAAAGAGAATAAGAAAAGAAAATAATTAAATTAAATTAAAATGATGTCCAGTCATAATTCCACCTACCTGATATACACCAATAGTTTCTCTATGGGGGAATCTTTAATGCTGGTAATAATAGGATCATGAACATTTAAATGTATATAAATATATATTTTTCATTTATGTTTATACATTTCTTTTTTTTCCAGAGTGTACAGATTTTACAAGTTTACCTTATCAATAACAGGTTTTGGTTTATTATTTTTATTTATTTTACATTTATTTAAGCTATTATATTATCTTAGTTATTTTGTCTTATATTTTGCTAACAATTTTATTGTGTGATAATCATGTAATTTGTAAGCCTGGTGATCACAGAGTTCATGTCTTATTTTGTCTTGCTTGGCACACTGCTGAGTGTAGAGTAGGCATTTAATAAACATGAGTCGGCTGGTTGGTTTGATGTCTTAGATATTTAAGGGCGGCTTTTCTAATTTATTTATGTCTGCATGGCATTTCTTTCATGTTGCCTATTTAACATCTTACTAATCCTAATCATGCTTTTCTTTCTTTTGAATACTAGGTCGTTGTGAATGCACTCATAGGAGCAATTCCTTCCATCATGAATGTGCTACTTGTGTGTCTTATATTCTGGCTGATATTCAGCATCATGGGAGTAAATTTGTTTGCTGGCAAGTTCTATGAGTGTATTAACACCACAGATGGGTCACGGTTTCCTGCAAGTCAAGTTCCAAATCGTTCCGAATGTTTTGCCCTTATGAATGTTAGTCAAAATGTGCGATGGAAAAACCTGAAAGTGAACTTTGATAATGTCGGACTTGGTTACCTATCTCTGCTTCAAGTTGTAAGTGTCCCATTTCATGAGTGCTTGGTATTTTAATAGATATTGGACGAAGGATATAAGTTATTCTTTAAATAGTATATTAATTATAAATTGAAGATAAAATACTGTGTGGTTTTTAAAACAGTGCCAGTCTTGGCCGGGCGCAGTGGCTCATGCCTGTAGTCTCTTCACTTTGGGAGGCCAAGGTGGGCAGATCATGAGGTCAGGAGTTCGAGACCAGTCTGGCCAACATAGTGAAACCCCATCTCTACTAAAAATACAAAAAAATTAGCTGGGTGTGGTGGCAGGCGCCTGTAATCCTAGCTGCTTGGGAGGCTGAGGCAGGAGAATCACGTGAACCTGGGAGGCGGAGGTTGCAGTGGGCCAAGATCGTGCCACTGCACTCCAGCCTGGGCTACAGAGCGAGACTCTTGTCTCAAAAAAAAAAAAAAAAAAAAAAAAAAGTGTTGGTCTTTCCTAGAACATGTTCCTACATGAATAAGAAGCATGGGTTCTGTTGCATTTGAGTTATTAATTTATAATTGACTCTTTGGTGTCATGTGGACTCCCATCTTGCACCATTCAAATATTGCTTCAAAAATGAACGTTTTTGAACTTCCTGCTTCACACTATGAAGGGATGAGAGGAACTTCCCACAGGCATGGAGAACCCTTTAAAAAATGGAGAAAAGATGTTTCCTGTCTTATTCATAAAATTTTCCTTCACCTTTAAAAAATAAAAGGTTATGTGCGAAATTCACAGGCAACTGTAACAATTTAGAAATAATTAACTGGGACTAAGATTTAGAATGTTACTTGGGAATATGTCCTTTTTAAAAAAATCTTTACATTAAATGGACATGTTGAATACAGCAAAACTTACTAGTATTACTTAATAATTGTGGTAACATTAAACAGACAAAACTCTGTTTATGGCTATTTTAGAATATGAGCTTAACATTCAAATTCTATTAATGTTATTCTTAAAGGCAACTTTTAAGGGATGGACGATTATTATGTATGCAGCAGTGGATTCTGTTAATGTAAGTATTGATTATCTTAGCACTAAACTTTATTTTTAAAAGCTTCTTAGTTTATTTCAGTGATTTCCAAACTATAACTTCATGAAGCCCTTGGGACTCACATAGACAATGAAGAACATCCACCTGATAGTAGCCTAGTGGTTGTGAGTACAGCAGTTGGAGATAGAGCCTGATTCAAATTCTAGCTGTACCATATCATCCAAGCTCTACAACTGACTTCGGGCAAATTACCTTACCTTCTTGAGACTTAGTTTATTTGTCTAATCTATAATTTAATGAATCTATCATTTGTCTAATAAATGTCTACAATCATCCAATGCCTACTCCATAGTGTTGTGAGGACCCAACAAGAAAATAGAAGCAGGGCACTTAGTGCAGGCTGGCATTACTAAATGCTCAGTAAATATGCGCTTATCAAAATAAAAATAAAATAATTTTAATGTATAGCTTTTACTGTTTTTACAGTTTAAAACACCTTGGATGAGTTTATGTGAAATAAGTTCCATGCTAAGAAACTTTAATGATTACTCCCTAGGTAATATTTTTACAAAATATAATAAAGATGTATTCGGAATCAAAAGAAAATACATGGCAAAATGTGTATAAATATGATAATGTCTCATTTACAGTACTTTTGGAAATAACATATACATAGTATGTCACTTAGTTATTGAATTTTCCTACCAATATGAGCACAAATATGCATATGATTAAGCCCTTTGTAGTTATTTGAAGATTATATTATTTATTACATAAGTATGTAATAAATTAAATAATAAGTATGTAATGAATACATGTTGAATAAATTGTTAAGAGTGATTATGTTAAACCTCAACAATGCTATGGCTTCTTAAATCCTATGTTTACCTAGGATAGCACTGTTTGAATTACCTGGTCAAACCATGTGAAAAAGAAAATAATGAATGTTACTGTCCATATAATGCTAACTTTTGTAAATTTTATAGGTAGACAAGCAGCCCAAATATGAATATAGCCTCTACATGTATATTTATTTTGTCGTCTTTATCATCTTTGGGTCATTCTTCACTTTGAACTTGTTCATTGGTGTCATCATAGATAATTTCAACCAACAGAAAAAGAAGATAAGTATTTCAAATATTTTTCATTGTAATGAAAGGGATGAACAATTATTTTCCAAAAAAGATAATGTAAAGTTTAATTTGATATCAATTCATGATTAATTTTATTAGAACTTCATTTATTTTTCAAATAATTGACTAGTATACAATTACAAATATGCTTAATCTTATTCATTTTTGCACAGAAAACAATTTTCTAAATAATAGGTTCTGGCTAACTTATGATTTAGGTTAAACCCATAGGTTTTGAGCAATATATCAACTATTCTGTTTTTTCCAATGTTTCCTATAGAGGATTGAATAATTAAGAAAAATCAATACACTATTTATTCAAAACACATTTTATAAGTAGTTATTTATTTTATTTTGTGTAATATATATTGGGTTGGAGCTTGGGGAGACCAACGTAAGATATGGTTCCTGAGCTCAAGGAGTTTATGTCATAGCAGAATAAATAACACAGGTAATGAAAATTAAGACTTGTTGAATACTGTAATTTGAGCAATCTTCTGAAATTTTTAATTAATTAATCTTCACATCAACTGTATTAGTTTCTTTGACCTACGAGAACAGGATAATACAAACCTGAGGGCTTAAAACAAGAGAAATATATTCTCTCACACTTTTGGAGGTTAGAAGTCCAAATTCAAAGTGTCAGCAGGTCCATGTTCTCTTTAAAGCCTCTAAGAAAATATATTTTATTGCCTCTTCCAGCTTCTGGTAGCCCAGGTGTTTCTTGGTTTATGGCAACAGAACTCCAATCTCTCCCATTATAGTGACATGCCATTTTCCCTCTGTGTGTCTTTCTCCTCTACTAGTAAGGATGCCAGTCACACTGGATTAAGAGCCCACTCCACTCCAGTATGACTTCATCTTAATTACATCTGCAATGACATTATTTTCAAATAAGGTCACATTCTGAAGTGCTAAGGGTTAGGACTTATATGTACCTTCTTAGGGCACACAATCCAACCCATAACATCAATCACAAAAGTATTATTACAGAGTCTCTTTCACAAATGAGGAAAGGCACACAGAGGTTAAGTGACTTACCCAAGGTCATATATCGAGTATGTGATGAAGGTTAGATAGAGTCAGTAGTAAATTCGATGTATCTTGTACTCTATTAAACTCTCTACTATGCTCTATCCCCAAATACTATAATCATGATAAATACAATAAGAAAAATTAACAAGCACAAAAAATATACATGACAGTCAGAGTAAAAATAGATGCTGCTATAGAATGGTTTATGAAATACGTGACAATTGAGAAGGCTTTGGAAGGTGGGAAAGAAGACATGTAGCAACGGAGAGGCAAAAGAATGGCTAACCCACATGGAGTGAAACAGAAATGAATGAGCAAATGAATTGTGTTGATAAAAGAGGCAGCAATTCAGGGGGGATAGCAATGCTTTCGGTTTTGAAGAAATTTAAGATTTGGAGAAATAGTAAAAGATGAGGTTTTAACCTGCCTGAGAGTAGATATAAAAAGCCGTATTAGACCTTTTTTAATAGCAGCTGGTGTTTCATTCATATATGTTGAGTAGGGAAGAATATGGAAGCAGGAGATTGATGTTTATTAAGACTCCATGATATGTCAGATCCTGTGTAAAATACTTCTAACATAATTGTAGTCAAATTTTACAACAAATCTAAAAGACATAGTATCCTCATTTAACCTCTCAGAAAAATTATCTTATTTGCACATGGCCTGACAGCTAAAAAGTAGTTTCATTATGGATCTAGCTCCAGAATTGCTTTTTCTAGAGACTGAGCTTTACAAAAAATTAATCTAGCAGTGATGCACAAAATGACTAGGGAAGGACCAAAGACTATTTCAGACCCTGCTTGACCTGCCACCTGGACCACACTAAGTCTCCAAATTAGTCCTGTGTGTCAATGGAGAATAGGAAATATGTTCCATTAAAACATTTTAGAGGGTAGAATCTACAGTATTGCTTGTGATTTGCAAGAGATAAAGGAGTCTAATTCTGGAGTTTCTTGTCAACTAACTGAGATACTCTGGTTGTGGTACCACCTATACAAAAAGAGATCTTTGGAGACTAAATGGTAGAATTACAAAAGAGAATAATAATTTTGGGTACTGGCTTAGCATCTAAGAAGACAGATGTACATGTACCAAAATGTCATTAGTGTGCATGATTGACTATTTGCAAGTAGACAAAAATTTAGTAAATATTGCATTATTTATCCTGACATTTACAAATACAGATGTTTATTTTTAAAGATTTTTAAATTTCATGTTCCATTTTACATTTATAAAGTGTACACTGATTTTCAATTTATTTTTCTCAACTTAAGCATTATATATACATACATGTAATATATAAGCACACACAAGTAATTCCTCAGTCTTCCCTGCATAGGATAAATTAAGCGTGTCTAGAAAGAGCAGTATGAGCATAAATAAAACAGCCAACATCCAATTGACTTTAATCTTCCTGCTTGTTAATGTTATTCTTACAACATTTCTACTGCAGGAAGTAAAATAGGATGGGTTGATACTATCACCACCAAAGTCAGGAAACAGTTACTGATTTAGAAGCATCAAAAACTCATATCCCCTATCATTCTTCCAGTATTTCATCTTGCAATCTAAGTATAGCTTTTATTTTCTGACCTTTTCTGAATGATTTAGAATTTCTTTCCACTCTTCCCTGAAAAAACATGACCAACACTTCAATTAGTTAACACATGCTATGTAGAAGTACGTAGTAGATGCTTTGTGATGAACTCATTTATTCCAAAGAAAAAAAACAAATGAAAGTGGTATCCTTTTCTTTGCCTTTCCTAATTTTAATTATTGTGGTAAGGAAACTTAATATGAGATCTACCTGCTTAACAAAATTTTTAAGTATACTATATATATTGTTAACTATAGTTACGAAGTACTACAGGAAGTCCCTAGAACTTATTCATCTTGCATAATTGAAACTTTATTCCCATTGAATAGCAATTCTCCATTCTCCCATCCTTTCATGCCCTGGCAATCACCATTCTTCTCTCTGTTTCCATGAGTTTGACCATTTTAGTTACTTCACCGAAGTGGAATTATGCAATATTTTTTCTGTTACTTCACTCAGCATAAATTTATCCAGGTTCATTCAAGTTGCTGCATATGGCAGGATTTCCTTCTTTATAAGGCTGAATAGTGTGTGTTTGTGTGTGTGTGTGTACGTGCACACGCACATGCAGGTATACAAATACCACATTTTCTATCCCATCATTCATCAATAGACATTTAGGTTGTTTTCATATTTGGATACAGTAAATAGTGCTGAAGTGAACATGGAAGTAAGGACTCTGAGATCCTGAGTTCAAATTTTTAAAATATGCTCAGATGTGGCATTGCTAGATCAAATGGTAGTTATATTTTTAATTTTTTCAGGAACTTTCATACTGTTTTCTATGGCAGCTACATCATTTTACATTCCAACAATGTACAAAGGTTCTAATTTCTCCATATCCTTGCCAACACCTATTATCTTTTGATTTGGGTGGTTTTTGTTTTTGTTTTGGTAATAGCCATCCTAGCAGGTATGAAATGATATCTCTTTACGGTTTTTTGTTGCTGTTTTTTTTTTTTTTTTTTTTTTTTTTTGTTGTTTTTTTTTTTGAGACGGAGTTTCGCTCTGTCGCCCAGGCTGGAGTGCAGTGGCGCGATCTCGACTCACTGCAAGCTCCGCCTCCCGGGTTCACGCCATTCTCCTGCCTCAGCCTCCCGTGTAGCTGGGACTACAGGCGTGCGCCACCATGCCCGGCTAATTTTTGTATTTTTAGTAGAGACGGGGTTTCACCCTGTTAGCCAGGATGGTCTCGATCTCCTGACCTCGTGATCCGCCCGTCTCGGCCTCCCAAAGTGCTGGGATTACAGGCGTGAGCCACCACGCCCGGCCTTGTTGCTGTTTGTTTGTTTGTTTTTGAAGGAGTCTCACTCTGTCACCAGGCTGGAGTGCAGTGGCGCGATCTCAGCTCACTGCAACCTCCGACTCCCTGGTTCAAGTGATTCTCCTGCCTCAGCTTCCCAAGTAGCTGGGATTACAGGCATGTGCCACCATGCCCAGCTAATTTTTGTATTTTCAGTAGAGATGGAGTTTCACCATTTTGGCCAGGATGGTCTTGATCTCCTGACCTCATGATCCACCCACCTTGGCCTCCCAAAGTGCTGGGATAACAGGCATGAGCCACTGCACCTGGCCCTCATTACAGTTTTTATTTGAATTTTCTGATGATTAGTGATACTGAGCATCTTTTAATATACATGTTGGTCATTTGCATGCCTTCTTAAGTTGCAGGAGTTCCCTATATATTTTGGATATTAACCATTTATTAGATATATAGTTGGAAATATTTTCTCCCATTCTATAGGTTGCTTTTTCACCCTCTTGAATGCTTCCTTTTTTTCCCAAAGCTTTTTAGTTTGATATGGTCTCAATTGTCTATTTTTGCTCTTGTTTGAATTTTGGAGTCATTGCCAAGAAATCATTGTCAAGAACAGTATCATGAAGCTTTCCTGCTATGTTTTCTTCTACAAGTTTTACAGTTTTCAGGTCTTAGGTTTAAATGTTTAATCTATTTTGAGTTTATTTTTGTGTATGGTATAATATAAGAATTCAATTTTATTTTTTTATATGTGAATATCCAGTTTTCCCAACATTATTTGTTGAGTGGCCTCTTTTCTATTGTGTATTCTTGGCACCCCTGTTGAATATGAGTTAACTATTTATGCATGGGTTTATTTCTGGGCTCTCTATCCTGTTTCATTGGCCTATATATTTGTTTTATGCCAGGACCATACTATTTTAATTGTTGTAGCTTTGTTATACATTTTGAAATGAGGACCTGTGGGGACTGGGTGCAATGGCTCATGCTTATAATCCCAGCAACTCGGGAGGCTAAGGCTGGAGGATCACTTGTGGCCAAGAGTTTGAGACCAGCCTGGGCAAGATAGACTCCTTCTTTACGAAGATATTTGAAAAGTAGCCAAGCATGATGGCACACACCTATAGTCCTAGCTACTTAGGAGCCTGAGGTGGGAGGATCACTGAAGCCCAAGAGTATGAGGCTGCAGTGAGCTATGATCATGCCACTGCACTCTGGCCTGGGCAACAGGGTGAGATCTTCTCTCTCAATAAATAAATAAATAAGAAATGAGAAAATGTGATTCTTCCATTTTGTTCTTTTTTCTTAAGATTGCTTTGGCTATTCAGAGTCTTTTGTGGTTCCATATGAATTTTAGGATCTTTTTTTATTTTAGTAAATAATGCTATTGGGATTTTGATATGTACTGTATTGAATTCACAGATCACTTAGGGTAGTATGGGCATTTTAACAATATTAAGTCATTTAATTCGTGAATACTGGGTCTTTCCATTTATTTGTGTCTTCTTTAATTTCCTTCATGAACATTTTGTAGTTTTCAGTGCATACATTTTCAATGCCTTGGTTAAGCATATCCTAAGTATTTTATTTCTTTTGATGTTATCATAAATGGGATTTCTTTCCTAATTTTCTCTTCAGATTGTTTATTGTTAGTGTATAGAAACGCAGGTGATTTTTGTATGTTGATTTTATATCCTTCAACATCTAGTAAATTTGTTTATTAGTTCTAACAGATTTTCCTGATGTGTGGAGTCTTTAGGGTACTCTCCATATAAAATAATGTCATCTGTAAACACTTTTTTCTTTCAGATTGGGATGTCTTTTACTTGTTTTTCTTGCCTAATTTCTCTGGCTAGGACTTCTAGTGCTGTGTTAAATACAAGTGGCAAGAGTAGCCATATTTGTCTTATTCCTGATCTTACAGGAAAGTTTTTCAGTTTTTCACCATTGAATACGATGTTAGCTGTGGGATTTTCAAGTAGTCTTTGTTATCATGAAGTATATTTCCTCTGTTCTCATCCATTTGTGCTACTATAACAGAATACCACAGACTGGGTAATTTATAATGAACATAAACCTTATGGGATCACAGTACTGGAGGATGGAAAGTTCATGACTGAGGGGCTGTCTGGTGAGGTCTTATTTGTTGTGTCATAACATGCTGTAAGGTATCATGTTATGATACACATGGCACAAAGAGAGAATAAGTGAGAAAAGGAGGCAGAACCTGCCTGTTTATAATGAACTCAATCCTGAGATAACAGCATTAATGCATTTAAAAGGGTAAAATTCTCATAACTTAAACACCTCTTAAAGGTCTCACCTCCCAATTCTGTCACAATTGCAATTAAATTGCAACATGAGCTTTGGAGGGGACAAACCTTCAAGTTATAGCAACTTCTATACCTAGCTTTTGTTTTCTTTTTTTAGTTTTTACCATGAAAGGTTGTTGAAATTTGTCAAATGCTTCTTCTGAATCTCTTCTGATGATCATGTGATTTTTATCCTTCTCAGATCATGTGGTGTATCACATTATTGGTCTGCATATGTTGAACCATCCTTGCATCCTAGGGACAACTCCCACTTGGTCGTAGTACATGATCATTTAATGGGCTGTTGCATTCAGTTTGCTAATATTTTGATGAAGTTATTTGCATCTATGTTCATCAGGGATCTTGTTCTGTAGTATGTTTTTTTCTGTTTAAATATTTGTTCATTTTTAATTGACAAAAATTGTGCTTATTTATGGGGTACAAAACAATGTTTTGATCTACATAAACATTGTAGAAATTTTCAGTCACGCTAATTAACATAACCATCACTTCACCCACTTATCATTTTTTTGTGGTAAGAAAGTTAAAAAGCTATTCTTTTAGCAATTTTGAAATATACATTTATTTTTTTCATTTCCTATTGTGTGACTTTTTTGACTTTTATTTTAAGTTCAGGGGTACATGTACAGGATGTGCAGTCTTGTTACATAGGTAAACATGTCATAGGGGTTTGTTGTACAGATTATTTCATCCCTGAGGTATTAATCCCAGTATGCATTGGTTATTTTTCCTGACCCTCTCCTTCCTCCCACCCTTCACCCTCCCATAGGCCCCAGTGTGTGTTGTTACCCTTTATGTGTCCATGTGTTCTCATCATTTAGCTCCCACTTATAAGTGAGAACATGTGGTATTTGGTTTTCTGTTCCTGCCTTAGTTTACTAATGAAAATGGCCTCCAGCTCCATTCATGTCCCTGCAAAGGATATGATCTCGTTTTTTTTTGAATGGCTGCATAGTATTATATGGTATATATTTACCACATTATCTTTATCCAGTCTATCACTGATGGTCATTTGAGTTGATTCTATGTCTTTGCCATTGTGAATAGTGCTCCAATAAACATATGTGTGCATGTGTCTTTATAATAGAAAAATGTATTTCCCTTTAGGTATATACCCAGTAATGGGATTGCTGGGTTGAATGGCATTTCTGTCTTTAGGTCTTTGAGGAATTGCCACACAGTCTTCCATTATGGTTGAATTAATTTACACTCCCATCAACAGTGTGTAGGCATTCTTTTTTTCTCCACACCCTCGCCAGCATCTGTTATTTTTTGACTTTTTCATAATAGCCATTCTGACTGGTGTGAGATGGTATCTCATTGTGGTTTTGATTTGCATTTCTCTAATGGTCAGTGACATTGAGCTTTTTTTCATATGCTTGTTTGTTGCATGTGTGTCTTCTTTTCAGAAGTGTCTGTTCATATCCTTTGCCCACTTTTTAATGGGGTTGTTTATTTCTTGTAAACTCATTTAAGTTCCTTATAGATTCTGGATATTAGACCTTTGTCAGATGCATAGTCTGCAAAAATTTTCTCCCATTCTGTAGACTGTCTGCTTACTCTGTTGATAGTTTCTTTTGCTGTGCAGAAGCTCTTTAGTTTAATTAGATCCCATTTGTTAATTTTTGTTTTTGTTGCAGTTGCTTTTGGTGTCTTCATCATGAAATCTTTGCCCATGCCTATGTCCTGAATGGTATTGCCTAGGCTGTCTTCCAGGGTTTTTATAGTTTTAGATTTTACATTTAAGTCTTTAATCCATCTTAAGATTTATTCCTCTACTCTAAATGAAAAATGTACATCCTTTGATCAAGATTTATACTTTCTCCACATCGTCTTCCCCCAGTCCTATGGCAACCACCTTTATATGCTGTTTCTGTAATGTTGACTTCTCACTTTTTTATTTTTTATTTATTTATTTTTTTATTTTACTTTAAGTTCTAGGGTACATGTGCACAACGTGCAGGTTTGTTACATATGTATACATGTGCCATGTTGGTGTGCGGCACCCATTAACTCGTCATTTACATTAGGTATATCTCCTAATGCTATCCCTCCCCCCTCCCCCCACCCCATTTTACATGTAAGTGAGATCATGTGGTATTTGTCTTTCTGTACCTGGCTAATTTTGCTTAGCATAACGTCCTTTAGTTTCATTCATGTTGGGATGAATGACAAAATTTGTTCTTTTAAAGTTTTGTATAGTAGTGCACTGTGCATACCTATCACATTTTCTTTATTCATTCACCTGTTGATGGGTACAGGTTGCATGTATGGGTTAGTGCAAAAGTAATTGCGGTTTTGGCCATTACTTTTAATTGCAGCAAAAGTAATGGTAAAAACTGCAATTACATTTGCACCAACCTAATATGTCTTGGTTCTTGTAAATAATGCTGAAATGAACATGGGAGTGCAGGTATACCTTTGACAGAACGATTTTAATTCCTCTAAAGGAATTAAATATATACCACTATATACCTAGAAGTGGAATTGCTGAATTATATGGTAATTGTATTTGTTTTGGGAACTTCCATGCTATTTTTCTCAAACAGCTGTACTAATTTACATTTTCACTAACAATGTATAAGGGTTCCTATTTCTCCACATCCTCATCAACACTTGTTATCATTCATCTTTTTGATAACAGCCATTCTAGGAGGTGTGAGGTAATATTTCATTGGGATTTTAATTTGCATTTTTCTGATGATTAGAGATGTTGAGCATTTTTTAATATATCTATTGGCCATTCATATCTCTTCTTTTGAGAAATGTCTGTTCAGATTATTTGCCCATTCTACAATTGGTTTATTGATTTTCTAGGTGTTGAGTTGCTTGAGCTTTTTATGTATAATGTTGGATATTAGCCCTTTATCAGATGTATGGTTTGCAGATATTTTATTTCAATCCATGATCTCTCTCTCCACTCTGTTATTGCTTCGTTTGCTGTAAAGAACATTTTTAGTTTGATCTAATCCAACTTGTCTCTTATTGTCTTTTGTTACCTGTGCTTTTAGAGTCCTAGCCAAGAAATCCTTGCCCAGATAAATGTCATACAGCTTTTCTTTTATGTTTTCTTCTAGTAGCTTTATAGTTTCATTTCTTATATTTAAGTCTTTTACTTGTTTGGTTTTATAAACATATGGTATGAGAAAGGGCCCAATTTCATTCTTTTGCATAAGGAATATTCAGTTTTCCCAACACCATTTATTGAAGAGATCGTCCTTTCCCCCATTGTTTATTCTTTGCACCTTTGCTGAAAATCAATTGACTATAAATAATTGGGTTTATTTCTGGGCTTTTTATCCTTTTCCATTAGCCAATATATCTGTGTTTATGCCAATAGCATAGCTTTATATTTTGAAATGACAGAGTATTGCACCTCTAGCTTTGTTCTTTTTGCTCAGATTGCTTTGGCCATTTAGCATCTTTTTTATTTTATTCAAATGTTAGGATTTTTTACTATTTCTGTGAAAACTGACATTAGAATTTTGATAGGGATTGCATTGAATCTGTAGATTATTTTGGGTAGTATGGACATTTTAACAATATTAATTCTTCCAACACATGAACATGAAATATATTACAATTTATTTGTGTCTTCCTCAGTTTTTTTAAATCAACTTATAGTTTTCAGTGTACAGATCTTCAACTTTCCTGGTTAAATTTACTTCAAAGTATTTTATTTATTTATTTTGATGCTGTTTTAAATAGGATTAATTTCTTAATTTCTTTGTTGGATACCTCATTGTTAATGTATAGAAATGCTACTGATTTTTCTATGTTGATTTTGCAAACTGCAACTTTACTGAATTTATGTATCAGTTTTAACAGTTCTCAGTAGAGTGTTCAGGGTTTTCTACATATAAAGATCATGTCATTAGCAAACAGAGATAATTTTATTTCTTGCTTTCTTACATGGATGTATTTTATTTCTTTTTCCTGCCTAATTGCTATGGATGGGATTTCTAGTACTATGTCAAAAAGAAGTGGTAATAGTCGATATCCTTGTCTTGTTCCTGATCTTAGAAGAAAAGCTCCCAACTTTTCAGTTTTTGCATAATGTTAGCCGTGGGCTTGTCATATATGGCTTTATTTTGTTAAGGTACATTCCTTCCATATCTGCTTTGTTGAGATTTTATTATGAACATATGCTGGATTTTATCAAATGCTTTGTCTGCATCTAGTAAGATGATCATATGATTTTTGTTCTTATTTTGTTAATGTAGCATATCACATTTATTGATTTATGTATGTTTAACCATTTTTGCATCCCTCAGATAAATCCCAAGTAATCATGGTGAATGATGTTTTAAATGTGCTAGGGAATTCAGTTTGCTAATATATTGTTGTGAATTTTTGGATCTATGTTCATCAAGAATATTGGCCTGCAGTTTTCTTTTCTGGTAGCATACTCTTAGGGTTTTCATATCAGTATAATACTGGCCTCATAAAATGAATTTGACCTCCTTTTCAATTTTTTGGAAGAATTTGAGAAGAATTCATATTACTTCTTTAAATAGAATTCACCAGTGACCTTTTCCTTTTTTTTTTTTTTGGTTAGGAGACTTAATTTATTACTGATCTATTTTCTTTATCCAGTATTGGTTTGTTCAGATGTAATATTTCTTGATTTAGTCTTGGTAGGTTGCATGTTTCTAAAGATTAGTTCATTCCTTCTAGGTTATTCAATTTGATGGTGTATGGTTGTTCACATTAATAGTTTATGATTCCTTGTATTTATGTGTTATCAGTGTTAGTCTCCCTTCTTTCATTTCAGATATTGTTTGAGTTGTCTTTTTTCCCTTGGTTAGTCTAGTTAAAGGTTTTTCGATTTTATCTTTTCAAAAAAACAACTTTTTAGTATTTGCTTTGTTTATTTCTATCATTATCTTTGTTATTTTCTTCCTTCTGCAAAGTTTGGGGATATTCTGTTCTTCTTTTTCTAATCTCTAAGATGTAATATTAGGTTGTTTATTTGAGATTTTCCTTCTTTCTTTAATGTAGGCATTTATTACTATAAATTTTTCTCTCAGGGCTTCTTTTTCTACATTCCATACTATTTGTTATCTTGTGTTTCCATTGTCATTGATCCCAAAATATTTTCTGTTTTTCCGTATAATTTCTTCTTTGACCCATTGCCTGTTCAGGAGCATGTTGTTTAATTTCCACGTAATTATGAGTTGTTCAAGGTTATTCTTATTGACTTCTAGTTTCATGTCATCATGAACAGAAAACATACTCGATATGATTTTAATCTTCTTAAATTTGTTAAAACTTGTTTGGTGGCCTAACATGTGATCTATCCTGGAGAGTGTTTCATGTGATTTGAGAAGAATATGTATTTTGTTGCTGTTGGATGAACTGTTCTATAAATATCTGTTAGATCTATTGGATTAAAGTGTAGTTCAAGCCTTCCTCTAATAAGAAACTGCATAAATTATGTCAGGAGCAAGCCAGGGAAGAAGCCACCTTCCTGTTCTTGGTGGTAGAGACCTTCCACATCTTTTAAAAGAAAGATTGTGGCCGGGCGCGGTGGCTCACGCCTGTAATCCCAGCACTTTGGGAGGCCGAGGCGGGCGGATCACGAGGTCAGGAGATCGAGACCATCCTGGCTAACACGGTGAAACCCCGTCTCTACTAAAAATACAAAAAATTAGCCGGGCGTGGTAGCGGGCGCCTGTAGTCCCAGCTACTCGGGAGGCTGAGGCAGGAGAATGGCATGAACCCGGGAGGCGGAGCTTGCAGTGAGCCGAGATTGCGCCACTGCACTCCAGCCTGGGCGACAGAGCGAGACAGCGAGACTCCATCTCAAAAAAAAAAAAAAAAAAAAAGAAAGATTGTAGAGTTGGGATTGTCTCTGGAGGAAGCCAGGGAAGAAGGCGTGGGGAATGTTATTCCTCTTGTTTAGGCTGAAGAAGGTTTATTCTTCATTTGCTATGTAGATTTCCAAGTACTGGAAGAGGCCAGAACCACAGGGAGCGGCTGGAAAACGTGTAGCCTAATGGTTTCCATGGGGAAGTTGGAAGATGGTCTGATCCCAGGAATTAAAGCTTCTGAGAGTGCTCAGGCAGTTCAAAACCCCCCATCGTTTTTTGTACTTGAGAGAAAACTCCAATGGCTTATCTCTGCCATTCCTCAAGCATGGTGATCTAAAAGCCAAGCTCTGTGTCAGGGCCTATAAAAGTTGGGTTCTACAAAATGGAAAACCAAGGCAATTATGAAGATGATTTTATAATATAGTTCATCTCTTCTCTCTTTACACTCTAGAAAAAGCATTTTCTAGAAATAAATACATTTCCTTAAATTAAAAAAAAGTTGGGTTCTATATGTGTGCTATAGTTTCTCAACCCTTGGGAAGTAGCTGCAAATTTGGTTTTCTTCCCAAATGTAAGGCACTGTGCTCAGGGTGGGGTTAGTGCATGAGTGTCTTTCCACTTTTTCTACCCATTTTGATATGGGTATTTTCTGTCCTCTGGTGTGCATGAGTTTTTCTACTGGATTCTGGGTTTCTCTGGAGAGAACTGATCCATGTGTATGTAGATGTTTACTTGGTACGTCCATGAGAGAAAAAATAGTCATAAACCTCCTATTCCACAATGTTGCTGAAGTCACTTCCTTCAAAAGCTGTAATTTTCTTTTCTTACAGTGTCTTTGTCTGGCTTTGATATGAGAATAATTCTGGCCCCATAAAATGACTTTCGAAGTGTTCTTTCCTCTTCAAAGTTTTAAGAGAGTTTGAGAAGAATTAATGTTGTTTCTTCTTTAAATGTTTGGTTGGACTTCTCCAGAGAAGCCGTCTGGTCCTGTACATTTCTTTTTTGGGAGTTACTATCATTATCATTATTATTATTATTATTATTATTATTATTATTATTGGTTCAATTTGTCTATTCAGTTATTCTATTTCCTCATGATTCAGTCTTGGTAGGTTGTATATTTTTGGAATTTACCTATTCCTTCTAAGTTATCCAATTTGTTGGTGTATAATTGTTCATGGTAGTCTCTTTGATCCTTCTTATTCCCATAAAATCAGTTGTAAATTCTCCTCTTTCATTTCTGGTTTTACATATTTGAGTCCTCTATCTTTTTTCTTAGTTATGCTTGCTAAGGATTTGTCTATTTTATCTTTCGAAAAAACCAATTCTTAGTTTTGTTGACTTTTTCTATTGCTTTTTTATTCTCTATTTCACTTACTTAGCTCTAATACTTATTATTTCCTTCCTTTTGCTGATGTTGGGCTTAGTTTGTTCTTTTTCTAGTTCCTAGACATGTAAATCTATATTGTTTATATGAGATATTTCTTTTTATAATGTAGACATGTATCTCAATAAGATTTGCTTTTATTACTGCTTTTGCTGCATCTCATAAATTTTGGAAATTGTGCTTTCATTTTTGTTTGTTTCAAGATACTTTTAAATTTTCCTATTGATTTTTTTTCTTTGACCCATTGCTTTTTCAAGAGAGTGTTGTTTAATTTCCACATATTTGTGAATTTTTCAGTTTTCCTTCTATTACTGACTTCCAGTTTCCTTCCATTGTGGTCATAAAAGATATCTGGTATGATTTCAACTTCTTAACAGTTGTCAAAACAAACTTCATGACCTGATATGTGATCTATCCTGAGAATATTCTGTGCGCACTTGAAAAGATGGTATATTAAGATGCTGTTGGGTAGCATATTCTGTGTGTTTGTGATCCATTTGGTCTATAGCGTTGTTCAAATCCACAGTTTGTTTATAGATTCCATATCTGGCTGTTCTGTTCATTATTGCAAGTCGGGTATTGATGTATCCTACTGTTATGGTGTTGCTGCATGTTTATCCCTTCAGATCTGTCAATGATTGCTTTACGTATTTACATGCTTTGATGATGGATTCACATATATTTATAATTGTTATATCTTCTTGATGAATTAACTCTTTTATCTTATTTTATGACCTACTTTGTCTCTTGTGACAGTTTTTTATTTAAAATCTATTTTGGCTGATATAATTACAGGGTGTCCTCTGTGTCTGTGGGTTTTACATCTGTAGATTCAGCCAATGCTGATTGAAAACACTGTATTCATGGAATGTGAAATCCACAGATACAGAGGGTCAAATTTTTTTATCCACAGGTCCTGCAAGACTGACTGTGGGACTTAAGCATCCTCAATTTTGGTATCCCTTGGGGTTCTGAAACCATGACCCTGTAGATACTGAAGGACGACTGTATAGCCCCATTGCTCTCTTTTGGTTACCATTTCTACAAAATGTATCTTTTTTATCAATTAACTTTCAAACTATGTTTTCTTAAATCTGAAACGAGTATCTGGAGACAGCATATAACTGGATCTTGTTTTCATAAATCTATGCAGCCATTGTAGGTCTTTTGATTGGGAAGTTTAATCCATTTGTATTTGAAATAATCATTGGTAGGTAATGACTTACTATTGCCTTTTTGTTAAATTTTTCTGTTTTGTAATTCTTTTTTTCTGTCTTTTTCTCTCTTAACTGTCTTCTTTTGTGATTGGATGATATTTTATTGTGATATGCTATGATTTCTCTTTTTTATTTCTGTATTTTTACGTGGATTTTCCTTGTGGTTATCATGAGGCAATCACAAATATCTTATAATAGTCTACTTTAAGCTGATAACAACTTAACTTCAATCATATATCAAAAATCTTCACTTTTAATACCTCCCTCACACTTTTTGTTATGTCACAATTTACATCTTTTTATAATGTGTTTCTACAAACACATTTTTGTAATTTTAGTTATTCTTAATTATTTTGACATTTAACTTTTATATTAGAATTATAAATGATTTATATAATACTATTAGAGTATTACAGTATTCTCTATTTGTCCATGTATTTACCTTTACTAGTGAGATTTGTGCTTTCATATGCTCTTGTGTTGCTCTTTACCATGCTTTCGTTTCAACTTGAAGAACTCACTTTAGCATTTCCTATAAGATAAATCTAGTGGTGATGAACTCCCTCAGCATTTGCTTGTATGAGAAAGTTTTTATCCTTCCTTAATTTTAAAGGACAGTTTTTCCAGGTATATTATTCTTGGTCAGCAGTTTTTTTCTTTAAGTATTTTGAATATATACTTTCACTTTATTTGCTCTTTTAAAGTTTCCACTGAGAAATCTGCTGTTCATCTTAAGAGAGCTCTTTTGGACATGACAATTCAGTTTTTTTCTTGCTGCTTTCAAACTTCCCTTTCACTTTTGGCAATTTGATGATATTATGTCTCTAGTGGAGACTTTCTTTCTTTTTTTTCCGAGATAGAGTTTCACCGTGTTGCCCAGGCTGGAGTGCAGTAGCATGATCTTGGCTCACTGCAACTTCCACCTCGTGGGTTCAAGCAATTCTCTCTGCCTCAGCCTCCCGAGTAGCTGGGATTATAGGCACCCACCACCACACCCAGCTGATTTTTGTAATTTTTGGTAGAGATGTGGTTTTGCCATGTTGGCCAGGCTGGTCTTGAACTCCTGACCTCAGGTGATCCACTCCCGCTCAGCCCCTCAAAGTGCTGGGATTACAGGTGTGAGCCACCATGCCCAGCCGAGACTTCTTTAGATTTGTCCTATTTGGGATTCTTTGAGTTTCCTGAATTTAGATGTTCATATCTCTCCCCAAATTTGAACATATTTTAGTCATTTAAAAAATATTTTTACACCCCTTTCTGTCTTCTCTGTGATTTCATAATGCATATATTGTTCCACTTAATGATGTCCCATGAACCTTCACTCATTTTTTTTTTTATTTCTTCTTGCTCCACTGACTGGATAATTTTAAATGATCTACCTTTTTTTTTTTTTTTGGTGTCCATCTTTTGAGGGTTTTTTAATTTTATTTTTTATTTTTTTATTTTTATTTTTTATTATACTTTAAGTTTTAGGGTACATGTGCACAACGTGCAGGTTAGTTACATATGTATACATGTGCCATGTTGGTGTGCTACACCCATTAACTCATCATTTAACATTAGGTATATCTCCTAATGTTAGGTATATCCCCCTCCTCCCCCCACCCCACAACAGGCCCTGGTGTGTGATGGTCCCCTTCCTGTGTCCATGTGTTCTCATTGTTCAATTCCCACCTATGAGTGAGAAAGTGCAGTGTTTGGTTTTTTTCCTTGCGATAGTTTGCTGAGAATGATGGTTTCCAGCTTCATGCATGTCCCTGCAAAGGACTTGAGCTCATCCTTTTTTATGGCTGCATAGTATTCCATGGTGTATATGTGCCATATTTTCTTAATCCAGTCTATCATTGTTGGACATTTGGCTTGGTTCCAAGTCTTTGCTATTGTGAATAGTGCCGCAATAAACATACGTGTGCATGCGTCTTTATAGCAGCATGATTTATAATCCTTTGGGTATATACCCAGTCATGGGATGGCTGGGTCAAATGGTATTTCTAGTTCTAGATCCTTGAGGAATCGCCACACGGACTTCCACAGTGGTTGAACTAGTTTACAGTCCCACCAACAGTGTAAAAGTGTTCCTATTTCTCCACATCCTCTCCAGCACCTGTTGTTTCCTGACTTTTTAATGATCACCATTCTAACTGGTATGAGATGGTATCTCATTGCGGTTTTGATTTGCATTTCTCTGATGGCCAGTGATGATGAGCATTTTTTCATGTGTTTTTTGGCTGCATAAATGTCTTCTTTTGAGAAGTGTCTGTTCATATCCTTTACCCAGTTTTTGATGGGGTTGTTTTTTTCTTGGTTTGTTGATTCTTTCTCCAGTTTGATCAAGTCTGCTATTGAATCCTCTAGGGAGTTTTTTAGTTCAATTATTGTATTCTTCAATTCCAGAGTTTTTACTGATATTTGACTTTTTGTGTGTGTGTGTATAGTTTCTTTCCCTTCATTGATATCCTCATTGTGTTCATGTATCATCTTCCTGATTTTGTTTAGTTGTCTATCTCTGTTCTCTGGTACTTTGCTAAACTTCATTAGGATAATTATTTTGAATTCTTTTTTAGGCAATTTATAAATCTCTATTTCTTTAGGGTCAGTAACTGCGGATTTCTTTTATCCCTTTTTGTTGTTTCCCTAATTCTTTGTGTTCCTTGTGCTTTGCATTGGTGTCTGTGCATTGGAAGAATAGCCACCTGTCAGCCATCCGACACAATGTCACAAAGGACACAAAACAGCCACCAAGATTTATGGACTGACTTTGACAGGGCAAGACCTTTGCCAGTCAGCCTGGCTAGAGATACTGAGAGTCTCTCAAACAGCTAATCTACCGTCCCCTTTTCCTATGTTTGTAGCTGTATCAATTGTTCTAATCATACTGGTTCTTTCAGTGCTCCATATGAGGCAAGAGTGAAACTGGACCCTAGTGCAGCACACTGAATGGCAAGGACATTTGATGTGCTCCACTCCTCTCCCTCCCTTGAAAGTGGTATCTTGATGAAAATGAATAAATTAGCCCCTAGAAAGGATGGATAAATTGTTTCAAACCAAGTAACAGGATACCAGCACAGTTATGATTGAAATGCCTGTTTGATTTGAAAACCCATATCTTTTCCACAATGCAATGTTGCCACTTACTGCTTTTTAACTTCAATAATTTGATCAAAGCTTATGGCTCTATCAACTACCCATGCCTCTTTCTAATAACCAACCCTATTTTACTAGTTTTTCCAACTATTCATCATCCTCATAAGTACTTTTTTCACCTCTAATGATTTCATGTGAAATTAGTTTTTAATAATCATAAAACATACTACTATTAGAACAAAAGTCATTAATGAGTTCAAGTTATAAAAAGGAAGATTACATGATATACAAATATATAATTACAAATTTGAGCAACTATGGAGTAAATGTTAACAATAACCTCATTTCATTAACTCTCATCTTATCAGGAAGTTTAATAGCACCAACAGTAATAGTAACTAAAATTTAATGAAGACTTACCATGTGCCAGATATTATGCTAAGTATTCTTCATGCATTACCTCAATTTATCTTCTCAGCAAACACAAATGCAGTGACTACTCTTATAATGATGAGGTGGTTTTACTTAAAGAATTAAGAAACTTACCCAAGGACAAAAGAAAGGACTTGAACAAAGATGATCTGACACCAGAAGTGAAGAAGTCTTTATTACTATGTAATACAGCCTCAATGTAGATTGTAACACAGAAAAAAACTAGCCTGACTTACAGAATTCCTTCCACCTAGGTTTTAAAGGGATACATTTTGCACAAGGCCTAAATAAGCTATAGGAAAACAAAACACCCACGCAAGTTTCTCTATTGAATTAATTCATAATCTCCTATTAGTTTTATCCCATTCTTCATCATATTGACAACCAGGATATCATTAGGGGAAAACAAAATCTATTACTTTGATTTTCTCTTCAAAGTTGGAGTTTTCTCCTCAGTTTTTCTCCAGCTTCTTCTGTCAAGTTCTTGGCATGCTGTAATTTTCAGTCCCCATTAATGAACAGTAAAGGATCTGGGTTTCTCTTGACATTGACATGAAGTCTGTCTCTCTCATGCCTTGCCAGTAGGTGAGATGAATATGAAAATTACATAAAGACTGCATATTAAATAGAGGAAAGCTGAATTAAAACACTCTAAGGTGGCCGGATATGGTGGCTCACGCCTGTAATCCCAGCACTTTGGGAGGCCAAGGCTGGCAGATCACTTGAGGCCAGGAGTTCAAAACCAGACCAGCCAACATGGTGAAACCCTGTCTCTACTAAAAATACAAAAATTAGCCTGATGTGGTGGCATGCACCTGTAATCCCAGCTACTTGGGAGGCTGAGACATGAGAATTACTTGAACCCAGGAGGTGGAGGTTGCAGTGAGCCAAGATGGTGGCACTGCACTCCAGCCTGTGCCTCAGAGCAAGACTCCATCAAAAACAACAACAACAACAACAACAACAACAAAAACACTCTAAGGCAGAAAGGGAAGTCTGGTTACCATTAGGTGTTTGATGAATAAGAAAATTCAATATAATGGGAAGCTTCCCATTCAATAGCAAACAATTAAAAAAATAAGTAAATAAGAGGAAGCTGAATATTACCAAATCCAAGAGAATAAAGGGAAACCATAACCAGGTCATCTTTAATTCCAGCACCCTACAAGTTAAGTAATGATCTCAGAACTATAAATCCTTGAAAATAAATTCTTAATTATATGGATTATACTAATTTATGCTGTGACTTAAAAAGGTGAAATTATAGACTAATGTAGAATATACATAAATCTGTAAAACTTACAGCTAACTTAAGAAATTAGCAGAGAACAAAGGGAGCAACTGAAGCTTCTAGCCCCCCTTTGTAAGATTTAGGCTTTTCCAGTCAAAAACCTCATTTAGATGTTATGTTATTTACTGTTGAATTTTAAAAGTTATATTTTCTTTTATGTAATCAATTGGAAAGTCCTTCAGTTTGGGTATGATAATTGATAACTTCCTCAGTACCTAGAAATCTATCAAGGATAATGTTGACATCCAATAAAGTGTTTATGTTGAAATCCTTTATTTAGAATTAAAAAGGTAGTCAAAGAGTTTCTTGAAATAGAGATATAGAAATGTATATTATCATTTTAGTTTATATTCATTTTTTATGTAAAGGAATAATGGTATATTAAAATGAATATAAAATTAATACAATTTTGGTTATTGTATGTAGCCCCTATTCTTTTTTTATTATTATACTTTAAGTTCTAGGGTACATGTGCAAAACATGCAGGTTTGTTACATAGGTATACATGTACCATGTTGGTTTGCTGCACCAATCAACTCATCATTTACATTAGGTATTTCTCCTAAGTAATCCCTCCCAAAGCTCCCAACCCCCTAACTGCCCCTGGTGTGTGATGTTCCCCTCCCTGTGTCCATGTGTTCTCATTGTTCAACTCCCACTTATGAGTGAGAACATGCAGAGTTTGGTTTTCCGTCCTTGTGATATTTTGCTGAGAATGATGGTTTCCAGCTTCATGCATGTCCCTACAAAGGACATGAACTCATCCTTTTTTATGGCTGCATAGTATTCCATGGTGTATATATGCCACATTTTCTTTATCCAGTCTATTATTGATGGACATTTGGGTTGGTTCCAAGTCTTTGCTATTGTGAATAGTGCTGCAATAAATATACATATGCATGTGTCTTTATAGTAGCATGATTTACAATCCCTTGAGTATATACCCAGTAATGAGATTGCTGGGTCAAATGGTATTTCTAGTTTTAGATTCTTGAGGAATCATCACACTGTCTTCCACAATGGTTGAACTATTTTACACTCTCACCAACAGTGTAAAAGCGTTGCTATTTCTCCACATCCTCTCCAACATCTGTTGTTTCCTGACTTTTTAGTGATTGCCATTCTAATTGGCATGAGGTGGTATCTCATTGTGGTTTTGATTTGTGTTTCTCTGATGACCAGTGATGATGAGCATTTTTTCATATGTCTGTTGGCTGCATAAATGTCTTCTTTTGAGAAGTACCTGTTCATATCCTTTGCCCACTTTTTGATGGAGTTGTTTGTTTTTTTCTTGTAAATTTGTTTAAGTTCTTTGTAGATTCTGGATATTAGCCCTTTTGTCAGATGGATAAATTGCAAAAATTTTCTCCCATTCTGTAGGTTGCCTGTTCACTCTGATGATAGTTTCTTTTGCTTTGCAGAAGCTCTTTAGTTTAATTAGATCCCATTTGTCTGTTTTGGCTTTTGTTGCCATTGCTTTTGGTGTTTTAGTCATGAAGTCTTTGCCCATGCCTATGTCCTGAATGATATTGCCTAGAGTTTCTTCTAGGGTTTTTATGGTTTTAGGTCTTACATTTAAGTCTTTAATCCATCTTGAGTTAATTTTTGTACAAGGTGTAAGGAAGGGATCCAGTTTCAACTTTCTACATATGGCTAGCCAGTTTTCCCAGCATCATTTATTAAATAGGGAAGCCTTTCCCCGTTGCTTGTTTTTGTGAGGTTTGTCAAGGATCAGATGGTTGTAGATGTGTAGTGTTATTTCTGAGGCCTCTGTTCTGTTCTGTTGGTGTATGTATCTGTTTTGGTACCAGTACCATGCTGTTTTGGTTACTGTAGCCTTGTAGTATAGTTTGAAGTCAGGTAGTGTGACGCCTCCAGCTTTGTTCTTTTTGCTTAGGATTATCTTGGCTATGCAGGCTCTTTTTTGGTTCCATATGAACTTTAAAGTAGTTTTTTTCCAATTTTGTGAAGAAAGTCAGTGGTAGCTTGATGGGGATAGCATTGAATTTATAAATTACCTTGGGCAGTAATGCCATTTTCATGATATTGAGTCTTCCTATCCATGAGCATGGAATATTCTTCCATTTGTTTGTGTCCTCTTTTATTTCGCTGAGCAGTGGTTTGTAGTTCTCCTTGAAGAGGTCCTTCACATCCCTTGTAAGTTGGATTCCTAGGTATTTTATTCTCTTTGTAGTAATTGTGAATGGGAGTTCACTCATGATTTGGCTCCCTATTCTTTATAAAAGTTCTAAATATTTGCCAAATCATCAAAGAAGATATTCATTACTTTTAATTCTTACAAATTTTCTTAGCAATAAAAGTCACAGTAAGACAGCTAGCAGATAAAAAAGATAAAAGTACATAGTTTAAAACAACACTGATTAGCACACCAAAAGAATATTGAGCCAATCCTTATTATATGTAATACAAATATTTATATATGCACATTTAACTGTGTTTGGAGACCCATGTTTCTACACATATGTAATTATTTAAGATATATTTTATGTATAGCTATCATGAACATAATAAAATACATTTTATTTCTATATTAACACATTTTAACCTATTTTAGTAATCTATAGAAAGATGTAGACAATGATTCTGGTTTTAACTACATTTATTTTTTGTTTGTTTCTTTACCTTGGAGGTCAAGACATCTTTATGACAGAAGAACAGAAGAAATACTATAATGCAATGAAAAAGCTGGGGTCCAAGAAGCCACAAAAGCCAATTCCTCGACCAGGGGTAAAAAAATATATATATCTTTAGCATATAGATTTTCAAATTATTTCTAATTCATTTTTAATGCACATCTTTAATTTCTGGATAATACTTGAAAAGTTTACTCTGCATTCGATATTATTCTTATTTCTTTGCAGAACAAAATCCAAGGATGTATATTTGACCTAGTGACAAATCAAGCCTTTGATATTAGTATCATGGTTCTTATCTGTCTCAACATGGTAACCATGATGGTAGAAAAGGAGGGTCAAAGTCAACATATGACTGAAGTTTTATATTGGATAAATGTGGTTTTTATAATCCTTTTCACTGGAGAATGTGTGCTAAAACTGATCTCCCTCAGACACTACTACTTCACTGTAGGATGGAATATTTTTGATTTTGTGGTTGTGATTATCTCCATTGTAGGTAAGAATATTTATTTTTCAGATTTTATTTTTTGAGTAAAGCTAAACTTCACTTATGCTCAAGGAAGTATATGCTGAATTCTTGAACACAAATTTACTCTTGAGTAAGTCAGTACAATGAAAGAATGAAAAAATCCTAAAAAGCAAAACAAATATCTGTCTCTCATACTACAGTGTTTCTGGGTTTACACTACAGGCCCCAAAGCCAAATATTTCTATCTATTAGAAGGAAATTATACTTGTTGATATTTAGTTTCCAATATTACCTTTGCAAAACTAGTTACCATGTTTATATATAGCTGTGTCTTGGAAAACCAATGTTGAATCTGAAATAACTTCTGGTTTTAGCACATGTGAGACTTGTCATTTGATTAATGATAATATTAATAGCCAGAATATCTGTGAATTTGTGAAAATTCTTCCAGAATTTAAAGTGAAGTTAAGATCTCTAGAAATGCCAGTTTTATTTTTTACAGCTTAATACTTCACAAGTGTATAAAATGCCAATCATTCCTCAACCAGCCATGGTGTTCATGTCTGTGAATAACAGCACATGATTTTATACTTCCTATACATTCATTGCCATGGTTGTTTTTCTATCTTCTTGTTTTTGTTGTTGTTGTTATTTTCACATATCTTGCAAAGTATTTTAGGATTGTATTTCTTTTTAGAATTATAAACTTTTAAGAGAGAGAGATTATAGAGATTACTACAAGTTTAATCAACAGGTTATCAATCTGAAAAGGTTCAAGGTTGCATGACTTAGAATCATAAAATTGAGTGCCACATAACAGAGTAAGCATTTAAAATCAATAATTTTGGAAAAGCATATTATCACCAGAAGTCATACCAAAATTGATATAAGAAAATGTATTAAAATTTAGGTGAGAATTTCACACTAACAAAAATGATTCTGAAAGCATTCCTATTAAGTCAGGAAAAAAAAAAGAGTGTGCCTGTATCATCCCTGTTTTTAGTGTTGTTGGCCAATGCAATTAGATAAGAAAACAGAGAGGTACATATATAAAAACAATGGAGTAAATGATCCTTAATATAATGACCTTCTTCATATAATGAAAGAACTTGTTCATATATTGAAAGAGAATCAACTAAAAATAAATTCAATTAGAGTTCAAAAGGTACAAATTTTAAATTACATGTGCCAACACTAATAATTATCTTATACATGAAAAAAATTAGAAAATCTGATTCACAATTGCAATAAAAATAAAGTAAATTATCTAATAATAACTTTATCATATGAGACTTCTGAAGAAAACTTTAGGATATAAAAGAAAGCTAAAATAATTGAAAGGATTGTCATGTACTTAGATAAGCTTCTCTCATTGTAATTAAGACTTTCAAATTTATTAATCTATAAATTCAAGGAAAATATCAATGAGTCTTTTTATGTAGTGTGGGTAATAAATAGACAAAAACAATATAAGTCTAAATGATTCTAAATTCATCTGGAAGAAAATTAGGGTGACAAGAGGTGGCTTATTCTGCAAAATATTAAGACATATAGATGTTAAATAAAACTGTTCAAATATAAAAGCTCAGTGGGTTTGAAGAGAGTCCAAATTAAACTTTAATGTATAATTACCAATTTACTGTGTGAAAAGATCACATGAATCAAAATCTAAAGTTAAAAAAAAAGATTCTAGTAGGAAATATGTGGAAATAGACATATAACCATATACTCTTATAGTCCTTTCTATGCAAAACACAAATTTGTAAAGCCAAAAAAAAAAATGAAGAAGAAATGACTGCACAAAAAAACAAAATATTCTTTGGGGAAAAAATCATCATAAATAAAAGGTTGAAAGACAAAAAATAGGTGAAATGTTTACATAACAGTTAAGGCCGAGAAAGGATCAATACTTTAAATAGAAAATTGTTCTTATAAATTAATAAGAATATAGTAAAAATCCCAATAGACACATGGGCAAATACCAAACTAAGCCAAAAACAGAAGTTAAAAACAACCAATAAGGATACAAAATAACAAAACACAAGGAAAATTGTGGATTATTTTCACAAAAAATGCAAATAAATTACAATAGTAGATGTTTTCAAATGTCATGAAAATTTTTTGGTAAAAAACTATAAAGAAGAATGGTAGCACTCAATACTGTTGAATGTGTAAAGTATGAGCACTATCATATACTGCCATTAGAAATGTTAATTAGTACAGGCTTTCTGGAGATAGGTTCAGCTATATATTGTGTGTATATATATACACATACACACACATACTATGTATATAGTATAGAGTATGTATATATGTATACTATATATATACATACTCTATACTATATATATAGTATACGCATACTCTATACTATATATATAGTATACGCATACTCTATACTATATATATAGTATACGCATACTCTATACTATATATATAGTATACGCATACTCTATACTATATATATAGTATACGCATACTCTATACTATATATATAGTATACGCATACTCTATACTATATATATAGTATACGCATACTCTATACTATATATAGTATATGCATACTATATGCTATATAGCGTATATGCATACTATATGCTATATAGAGTATACGCATACTATATGCTATATATACATACTATATAGTATACATATACTATGTACTGTATATACGTATACTTAGTATATGTATATGTATATGTATAGTATATGTATATGTATAGTATATGTATACTATATACTGTATATAGTATATATAGTATGTGTATATATATAGTATGTGTGTATATATAGTGTGTGTATATATATAAACATATATATACTGTTGACCCAAGTTCTATTAACATATTATTAAAAAGTACTCATGCAATTAGGAGAACATAGCTATTTAGATATTCATTTCAGTAACAAAAATGGAAACAGTATAAATGCTAGTCTTCAATTTGTGGTTATTTTGAGAGAACATTATACCACTATAATAAATTATTTCGTTGTCATTTTTATGAAACTATCTCCATGACATATAAAGTAAATAAAATAGGTTACAGGCTGGGCACTGTGGCTCACGCCTATAATCCCAGCACATTGGGAGGCCGAGGTGGGCGAAATCACTTGAAGTCAGAAGTTTGAGACCAGCCTGGCCAACAAGGTGAAAACCGTCCCTACCAAAAACACAAAAATTAACCAGGTGTGGTGGCGCATGCCTGTAGTCCCAGCTACTCTGGAGGCTGAGGCTGGAGAATCATTTGATCCCGGGATGCAGAGATTGCAGTAGGCCAAGATCACACCACCGCACTCCAGCTTTGGCGACAGAGCAAGACTCTGTCTTGAAAAATAAATAAATAGGTTACAAAAAAAGCTTATATAACATGAATACATTTGTTTGTGTGTGTACATGTGCTTGCACAGAAAAATGTCTGAAGTGATACTCAAAAAAATATTGATAATAGTTATTGTTGACATTTCAGGTGATTTATATTTTCTTTTTAGCATTTAACGGTATTGCTTGAATTTTCTATGTGAGTAGGTATCATTCTTAAAATGTAAAACACTATTATGGAGGGAAAAAATGGCCCATGAACTTAGTAAAAAGGAGAAAATGTCACAATGGTAATGTTAGTCATTTCTCTTTGGAATTTCTTAATCCTTTTTTAAGTAATTGCATTCAGTATAAAATAACTGTCTTGGCCGGGCACGGTGGCTCACGCCTGTAATCCCAGCACTTTGGGAGGCCGAGGCGGGCGGATCACGAGGTCAGGAGATCGAGACCATCCTGGCTAACAAGGTGAAACCCCGTCTCTACTAAAAATACAAAAAATTAGCCGGGCGTGGTAGCGGGCGCCTGTAGTCCCAGCTACTCGGGAGGCTGAGGCAGGAGAATGGCGTGAACCCGGGAGGCGGAGCTTGCAGTGAGCCGAGATCGCGCCACTGCACTCCAGCCTGGGCGACAGAGCGAGACTCCGTCTCAAAAAAAAAAAAAAAAAAAAAAAAAAAAAAAAAAAAAAAACTGTCTTGAATTCATAAGAAATGAGTTGACAGATAAAACTGTTTAGAGTCATCATTTCAGGTAGCATACATCTTTAAATATTTTATTTCTATTATTTTCCTCCACATACAGGTATGTTTCTAGCTGATTTGATTGAAACGTATTTTGTGTCCCCTACCCTGTTCCGAGTGATCCGTCTTGCCAGGATTGGCCGAATCCTACGTCTAGTCAAAGGAGCAAAGGGGATCCGCACGCTGCTCTTTGCTTTGATGATGTCCCTTCCTGCGTTGTTTAACATCGGCCTCCTGCTCTTCCTGGTCATGTTCATCTACGCCATCTTTGGAATGTCCAACTTTGCCTATGTTAAAAAGGAAGATGGAATTAATGACATGTTCAATTTTGAGACCTTTGGCAACAGTATGATTTGCCTGTTCCAAATTACAACCTCTGCTGGCTGGGATGGATTGCTAGCACCTATTCTTAACAGTAAGCCACCCGACTGTGACCCAAAAAAAGTTCATCCTGGAAGTTCAGTTGAAGGAGACTGTGGTAACCCATCTGTTGGAATATTCTACTTTGTTAGTTATATCATCATATCCTTCCTGGTTGTGGTGAACATGTACATTGCAGTCATACTGGAGAATTTTAGTGTTGCCACTGAAGAAAGTACTGAACCTCTGAGTGAGGATGACTTTGAGATGTTCTATGAGGTTTGGGAGAAGTTTGATCCCGATGCGACCCAGTTTATAGAGTTCTCTAAACTCTCTGATTTTGCAGCTGCCCTGGATCCTCCTCTTCTCATAGCAAAACCCAACAAAGTCCAGCTCATTGCCATGGATCTGCCCATGGTTAGTGGTGACCGGATCCATTGTCTTGACATCTTATTTGCTTTTACAAAGCGTGTTTTGGGTGAGAGTGGGGAGATGGATTCTCTTCGTTCACAGATGGAAGAAAGGTTCATGTCTGCAAATCCTTCCAAAGTGTCCTATGAACCCATCACAACCACACTAAAACGGAAACAAGAGGATGTGTCTGCTACTGTCATTCAGCGTGCTTATAGACGTTACCGCTTAAGGCAAAATGTCAAAAATATATCAAGTATATACATAAAAGATGGAGACAGAGATGATGATTTACTCAATAAAAAAGATATGGCTTTTGATAATGTTAATGAGAACTCAAGTCCAGAAAAAACAGATGCCACTTCATCCACCACCTCTCCACCTTCATATGATAGTGTAACAAAGCCAGACAAAGAGAAATATGAACAAGACAGAACAGAAAAGGAAGACAAAGGGAAAGACAGCAAGGAAAGCAAAAAATAGAGCTTCATTTTTGATATATTGTTTACAGCCTGTGAAAGTGATTTATTTGTGTTAATAAAACTCTTTTGAGGAAGTCTATGCCAAAATCCTTTTTATCAAAATATTCTCGAAGGCAGTGCAGTCACTAACTCTGATTTCCTAAGAAAGGTGGGCAGCATTAGCAGATGGTTATTTTTGCACTGATGATTCTTTAAGAATCGTAAGAGAACTCTGTAGGAATTATTGATTATAGCATACAAAAGTGATTCAGTTTTTTGGTTTTTAATAAATCAGAAGACCATGTAGAAAACTTTTACATCTGCCTTGTCATCTTTTCACAGGATTGTAATTAGTCTTGTTTCCCATGTAAATAAACAACACACGCATACAGAAAAATCTATTATTTATCTATTATTTGGAAATCAACAAAAGTATTTGCCTTGGCTTTGCAATGAAATGCTTGATAGAAGTAATGGACATTAGTTATGAATGTTTAGTTAAAATGCATTATTAGGGAGCTTGACTTTTTATCAATGTACAGAGGTTATTCTATATTTTGAGGTGCTTAAATTTATTCTACATTGCATCAGAACCAATTTATATGTGCCTATAAAATGCCATGGGATTAAAAATATATGTAGGCTATTCATTTCTACAAATGTTTTTCATTCATCTTGACTCACATGCCAACAAGGATAAGACTTACCTTTAGAGTATTGTGTTTCATAGCCTTTCTTCTTTCATATCCCTTTTTGTTCATAGAATAACCACAGAACTTGAAAAATTATTCTAAGTACATATTACACTCCTCAAAAAAAACAAAGATAACTGAGAAAAAAGTTATTGACAGAAGTTCTATTTGCTATTATTTACATAGCCTAACATTTGACTGTGCTGCCCAAAATACTGATAATAGTCTCTTAAACTCTTTTGTCAAATTTTCCTGCTTTCTTATGCAGTATTGTTTAGTCATCCTTTCGCTGTAAGCAAAGTTGATGAAATCCTTCCTGATATGCAGTTAGTTGTTTGACCACGGTACATACTTGAGCAGATAATAACTTGGGCACAGTATTTATTGCATCACTTGTATACAATCCCGTGTTTGGCAAGCTTTCAAATCATGTAATATGACAGACTTTACACAGATATGTGTTTAGTATGAATAAAAAAGCATTGAAATAGGGATTCTTGCCAACTTGCTCTCTTGCCACCAACTTACTTTCCTAAATTATGGAAGTAATCTTTTTTGGATATACTTCAATGTATACAATGAGGAAGATGTCACCTTCTCCTTAAAATTCTATGATGTGAAATATATTTTGCCTCAATCAACACAGTACCATGGGCTTCTAATTTATCAAGCACATATTCATTTTGCATTAGCTGTAGACATCTAGTTTTTTGAAAACACCTATTAATAGTAATTTGAAAAGAAATAACCATAATGCTTTTTTTCGTGAGTTTATTTCAGGAATATGAGATCTTTCTTCTATAAAGTTATTCATGCACAGGCAAAAATTGAGCTACACAGGTAGAATGTAGTTTTACTTAGAAGATTTTTGTGGGAGGTTTTGAAGCAAATATATAAAACAACTTTCACTAATTTGCTTTCCATATTTAAAAAATAATAAATTACATTTATATAATAAATGTTTAAAGCACATATTTTTTGTTGTTCTGGCAATTTAAAAAGAAAGAGGATTTAAACGTACCTATAGAAACAAAGATTTATGGTTAAAGAATGAGATCAGAAGTCTAGAATGTTTTTAAATTGTGATATATTTTACAACATCCGTTATTACTTTGAGACATTTGTCCTAATCTACGTATAAAACTCAATCTAGGGCTAAAGATTCTTTATACCATCTTAGGTTCATTCATCTTAGGCTATTTGAACCACTTTTTAATTTAATATGAAAGACACCATGCAGTGTTTTCCGAGACTACATAGATCATTTTATCACATACCTACCAAGCCTGTTGGAAATAGGTTTTGATAATTTAAGTAGGGACCTATACAAAATATATTACATTTATCAGATTTTTAAATACATTCAATTAAGAATTTAACATCACCTTAAATTTGAATTCAATCTACCGTTATTTCAAACTCACAAATATAACTGCATTATGAATACTTACATAATGTAGTAAGACAAGATGTTTGACAGGTTCGTGTGTAATTTTCTATTAATGTTTTTACATTGCCTTGTTTTTATGTAAAATAAAAAATATGGGCAACTGGTTTGTTAACAACACAATTTCTTCTTAGCATTTCAAAAATATATATAAAGTTGTTCTTTTTCCTATTTCATGAACTATGTTTTTTTTTAAAATAACATGGTTAAGTTTTATATATATTTACGTTTGTTTCAGGAATGTCTACTTGTGACTTTTTATCAATTAAAAATAATATTTGGAAGAAAGAGCTTATTAAGTATAAGCTTGAAGTAAAATTAGACCTCTCTTTCCATGTAGATTACTGTTTGTACTGATGGTTTCACCCTTCAGAAGGCACTGTCATATTAATATTTAAATTTTATAATCGCTGAACTTATTACACCCAACAATACAGAAAGGCAGTTACACTGAAGAACTTAACTTAGAATAAAATGGAAGCAAACAGGTTTTCTAAAAACTTTTTTAAGTGACCAGGTCTCGCTCTGTCACCCAGGCTAGAGTGCAATGGCATGATCATAGCTCTCTGCAGCCTCAACTCTGGGCTCAAGCAACCCTCCTGCCTCAGCCTCCCAAGTAGCTAAGACTACAGGTACATGCCACCATGCCTGGCTAATATTTAAATTTTTGTAGATAAGGGGTCTTGCTATGTTGCCCAGGCTAGTCTCAAACTCCTGGCTTCAAGTGTTCCTACTGTCATGACCTGCCAACATGCTGGGGTTACAGGCATGAGCCACCATGCCCCAAACAGGTTTGAACACAAATCTTTCGGATGAAAATTAGAGAACCTAATTTTAGCTTTTTGATAGTTACCTAGTTTGCAAAAGATTTGGGTGACTTGTGAGCTGTTTTTAAATGCTGATTGTTGAACATCACAACCCAAAATACTTAGCATGATTTTATAGAGTTTTGATAGCTTTATTAAAAAGAGTGAAAATAAAATGCATATGTAAATAAAGCAGTTCTAAATAGCTATTTCAGAGAAATGTTAATAGAAGTGCTGAAAGAAGGGCCAACTAAATTAGGATGGCCAGGGAATTGGCCTGGGTTTAGGACCTATGTATGAAGGCCACCAATTTTTTAAAAATATCTGTGGTTTATTATGTTATTATCTTCTTGAGGAAAACAATCAAGAATTGCTTCATGAAAATAAATAAATAGCCATGAATATCATAAAGCTGTTTACATAGGATTCTTTACAAATTTCATAGATCTATGAATGCTCAAAATGTTTGAGTTTGCCATAAATTATATTGTAGTTATATTGTAGTTATACTTGAGACTGACACATTGTAATATAATCTAAGAATAAAAGTTATACAAAATAAAATTATGTTTACACGTATTTTCTGTTTCAGTTAGAATAACCATAGGTGGGTAAAGTCAGTGGATATCTAAATAAGTTGCAACAACTGATAGCTTTTTCCTTTTCATTGAAAGGACAGCTTCAAATGTCCTCCATAAGAAGTGTTCCCGGGAAACAAAGACAAGGACAAAGAATCTAGAGTTCCAAAGTAATTTCTTGAAATCCACATCAAGGTTTGTGCAAAGGGAGAAAATTGAGACAGGAAGCAAAAATATGCAAACATCTAGCCACACAGCGATGTCTACATTTTTGTGTAATAGCATTAAGAGGTGGTGTAGCATACATAATGGCTAAGAGCTTTGGTTCATGGAGACTGCATTGTTCCTGTATGACACAGAAGTAGCCTGGATTCTTACATTTTTAGTAGCAAATTGGTTGTCATACTAACTACTATTACTACTAATATAAATTCTTGATTCTGTATTGTCATTGTTCTAATTTCTTTGTGTAGCTTGTCTCATTCTACCCTTACAACCACATGGAGTATTACTCTTTTTCTCATTTTACAGATGGGAAAGCTGTACCAGCTCTTAAGAGGTGATATAGCATACATAATGGCTAAGAGCATGGGTTCTAAGACTAGAACTATATTTGTATCCCAGTTAAGCCATGACCCTATGAGTTTGCTGAATACATTCTTTAACCTATATGGGCCTCAACTTTCTTATCTATAAAATGAGGAGAAGAGTACTACTTCATTATGTGGTTGTAATGATAGAATGAGACAAGCTTCATGAAGAAATTAAAACAATGACTGAAAACACATTGAAAATTTATATTAGTAGTAAGAGTAGTTAGTATGGCAATTAATTTGCTACTAAAAATGTAAGAACCCAGGCTACCTCTGTATCATACAGGAACAATGCACTCTTCATGAATGTTAAATAATGACAATATTTTCTCTATTTTATATGGGTAAGTATAACTATAGTGCCCAAAAGAGTTTTATGCACCCATTGGTAGGTAGTAAATATTTAGTGATGTGGCATATACACCAAATATTTCAAAATTTAGCTACTTTTGAGATTTATGAATTCAAACAACATATTAAAATCAGGAAATATGCACATTTATAAAGGTCTAGCTTATTTCCAAAAAGTGGAGGTGGTTCTTACCATTTTTAGCTGAGTAATTAATACAACCCTCTACTTTAGCTATAAGCATCAAGTCCTGTTGATGGTCATTAGGTAAGATATTCTAAAAATAATTGCCATACTAGGCCATTATTTCAACTTTTATGTTATCTTAATAGCATGTAAAAGGTGTAAAATAGTCCTTGGGACTTTTGTACTGATAGTTGCAATAGCCACTCTGCAAAATAGAATTATAATCACTGAATAATACTGTAATCCATTTCAACATAAGTGATTGTGATACATGCAAATTTTTTACAACAACAAAGCTAAATTCTTTCACATTGTAGATAATGCTATGCCATAACCCAAGCAAAATGAGCTGCAGGATACATGGTAATCTCTCTCAAGGGAGGGAGAAATTACATACTAGCTAGAGCAGAGGGGATTTTGCTGCAATAGTATTTGATGCACACAGGAAATGAAACATGAATAATTGATAGTTATAAACAAGCAATAGAGCTCACATGCTACACTTAGCTTGACTCCCTATTACTCTGCGAGCCATACCTACATTAATAATTGATCTGTCTGCGAAAAGGTAATTTGAAGAGATTTATGAGACATTGGTAATAACTGCATCATTGCACTTTAGCTTGAATCTTTTTAAATATATCTTTAGAAACAAAAGATAAAAGCAATGCACAATAAGTATACAGAAAATGTTCAGAGCTTGTTAAAAATTTTGCAAATCTAGTAGAACTGAGCAAAAGTTATTCGTAAGTTGTAATATTTGCTGGCATGACCTAGTTTTTATTTTATTTCCTACAAAACAATATGTCTTCAAGTTAGTTCAGTCATATTCTTTCTATAAAAATATAATTCTTCTCTAATATACCATCATAATTCATTTTTATTTTTAGTGATGTGTAAAATTTAGAATTTATGGGAAAATTATATCCAGTGAATATTAAGAATACACTCCCATTAAATTACTATTTCTAAATATGTGAGAACATAATCTGGATTTGCATGTGCTGCTTTAAACAAATACATTCTTTTACTTATGGCTGGCCCTTCATCTGAGGAGCCTCCAGATTTACTCTCTTTAAATATCTTGTGTCTTCTACTCTGTACATTGACAATATGTTAAAATGTGCTTTCTCCTGTTCTTAGGCTACTCTTGAGAACTGCTCATTTTTATATGAGAAAGAATGATATCTTGCTCATATAAGAAAAGGATATAAACCAACTGTGATACACTAATTCCTTCTAACAGAACAGAAAAAATAAGTGGATGGGGTTACATGTGTCTTTATACAAAACACAGATAACTATACCCAGGCTCCTGCCTCACAAAAATTGTGAGATAATACATTTGTATTATTTTAAGCTGCTAAATTTGTGATCATTTGTTACAAAGGATCAAACACAAATGCATGCTCCTGTTTTCCAATGTACCATGTTAAGGTAGAAATACAGATGAGCAACGCTACTAGAAAGGTTATTTTATCAAACCACAATGGCTCATACAGACTGTGGAGGTAAAAAGAGAGGGACACTGGTGAGACAGTTTGGCACACTGATCTCGCCCGCAAAAGACTGATGTAGAAAGCAAATGTTAATTGTTATCTTATCAAAAATTTAAAGGAGGAGATTTTCCTCCCTGTTGACTATCCTAATCGTGTTTACCATTCAGTGCACCTTATTCTTGGCAAAGCACCTTACAAATTTTTACCCAGAAGCCAAAGAAAATGGGCAATCTTAAGTAATTTTCTCAAAGTCAAAGAGAATCTGAAGTATACTTGTCCCACTCATGCCTTTAAAATGTAGGCCAAGAGAATCTACAGCAAATGTCTTCTAAAACGTTTCATTTGGAACATAAAAAGTTTCTATGTCAATACATTTAAGGAAGGGTGCATTATATATTTCACTCTTAGAGTAACATAATTCACTTTAGCATGTTACATGCTTGCAGAAGACATGAGACTCAGGAGTCAGAGATAATAATAGATTATTACTTAAAGCAATAGCAGGAGCCAGAGTATTATCATTTTTGTGTTGGTCTTAGAAAGCTGGGGCTGTCATAATAATATACCATAGACTGGGTGGCTAGAACAACAGAAATTTATTTCTAACAGTTCCCGAGGCTGAGGAGTCCAAGATTAAGGCGCCAGCCAATTTCGTTCCCCAGTGAGGGCTCATTTCCTGGCTGGCAGAGGGCAGCATTCTCACTGTGTCTTCAAATGGAGGAGGCAGTGAGCTCTGGTCTCTCTTCTTTTTTCTATAGGAATACTAATCTCATGGTGGAAGATATATATATATATATATATATATATATGTATATATATATGTGTGTATATATATATATATACATATATATATATGTGTGTGTATATATATATATATATATATATATATATATATATGCATTCAGTCCTCCATATCCATGGTTTCTGATCTGTGGATTCAACCAATTCTGGATCAGAAATAGTTGGGGAAAAAATCCACAAAGCCCCAAAAGGCAAAACTTGAATTTTCCATATGCTGAGTACTACATTGAATCCATACAAATGAAGTGATGTGTAGGTAATTTTAAACTATATAGGAGGATGTGTGTAGGTTATAAGCAAACACTATGCCATTTGTATAAGAGATTTGAGCATCTGTGGATTTTGGTATTCTCAGGGAGTCCAGAAGCCAATCCCCAGCAGATACTAAGGGACAACTGTATATCATGGTAAATAAATTACATCTTCCTTCTCATTGATTAGTACCACCATTCATCCAGTTTTCCAAACTAATCCTCTTCATTAACCCTCCGCATTTATTCACCAAGACCAGTTCATTCTACCACCTAATGTAATGTAAATACATCAACTTCTCTTAATTTCCACTGTCAACACCTAATCCAATCCATTACCACCTTTAACCTCTTTATAAGACAATGTAATAACCTACTTGTTTTATCTTACTAAATCCATTCTTGCCTCACTTCCAAATCTATTCTCAGTACAGTAGCCAGAGTGGATTTTATGAGGTTGTGACATTTCCCTGCTTAAAATTTTGGGTCATTTTCCGGCATAAAATTCTGTAATATTTCTCCATTATTATGATGATAAATTCTAAAATCCTCAGCAAAGATTTTACAAACTCTATACTATTACTGTCTACAAGTTCTACAAGCTTTCCAGCCCTACACCATGTCAGCCTCACTGCTCTTATCTTCCCTCTTTCCCTATCTTAATCTGTGTGCTTCAGCCTCAATAGTTTTCTTTCTGTTTGCAGGATCTTCTCAACAAAAGTATAGTGTATTCTTACATTCTTATACAGTGCCAGTGCTTTCTGGCCTGAGAGAGACTATACATGTCTTTCACATGGTAAGTTGAGTGGATGTTTGAAACTGTCCCACTGCTCACAAAATAAAATTAGTATAGAAAACTGGCATTTTTGAAGGACTAAGTTAAAAGTGTTTTTCCTCTATAGCTTTAACAAAGTAGAAAAAAAACAGAGATAATGTCAAGTAGGAAATAAAGACTGAAAAATGAAAACTTTCATATACATTCTACATTAAAATCAGACATTTATTTCTCTAAGGCCTGAGTTTCTCAATATTGGCAATCTTGATATTTGAGCTGGATAATTCTTTGTTGTGAGTGGCTGTCCTGTGCATGGTGGGATGTTTAGCACGATCACTGGTCTCTAACCTCTAGATATCAATAAACATTCCTAATTCCACAGTTATGACAAATAAAAATGTCCCCATCTTTGCTAAATGTTCTCAGGGGGACAAAATCTTCCCCAGTTGACAACGACTGATCTCTGACAATGTCTATAAAAGTATGAATCATGGATAACCGACATTACCTTAGCTATTAGTTTAAAAAATACTGAGACTTACCCAAGATCTATTGAATTGGATAGAGCCCCAAAATAATCACATAGCAACAGTGAAGACCATTACCCCAAAAATGACTAACTAGTTGTCCTAGGGATATTAAGTACTCTTGATTTTCTCTTTTAAAATATTGCTGCAAATTCAAAATGATGTCTTTCGGTGAGAAATTGAGTCAATTATCTTTAAGTTCAGGTGTTTCTTTTTGGCTACTAGGTAAGCTTTGGGTACATTCAGACATGATATTTCTTCCTATTGTTATTCAAGAGTTTGGGTTGCCATTCTTATCATAATTACATGGAGCAGTCACAGAGATGGGATCACTTGTTCAAGTGGAGTTTCTTCGACACGCTAAGTGTTAGTGCATTGTTACAATTTGCATTTTGAAACAAAGAACGTTTTTCCAAGAAAAATAATTCAGACATAATATTTCAGGTCAGCTTTTTCAGATCATATCCTGAATGAATAATAAGTGGGACTTTATTTCATTACATTCATTTCATTACATTTAAGTTTTCTCATGCTGCTAGTTGAAAAAAAATTGTAACTTTCTCCTCAACTTTCTCTGAATAGAATTTTATATTAAGCATAGGCCCACCAAGCAGACATCCCTTAAACTGAGTGTGCTGTGATTCAAAACAAGTCAGAGGAAATTCTACATTGGAGAAGGAGGCAGATAAAAGTTTTCTAGGGCCTGAGACTTACACAATTCTCTAATTCAGATGTACTCTCCTCTAGAAATTTGTTTCAATAATATATAAGGTGTTTTTCCAGAGAAACATCACTCATCAACTAACTTTTTTTATTCTTAATAGTTATTTGATTTCTCACTCCCTTAAGTGTATTTTTTTTAAATATTAAAATACTTCCTGTGTCCATGTGTTCTCATTGTTCAATTCCCACCTATGAGTGAGAACATGCGGTGTTTGGTTTTTTGTCCTTGCCATAGTTTGCTGAGAATTATGGTTTCCAGCTTCATCCATGTCCCTACAAAGGACATGAGCTCATCCTTTTTTATGCTGCATAGTATTCCATGGTGTATATGTGCCACATTTTCTTAATCCAGTCTATGGTGGGGGGAGGGGGGAGGGATAGCATTAGGAGATATGTTAAATGACTAGTTAATGGGTGCAGCACACCAACATTGCACATGTATACATATGTAACTAACCTGCACGTTGTGCACATGTACCCTAAAACTTAAAGTACAATTAAAAAAAATTTAAAAAAAAATACTCATCTTGTTTTAATATTTCTGGCCAAAGACAATGAATGAGACAAGGATTAAAATTTACGTTAAAATATAAGTGTATGCTTCTGACTGAAGATAGTTTATTATAATTTTCTGTGATGCTCTTCTCATTTTGAGAAATTATGAGCTAACAAAATTTTATGGATGAAAAGAAAGTATGAAATGCCACAGAAAATATCTTTTTCTCTTAAAAAAATCCTGTAAAGTTTACAACTGCCAAACTTCTAAATATCAAATCTAATTTTGACTCCCTCTAAAAAATAATAAAGATAAAATTGTAACACCTGAACAACTCAGCTCATCTTGATATATTGATTCTTGTCCACGACCTTAATAGAATCAGTCTGATAAAGCTCTGATAAAAGACGAGGAGGAGGAAACAGAAGTGGGAAAAGAATTCTTCCATGCTTCATTTTCTGCCCAATTTATTTTCTTTTATTTACTCATCCTAATCACCTCATTTCTATCTTAAATTCAGAACAAAGATTAATAAATGGTTTAGAGTCACCTAATTTGGCCTGGTGCTTGCAATTAAAAGATATGCTTATCTCTAAAGAATCATGCATTGTCCATTTATTTTAAAGACAAGTAGGTCTGCCCCCTACAAGCCTCAGCCAGAATACTACTTAGAGCAGCGTTATAGGCAAAAAGGAATCCGGAAGGGAGCCAGGAAAAATAAGAGAAGCAATTGACTTCAGCTTCGTGACACTGAGCTGGAGCACTTTGATGTGCACAAAGCTGAGGAACCATTCTGGCAGCTTCAAATGGTAGCCTTCAGCATTTTTCCCCTATTGCATTTCTTCCTGTCAAGTTATTTCCTCCTAGTGTAAGAGAACTTCCTCCCTGCTTCTGTCTCCTTGGGACCTAAAGTCAACAAAACTAATCTCTTCCTTTTTATGAGATCAATAAAGCAAATTAGACATGATATTGAAAGTACTTAAAAATTTAAGCCCTGCTTTTTGGAATGCAATCTTTTGTCTTTAGGAATTGTTAAAAAATGTCAATATACAAACATATACATAGCAGTATCTTTTTATATAATATCAAGAATGGGGGAACTAGAGAAGGAAAAAGAACCAAGACACAAAGACAATATTTAGTAAAATGACAAACATAAATGCTAACTTAGTGCATTGGGATGTCAGTCTTTTTCTTATTTTTTGAGTTATTCATCAGAGAAATGCAAGTTAAAATAGTAATGAAATATTGCTAGACCACCACCAGAATAACTAAATTAAAAAAAAAAAACTGACAATAAGTGTTTTCAAAGATGTGGAGCAAAAGAAACTCTCACATATTCCTGGTAAGAATATATACCTGGACAACTACTTTGAAGATATGTTTGTCAGTATCTATTAATGCTAGCCATATATATTCATGACCAGAAATTCTATCACTGGTATATATGCACAGAAAGGAGTATTTATAGTCATCAAAAACATGTATGTGAATGTTCACAGATGATATATTCATTATGGTCTCAAACTGGCAACAATCCAAACATCCATCAAGATTAGAAAGAATAAATATTGAGGTATAGGTATACAACAAGGGAATCCAGGCTTGTGCCTATAATCCCAGCTGCTCAGAAGGCTGAGGCAAGAGGATTGCTTGAGCCCAGGAGTTTGAAGCTGCAGTTAGCTATGATCATGCCACTGCACTCCAGCCTGAGTGACAGAATGTGATCCTAGCTCTTTATTTTTTTAATTCATTAATTTGTTTATTTATTTTAAGACAGAGTCTCACTCTGTTGCCCAGACTGGAGTGCAGTGGCAATATCTCCACTCACTGCAACCTCCGCCTCCCGGGTTCAAGCAATTCTCCTGCCTCAGCCTCCTGAATAGCTTGGACTACAGGCACACACCACCACGCCTGGCTAATTTTTTTTTTTTTTTTAAGTAGAGATGGGGTTTCACCATGTTGCCTAGGCTGGTTGCGAACTCCTGAGCTCAGGCAATCCGCCTGCCTCGGCCTCCCAAAGTGCTGGGATTACAGGTGTGAGCCACCACGCCGGGCCGTGATCCTAGCTCTTAAGAAAACTGGTATACAACAGTAAGAAAAGACATTTTACTGATACACGTAAAACATGCAAAAACATAGGGAATCTCACAAACATAATTATGAGCAAAAGAAGCCAGACACAAAAGATTACATATTGTTTGAATTAATTTATGAAGCTTAATGACAGGCAGGCAAAATAAGTATTTATGCTAATAGAAGAGTGGTAACTTTGGGGGAGTTATTGGCATAGAGGGGCATAAGGGACAATTCTTAGGTAATAGGAATGTTTTGTATCCTAACCTAGGTAGTGTTTATTTAGGAGTATAAATATGTATATTTGAACTGTACAATTTTCTTAATGTACTATGTACTTATTATATCCCAATAAAGTAATAAACAACAATAACAAACAAACTCCTGAGTTACTGAAATCAGCCACCATCCCCAGGGAGTTACAGCTATAATGTCATCTTACCACTCTGTTTCTTGCTTCTCTTTTGCTTTTTTGTTCCTGGAAATTTTCTTTAATTTTTATAAGCTCAGCTTTGCACTCGTAAAATTATTTATTAAATTTTACCCAACAAACAGTTTATCAGGACTTTTTTCAGGATACTTGAACACCTAATTGTTAGGTACTAAATGTACACTAAATGATCTCCTGGCTAGGAATCTCCTATAGCTTTGCTTGAGAGTCATAAAAACTAAGATCATTTTAATAAAATTTAGGCTTCCAAAATATTTTCTTCTTCTTTTCTAGAGCCTCCCAGAGCAAAACTATGAAAGACAAAAAAAAGTAGCAGGGAAACAGAAAATAAATATTCAAAAAGATTCATTAAACCTGAGACCTAAGTTTGCAAACTTAGATAATGTTTTAATTATTTTATGTAAGACTAATTTATTTGCTAATCTAATTGAAACATTATTTTCCTACTGCATTGTAATTGCATTTTACCAACAATACAACACCATCAGAGAACTTAAATACACCACAAATGCATTAATCATTTATATTTGGAGACATGGCTTGAAACAGGATGCACTATGAACAGCTTTATTTTTTCTAACTTGCAATAAGTCTAAACATTTTTCTTTCCCTTATTGCTTAGATAGCTCATTTCCTTTATGACTTACCTCAGACTAGAAATTAACTGATGGGCATAGTATCTACACTGTTTCTAAAACTAATATTTTATGTATATATATATGCACATTCTTGTTTTCTTCCCTTACATAAACATCGAATCCATCAACAAACGCTACTGATTCAACCTGTAAAATATATCCCAAATCTACCCTTTTCTATTCATCTAGACCACCTGCCCCCTTGTCCAAGCCACTATTATATCTTTTACCTACACTATCGTAGTAGCCACTTAACTGGTCTTTTGGCTCCACTTTTGACTTTCTAAAATGTATTCTTCACAGAGTGATCAGAGTGATCCTTTAAAACTCTATTGGACAAAAAACCAAACACCGCATGTTCTCACTCCTAGGTGGGAATTGAACAATGAGAACACATGGACACAGGAAGGGGAACATCACACACCGGGACCTGTTATGGGGTGGGGGGAGGGGGGAGGGATAGCATTAGGAGACATACGTAATGTTAAATGACGAGTTAATGGGTGCAGCACACCAACATGGCACATGTATATATACATAACAAACCTGCACATTGTGCACATGTACCCTAAAACTTAAAGTATAATAATAATAAAAAAAAAAAACTCCATTGGCGATCAGGCTACTGTCTCCATGACCACCAGTGCTTCTTACCGTGTTCAGAACTCCCAGTTGCACCTAGCATAAAAAGCCGACTTCACTCTCTAAAGGGCTTTACGTGATCTGTTCCCTGCTTGACTGTGCTGCTGCTCCATGTAACACCAACCTCTTCTTAAACTCACAGTGCCTCAGCTCTACTAACCTGCTTTCTGTTCTTGAAAACAAGTTTATTCTTGCCTCAGGGCCTTTCTCTTGCTCTTTGTCACCTGGAATGTTCTCTGATTCAGAACACAGCTGCATCCTTTTAGATTTCAGTTGAAATATTTCCTTATTAGAGAAGCCTTTCCTGGTGAGCCTACTTAAAGCAATTCCACTGCCCTGCTCACTGTTTACCAAATTAAACTGTTTTACTTTCATCTACCATTTACTATTATCTAAAATTATGGAAAGTTGATTATGTGTTTATTTGTCTCCTCTGCATTGATAAATGTTACCCCATGAGCTACAGACATTGTTTGCTTTAGCTATCTTCATCCCTAGATGGCCTTACAGCCAACAGATCCTCATTAGTTAAATTGTGTTTTTCAGATCCCTGAACTCAGTCAGTTTGGCTTAGAAGGAAAACCTCTGATGAACTAATCTCACAAAAAATGTCAGTGTCTGCTCATAATTGAGTGTCACCTTTTCCGTGAGTCTGGGAATTTGAGAGAAATTCTGAGAATACATAATAGATACATGGTAAGAGAGTGATCTCAGGAAGGGCTTTCCTGGAGCCCTTCTGTGACGTCCTCCCATTTGGGCTATGCTTTGCTACTTTTGTTTCATGAGAGAAAAACAAATTACCTTCTAAAATCTACCCATCAACAGATAACCACGAAAGAAATGTCTACCAATGGTGTACTGGTAAATGTAAAGCAACTGGCTCTCCTGGAGGATAAGACCTTTTCTCTATGTATCTTTTGCCTATTTCTGTGGTGTAAACACTCATCCCATGGCTAAATTCCAGCAAACAATCTGAAGTCACTGAACATAGACTTGGAAGGAGCCGTGCACCATTGCTCTCTCCAGCTGGCCCAAGAAGGCTCCAGCACACCACTGACATCTACTAGGTGCCAAGAATAATGGGAGGTATTTTATGTTCAGGCTCTCCTATCTTAGCACAATGCTAAAAACTAATTTGTCAGTTATCTGTGAGAGATGAGGAAATAAACTTGGGTAACATGCTCAGATACACATCACAAAAGGGGTAAAATCAAGGTTCAAATTCAGATCTGACTCCAGATACCACATCTTTCATTTGTTTCAGGGAGTAGTAGTAAAAAAAACCACCAAAAACAAAGCAACAAACAAGAGTATTGTCAGTGTCAAGCTGCTTTGTAAGATCATAGTTACTTTCCGAACATCCTAGATGTCTCACAGATGATGCAAATTTTATTTTTAGTGTTAACTATATGTGTAGTACATAATTAGTTGGAATGAGAATTCTAAAAGTTCAGTGCACCAACAAAGTCTTGGAAATGCTCTCTCCTCTTTTTTCCCTTCTTTGCTAATTCCCTTTTTCGACACCCTCCTAAAACACGAAAGTTTTAGACATCAAGGGGACCAGCCATTGAAAGAAAAAGTGACCCAATATCAAACAGCTTGTGCCTATTTGTTTAGAAATTCTGGTGAAAAACAAAAGCTAGATCAGTTTCCAGGATAAAACTGTCAATGAAGTAATAAAGTTCCATGCCTTTGGAAGATGGTGTCACTTCCACCTGACAGCAATAAAAAGGAGGAGGAGGAGAATGGTCCCAGGTGAGACCATTAATTCTCAAACATTTGCACACATTAGAATCAGCTGGAGAACTTTAACACACAGAATGCTGGCATGTACCCCAGGGGTTCTGATTCAGATTCAATAAATATACAGTGGGGCTCAAAATTTGCATTTCTAACTAACAATCTCCAGGTAATGCTGAGGCTTTTTGTCTAGTAACCACACTTAGGAGGGGCTCTCTAGATGCCAAGGATTTGTATATGCATGACAACTGAGAAAATGCTGGTTAAGAGCCCTGTTTCTCAAACTTTACTGCATGTTACAATCACCTGGAGACCTTAAAACCCATGCCTGTGTCTCTTCCCATAGATACTACTTAAATTAATCTGGGGTGTAGCTGAGTGTATTGAAATTTTTAGAAGCTCCAGGGGTGATTGTAATGAGCAGCTAAGTTTGATAACCCATGGAAATTGCTCTAATTTTTTTGTCTTTTTCAACTTTTATTTTAGATTCTGAGGGCACAAAGTTTTGTTACAAAGGTATATTTTGTGATGCTGAAGTTTAGAGTACGATTGAACCTGTCACCAGAAGTGAACTGTGCTTGCTAGGGATCTAGATTGCATGGTCCATATAAGACTCTAATGCCTGATGATCTGTTACTGTCTCCCATCATCCCCAGATAGGACCTCTGGTTGCAGGCAAACAAGCTGAGGGCTCTCACTGAATCTACATTATGGTGAGTTATATAATTATTTCACTATGTATTAGAATGTAATAATAATAGAAATAAGGTGCACAATAAATATAATGTGTTTCCCATCATCCCAAAACCATACCCACCTCCCCAGTCCATGGAAAGATTACCTTCCACTAAACCGGTTCCTGGAGCCAAAGAGGTTGGGGGCCACTGTTGTATAGTATCTCACAGGCGTTCTCTGGATGTCTTGAATTTGCATATCAGCCTGTAGTGATTGCGGAAAATTTTGTGAACTACATCCTCAAATGTGTTTTCCAAGTTGCTTACACTCTCCTTTTCTTTCAGAAATGCCAATGAGTCACAGGTTTGGTCTCTTTACAAAATCCCATATTTCTCAGAGGTTTTGTTAACTTTTGAAATTCTTTTTTTTTTTCTTTGTTTTTGTCTGACTGGGTTTATTTGAAGGACAAGTCTTCAGGATCTGACATTCTTTCCTCATGTTGGTCTATTAGGTTGTTAATAGTTCCAAGTATATTATAAAATTCCTGTAGTAAGTTTTTCAATTCCAGAAATTCCGTTTGGTTCTTTCTTAAAATGGTTATATCATCTTTCCACTCTTGGAATGTTTTACTTGCTTCCTTGGATTGTGTTTCAGCGTCTCCAGAATCTCGTTGACCTTCTTTGCCATCCAGATTCTGAATTCTGTATCTGTCAGGGCTGGTGTTCCTATAGCTTTTGGAAGTTGCTGTCACTTAGACAAAGCTTTTGTTTTTATATTATATCCCTAGAGGGTTTGACTTTGGTTTATGTTGAGTATGATCTACTGTCTTCATTTTTTTTTTTTTTTTTTTTGTACTTTCAAAGGCCGAGGCTCTGTGCCTGATCTTTTTTTTTGTGGCTAGATTCCTGCATTGGATTTCACCAGCAATGTGCACTGGGAGAATTTTTATTTGGTGGTGTAATCCAGGCTTGATCCAGTAGATGGCGACGGCGCGTAATATTAATAGTAAGGGCTGGCAGATAGGCTCTTAGGCGCTCACCTGTTTTGTATTTCAGTGCATTTGCAGCGGTACTCTCGGGTGTGGGAGATGGGGGAGGCACGAGATGACCCTGTCACCAAGTCCATGGGCCTTGCGGGGACCCCCTCCAATCATTGGGCGGCACTAGCCTTTCCTTAGCCCGAGGGGCCCTGGTTGCCTGCACTTCTCCGTTCCTTAGGGGTGGCCCTAACCCATGGTTGTTAGGTTGTTATGATCCAGCTCCCTGGATCTCATAGCAACCTAACAACCTTAGGTGCCCACTGGTCCCCTGTACTTTGCAGAGTCAGGGCAGTTTGTAGGATACATCTGTGGTTTATGTTTTGATGCAGTGGGTCAAAGGTGGAGGATCCCTGGGTAGGGCAGGATTGCCATGGTTGTGCAACCGGTGTGGCCCCCATGGCCCAGGGTTCTTTGCCCAGCAGACAGTTGTGGGGTCTGCGCAGCTCACGCTCCCCCAACCAGGTCTCTTTCCGGGGTCTGCCCCAGTAGCTGGACCAAACCAGCTAGTTTTGTCCCAAGCATTCTGCACCCGGATCACTGGGTTAATTGTTCCCATCTGTGGGGCTCCCTCAGGCAGAGCTCGCAAGCAGGCTACACCCTTCCCGGGCTGGTCTTGTGGAGGGAGGCACACCCAGCTCCGGCGCCGGCCCTTGAGCATATATGCCTCTCTCAGTGCTCTGAGAGTGGGGGCTCCTCCTCCGCTTGAGCTTCAGCGACAGATTTCAGCTCCATATTCCTTAGCTGTGTGCTCAAATGTTTGGGTATTGGGACCAGGCCCATTGATCGCCAGGGTTGATTTGGCTGATCTCGCTGGCTAGGCAGGTGTCCCCTTCCTCCTTCACCGCCCCAGGTGCGAACCTCCCAAAGCTGCCCGCTCTGCCGAAGAGGATGACCATCTCCAACAGAAGGATAGAGGAGAACCAGTCTTCGGTCAAGGATATACAAGTAGCTGCGCTCCCCTGCTAGGACCTCCAAACAAGCTTTCCAATGCCTGTAGGGGTCGTGGGATCTCTTGTAGCTAGGATTTCAGAGGTCAGTGGCGGGAGTGTTCTTTCACTTCCTTAGGACCTGGAAGCCTAGAACACTTAGGACCTGGAAGTGTTCTTTCACTTCCTTAGGACCTGGTCCTTTCACTTCATTAGGACCAGTTAAGGGCTGGGAGCCGGTTCTGACATTTGGCAACTCCGTGCAGGGTCCCAGCTTCCTCCCTCTTCCACCTCGTTGTCTGCATCGCCTCTCTATTTACTTTCAGTGTTTTCTCTCAAAAGATCTGTTCAAAGTGCGATGGCTTATTTCATATTTTGATTTCTCTTGCTGGGAGCGTAGCTTCCCGGCTCAATCTAGTTGGCCATCTTCTCCCCTCTAGTTGGCCATATTCTCCCCTCAATCCGCTCTGGATTTTAATTCATAGGTTCTATATTCTTTACACATAACTTTCAATGTGTCCTCCTAAAACTTACCCATCCAGAAAGCACTCATTTCCTTAAGTTGCTAGTTCGTTTCAAGCATGTGCTGAACTGTAGAAGTTAGAGTGCCAGCTGAGAAATCCAGTAGACAGTGCCTCTATGAGTTTCTCCTCTATGTCAGTGCCTCTATGAGTTTCTCCTCTATGTCAGTGCCTCTTTGGGTCTCAGTCTCTGCTACTTACTGACTGTGTGATCTTAGTTAAATATGACATTTAACTTCTTTGTTTTGTCTCCTGTTGTAGGTAAGTATAGATTATTATGAGCAGTATATGAAAGAACTTGGAAAATGCTTGGAAACGCTCAAAAGGTCATAGAGAAGAATTATTATTAATGTATAGGAAGATGGTGTTTATAGATGGTACATAATAGATTATTTTTTAATTAGAGCACCTCTCATTGTCAAAATACAGTCCCAGATTACCTGTTATACGAGAATCCCAAATAATATTGTTAAAGAGTAGCAGCTCATATGCCACCTGCTTGATAAAGTTTTCCAGGGTCCAAAGTAACCAATGTGATTATAATTCTACAGTATAAACATGCAACAGCTTATTCTATTATTACCTTACGGGTATCTCTCCTAATATAATTCACTCATTGAGGACAGAAGCAATGAATCCTCTATGAATATGCTCACTTATGTAGGTGCTAATTGCCTAAAAATATATTACTTCTCTGCATATGTGAGGATAAAATATTACTTCTTTTTCATTGTTAAAAGCAAAAAGATACTCAGACTACTCTGATTCCATAAGATGTTTTAAAATAATTATTTAGTAAAAAGAGAAACGTAGTTTTTTTGGGGATGTAAGTTTTTAAAATTCTTTATATAATGGCTCCATCTTCTGGCCATTGAAATAGACTTACCATGTTACAAAATGCAGTTAAGTCTCATACTGCAGAAATAAATCAGTACGAGTCAAAAAGAATAACATAACTTTTTATTCAGAAACTTTCACAAACTTGACTAACTTCTTCACTGAGAATTTTACTTTGGTCATTGTTTAAATTTCATGTGTCTGAATCCTTCTCCTCACCCCGAATTGTTAGGACACATTTTAACAATGTTTGGTTTTCTGGGGATTTATTTTATATTGACACAATACTTACACAGTACAGGTATCTGTACTTAAAAGAACAGTGAGAGAAGCCAAGTCAGGAACATCTCAGTAAACACATTTAAGTTCCATGGACCTCACTGTAAAAGGCCACCTGTAGGATTGTTGAAGAGAAACGGATCTACTCTGCGGGTAGTCTCTCCACTTTGTTCACTGTTTCCTTTGCTGTGCAGTTTTTTTTTTAGCTTGATGTGATCCCATTTGTCCGTCTTTGATTTGGTTGCCTGTTCTTGTGGGGTATTCCTCAAGAAATCTTTGCCCGTACCAAAGTCTTGGAGAGTTTCCTTAACGTTTTCTTGTAGCAGTTCCATAGCTTGAATTCATATATTTAATTATTTAATTGATTTTAATTTGATTTTTAGATATAGTGAAGAATAGGGGTCTAGTTTTATTTGTCTGCATATAGATATCCAGTTTTCTCAACACCGTCTATTGAAGAGACTGCCTTTTCCACATTGCATGTTCTTGGCACCTTTATCGAAAATGAGTTTACTGTAGGTGTGTGTATTTGGTTCTGAGCTCTCTATTCTGCAAACTACCCATCTAACAAGGGATTAATAATCAGAATATACAAGGAACTTAAATATCTCTGTTTGAAAAAGTCTAATAAACTGAATAAAAAATAGACAAAATATTTGAATAGAAATTTCTCAAAAGAAGACATACAAATGACAAACAGGTACATGAAAATGTACTCAACATCACTGATCATCAGAAAACTGCAAATCAAAAACTGCAATGAGATGATATCTCACCCCAGTTAAAATGGCTTACATCCAAAAGACAGGCAATAACAAATGTTAGCTGTGGAGAAAAGGACACCTTCATACACTGTTGGTGGGAATGTAAATTAGTACAATCACTATGGAGAACCATTTGAAAATTCCTCAGAAAACTAAAAATAAAGCTACCATACGATCCAGCAACCCCACTGTTGGGTATACATGCAAAAGAAAGAAAATTAATATATCAAAGAGATACCTGCACTCCCATGTTTGCTACAGCTCTGTTCACAATAGCCATGATTTGGAAGCAACCCAAATGTCTTTAAACAGATAAATGGATTAAGAAAGTATGATTCTTATACACAAAGGGGTACTCTTCAGCCACAAAAAAAAAAGAGAATGAATTCAGTCATTTGCAGCAACATGGATGGAACTGGAGGTCATTATGTTAAATGAATAAGCCAGGCACAGAAAGACAAACATCCATGTTGTCACTTATTTGTGGGATATAAAAATGAAAACTACTGTACCCACGAAGTTTGAGAGTAGAAGGATGGTTACTAGAGGCTGGGAAGGACAGTGGGGAGTGAGGAGTCTGAGGGGAAGAGACAAATAGTTAAAATGAATGAATAAGACCTAGTGTTTGATAGCACAACAGGGTGACTGTAGTCAATAATAATTTAATTGTACATTTTAAAATAACTAAAAGAATGTGATTAGATTGTTTGTAACACAAAGGATATATGCTCGAGGAGTTGGATAACCCATCTGCCATGATGTGATAATTATGCATTGTATGTCTGTATCAGAACATCTCATGTACTGCATAAATATATATACTTACTATGTCCTCACAAAAATTAAAAATGGAAAATATAAGAAATTGATCTAGAAAGTATGTAACTGTCAACAGGAAGGAACGTGCTATATGACAGTAGGTAAGTCTTAAATTGTGATTTGGCTTCCAAAGATATGAGAGGCGGCCAGCCCACAGCTCTGGACTCCTGCGACCTCATGGGTTGCACACTCAGCTTGTAGGTGGCTCATTGTGTGTGTGCCCAGAATGAAAAAGGCTGTGAGGAGCTGCATCTTCTCACTCACTTGTATCTGTATCAGCTTTCTATCCTTTATACTGTTTGTTGCTGGTTTGATATAAACTAAAGTTAGAGCATCCATGAATCAAATCTCAGTACAGGTTCACTAGTCTTTGATCACAAACCAGTCCGCTGCAGTCTGGCCAGCTCAGGCATGCTTCTTAAACACATTACACCAGGCCAGACAAAGCATACTAGTCATTTCAAAGGGATCTGAATTGCCTATTTGGAGAACATATTGCAGTGCAGAAACACACATTTCCATAATGTCTATTGTTATTCCCTTAATGTCAACCATTAATTCTACAGATTGCAAGCATAACATGTTCTCTGTTGAAATTTGAAAAACACAGAAACCCAAAAAGAAGAAAAAAATGAAGTCATATTCCCTTGAGAAAAAAAAGGATTGCATTTCCTTCCAGTCATTTTTTTTTCTATGTAGATAAATTTGATGTTTGTGTTTTCATGTGGTCTGGTTAGGGTTGTGGTGTAATACAGTAACCTAAAAGAATTTATTTATTAAAACTGTCAGCTGTCAGTTAGCTCAGTGCTATATTTGGTTCATCTTACAGATATCTCTCTTTCTCTCTCTGTCTCTCTCTCTCTCTGTCTCTCTCTCTCTGTCTCTCGCTCGCTCTATCAGCAGCGAAGGCATTGATGTTGATTAAAGAGTCCCATTCCCAGGGCCAGATATGGATGCGGTGTATGCTATTTTATTTATTTCACTGGGCAAACAGAACAATAAAGCTGGCTTTTGCATGCTGCTTCTTAGCAGTACCAAAGATAAAACCATTAGATGGTCCTACTTCCAAATGTCAATTCTGCTGGAGAAGACACTCCTAAACAAAATGTATACAGAAAACCTCAATCACAAACATTTATTAAAACAGCTCTCTGGTCCTAAGGGCAGGCCCCCATGAGATTCAAAGTTCCATCCTAAGCTACCTCACATTTATGTACTCTTCATATGATCATAATTAGAATAAGTGTATGTATATGTTTTTGAAAATATTTCCCAAAAGGGGGTTGAAAATATTTCTATGTATTTTAAGCACTTTTCATCTTTTAAAAAATCTTATAAGTTCATGTATATGTAAATCCATTTAAAATATCTAGAAACATATATACCATATACTAATATGTCTAGGTGGTAGGATTGGCTATTTTTTTTCTAATTTTTTATACTTTTATGAATTTCATTTTTGTCTAAACTTTTTAAAATTAAACTAATTATGAGTTGCTTTTATCAGCAGAGAAAGGAGATATACTCTAGCTTATCAAAAAAAAAAAAAGAAAGAAAGAAAAAGAAAAAACTTTACAGGATTACATTAAACAAACCAGACCATCTCCCCTGGACATTATGCCCATGCACCCAAAAGTGGGAGGTGGAAGATGAGAGTGATGATGACAATACAGGGAGGGGCACACCCAGGCCTGTCTCTATTGTGTAAGGCTTATTTGCCAACTCTCCCCTGTTCAGGATCAATGGAAAATTATATGGCATTTGTCTTTCTGTATATGGCAGCAACATGAACACTATCTTATTTTCCAAGGCTCACTTCAGTGATTTGTGTACCTTCCTTGCCTTAATAAATGGATCTTGAAAAGCTTTAATTAAAACTACAAAATAACTAGCTTCAGAATAGTTACTGGTAATTTATTCTATGTAAGCACAGCACAATAAAAACCATTTGGGGCTCTTAAGAACATTAGTATGCCTTTGACTGTCAGTCATTTATTTTCATCCTCATTGTCACTATCTCAGCCAAGGTCCTCATCTCTTCCTATCTAGGTTGTTGCAAGAGCTTCCTGTTTTCAATCTATTTGCCATAACATTTCCAAATGAATCTTTCTAAAGCCCAATGTTCATATAGATGGTGCTGATTAAAGACATTGACTATGCTCCCATTACCTACAGAATGAAAACCAGACATCATTTGGGTGCTAGACTCATAAACTAACTCTAACCCTGTTTTATTATTTTAATCCTCTGCTATTCCCCCATTCCATCCTGTCACTCCAATCAGTCAGAGCTGCTCCCCTGAATGTATTATATACTTTTATGCATCTACCCTCTGGCTTATGCAGTTTTCCCTTTACTTTATCACTCTGAAGTGTCTTTCCCTCAGTCTACCCAAGTCCTCCCAGTTATCTGAGTACAGCCCTTGGAGACTGTCAAGGAGAGAAGCTTGGCATGTGCCCAGAAGATGCTGCTCAAAAAAGAGAGGAGCCAATTATTTCAGGAGAGGAGCCAGTGAGAAGGGCATTACTAGGAGGACACTCCAAAATCAATATTGCAAGAAGAAGGCAATTCTTAACTTGCAGCTAAAGTGGGAGGATTAAGAACTCTGAGATTTGATAAAATGACTTACCAAATCAGACAATCTGAGCAAGTCAGAAAGCAAATGTGAGAGTTTAGTTGGTGGATGAAGAAAAAATTAAATGAGGTATCACTTTGTCATCAGAAAGGCCAGTTCAAGGGTATTGTTATAATATTATGTACCCTTTAGAGCTGTCCCCTTCTTGTGGTTTGGCATCCTTTGCAGGACTGGGGGATACTCACTGGAAACCTTATCCTTTTGGGCCTAGTTTAATCCAATCTCCTCTAGGCTGCTATGAAACTTTTCCAGATAACTTTAGCACACGGGTGTCATAGCTCCCTCTGACATCACAGCATCTGTTATCTCTAGCCTTCATTTGGCAATGGATCATATGATGGCCTATGATTGTTTTTTGCATTTTTGTACTATAATTTATAAGGACATACATTTTATTTAACTTTCTACAGTTGTGTCTAATACTTTCTTCAGTATGGAGATTTATCTCTTTTATCACATAATATCTCCCTCTTAATCAAACATAAAAATATACTCTTTATGGGCACCCAAAATATTTATTTATCATTTATTTATTTATTTATATTTTTAAACTCCTCTTACCATCATTCTCAACAACAAAAATTATTTATTGCATGACCAGAAATATGTTCTGTTAATTCACTCTTCTCTTTAAGTAGGCCTAAAATCTAAGTTGGCAGTTCCGTCTGTGAAACCATCTCTGAAAACTGTCAAAAATTACCCCAAAGTGCTCATTCATAAATAATTATATTGAATAAATTCCATAAAGAATATATATGCAGTTCAGAGTTACATTCAAGAAAGCATATATTTAAGCTTGGATAATTTGGATATGAACAATAAAAATCAACTCTGACTTGCTTAAGCAGAAAATAATGTACTGCAAGAATATTTTGTAGTTCAAAATTCATGGGAGAGCTAAAGAAGATGACTCAGAAAAAAAAAAAAGATAAAAACAAGGCTGTAAAGATTCCAGGTAGCAGACCAGTTTGAGTGCCACCACTTTTTTCCTTGTATTCACTCTGCTCAAGTTCTTAGTCTTCAGAGAGAAAAAAAAAAAATCAAGGTGGCCCCACCTGAGTTGTTTTCTCTTCCCCTCAGGCAGCAGAGAGCAAGACATCTTGACTATACAAAAATGAGAAGAAGTAATTTTCCCAAAGTAAATCTGGCACTCATCAAAAGGGGAATAATGGAAACAAGGCTTCCAAAGAAGGCACAACAGGAAGAACTGATGTAAATTATAGTCCAATTCATATATCTGTGAGGTTTTATGGATCAGTGTTCATTCTGGTGAATGAATCCTATCATCAGTTTAGAAATAAAGCAGGTGGAATGAGCATAGGGCGAAGGGTTTATTTAAAATTGGAATACTCTACTGAGGCTTTAAGGTAGATGTAGGCAGCTCCATAGTATAGATATGACCTTTTGGGCAGAAGGCACAATCAAGTCAATTATGAATGCGGAGTGGGCAGTTTGCCAGGTGAGGATGCCTCCAGGATCCAAGCCTCACTGTCTACTTAGATTCTCCTCTGAGGTCACATTGGTAATTATTCCTACTGGTTCACATTGAATGAGAGCTTTGTATGGGGAAGGTAAGTGTTTTACAGTGTAGATGGGAAAAAGTCAAATTAATAAAATATAGCAATGCTGTAACTAACATAAATCCCTAATGCCCAGAGTTGGTGAAACCAAGTGGCATGTGGGTTACACAGAAATGTACTCAAGGATACAGGCACTGGGTGATATAAAGCTGCACAGTTATGCATCAGGCATCTCTAAGCAAATCCTAAGTACTTAAAAATGGTTGTTTTTAAAATTCAGTATCTAGATATACTAATAAATCTACAAAACATTTGCCAACTGATTTTACTTCGGGAAAAGAATAATACCTTAAGACTAAGAATAAATAAAGCAGAATTTGATCATATAAAGTTTTTACAAAGAATAATTTATCTGCAGTATGTATTTCTCATGCTTGCATTACTTTTCACTGCTTCTATTATTTTAAAGGATAGTAAGTATGAAGCTTACTCTGCAAGAAAATTCTAATTATTCTACTCTTAGCAGTGGGGCCCAAAATTCTCGTGTCTTCTTGGAGACAGAGAAAAGTTATTGAGAAAGTAAGATTATTTTAGAGTGAGGAGAGCTAGTCTCAGTATTTACATATTTTAAAGAATAATTGTGGTTGCATATGCTGCTCAGAACTGAGCAAGATAATTTATCTTACTAGTGAGTATAATAAACCTAGGCCAAAAAATTTAAGATTACTAGAACATGAAGTGAAGACCAAAAATATCAGTACTTTTTTTTCTTTGTAGGGGAAACAAAGTCAGAAAACAGTGAGCATTTGCTCAATTTTTTAAATAAACACAAGAAACAAGAAGATAATAAATAAGTCCCATTTTTATAGGTAAATATGGTACTTCAGTTAGAGAACAGACATCATTAAACTGGTTGATCAGAAATCTTTAAATCCCTAATTAAATATCTGGAACTTGACTTCTAAAAATGATATTTGTACCTGTTAATTTATTGTTGTGGAGTGATCAAATGTGTATGAAATTATTTTACTTTGTGGAGCAAAGGGACTAAAGAATAAGACTAGGGAGTTTTTATTTTTATGGTACTCCAAGGATTAAATAGAAAGATGGATCCATATCTGTCTTTCCTTCCTACCAACTAGCTGTGATATAAAAGGAAATTTAAAAGTAGTGCTCTACTGCAAAGTGAAGCTCACTACAGTCAGAGTACACTAAAGAAAAGTAAAAATACAAAGCAATTAAGACATCTGAACATTATGCCTTCTCCAAAACAACTACATTTAAATGTTTTCTTCAGTGCACACAGAACATGTCCAATATCTTATACTTATTTCCCCTCCATCAAGGCAGCATTGGAGACTCAAGACAAAAACATTGGTAAAAGCATTTTCACATGTCCCAAAATCATTGTTTAACATGGATATTGCCATCAGCAGACATTGAAGCAATTAAAACCAATTTAAACATGACCAGGAAGTGGTAGCATTGGACTGAAGGGCACACTAAAGTGTCTTAATTCCATTTGCAGATATTAAACCAATATGAAGGCTAGTAATTTTACTGACTCTCTATAGAGCACCTTCTTCCACAGAAAAATAAAGGAAACATTATAAAGAAGTTTTGTAGTGATGGTTTCACAATAAAAAAATTATTTCTACTAAGGAGAATGTTCTTATAGCAAATTCCCATGGCAATGAACTGGGAACTGGGATATATATAATTCTATTTTGTGTTACTTTTAAGGGTGCATGAAAGTTCTGTATGTTTTGGGAGAGTGGCAAGCAAATAAGTTAGAAGAAACTAAAATGTTAATGTAGCTTCCAAAGCTATTAATAATTTTGATCACTGACCTGAATTCCTGTTTCCTGGAAGTGCTTCCTAGAGACCGCAGTCTCCCTGACTTCTTTGTCGCTGGTGGCTAGAGTCCCTATTTCATGCAAAGATTCCAAATCCTAGGCAGGGACCATCACTCAGTCTCAGTTGTCAGTACCTCTTGATTTACTGTCTGATGATGTCAAGTTCCTGATAAAAGCAATGGGGAAGAAAGATCTTTTAGATGACGGTGGAGCAATTAACTTGATGAAATTGCTTTGGGGAAACTCAGTCTTATGTTACAGAGAAATATATCAAGTATTTGCTTCCAAGAAAACCTGAACCAGGATTATCTCAACTTGAGGATTTTCACTAGACATAGAAAACACTGACCACAAAATGTAAAAGTACTAATGCATTTTGAAATTCCAGAAAGATTTGTATGTGCATTTTAAAAAGGTTATCAACAAGCAAAACAATGTGAGATTTTTAAGCAGTGAACAGTTAGTTCTTCCTAAGGGTCTTCTTACTACTTAGCCCATTTTTCCCCAAATAAATAGCTGAATATTATTTAGTTTTGTGATGCAGCACACTTCTTAAGGAAGGGTTTCATTAGCGTTTCTTTATCTTTCACTGGATTCAGATTAAAGCTGTGTGAGGTTTCAGAATAACATTTCTAAGATGAAAGAACTTTAAAAGGAAATTACAAAATACCAGTGCTACCTTAACCAATAGAGACAAGTATATATTCAGCGGCTGGTGCATGCAGGGCACTGTTCCAGGTGTTGTACAAAACTCAAATAATGCCCACCTGCCCAGAGTGTACATTCTAGTGTCTGTATGCTGGGTGAGGAAACAAAAGCCATGTCCGAATACTTAAAAAGCTAAACAAATAGATGAACAATATAATTTCAGATAGCAGTAAATTCTAGGATGAAAGGAAGCCAGGGTACTACAAGAAGAAATGACCATAAGGAACAGGATGGGAGAGGGTTAAATTGGATTGGTTTGCTAGGGAAAAACCTTGCTGAGGATGTCATATCTAATGTAAGGCTGAAATGACCACAAAAATGAGTCATTTCAAGACCCAGAGTCTGAGCACTGCAGACAAAAGGAACAGTATGTGCAAATCTCTTCAGATGGAAATGAACGCCACCCATTGGAGGAAAGAAAACCTGGTGTGAATGGGGGGAAATAAGATCAGAGGCAAGCAGGGGCTAGATTGCATGGGCTTTGATAAGGGGCTTGAGTTTTTTCTGGACGTATTAAGCAGTGCAATGGCATACTTGAATTTACTTTTTTTAAAATGTCAACTTTTATTTTGAATACAGAGGTACAAATGCAGGTTTGTTACATGGGTATATTGCATTCCAGTAGCGAGCATAATACCCAATAGGTACTTTTTCAATCCACCTCCCTTTCTCCCGACTCTACTAGTCCACTATGTCTATTGTTCCCATGTTTATGTCCATGTGTGCTTAATGTTTAGCTCTAACTTATAAGCGAGAACATGCCTTATTTGATTTTCTGTTCCTGCATTAATTTGCTTAGGATCGTGACCTCCAGCTCCATCCATGCTGCTTCAAAGGAAATGATTTTATTATTTTTTATGGCTGCATGGTATTCCATGGTGTACATGTACCACATTTTCTTTATTCAATCCACCACTGATGGACCCCTAGGTTGATTCCATGTCTTTGCTATTATAAATAGTGTGGCGATGAACATGAGTGCATGTACTTCTAATGATCTAATGATCTGTTTTCCTTTGAGTATATACTCAGCAATGGGATTTCTGAGTCAAATGGTAGCATACTGTTTTAAGTTCTTTGAGAAATATCCAAACTGCTTTTCATAGTGAACTAATTTACATTCCCACCAATAGTGTATAAGCATTCCCTTTTCTCCACAGACTCAACAGCATGTGTTGTTTTTTGACTTTTTAATAATATCCATTCTGACTGGTGTGAGATGGTATCTCATTGTGGTTTTCATTTGCTTTTCTCTGATGATTAGTGATCATGAGCATTTTTTCACGTTTGTTAGCCACTTATATGTCTTCTCTTGAGAAGTGTCTGTTCATCTATTTTGCCCACTTTTTAATGGGGTTAATTTTTGCCTGTTGATTGATTTAAGTTCCTTATAGATTCTGGATGTTAGACCTTGGTCTGATGCACAGTTTGTGCCTATTTTCTACCATTCTGTAGGTTGTTTGTTTATTCTGTTGGTAGTTTCTTTTGCTGTGCAGAAACTCTTTAATTAGGTCCCACTCGTCAAGTTCTGTTTTTGTTGCAATTGCTTTCGTGAACTTAATCATAAATTCTTCACCAAGGCTGATGTCAGGAAGGGCATTTTCTAGGTTTTCTTCTAGGATTTTTTATAATTTTAGTCTTACATTTAAATCTTCAACCGCTATTGTGTTAATTTTTGTATGTGGTGAAAGGTAAGTGTCCAGTTTCATTCTTCTGCATATGACTAGCCAGTTAGCCCAGCACCATTTATTGCATAGAGAGTTTTTCCCCCATTGCTTGTTCTCATTTTTGTTGGACCTTGTTCAGGATCACATGGTTGTAGGTGTGTTGCTTTATTTCTGAGTTTTATATTCTGTTCCATTGGTCTATATATCTGTTTTTGTCCAGTACCGTGCTGTTTTGATTACTTATGGTAGCCTTATAGTATAGTTTGAAGTTGGCTAGTGTGATGCCTCTGGCTTTGTTCTTTTTGCTTTGTATTGCTTTGGCTAATTTGGCTCTTTTTTGGTTTCGTATGAATTTTAGAGTCTTTTTTTTCTAATTATGTGAAGAATGACATTGTTAATTTGATAGGAATAATGTTGAATCTTTAAATTTATTTGGGCAGTATGGGCATTTTAACAATATTAATTTTTCTAATCCATGAGCATGGAACATTTTTCCATTTATTTCTGTCATCACTGATTTCTTCCAGCAGTGTTTTGTAGTTCTCCTTGTAGAGCTCTTTTACCTCCTTGGCTAGCTGTCTTCCCACTTATTTCATTTTTTTTGTGGCTATTATAAATGGGATTGTGTTCCTGGTTTGGCTCTCAGCCTGTGTGTTATTGGGGTATAGAAATGCTACTGATATTGATTTGGTATATTGAAACCCTGCTAAAATCATTTATCATTTCTAGTAGCCTTTTGTTAGAGTCTTTAGGGTTTTCTGCATATAGAATCATTTTCAGTAAAAAAAAGATGGTTTTACTTTTTTTCCTCTATGGATGCCTTAATTTAAACTTTTAACGAATTATTCTGATTGCCAGCTGGAGTAGGAGCAGGACAAGTGTAGAAGCAGTGATTGAAATTAGGATGCTTTTGTCTAGACAAGAGATGATAGGGATTTGGACTAGGGTGTTAAAATAGAAGAAGAGGTAATATGGCAGAGATGTTGAGACCAAAATTATAGTTTGGAAATGAGTAAAATACCTATTTCATAAGCTTCCTTCAATACATTTCCATATTCAAACATTTGTTGAATGTCTACTAAGTTCTGGTTTTGTACTTGAGAGATACCACAGTGAAAAACAAAACGTCTTGTAAAACATATTTTAAAGTACATTAGAAAAAATAAATAATAGATCTAATATTTAAAAATGAAGCATAAAATATTTTCACTTGCTTTCTCTTAACAGTTTTTAAAATAAAGAATATACCTGCACTACAGGAAAAAAAATGAAACTAAAAATATGCAAGAAAAAAAACCCAGAAATTAGAAATCATCAATAAATATATGAAAGAAAACCACTGGTACTTCTTTTCAACTAAGTCTTCCCCATTTTTTCTCTCGCTTGTATCTAGTGTTTTCTTAATGATAATAAAGCCTGGGGAAAAAAGTATAGTTAGGAAATGTTGGTATGTGGTTGGAATTTAAAGGATTTGGTAATTATTTTATCAAGCAGTAGCTAAAGGATTATGCCCCAGCCTTGGCCACGGTTGACTAGAAAACAAAGCCTGAGGCAATCACAAAAGCAACAAATGAGTGGGAAATGTGAGGTGGGTTGGAGAAGAGGTTAAACAAATTCAAGTAGTGCATGATGAAGCTGGCCTGCTTCATGAAGAGGCACATCCATAAGGATGTCTTTGATCAGGCTATATAATAACACCATGCTTTGGAACTGTTCATAAGTGGAGGAAAAGGAGAAAAATCATCCTGCTGCTTCCCACTTCCCTCCTGTCTCCCCATGGTAAACATTTTTCCATGGAAATTTAATACTTTGCCTCACTTTGGGGCTGGGCCTACTGGTGTTTTGGCAGCCTCAAAAGAAGCCAGATTTTGCCCCTGTGGCCCAATTCTTCATAGGAGACCAGAAGTAGTGAGCAGAGCAAGAGATTTCCTGCAGTAGTATCAATGTTCCGTTACCATCCTGTGTCAGTAGCAGCTGCAATAGCCTAAAGAAGCAAGCAGCTGAGGTTTCATGACACAAGGGGACATAAAATGACTATAAGGGTCAATCATGCAATACAGCCCTGAAGCCAACTACTTTTAGCATTTTCTGACAAAACCTAAGGGTCTAGTGTTCTTTTTGAGTCAACTTGGATGTTTTATTATAAAAAAATTTAAAGATGTTTCATCTCTAAGAACAAAAATGCTTTAAAATTTGAAAAATATATATGTATATGGCATATATACAAACAAATACACATACATATTCTATATATAATACAAATATATTGTTAAAAATCTGTAAATGGTCTAACTTTTTTTTTCCTAATAAGCAATTCTTAAAACAGTTTTCTTTTCCTCCTAGAGATAAGCTATACTTTATCTTGGCAAAGGTGGAGTAGCCTTCTGGAATGAACAAACTTGGTCACATGGTCTTCTCTCTTCCCCAGATCCCACCTGCCAGAGCTAGCTCTGACCCACTTGATAGGCTTTCAGTAATGACAGCAAGTGTCCAGCCAGTCTGAAGGTAACCAGGCATCCAGCCCACTGGACACAGGCCTGGAGGTTTTTGCACTCCCCGGAGAGCAAAGAATTGTCCAACTACTTTCTAGTTTAGTAATTTGTGTGCTAAGATTCATAGTCACAATTTAGATAGTGATTTGTGTGTACGTTTAGTTTGAACCACATGATCTCACTTAAAATCCTTTCTAAACTTTAGTTTGAAGCCAATTTTTAATTTAGATTTTTTTCCTTCTCTCCTATCCAAAAGATGCATATTTAGATGGTCTTTAGTTTTAAACTACAACTGTTTGGCCAGACTATTAACAGAAACTTATGTGCTTTCAACTAAAGCCTCTTATTCTATATCAGTGAAAACAATTAGATCATAATCAAATCCAACCTGCAGTGGGTCTCTCCAGAATTTGTCCATTGTATACTTCTAATTTCTATACTCAGCGAGAAGAAAACTAGTGTGATGCCAGGATAAACCTTTCTGCTTATCCAATAATGGTGGGACAACTTTTGAAAAGACTGAAGTGCATGCCCTCAAAATATCCTCTTATAAACTCTGCTTTTCTAACTTTTGGTAAGAGTCAGAAAACAGATAATTGATGTTATAGTTTCTAACAAGGGTCCAAAGTATAAGTATTCTGGGATCATGGTTAAGGGCAAATTCTTATGCTTTCAATATCAAATGTGTGGATTGAAAGGTTGACATATTTTTGTGAACAAGTGTACAATGTCTTAAGCAAAGCTCTTCATGGGAGGAGGATCTATGGTATATGACTTCCTCCCTCTAGAACCTTCTAACAGCCTTGCTACCAATTCATTCCTTTTCTCTTGAGTTGGAAATGAACATATAATTATGTGCCAATTTCCCACTGACACCAACAGTGTCCCCAAGTATTTTAAAAATAAGGATAATATTGAGACTTAAGGAAATAACTTCTGTTTTTAATAACACATCTTGTAAGAATCTGCCAGATTTGAATATTCTCTTCTCATATCTAAATGAGAAATTTAATAATATTAAATCATATGTTATTATCATTAAATCCTGGACTAGAATCACTATTTTCTATTTTTAATTTAGAAATAAGGTATTGTCAACAATATAGAGACTACTTACACATTTTAAGAAAATTAGTGATAATTTCTGCCAGTGGAGAAAATTCTGGTAAAGATTTATCTCTGTTCAAAAGAAAAATTTAAGGACTTTGATGGTTAATTACATATGTAAACTTGAGTAGTCCAGGGGTGTCCACATTAAACATTGTTTCTGGGTGTTTCTGTAAGGTGTTTCTGGATGAGATTAGCATTGAACCTATAGAATCAGTGAAGTACATTTCCCTCTCTAATGTGGTTGAGCGGCATCCAATCCTTTTGAAGGCCTGAATAGAACAAAAGGTGGAGAGAATGAGGAACTTGCCCCTCTTTTCCTGCCTCAGTGCTTGAGCTGTAACATTTCATCTTCTCCTGTGCTTGGACTGGGATTTACATCATTGGCTCCTTTGGTTCTCAAGCCTTCAGACTCAGGCAAAATTACACCACCAGCTTTCCTGGGTCTCCAGCTTACAGACGGCAAATTATAGGACTTCTCAGCCTCATAATCTCATAATAAGTCAATCAATAATAAATAAATAGATATTTAAATACATAGATATAGGTTCTGTTTCTCTGGAGAACCTTGACTAATCCAAAGTCTAAATAAGGGAGCCAGCAATTAGCAAGAATAGGCTGTAGTTATCAAAAGACACAGCACAGAGGCATGGGAATAGCATAATGTATGTTGGTCTCCATTTAAATCCCCTTTATTAGAACAGTGTGCAAATTTCCCCCTCCTGTCAATGTTGATATCAATAGCTCAGAGCTTCCCCTCTTCTGTAAAATTGCCATAGGCCAATAGGAGCAACCTTGTCACCTAGAAATGCGTAGAAAGTCCTTCCCTTTTCCCTAGGGGAGCATCTGATGTCTCAAAATCCAACTGGTGTTTGGTACAAGAATCTGCCCTGCTTCTAGGTAACCCAACTGTGATAATCAGGTTGGAGGATGGCATTTATATATAATTGCCTATTTTTTTCCATTTTATAGCATAAGACTAGGGACATACTAATTCAAACATCTTTACTGGGCCATTTAATTTCTTGGACCACTGTATAACCTCCTTGACAGGATTTTATCTATTTTGGCCCTTAATTTCCCAGAAATCTATTGTTAGGAACAGCAGAAGGAGAGTAGAAAGAGAGTACAACTATAAGTTCTGACACTTTCTAAAGTCAGGTTTTAATGGAAGAGCTATTTTTAAAATACAATTAATATAGTTAAAACTAAGCTCTTAGCAGAAACTGAATTGACATTTTGAGCAACTTCTATGAAGGATTATGCATTATGAGATTTGTTTTAATACCTGTGTTTGAATAATATATGGGCTAATGATTATTTGTGTCTGAATTAATACACAAACGTATAAGCACTCACACATATATTCAACAAAGACTAAAGTTCTCAAGCAAAATATGCATGATCATTCTTAAATAAACATGTAAATTCCTCTTCCATAAATTTCTTAATTACAACCAATGTAAATCCAGTCTTAAATAAAACATTCACCCTTTCAGTCATTCAGCAAATATTTTTGAGAGACTAGCATTTGCCAAACGTTGTGAAATGTACTAAGATATAATGCAAACAATTCCCTTTCCTCACAGAGCCTACAGCCAGTCAATAATACAGCCTAGAAATGGCCAATACAACATGCAAGTGGTGAGTGCTCTAAAGAAGGAAGTACCAGGAAAGCACGAAGGAGAGGCACTTAACTAGTACCTGGGTCTGAGCCTCCTGAAACCAGTTAAGCAGAAACCAGAAGAGTGAGGTAGGGGAGTGCTCAGATAGAAGAAAGGACAAGTGCTAAGGCCTACAGGTAGAGCACCATATATTTGAAGAAGTGAAATTAGCTCAGATTGGGCAGAATATAGAATGCAAAGGGAAGAAGTGATGCAGTGTGATGCTTAAATGCTAAATAGTCCATAGAAAAGTCTAAAGTCTTGAGTCAAAGGCAGAGTCTCTTGGAAACAGACTCAGAGGTTGAGGTTTTCATATGGGATGTTTATGGGCAGAGCTTCCAAGGTCTATACCTGTGGGGAAGCAATGAAAGCCAACTGCTCACCTTCTCTCTGTAAGTGCAGGGGCAGAAATTTGGCTATAATATAGTCGCAACAAAGGATTCCGACAATTTCATGGAGAACTCTGACATTGGAATGGACCTTCAGAGTTGTTCCCATTTGGGATGGGGGCTAGAATTTTATACCCCAAGTGGTGCATGCATTGGACATAGTCTATATAGGCTACCCACCAGGAAGGACGTGACCTTGGGCAAGCAGGTCCTCTTCTGCCTAGGAAAAGTCCCAGGAAGGGCCACAATTAAGAGCTCTTGGCTGCAATACCACAATGAATGTTTGAGTTCCTGTGGGTGAGGGTAGCATCTAGAAAGTGCACCTTGTTGTAAGTAAAGCATGTTAAAGATATGTCTTAATAAATCAGGTTACGACAATGAAAGGCCTGGGCTTTAGGCATGGAAGAGACACAACCTGTTTTATATTTAGAAAGGTCTCTCTGGGGGCCGGGCGCGGTGGCTCATGCCTGTAATCCCAGCACTTTGGGAGGCCGAGGTGGGCGGATCATGAGGTCAGGAGATCGAGACCATCCTGGCTAACACAGTGAAAACCCGTCTCTACTAAAAATACAAAAAAATTAGCCAGGAGTGGTGGTGGGCACCTGTAGTCCCAGCTACTCGGGAGGCTGAGGCAGGAGAATGGCGTGAACCCGAGAGGCGGAGCTTGCAGTGAGCCAAGATTGTGCCACTGCACTCCAGCCTGGGCTACAGAGCGAGACTCTGTAAAAAAGAGAAAGAGAGAAAGAAAGAGAGAAAGAGAGAAAGGAAGGAAGGAAGGAAGGAAGGAAGGAAGGAAGAAAGAAAGAAAGAAAGAAAGAAAGAAAGGTCTTTCTGGCTGTAATATGAGCAATAGACTGGAGAGAAGCATGACTAGAGGCAGACCGACTAGCTGAAAATTGGTTGCAAAAATCCAGGCAACAGATTGTGGTGGCCTGCAGTGGGGTAGTGACAGGAAGAATGGAGAGTTTTAAATGGACCTGAAAGAAGTAGAAGGGGCAGGACTTAATGACTGAATGTAAAAAATTTAGACAGGGAGTAGTCTAAGTTGTAACCCAAATTTCTGGCTTTGGCACCTATGCTAGGAAACAAAGCAAGAGAAGCCAATTGTTTGCCATTGTATTTTTTTAAAGGTAGGAGGGAGTGCAATTGTGTGAATGTGAAACTCAGCTCTGGAAATGTTGAATTTAAAGTAAGTTTAACAGAGACATATACTAAAAAGCACACATAAGGGTCTAAAGAACAGGAAATGTATTTGAACCAGAAATAGGAATTTGGAGACCATCAGCACATAGGTGGTAACTGTATCCAACAAAGTGATCAATATGGCCTAGAAGTTTATAAAGTGAGAAAAATAGAAGGCCTAGGATAAAATCATAAAGGTTTTATTGTTTTTGTTTTTCAGTGATGCATTCATTAAATTCCCACTCTATGCTTTCAACTTGATTAAGGACAGTGGAAAAGAAGAGTAGTATTTTCTGAATGCCTTTGATATGCTGAACACATTACCTCATTATCTTATTTTACAATCCTATGATTTTAGAATATCATCTCCATTTAACAGATAAGATCAAAGACTCATGAAATTTAAGCAAGTTCTGCAAGCCATAATACTATTAATTGGTAGAGCCAGAATCTCACTCCAGATCTGTCTGAGTTTTCCTATGATTTTTTCACTATATTATCGTTAACTACAAATGATTTGGAATAAAGATTTATTATGAATTATGTTTTGTAAAATCATAGCTTTATTTTGGCTTCCACAATTTACTAAACTTTAAATATTAAAAAGTTGTACTGGAAACTAGAAAATTCACATCTACTTTGGGAAATAGAGAGTCTTCTATGTTCTTAAGCCTTAAAAATGTAGCATATAAATTTGTTTTTGTCAAATGGAAAAACAGAATAAGGGCTTACTCTTTCATTAGCCACTTTGTAAAGGAAAGTTTGATTTATTCTGGGAAATTAAAAATGTATAGCAATTGGTATTTAGGACAAAATTACCTCACAACAAAAAGTGTATGCACTATTAGCACTGATATTATTTATTCATGTGTAGCTAGAATTTCATGCCCATATAGGTCCCAGGCTTAAGAAAATGTCTGAAAGAGTTTCTCAGGGCTGTGAGAAACCAGTAATATGCAGAAACTTGCCATAGGCTTTATTGCAGGGATTCTAAAAAAGAAAAACACACAAACCATCACTTCTATTGCTAGAGATGAAACAGTAATGCTTAATCAGTAGTCTGCTTAATCAGTAGTCTGAGCTAGTTTATATCTGCAAATGTTCTCTCTAACTCACTTTGATTCAGAGTTGGAGCTCAGTCTTCCTACTGAGGAACTGAGAAGAGATGATAACCTGACCGGAGGGACTCTTTGGCTATGCTCAGAAGTGGAGTAACCATTCATCAGCAGTTGTCCCTCAGTGGGTATGTCCTCCACATGGAAGATGGCACACATTCCTAAGAGAGCCATACTTTTACCAGTTTCAGTGGTGAGGCTTGAATACAACATTAGCTTTTATAAGGTCATTTAGGTCAAGTGTGATTTTATCTGTGATACACTTTGGAACTGCTAAGCCTTGTGTTGTTATCAGTGTTAAATTATACATATTTCAGGAGTCCTTGCTATTCCCCACCAGGAACAGAAAGAAGATCTCCTTCTAAAATCTTCCTTTATCTCATTAAGTTTCTTTAGGAAGTTGGTTTTGAAATTAAGATTTAACTAGGCTAGATGCTGGTTTGTAGTCCTAAAAAAAGTCTCATGCCACCTAACAAAAAAAAAAATGATTTGAACTTTGCAGATTCTGTTTATTATTAACACGGTTTTCAAAAAGGCTATAAATAAAAAAGGATTGTGTTTTCTTTTGAAAATGTAATATTATACACTTTTTACAATTTGAAGAGGTTAAAATGCACTTAGGTTTTGTCTCATTTATTTTTGTACATGATTACACAGATTCACAGATGGGAAATGTACTCAAGGTCATACAACAAAAGAGTATTTCATGGTAAAAGTAGTATTATAAATCAAGTTTTAAAATCCCATATCTAAAAATGATGTGCATTTTAGTAAAACATCATTTTACTTTGTTTTATAATTTCCTGATAAATAATACATATGAGATGCCAAATCGATGTGTATTAAGGAAAAAATGTTAAGCCTTATATTTAGAAATCTCAAGAACACACTGCAAGTTTATACTAAAACTAAAGTCTCGTAGTTTTCTTAGGATGATGATGTGGCTTAATTTTTAAATATCACACATACATTATTTCTCTAATGAACTTTTTCTTTTGTCTTCATTTCTTTTTTTTAAAAGTGTCCTCTGTCATTGAAGATGCCAAATAAAATGCATGGACAGAAATTAATAGGCAATGGAACTTGATGAATTCTCCTGGAGAATATTTTTATAATGAAAGCTTGGCAACTGTTCCTGTGATTAATCATGATAATACACAAATGCTTAACTCCAGATAAACTGACCATTTCCTTCTTTCTGGGATACTCCTCTCCTTTTCTTTTTCTTTCAAGGAGGATTAACCAGTTCACTCTTTCCCTTTACTATACATTCTTCTCAGTGATGTCCCCACCTCCATTTTTCTATCCAAATCCCACTTTTCCCAAAAACATGTCTCAGTCCACCAGAGAAGGAGGTGGTGTTATTCTCCTTTAAAATCCAATGTATCCGTTTTATTCTGTCTTTCCATTTGACAAAAACAAATTTATATGCTACATTTTTAAGGCTTAATACAACACTGATCATACAGTGTAATATTGTCCATGTTATATATTTCCCAGACCTTCAATTATCCACAAGGATTGAGTTGAGTGCTTACTTCTAGAAGATGGGGGGAGAAGGAGAAGAAGAACTGGGTGGTCAGTGAATATTCCTTGCTTTTAGCTAGGGTTAGCTAGGACACAGCAGATGGCTAAGTACATCAGAAGTAAGGATACTTGGGAAGCTCAATCAATCAGTGGATCACTGGCTAGCACATACACTGAAAGTGGGCTTTCTATATGAATAAGGAACACTTCCAACCTTCCTACCTTTCCTTTAACAGATAAATCATAATACAAAAGAATTTTCTAAAAAAAACTCAAAGAAAAAATTTCTAATCTAGTTGAATCTGAAGATTTACCTGGCTAAAAGTAGTCCTCCTTTGGCTTACTAGGGATAAAAATTCCTGTCTTTACATGAGGGCAGCAAGAAGGTTAGAAATGAACATTATTGACCACCTATCATGTGCCAGTTATTAACATATATTTTCCCAGTAAAGTTTACAACAATTCCCTGAGGGAAATATCATTAGTCCCACTTTCCCCTACAAAATTTGCCCTGAATGCTAAGGAACCAGGATTATAGAGAGAATATGGTCAGCATGTGGTGTTATAAGTGATATTTTTTTCTGCTTTGTTCTGTATAATAAGTTTGTGTTAAAAAATGGCCTAACTTACGTGTTTTAAGCATTCATAAGTATAATATATCAAATGTTATTGTCTATTAAATAAAACAGAATTCATTAGGGCTCAAAATATTAAACGTCAAACCACTAACGTGTTAAATTTAAAATGTTTTACATTACTAAAGAAAGATTGGGTGTGTTCTAGAAATATTTTTTCTTTAAAAGGAACACTAATGGAAGTCAAATTCCATCTTCTGTACTTGCTAAGTTAGCCAAGTGGGGCAATAGCAAAATCGGGGTTTCCTCCAACCTCTAAATTCTGTGAGTCATTGATTTATAATGTGCCTTACTATTGGAATCAGAGGAAACTTTTTCTACCTAATTAAGCCTGCTGACAGAGTAATTCCTGGTGTGTGCAAAATCTGCTTGCATTTGGAGCTCTATTGCCTGTCCTCTGAAAAGAGGGCAATGTCTTCAAATATGAAGACTTTTGCAGCTGTTCGGCTAGTTGACTAATCACTTCTGAGATTTTCTTCCCCAAAATAAAAATCATCTGGGAACTAATTGTTACTCACAATAATATCAGAGCTTGGCATTTCTGAATATCTGTTCATCACTAGATTTCACAAGTCTGAGCCCATCTTTGAAATCATGATCTTCACTTTCAAAATTCAAAGTGGGAGCCTGAGTGGTAACAGAGATTCTCTGTGGCAGGGTTGGGTTAGAATTTGATGTTCTTCTCTCTTATTTTTCACCTCACATCCTTGTAGCACTGCACTGGGTTAGTAGAATCCTACAGTGTGAAATGTTGCATAGAGTGCAACACACAGGGTTCCACTACCTGGAATGAATCCTGGGTTCCATCTTAACAGGAGCATGGAATCAGGTAAATGACTGCCTTACTCGCCTGTCTTAGTCTCTTTATGTTGCTATAAAATAATGCCTGAGGGTAGGTAATTTATTTTTCAAAAAAGGTTTATTGGGCTCATGGTTCTGCTGGCTGTACAAGAAGCATGGTGCTGGCACCTTCTTCTGGTGAGGGTCTTGAGAAACTTCCACTCATGGTGGAAGGTGAAGGGGAGCCAGTGTGTGCAAAGATCACATAGTAAGAGAGAAAACAAGAGAGAGCAGAGGGTTCCAGGCTCTTTTTAACAATCAGCTCTCTCTGGGAATTAATAGCATGAGAACTCACTCATTACTGCAAGGATGGCACCAAGCCATTCATGAGGGATCCACCCATGACCCAAACACCTCCCATTAGGCCCTACCTCCAACATTGGGAATCAGATTTCAACCTGAGATCTGGAGGGTCAAATATCCAAACCATAGCGCCACCTCACATGGATTTGGTAAGAATCCAAGCTTCTAGAGGATCAAATAATCTTTCTAAACTATTGACATACTTATACAAATATAAATTATGATTCACATTTATCTGCCATTAGCCCAACGTTCTCATCAACTTCTTTTACAAGAACAAGAAGAGGAAGTCTCAGAATATATACTGTCACTATAAAGAACATGTTTAGAGGTTTTGCTAAGTGGAATACATTTTAAAATTTTTGTAATCCAGCTGTATCCACAAAAACAAATCTTGATTGTTTGTTGTTCATTTCAGTTATATTGATTTTTCATTTATTTGACTCTAGTCAAGAAATCCTATTTATTGGCCCAGCCCTGCTGCCAACTAGCTTTGTGACCTCATGCAAGTTATCTAATTTTTCCAGGTCTTTTCTTCAACTGAAAACCTGGGAGCGGGGCGAGGGGCATGGGCTGTGAAGAGGGGGTGGGAAAGAGATGAGGCCAAAAGAACAAACAGAAAAAGTTCGGTCTGGATTAAGCAGTACAGAAAATATAACCTTAGTTCTCCACCTCCAGGAGAACTCTGGCCTTAAGCAGAGAGCACTCTGCTGGTTTAGAGTTCTATGTACTCATAGATATTAACACAAAAATGTAGGAGGGAGCTAAGATTTGCTATTTGAGTATAGCACTGCTAAAGCTGGGTTCAAAGTACAATAGCTTAATTTGAAAATCTGACTAAAAATGCCTGAAGATTTTGCAGAAACAATAAACAAAGGGTGACACAGAAGAAGTGTTTGTTGACTGCTTGAATTGCTGATACACTAATAAATGTACTGAGCACATTGAACAGAATGGAGGCCTATCATGGGCAAACATAAATTCCAAAAGTAAGTAAATAAATTAGAAGGGAACAGTCAGTAATCTAACTGTGAGATTTGGGAAGAGTCATGTGCACTCTTCCTCCATGTGTTTTTAAAGGGAACTGTGGGGTAGAGTCATGAAATATGTTCAACACCTATTACAGGATTGCTATAGCAATAAAATAATAAACCAAATGTCAGAGTTTTGAGAAACTAAAACATCATATATAATATAGGACAAAAATATTGAATTTAAAGATATGTCATAAAGTCTACATGTCATTTCTATAATTTTTAGCGTATTTTATAAAATAGACTACCAATGTCTAGCTTCTCAAAAGAGAGGTAATTTTAAATTCTTATACATGGATTTAATAAAATAGGCAGATAATAGTCAAACTGGAGCTGCTACTATAACCAGATATAATTTTTTTTAAAAAAACAAACAATTGCCTTCAATTGGATTTTTGAAGTATTGATGTTGCTTATTTTAAGAAATAATTTTTTTCTGGAGTGAACTGAGTGTAAAGATAATTTTTAGATGATATTTTCTATGATAACCTGGTGATCTCTTACAAAGTGAGCATCTTTTTATAGGACATATCATTATCCCTAGTATTTTCTATTCAATAAATCTATGCTTGCATGTATTTGGCTTTCTTAAAATAGATAGGGTTCATCTTCATTTCTATCAATAATTACAATTTTAATGGCAAAGAACTATAGTTGAATGCATACTGTGTTCTTGTAAGGCTCTGTTTTAGGTGCTGAAAATTCAAAGATGAATAATCCACAATCTTTGCTTTCAAATAATTAGCTAATTACTTGAGATTGGTGACATATAGGCAAATATGTTTAACAAAGTATAAGCACATTAGAATTTTATTATAGTCCACAGCACCATCCCAGTGAGCGGGAATCCTTTCCACTAAGATGGGGGTAGAGGAATCAGGAAAGGCAGTCTGAAAGAACTGGTTCTTAAACCTAATCAATAATAGGTGTAATTGACACTTAGTAGTGTATCAGTGTCCTTTGACTTTTGGGAAAGGACTGAGGATGGAATGGTGAAGCCAGGTCTTGGTGGAACGAGGGAAGATGAATGCCCTTGATGGAAAGCAGCCTGAGCATATTCACAGAGGCTTGAAATAGCATAAAGATCTCTCATGCCTGTAAGCAATTCAATGATACTAGAACACTGGCCAAAATAAGTGGGTGTAAAAGTAAACTCTTGATCTGGTCTGAGACTTATCCACAGATCTAGAAGGGAGTTCCTGAGAAAGCTAACTATGTGGAGATTGACTAAAAATTAGATGTGGGGATCCCAGAAAAGAAACGACAGTACATTTGTGCCAGCCATTTAGGCCTTTTAGGGTGAAATCAGAGATAATCTAATGTACTGGAGAGTTAACCAGGGACTGTGTGTTCTGAGATCTCACTTGGGAAACCAACTTGGAAAAGAGAAAATGCCAGAAAGGACAAAAATTGAACACTTAGCTCTTCCTTCTTTCCAGTTGCCTGCCTCCCTGCATCCTCCCATCCACACTCATGTCCTGACCTAGATGATTCTCTTTTAATTTCAAAACTGAGAAGTTCTAGTGGTGGGTGTGCGTGTGCATAACGAAGTCAGGCAGCTGGTAAGGAGAACAGAAAATTTTGGGGGTGCTTCTTCCTGGACTAAGTAGAACAACTACTTTGTACATATCCCTGCAGGTTCAGAAGAGAATCCAAGACTGAAAAATGCAGAAAGGCAAAATTATAAATCTACAAAACCCCTGACTCATTAAACACTAGGTTACATAACTCTTTTAAATGAAAGCAGTTTCTAGATTGCCTAGGGGTTCATCCTCAACACCAATTAACATTCTCTCTCTCTCTCTCTCTCTCTCTCTCTCTCTCCCTCCCTCCCTCCCTCTCCCCCCTTCCCTTCCTCTTTCTTGCTAGATGTCGGATTCAAAGCAACATATGTAGTGTAAAACAGCAACTGACACTTAAAACCCCAACACTGACTAGAGCTAGAGGACCTCATCTGTGTTGGCCATCCACCTTAGTCACCGCATTAGCTGGCCTGTCTGGTAAAACATCCTCTTTGATCTTTTTATTTATTGTCCATATATTTAGATAGACAAACTGGACTTTGGATTGTGGAATCACTAAAGAACAGTTGCTTTTCCTCAGCTCCCTTATGAAATAGATCACTTGGAATAAGCAGATTCCTCAGGCATTATTACTAAGGACAGTATCCTGCCTGAGCCTCGTCCTTCTCAGTTCCAACACAGGGCACTAATCATAAACATACCTGCTCCAGTGATATATTTTTCAGACCACTTTGTGTTTCTATTGAACTGTAATCTATTTCTCCATTATTCTAGAATATCCTTCATCGTTTATTTGGGGTTTATCTCAAAATATTCTGAAATTGTCTTTTTCTAGAGCTTATTCTTTGTCCTCTCCATCCCCAATTTTCTTATAATATCAAGTCTCTTCCATTGTTTCCTCTCTCTCTCTCTCTCTCTCTCTCTGTGTGTGTGTGTGTGTGTATGTCTCTCTCTCTTTCTCTGTCTCACACACACACACATACCCACAATACTAAATCCTCTGGAAAGTGTAAAACAAGTTTATAATCACTTCAGGCTGATTAATTGGGCTGTTAATATTGAGGCCGAAATTGTTATTTGCCTGCCACATATCTTTCCTTCCTTCTTCCTTACCAAGAGAACTGAGTTTTGTTTGAAACATCTATGAATCCAATTTAAAAGCTATGTTTCTCCAGCCTCCTCCCTTGCTGCTGTAAATAGCCATATAACAATTCCAGGCAATTAGATACATAGTAAGATGTTAACTAAGGATTTATGAGAACTTTTTTAAATTTATTTTTTACTGAGAGAGAGGGTCTTGCTCTGTTGTCACCTAGGCTGGAGAGCAGTGGCGTGATCATGGCTCACTGCATCCTTGAACTCCTGGGCACAAATAATTCACCCACCTTAGCCTCCCAAGTAACTGGGACCAGAGGCATGCACCACTATGCCTGACTTTTTTTGTTGTTTTGGTAGAGATAGGAACTCTTTATGTTGCCCAGGCTGGTCTCAAATTTTTGGGCTCAAGCCGTCCTCCCACCTTGGCCACCCAAAGTGCTGGGATGTGGGTGTGAGCCACCACAACCAGCTTTCTTTCTTGATATAGACTCTACCCCTTTCTCCTTGTCCCTTCTTATATCCTACCTGAAATACAGAAATGTTAGCTGGATATTAGCTGGATGCTACCATCAGAATGGGTTCAGAACTAACCCTTTTAAAGTTCATATTGATCATCCATGCTCCTCCTAGTATGTAGAACTGTTGCAATTTAGGATGCTTTGTTTAAAATGTAAAAGAGACTGGAATCCTAGATACTATGATGTAACAACTGGAAAATCTATACTGAAGTTTCTCTTGGCTCTGTGAGTAGAAGAAAAAGTATGTGCAAAATAGAATCAATCATAGCACCAACATAATGGAATTTACTCCCCCCTAAAATTAAATCCTCTCAGTTCTCTAATTTAATTTTTAAACAATAATTGGCAAAAAGATAACATATGTTTTTAAATTGCTTCAACTGCAAAGATAAAAGGTAGGCAAAGACAGCTTGGTGACCACCAAAATTCATGTTGCCTTCTAGGAAGTGGCTGCCCAGCTAGGGGAATATCTCAGCCTTCCGTTGCATCTAACGGGGCTATATGACTATTTCTCACCATTGAAATATAAGCCAGCCATGTATGTCACTTCTGGGCTGAAGAGGTAGGTGTAATTCTTCATGATGTCTTTTTCCATCATCAGCTGACTCTGAGTACCTAGAAGCAAGAGGTGCCACAAGACTGAAGAATCCTGAATCCATAAATGATCACATGGAATGCCACCTGCCAACTGGGAACAACCACGTAGAACTTTTCATGAGCAAGAAATACAATTTCATTGTATCAAGCCACCAAGATTTGGGAGTGTATTTGTTGCTGAAACAAGGGTTGTTCCAATTAATATAAAGGGCAAAAATAAAAATCTCACATTTTAGTGTATTCAACATGAAATAACTGAAAAAGCAGAATGTCATTCAGTGGGCTCACAAATAATTAAATAAGATTTTCCACAATTAGGTAAAAAAGAATATAAACCAAATTAATTTATAAAAAAAGATGAAAGTTAATACTTTGTTCTACCTTGAGTTTGTGACTTACAAAATCTATACCTGCCAGTTACTAAGTATTTTTTAATATTGCAGTCTCCAGTTAGTCTTGATATAGTCTGATTTTTGACAAAGAATTTTCCCTATTTATTTCTTTAAGAGGGTGAAATGAATGCTATGTTCTATGAAGCTTTTTAGTGAAGTAGAGCTTTTTAGTGAAGTAATATGCAATTGGTTTTGAATAGGATATTCCAAGGTGATGGCGATCTGGATTCAGAAGTCAACTATCTTCCATAGAAAAATTGGGTTTAATAGACACTAAGAAGACCATCATTTGCTCCTCTAAAATTAGAGAGCTGCTATTCCAGCCTGCCCATAAACATTCTCCAAGTCTAAAGTAAGTTTTTGGATAGAGGGACTATCATGTTCTAGGACCTTTCAAATTATTTCTTGTGCCAATGTGAAGAACAGATTCTGGTCTACAGAGGCATTGTTGAGACTGAATTAGGAGAACTTACAAAGACCTTCCATGGACCAGCCAGGGGGAGCCACATGCTATTCAGTGTAGCTGACTCCAGCAAGATAACAAGTGGAAAAGAAAGGAAAAAAAAAAAAACTCATTAAAGGCCTCCTTTCTAAATTAGTGAGATAAAATTTTGCTTAGTAATTGAAGAGATTCCAAAGGTTGAAGCTTTAATTCAATGCCTATCTATTCTTCCAGTGAGAATCTTTTCAGAAAAAAACTTCAGACAACCTTATTTTGTAGGGTGAATGTGAGATGAAATAGGGCATGGGATTATTTTCATTTTTCATTATGAAAAGTCTGTCTACAGTTTTCTCTTCACATCTATCTGACTACAATATAGTTATAAACCCATCTGTTTCCCAAGTAACATTCTCTTCTAAAAGTAGGATAATTTTTTTCCATAGAAAGCTCAGATATAAAATGAGGAGACTTTTTGCTCTTTAGGAATACAAATCAGCTTAGACTAACCAATCACACTGAATTTTTAAAGATTTTACCAGTAACCAAAACTATATATTAATGGAAAATGGATATGGGGGAAATACATCCTTTGTCTTAAAAACAGAACCCCAACTTTATTTAGGGGTGGCAATGGGCTCAGCTAAAAACACAGTGATTCCACATTCCCTTGCAGGAGGGAGCAGCCATTTTTCACAGTTATGACCCATAGGCTATAAGTTAAAATCTCTAGGGGGTTTGGGAAAGCTCTTGGAGGAACCTGATTTAGCTGGCATGTGTCTTATGCCTTTTGGTCTTCCTATCCTTCTCCCTAGCATGTAGTTAGGATGCTGGAAGTGAGGCAGCCATCTCAAGACCATGAAGCAACAAATAGAAGGATGAAAGTCACAAGCTGAGGATGTTTGAGAGGAAGAAAAATGAGCTTAGGCCTCTGAAGACTGTGAAGTCCTACCTTCAGACTAATGTCACTTAAGAAAAACGAACTTCTATTTTGGTTAAGTTAGTATATGTTTGATTATCTCTTACAAGCAGCCAAACCTATACCAAGTTGATCCAATTAGAAGAATGTGCCAAAAAAATCTTTTAACCGTTTCCAAACGTGCATTTCAGAAGCATTCATTTACTTTGGCAATTATTAAACTGATATATATTAGTAAAACATTTTTATACACTTCTTAAAATGACTCCTCCAAATAACTCTACTAGGCCATACTCTATGCACTTCCTATACAGGGAGGGACACATTATGAATACTTTTCATCCCTCCATTGATTCATTCAGCAAACACTTATTGGAGGCCCAGAAAGCATTGTGCTAGGGGCAGGGATGCAAGAATGAAAAACACACACCTGATTACAAAAGGCTTAGTTTATTTGAAAAGAATAAGACAGAATATTTTTTAAAAACATTCTATTTTCCAGTTCTTTGCTTCCTGAGGGTTGTTTGTTTCACATACATTAGCTCTCCAAGGGATAGAGAAGCCTAGCACCATAATCAACATCAATAAAATAAAAGGATCTGAGCCAACAAATTGGTGTACATAGCTTAATGTTCAGAACACAAATTCATCATTGAATATTTAATTAAATGTTGCACCAATGTGTTCATTACTGTTGTGAGAAATAACTGAAGAAAGTTTCTCATTCCAATCAGTACAGAACTTGTTTTTCCAAAATCAGACTACTGCTAAAAGCAGATATTTAGTACTACTCCACTTTTTTTTTCTGTCATTTGTATGATATAAAAAAATCACTGTACATCAAGCCTTTACTCCAGTATCAAAAGACAATTATTCATTGCAGTATAGCTGACAAAATAACAAGTTAGTGTCAGGAAAACCATTTTTCACTCACCTCTTCCTCTATGTCAGGCATATCATCTAACTTCTTTCTACCTCAGTTTCCTTATGAGTTAAGTAATGGGTTGGAATTAGATCACTGTGTTCCCTCATAGATCTAAATTCTCTTATTTCCTCACTCTACTTAGTGTGATGCATTAGCAGATAGGTTTCCCAGCTAAGAGCAGAACATTAAGATTATTTTTAAATGATGTGTGGTTCCTTCTCTATTTCTGTTACCTCAGGAATTATACATATTAGCCAACAACTCATATCAAACCACAATTTTATATATAATTAAACAATATAATGTCATCTTTTATTAATAATACTATATCACCATACTCAAAATCAGAATAGAAGACTGGTTTTATTATTTCTAGCTTTTAAAAGCATAACTTGCATTGCACACATTTGGGATAATTGAAAGAAAATTAGATGGAGTGTACATTGTTTTAAATTTGCTGTTCACATTATCCCCCAGATATCTAGGAGTAAGTCTAACACAGATTATCTCAAAAGCACAGCAATCCTCTTGCTCCATTATAAGAAATTATTTTCAGAGTCTAAAAGATTGATTATATGCAAAATCTGAAAGCTAAAATTAAGATCTTATTTTTCAGTATAGACAATAGAAGTAATTAATTAACACATCTGACATTTATCGGCAACCCACCATAGGCAGAGATCTGCTTTCTTATTAGTTGCATAAGATTTTCAGAAGTTGAAATACATTAAATACAACCAGTTTAACCCACCACGTTCTGAATTTGATATCCTATTACCTTGCTCACAAACAAGATCTTTAAGGAACATAAACACTCTTTACAAATCCTTTAGTTACCATCCTGCAAAACAACTCACACCCCCAATAATAATCTCATTACATATATACATATTTCCCTCTACTCACCACAATGAGTTAAAGGTGGACAAAAGCCCTCGGTGACTGTCTTTGAGTTATTACTTTGCTTTACCATTTCCTTCCTTTTAGGTGTCATGGTACAGGACTTTACTGATAGCAATTCATTCTTGTTAGGTTTACTGCAAACACCAAAAGAGGTGTCTTGCACTTGCTGGAAGACTTAGCTTTTATGCTTCTGGTCATTCTTCCCACAAAAAGAATGAGACCAGTTTCTGAGCTATTCTTAACTCGCCTTCCAAAATATTTCAAAAGAGGAAGACAAGAAAGACTTCATGATTTCCATGCAAACTCCCAGCCTGCCTGGCTGCCTGCTGCTGCCAATACTTCTTGCTCTTGCTGGTGATGACATTCAGAGAGCTCCCCAGCACTGGTGCTTCGTTATGTAAGGCTGTCTAGGTCAAGTGTAGGAGACACACTGCTGGCCTGTGGAAACTCATGGAACTGTTCCTCCAGATTAACACTTCAGGGGTTATGGAAGCTGGAGGAAGCTGAGCTTTTACTACATCTTTTGGGGGTAAATATTTTTGCATGTTTCAGCAGTTTATGTACTACAGTCTTGGCAGATGCCTGTCAGTCATGCTGAGAGGTGCAGGGAGAAATTACTGAGATTACAGTTCTGTCAGCATGCTTGAATAAGCATAGTAAGTCTTCCAGTAATCCTGGCTTTGAGACACTTAAGGAGTAAATAAATCATAAATTCAAATTTGCTTATCGGACATCATCTGTAACCATCAAGGAATGAATGTTGATTTGATATTTAAACTCTGAATACAATTTATTTGATTGGAGGTGTTGTAGGAGAGCATTATTAGAGGTGGCTATTAGCTCAAAGAGATTTACTGCAGTTCTTGGCTGTTACGTTGCCCTTGTCTCTGGCTGCAAATTTGCTTCCCTTGTAAGTGAGTTATATATATGCCTGTATTTGTCTTCTGTTGTGATTGTTTGTGATCGTATAAGAATAAACTGGCAGTTAGGTGACTTCAACAAATAATGAATCCTGCCTACTTAGTTTCAAGGTGAATACTGCAGCAAAAGCGCCATTCGACACTAGCACTGAAGGAGGGTGGATTAACTGCATTGGCTCAAACTGTGCTGTGTTTAGGAGACTTGAAGGGATGATTCCAGGTTTGATATGAACAGTTGTTCACTCTATGGGTAAAAGTAGAAACAATATAGCGCTGATTCTGTTTTAGACTCTCACACTGTGTCCTGCCTCAGCAATTAGTTAAAATAGCAGGCTCTTTATTGAATGCTGCAGAAAAGCCTAGAGAGGTAGCAGGGTAAGATTGCCGCAGCAGAGTGATATATTGGCCAGGAATTTTAATAAGATTTAACCAGATATGATAATACAACAGATGGCATCTAATCTAAAAAATAGATGGATATTTAAAAAGTTGAAGACAAATGTAGCACATTTGAGAGGGTTTATCTTCCTGTGTGTCCTTGGCAAGTGAAGTTCAGTACCTTGGACAGGATGACATGAGTTAGGAAAGTAAAGTCTGCATAAACTGTCTACGTGATCTCAAAGAGCAAAATGGAAAGTTAACTATCAATCATTTGTTTTGGTGTCTCTCAGTGATGACTGGCATTAGGCAGGTTACTTAGCACATACTTTCTAGGTAAACAGGTAGTTTTAAAGTATCTAAAATTTCTTGCATTTTAAAAATTAAATTAAAGGAATGAAAATGAGTGATCGTAAAATAAATTCCCCTGAAGGTACTTTTCATTCTATTAACCATATTAACAGCAGCACATTGATTATTTATGATGAAAATATACCACTTACAATTGTATGCTGTATTTAGTTGATTAAACATGTACATGATTTCCCAAATAATTTAAAGAGACAATTATGGTCCCTCGGGGCCTGATTTTATATTACTGAAGTCAATAGGCATTTTCCCTAGACATAGCTTGAGATAAGAGCCCCATCAGACCAGGTTTTACTCAGTTTGGCATTCAGACTATTCCTCATAAGTTAAAAAATGATGGATACATACTTAATTGTACTTATAATCTTTGAGTTTATATATCTTTCAGATAACAATGTCAGTGTTCAAATTGTCTATAATTGATTTGCATTTAATATTGTTTCTTTTGGCTATTGCTAAAAGGGATTCTTCTTTGTTGTAATAAGCTTAAAATATATTAATTTTTTCATTTTAAAATGGGGAATTTGAATTAAATGAGGTTTAAATTAGTTTTGATTCTACCATATATATCTTTGTATTCCTCTAAATGGGAATTAACATTATTAACTAATCTATGTTAAAGTGAGATTACATTTTTTGGTGAGATTATATTGTTTGAATATTTACAATATTAAGCCAAAATTTACTAAGTACCTACTAAATTCTAGGACAGTGGTTTTCAAAGTGGGGTCTCCTAACCAGCAACATCAGTACTACCTGGGAACTTGCTAGGAATGCATGTTTTCGGGCCTCATGACAGACTTACTGAGTCAGAAGCTCTAGGGATGGGTCCTGGCAATCTGTGTTTGTGTAAGCCTTTCCTCCAGGTGACTGTGAGGCATGCTGAAGTCTGAGAACCACTGTGCTGGGAAGTAATTTGGTTAAATATTATAAAAATGGTTTTTACTGTATATAGTTAAATACATATTGTCATTAAATTTTCTATGTTCATCTTTGCCTAGATATCCTACTGTAAGCAGTACTATGTTTTAAAGATTTATGCAATTATTGAGTATACCTTAAGTCTAAATATGTCCATAAGAAGGTCTATTTTCCAACAGTTCCATTTTAGAACTTTAGCTCTTAGAAGTTAAATACTGTAATGGGAAAAATACTAGAGGACTTATCTGTTTGTTCACTGTGTGATTTGGCACATATCACTGACCCTCTTTGATGTTCAGCTTCTCATTTATTAAGATGAGAGGTTGGCTTACATCAGGGTTTCTCAACTCAGTACTATTGACATTTGGGTCAGATATTCTTCGCTGTGGGGTCTGTCCCAGACATTGTGGAATTTTGAGCAGGGTCCTTGCCTCTACCCACAAAGTGTCCATAGAAACCCTCAGTTGTGATGACCAAAGATATTTCCAGACATTGATACCTGTCTACCAAAGGCAAAACTGACCTCCTCCTCATTTGAGAACCACTGACCTAGATTAGCTCCGCTATGAAAAGTTCCATCATAATAAATAATACAACAAATATATCATTTATCCTTTTGGAAGTAGGTAGGTTAAAACTTATAAATAAATGAAGACATGTTTTACTTGTATAACTCAGGTATAAGGTGGGACCTGTTTGCACCCTTGAAGATCTAGGTGACGATCTATTGGTAGATATCTGTTGGCAGATATCTTGCTCAGGTATCTACCAATACCACAGTCAGTGGAAGTCCAAAACCTTCTGCAACTTATCAGGGACTTAGTCTTACATCATCCTCTGTGTCCTGGCATCGTGGTTTCATGTATACTACACCTAACCACTCTGTCAAGTGACCCAGTGTCTGTCTGTCCCTAGTTTTTAACAGAGACTTACCTACACCAATCACCTTTTCAATTTAATAAATTTTATTAAAGATGTGGGCTTCTACCCGCATTTTCTCCCTTCCCCATCCCATCTCTGCTCCTCATCCCCTCCCTGAGAGATCTGAACACTCCAAATTTTTCTCTTCTTAGTATGGAAAGTAGTCCATCTCTCCACAGCTCTTATATCCAGACGTAGATGCCCAAACTCATCAAAGAGTTTAGAAGATAAAGGGCCTTCAATTTAGAACCATTCACCATACATAGAAGGCAGTTGGGGTCATATGGTATAATCATAAAGTTATAAAATCATAGGCTGTTGGAAGGAATATTGAATTTAAGTTCATTTTCATGTCTTTAGCCTTAAAATTACAAATGTTACAAGCTAGAGTCTCAGAATTTTAAATTATACCTTCCCATGAATTTTTACCTAAACCACTTGGCAATTTAGTACAGACATTTTCTCGACCTGATATGTGCGATAGAAGTAGACAAGCCTCACACACATGCATGTGCGCCTACACACACACACACACACAAATTTTTCTCCAACAGTTAAAGATTCTTTTCAATATACTATTCTACAATTCAAATTAGGTGCTATTCTGAGATATATGTGGATTAAGGAACCTAATATAAGATATAGGTAGCTATATTTCTGTTAAAATAATAATACCTCATACTTGAATGACTATATATGTATTTTCAAGTAATTTTAAAAACATGATCCCTGCCGGGAGTGGTGGCTCATGCCTGTAATCCCAGCACTTGGGGAGGCCGAAGCGGGCAGATCACGAGGTCAGGAGATCGAGACCAGGTGGCTAACACAGTGAAATCCTGAGATCGCACCACTGCACTCCAGCCTGGACGACAGAGCGAGACTCTGTCCCCCACAAAAAAAAAAAAAAAAAAAAAAAAAAAAAAATTACTTAGGCCAGGTGCAGTGGCTCACGCCTGTAATCCCAACACTTTGGGAGACCAAGGCTGGCAGATCATGAGGTCAGGAGTTTGAGACCAGCCTGACCAACATGGTGAAACCCCATCTCTACTAAAAAATACAAAAATTAGCTAGGCATGGTGGTGCGCTACTCAGAAGGCAGAGGCAGGAGAATCGCTTGAACCCGGGAGGCGGAGGTTGCAGCGAGCCGAGATCACGCCACTGCACTCTAGCCTGGGCGACAGAGTGAGACTCTGTCTCAAAAAAAAAAAAAAAACCATGATCCTTTCTGAGACCCATAGCAACTCTAAAAGATAGGCCCCATTATCTCTGTCATTTTGCAGTGAGAAAATAAAGGCTCAAGGTCTCCAAATGCCAAATTCACTTCTCGTTCCACTATCCTACAAAGCAAAACTCAATAGTTCATGTAGTTTGAACACATTGGTAAGTATAATTTCTAAGTGATTTTTTATAAAGACCTGTCTCAAGAGTCTTCCTGCTCTAAGACCTTCAGAGAGATTACCAGTGCTTTGTTTTATTCCTAGGATTAATGCATTTTACCTGACTTATCATACATTTATTCGTATCATATGCTTAATTAATTTTCCGGTATATGTATTATAGAATGATTTTAATACATCATTTATTATACTAGTCATAGTCACATGTGTTCTATCACTTAGTGCCCTCAAAAAACTCCATGGGAATAGGATTATTACCCCCTTAAGAGGGAATAATTCAAACATGAGATTGAATTAAATTTCCCTATACTTGAGCTTTACCAGAGGTACCACACTGATGACCCAGCCAACTTCTCTGTTTTCACCAACGAAAATGCAGAACATAGCAACAGACCATCTCTTTTCACTGGCACCCTCCAGTGCTTGACATATAGAGAGTGTCAGTAACTTTTATTGAAGAAATACTGAAATATTGTTATTGCTATGTAGTTCCTTTACATTTTGGACTTTACCTAACATTAACCACCCTAGTTAATTAAGTAGCAACTTGCAAATGAGGCCTGGAAGAACCAAAAAACAAATTTTAAAAAGAACTGTCTGCAACTCGGAACTGCTAATGCTACTTTCTTTGTTTCACTTTATTTCACTTGAGAAAATCTCTTTGGGTTTGATACGGAGATGTTCTCAGACTTTGAATGTGAAAAATTGTTCCCAAGATCAAATATAAATTCCTCCTTTAAAATACAATGTCACAAACCTGGATCACAAAGTCACTTCCCTCTTTAGTCTTAAAGTGAATACTCAAGATGAACGTGAATGATCTTTTATTCCAATTTCCAATTTAGAATATTATTTCAGAAAATAATTATTCAAAGTTTTTTGAGAAACCTCCACATAAAGCCAAACAAATTTTTACCAAAGTAAGGTAAATTCTTTGTCAACTGAGAGCCTGAATTAGATGATTCCTCAGACTTTTTTCTAATTATAATATTCTAGGTAAAGGAGTTTAGCTCGGCAATATGACCATCCAAATATCAACCAAATCCAAGATGATTAGATTTAATAGCGCCATTTTGGAGATGCATTGATTATTGAAGATAAGTAAAGGTCTCAACATTTTTGTTTTCCTCATTTACCCCAAAATACATCCTTAGTCACACATGTCTTAGGATCTGGAATTTGTTTGATAAAAATGCTGAGTTCTGGCCAGGCGCAGTGGCTCATGCCTGTAATCCCAGCACTTTGGGAGGCTGAGGTGGGCAGATCATGAGGTCAGGAGATCGAGACCATCCTGGCTAACACAGTGAAACCCCGTCTCTATTAAAAATACAAAAAATTAGCCGGGCGTGGTGGCAGGCGCCTGTAGTCCCAGCTACTCGGGAGGCTGAGGCAGGAGAATGGCTTGAACCCGGGAGGCGGAGCTTGCAGTGAGCCGAGATCCTGCCACCGCACTCCAGCCTGGGCGACAGAGCGAAACTCCATCTCAAAAAAAAAAAAAAAAATGCTGAGTTCTGAAAAAATAAATCTTTCTTGTTTTGTTTCAAATGAAATTATAGCTCTCTGATAAAGTGGCATTCCTTTTTCTGTTTTATATTCAACGAGTGTATTAGTCCGTTTTTGTGCTGGTAATAAAGACATACCCAAGATTGGGTAATTTATAAAGGAAAGAGGTTTAATGGACTCACAGTTCCACATGACTGGGAAGGCCTCATAATCATGGCAGAAGACAAAGGAAAAGAAAAGACACGCCTTACATGGCTGCAGGCAAGAGAGCTTGTGCAGGAGAACTCCCATTTATAAAACCAACAGATCTCATGAGGCTTATTCACTTACTAGAACAGTATGGGGGAAACTGCCCCCGTGATTCAAGTATCTCCACCTGGCCTCACCCTTGACACATGGGGATTATTATAATTCAAGGTGAGATTTGGGTGGGGACACGGCCAAACCATATCAGCAAGTGAAACAGTGAAATTGGATTTCTAAAAGTTGTCAGTGTTCTGTTGGAATTATTTTATTCAGAGAGGTAAGGAAAGTACAACAGGTGTCAACCTTCCATATGAAATTTCCTAAAGAATATTATTGTTACCTCATGCTGGGAGAAGGGAAAGTAGCAGTGATAGAGTGTTTTGATTTCAAATGTACAGCTTCTAGTAAAAGCATTATAATTAACTTTATAGTAGTAAGCACAACCAGGAATATAAAAATATAAAAGTTTTGGGTTTGGCCTCCAGATTTACCAAATGTTGCTTCCTAACAATTAGCCAACCCTCCCACACTGACACTTACTTTGTCTAAATTGAGTTTTAGGAGAAAACAACCCAATTATAAAGACACAACTATTATCAGTCAATGCCCTGACAAGAAACAGATGGCTCCTCCAAACTTGTGGAAATAAAAAGCAAACTATTTGGTTTTATCTTCTCAACACGATATTTTCATGGATTCCTTGGGAATGCGGTTCCAGTTTTCCCTCTTTAGCAGGTGTGCCAGGCCCTTCTGATCTGGCTGTCTGCCTACCTCTCCAGACTCTAGCCACTTCCACAGACCCAACTTTACATATATCCTACATGTATCTCCTCTTCTTAGAATGCACCTCCTCTTTCTCCTCCACCCTCTTTGTGTCTACTCATAAATGCCTCAGAGAAATTCCTAGATAAGTTTAAGACAGTCTAGATTCTACTTCCCAGTCAACAAAGAAAAAAGTTTGATAATTTCTGGTGATGGAAACAGTTTCTTATGCTGTTCTGGAATATAAAATGGTGCCACACCTTTGGAGGGAAATCTATTGATACCTACTGGGTTAAAAGGCACATACCCTTCCACCTGACAGATCCATTTCCTGAGACTAGATCTTAAAGGAAAATTTGCACAAGTGGGAAATGCAATTGTAAAGAAATGTATACATCCGCATTGTTTGAAATAGAAAAAAAAAAAAGAAAAGGAAGAAAGAAAGAAAATAACATAAGTGTTTATCATCTGAGAACTGATTAAATAAACTTTGGTATATCCATCTATATACAGAACAAAATATTTTAAGCAATAATAAGTGAACTAATTAGAGATAAATTATGTAACTTAAACTAGGTTTACAGCCATATATATTGTGTGATGTTTTTCTTTCTTTTTAAAAAAATATTTGTGGAGATGGGTTCTCAGTATGTTGCCCAGGCTGGTCTTGAACTCCTGGCCCCAAGCAATCCTCCCACCTCAGCCTCCCAAATTGTTGGGATTACAAGTGTGAAACACCATGCCTGGTGTCTGGTACAATGTTATTTATAAAAAAAAGAAAAATATAAAACACGTATATTTCAGATGCTTGGATATACACAAGAATTCTAAAGAAGATAAAAAAAAAAAAATTAACAGCGATTGCCACTGCAGACTGGGCCTGAGGGAAGAGAAACTGGAAAGTTAATTTTTACTTCAAGAGCCACTCAAGTCAATTGACATTAGAAATGTGACTTAGAAGAGTAGATTGGGTTTGCTTGGTGTATCTAAATAGTATGTACAAGCAGGGCTGCAAAGGGGAATGGGAACACCCGGGGAGTGGTGAGCAGGGCAGAATGGCTGATTTACATGTTCAAGGTGCAGAAGGAAGTGAGTAGGCTTTAAGAGCTGAGGCCAGATGTGACAGCCAGGGCTTCTCAAACACCAATGTGCACAGAATCACCTGGGGAAATCTTGTTAAAATGCACTTTCTTATTTAGAAGGTCTGGGTGGAGCCAAAGAGTCCACATTTTCAACAAGCTCCCAAGAAGTGGGGATGCTGCCAGTATGTGGCCACACTTTCAGAAGCAAGGTTTTAAAATTCTGAAAGTATCCTGGTTTTGCGCGGTCCGTGTCTTCACAAACATCAAGCAGAGCCGAAAAGCACTTGTTTTTAGAAAATGAGCTGAGAAAAAAACACCTAATTAAATACGATGTTTGCAACATGAAGCTTCCACCAAAGGAAGCTTACTGTTAAGTGTTCACGATCAGCAGTTCTGCTTTGCTAGCTTTTTCATTTCTAACAAATTTAGACTTCTGGAGATTGAAGCTTTGCCAGATTGAGGCATGCTTCTCCCCTCACTACTCATGTGTTTAGTGTATTTGTTAACTTGGTGAGAGTACGTCCAAACATAGTTATATTCTTTCACTTGCTATGGAAGATTGAAGAATCTGAGACAAGTAAGAAGGAAGATCTCCATTTGCCTCCCTCCCACCCTGCCACATGCTGCCCCCTAACATGTTTGACAAGAATCCAGGCTACAGACTGATCATACACCTAAAAACTATCTTCGGTCAGCTACTTGTAGAAATGTCTCTCCCCCATTATGTCCTTATATGAGCTTAATGTGATGTAATCCTTAGCAGTAAAGAAAGACTATTGTCTTCTGTTTGTTTGCCTGTGAACTCGAATTGCAGAGACTTTCCACCATAATTTTAATAATGTGATATTGTGGAGAGTTTTAGTATGGCCTTATGGTAAGATTAGGTACTTTGGAGATACACTGCTGGTTTCAGAATCACACTTAGTCACCTCGTTACTGTGTGATCTTGGCCAAGATGCTCAACTACTCTGAGCCTCAGTTGCCTCATTTATAAATTCATGAAGATAACATGGTAATAGCAACTATTTTATGAGACTGTTGTGAGGTTTGAAGGTCCCAAAATATATTAAGTCCTCAATAAAATTAACAACAATTATTATTATTCTAAAATTATTCTTAGAATTTATCTAAAAATAGTACTGCTTGAATATCCATATGTTTATTCCTGAGTCTCTACCTGCTATGATTTGGCTGTGCCCCACTCAAATCTCATCTTGAATTGTAGCTCCCATAATTCCCATGTGTTGTGGGAGGGACCTGGTGAGAGATAACTGAATCGTGGGAGCAGTTTTCCCCATACTGTTCTTGTGGTGGTGTATAAGTCTCACGAGATGGTTTTATAAGGGGTTTCCCCTTTCACTTGGCTCTCATTCTCTCTTGCCTGCTGCCATGTAAGATGTGCCTTTCATCTTCTGCCATGATTACCCAGTCTCAGGTATGTCTTTATCAGCAGCATGAAAATGAACTAATACACTGGGCAATTTACAAAAGAAAAACAAGTTTCTTGAACTCATAGTTCCACGTGGCTGGGGAGGCCTCACAATCATGCTGGAGGCAAGGAGTAGCAAGTCACATCTCACATGGATGGCAGCAGGCAAAAAGAGAGTTTTTGCAGGCAAACTCCCATTTTTAAAGCCATCAGATCTTGTGAGACTTATTCACTATCATGAGAACAGCACAGGAAAAACCCACCCACATGATTCAATTACCTCCCACTGGGTTCCTCCCATGACACATGGGAATGGTGGGAGTTACAATTCAAGATGAGATTTCAGTGGGGACACAGCCAAACCATATCATTCCACTCCTGGCCCCTCCCAAATCTCATGTCCTCACATTTCAAAACCAATCTTGCCTTCCCAACAGTCCTCCAAAGTCTTAACTCATTTCAGCATTAACTGAAAAGTCCACAATCCAAAGTCTCAAGGCAAGTCCCTTCTGCCTATGAGGCTATAAAATCAATAGCAAGTTAGTTACCTCCTAGATACAATGGGAGTACAGGCATTGGGCAAATACAGCCATTCAAAATGGGAGAAATTGGCCAAAACAGAGGAACTACAGACCCTGTGCAAGTCTGAAATCCAGCAGGGCAGTCAAATCTTTAAGCTCCAAAATGATCTTTGATTCCATGTCTCACATCCAAGTCACGTTGATGCAAGAGGTGGGTTCCCATGGTCTTGGGAAGCTCCACACCTGTTGCTTTGCAGGGTACAGACTCCCTCCTAGTTGCTTTCACAGGCTGGCATTAAGTGTGGCTTTTCCAGGAACACAGTGCAAGCTGTCAGTGGATCTACCATTCTGGGGTCTGGAGGATGGTGACCCTCTTCTCATAGCTCCACCAAGTGGTACACTAGTAGGGAATCTGTGTGGGGGCTCTGACCCCACATTTCCCTTCCATACTGCCTTAACAGAGGTTCTCCATGAGGGCCCCACCCCTGCAGCAAACTTTTGCTGGGCATCCAGGCGTTTCCATACATCTTCTGAAATCTAGGCAGAGGTTCTCAAACCCCAGTTTTTGACTTCTGTGCACTTGCCGGCTCAACACCACGTGGGAGCTGCCAAGGCTTGAGGCTTGCACCCTCTGAAGCTATGACCCATGCACTATGTTGGCCCCTTTCAGCCATAGCTGGAATGGCTGAGGCAAAGGGCACAAAGTCCCTAGGCTGCATACAGCATGGGAACTCTGGGCCTGGCCCATGAAACCACATTTTCATCCTAGGCCTCCAGGCTTGTGATGGGAGGAGCTGCTATGAAGGCCTCTGAATGCCCTGGAGACATTTTCTTCATTGTCTTGGGGATTAACATTCAGATCCTCATTGCTTATGCAAATTTCTGCAGCTAGCTTGACTTTCTCCTCAGAAAATGGGATTTTCTTTTCTATTGCATTGTCAGGCTGCAAATTTTCCAAACTTTTATGCTCTGTTTCCCTTTTAAAATTGAATGCCTTTAATAGCACCCAAGTCACCCCTTGAATGCTTTGCCACTTAGAAATTTCTTCCACCACATACCCTAAATCATCTCTCCCAAGTTCAAAGTTCCACAAATGTCTAGGGCAGGGACAAAATGCCACCAGTCTCTTTGCTAAAATATAACAAGAGTCACCTTTGCTCCAGTTCCCAACAAGTTATTCATCTCCATCTGAGATCACCTCAGCCTGGATTTCGTTGTTCATATCATTATCAGCATTTTGGTCAAAGCCATTCAACAAGTCTCTAGGGAGTTCCAAACTTTCCCACATTTTCCTTTCTTCTTCTGAGCCCTCCAAATTGTTCCAACCTCTGCCTGTTACCCAGTTCCAAAGTGGCTTCCACATTTTTGGGAATCTTTTTAGCAGTGCCCCACTCCCAGTACCAATTTACTGAGTAGTCCATTTTCAAGCTGCTGATAATGACATACCTGAGACATGACAATTTACAAAAGAAAGAGGTTTATTGAACTTACAGTTCCAAATGGCTGGGGAGGCTTCACAATCATGGCAGAAGGCAACGAGGAGCAAGTCACATCTCACATGGATGGCAGCAGGCAAAAAGAGAGCTGTGTCAGCAAAATCCCATTTTTAAAGCCATCATATCTGATGAGACTTATGCACTATCATGAGAACAACACAGGAAAGACTCGCCACCATGATTCAATTACCTCCCACCAGGTTCCTCCTACTACATATGGGAATTGTGGGAGTTACAATTCAAGATGAGATTTGAGTGGGGACACAGCCAAACCATATCATACACTACCATATACTAGGCACTGTATTAAGGGTTAGGGTATTAAATAGAATCTTTTATCATAAAGATTTTTGTTCATCTCTGTAAAATATTTTAGACACATGTGTTTTGCTTTTTAAACAAAGAAAAAGAGATGTTTTTAGAGATAAGATGAGACACATTGTTATTTTCCCCAGTTCCCACCAGCCCTTCACAACTGCCAACCTGGAAAAAACATTCCCAGAGCCCAACAAATGCTGGAGCCCTGGAAGAAGGGCTACTAGCAGGAGCACTGGACTCCAAGGAATGCAGACCAGGGAAGAGAGTGTTGGGAGTATTAAAATGTAGGTTAGAAGTGGAATAATGGACAAGTAGAGGGAAAGACTTTCAAGTCCACTTTCCAGGGATTGAGAAACTTGGGGTCCTTCATCCGTTGGCTTTGAATGCAGCCCAAGACAGGCATTAGCAGAAAATTGGAGAGTCTCCCCGACCACACCTCACTTCCTAGCTTAAAAAAGCAGCTGCATTCCTCTTTAGTTAAACCTCTCAGTTGGGTCTTCTAAAGCTCTAGCTCTCACCGGAATCTGGTGCCACTTTCACTCTTGCCTGGAATGGCATTGGCTCTCTCTATTGCTAGTTCCTGGGCACTCATCAACCATCTTAACCCACTTGGTCAATAGTTTCTCCATAATTATTTTTATTTTAACCATTTTGAATGTACCATCTACTTTCTGCTAGGACCATGACTGCATCTGAGGTATAATTTTAAAGCAACAAATGGTTCATGGAAGGGTAACTCTGTTTGTGATGCCCAAGAGAGGAGACTTAGGGCAGATAGAGATACATATAAAGCTACTGCTGTCCTAGAGAGCAGAGGGACAAGAAAAGGGGAGAGAGAACACTCATTAGCAGTTGTGTGTGTGTAGCATAACATAACATATATATATATGCATATATATGATATGTAATCTTAGAAACAACTACCATGTGAAGTAGAGCAAATGATCGCTGAGTTTCATCCTTGCTAAGAGCATGGGAAAATCCACATTCTATGTTTGCTTAGTTGCAGAAAGAATAAGGGAAGCAGAAACGTCAGGGGTCACATCCCCTATGTGTCAATTAAAGGGGTGCAGACTCAGAAGGTGTCCTTACCTACTTTATTTAGCCTGCTCTTCCCCACAAAGATGAGGAATACAGGTGACTTTGATGTCATGATAGCAATCAGAATGTAAAAGAGACTTTCAAAAAGACCTAGTGCAACATGGAAACAAGGACTTTAGTCTCTGAGCTTCCTTATGTATCAAGTGTCATAGAAAATGTTGAGACAAAGTGGTTCTGTCATTTCAACAACCCATAATGAGCAGAAGAATCTGTTTGCCTTTCATGCCACTGCAGATGAACAGGTATGAGAGACTGCACTTAGGCATGAAAGTGCCGCTGCCTAGCACCTCTATCCCATGCTCACATCCGAATCTTCTCAGGTGTGGGTAAGACATCTCAGTTCTCTGCTATTTGATATGAATAGGGGCAATCCCAGAAGCAGCAACTGAGCTCATGGGCCCCAAAATTTCCAAGGAATCACGAGGAGAACTAGGCTAAATGTCATTATTTTCTGACCTTCGATGTACCTTTTCCCTAGTCACTTGCCAATCTCTTCTAAAGGGCCTCAGTCCCTGGAGTGGACCCTAATGATTTCTGTCCATTATTTGGCCTAGAGTAGAATTCTTGCTTTTCTCAAGGAAAGAAACAAAAAGAAAAGATGTAACCAAATGTAATTTATGTGAGTTTGTAAATTGATATCCGAAGATTGGAACTGCATACAGATGTGTCAAAAATGTTAATTTCCCCAAGAAATATGGTAGCACCTAATTCTAGCGACACTTGTATACTTTACAGATGGCTTTGCTGTGCTCCTGGTAAAGTCAATGACTTTCTGCCTTTGAACATGAAAGGAAAAAGATGTTGACAGGAATTCTTTAGGGAAACAGAAACTACATATTTGCTTATGCTAAGTTATGGCAAAGTTCAGTTTTATTCTGTAAATAAAGCGTTGTCTTCATAAATATCAGCTATATCCTTTAGAGTAAAGAAAGTCCTCTTTATTAAAAAAATCTAATTGAAACTCTTCAATAGGTAGGCAAGTGAGGTGATTGATATAAAGATATACTTAAGTGGAAAATTGGTATTCGAGTTCCAATAAGTAATCAATCATATTGTTCTTGGTAATAGCTTTTGTTGATTCATCTTTGCAAGGGATGTCGGGGGGTAGGGGGGATTGCTGAATGAAATAAATCAGGAAAGAACCCAAGCATTATGTTTAACTGACTTAAGAGCAAAGGAAAGAACACATAAACACAGAATAGAATCCACACAGTAACTTCATTCTTTATGATTGCTCAGGCATTTTCATTATTTGCATTTATGTTTATTTTCTCTTTATCCTCCTGTGGCAATAGATATGGAGATAATGCTTTAAATATTGTGATGTACCTTGATCTTTTCTGAAGAACCAAAGCTTTATGAAATCTTGATACATTTAAAGGAGGGGTATAAAGCTCAGGCATGTGAAATGTTGAATTTTGTCTCCCCATATGACAGATAACCATCATATAAATGTGGTTTATTAGACTAAAAAAGTAGAACACATATTTTTAGATTACATCTTGGCATTTCAAAGAAAGTATAGAACTTCAAGATAGTTTGCTTCCTGGATATTTTCTGGAGCTGTCTTTGGGCCTGCATTCCTGAAAGCTGTCAATGCTACACTCTGCATACCCAGAGCTCGTGCCCTTGGGCTTGAGTACTTTGTGGTTAATATTTAAGAACCGCATGTGGAGCTAGATTGAAGGACAGTCACTTTCTTTATTCTTTGCTAAAACCAATGTTGGTTAGTCCATCACCTTCTTAAACAGTAACTGCATTCATACCCTTCATCACATCCATCTCTCTGTCAAAACATGAGTGAAAATCAATTGTGGCATATCTAGAAATACTTCACTCACTTCCATTTTGCTTCTTATGTGCTGATGTACCTTACTCAATATTAATTTCCTTTAGAGTTAAACTGTGGGAAAACTTGAATGGACCTTTGTGGTATAAAACTATCTATGTGACCTTGGACAAGTCACTGCACCTCTCTTGGCATCAGTTTCCTCATATCCAAAATAAGAACACTTGCCTGGTTTATCTCTGAGACTTTTCCAGCTCCACAATTTCTCAATGATTAGCAAAACCCTATCGATAAAGCAATGGTAATGATTTATGTAAATTGACATTCTTTTTTATGAGGTTTACAAAGTTATTTTATTCTACTCCAGGGTTTTGTTGGAAGTCTATTACGGAATTTTTATTCATCAATACTCAGCAGATGTTATCAGGTTCTCTCCAGAAACTACCTTAATTCTACCACAGACTTGGGATATGTTTGGGGAACAATGACAAAAAAAATAAGTCATAGTTCTTACTTTCAAAGAGATTATTGAGTGGGGTCAGACCGTGGAGAGGTGCACCGATAGAGGGTGGAGGAAGATGCGGTCAAAGAAGAGAAGGTCCTGAAAACAGAGGAAACAAAGGAAGCGGAACAGTGAAGGCATAATGGCTCCCTGCTTGTTTAGGAAAAGGCAGAGTTTGTTGTTTTGAAAAACGACATTTAGTGTCATCTTCACTAAATATTAATAATGTCTTCTTACACGTTAGCTAAAGAAGAAAAGATCAAAAATAAACCAGGCCCCCAAATAATAAAGGATTTAAAATTAAAGATATATACAGAGCACTATAGTAATTTTTGAAGTGCTGTTCAGTTGGTGATATAATCAGAGGAATAATGCTATTACATCAAGTGATAAAAAGTAATTTTGTGATTTAATACTCATTCTGAACCTATATTGTAATGCTAATCTCATCAGATGATTGACATTCATATACTTAATTTCCCTTTGAGAAATCAGGTTCATGTATTATTCTGTCTTGTTTATAAAAGCTACTTATTTGGTTTAGGAATATTGTTATTTCCCTCTCCAACACCAATGTCTGCCTATGTAATTGAAAGGAAATTGCAGTGAATCTTCCAACAAGGAGTAACTGCTTCCCTGAAATAATCACCTGCAGACATAATTCTGGCTTCTGTGCGTTGTCTCGATAGCAGGGAAGGCAGAGGGCAACTGGGGAATCTGATTATCTCCATCATAATCCCACAACTTCCCTCCTTTCTCTTTTGCTTTTAATTACTGCATTGTGGTGAGTTAAGAAAAGCCTATACTATTTTTTCTTCTCCACTACCAGAAAGAGAGAGAGATAACTGGCATTCTCTCTCTAAGGATTTTTAAAATACTTTTAATAAAATTTTAAATAGTGTAATGTGTGCCCACAAGCACATTGGTTCTAAAGATACTTCAAAAATACTTCAGAATCAAATCTGTAAGAAAAAAAAATTCAATTATTTATGTTCATTATATTACAAGTGATTTAAAAACTGGTTATCTGTGCATCAAAAAATGCAAGCCTATAGCAGCTCTGATTCAGTGAATTCCAGTTGCGGGGAGGGGAGGAGCCCTCAGATATTTTTATATCATATTTGAAAAAAATGGCTGATTATTATTTTTTTAATTTATGGAATGTATGGACTTTACCAGAGTTTCAAAAGTCCACTTTAGTACCTATAAGATATTTTGAAATCAGTTGGCCAATTCTTGCCATCAAAAAATTGTAACTTTAAACTTGCAGAAAAACTAGTTGGCTCTAGTCCTAAAAGAGAGTTCTTAATTGCAGTTTCTGCATTTATTTGTCTAATAGCAAATAAATTTCACATTCATTTCTGACTCCCTTTCAAAAGGGCAGGTTAATCTCAAAAGGAAATATATGAGTTTATCATTTTCGGCTAGGATATGGTTTCTATTTCTAAAATAGTGGCACAGTGTTGGTGAATGCTTTGTGAGAGCAAGGAATTGGTAGTAGATTTTTGCAGAATGCTGCATTTACCAAAAGAAAAAAAAAAACCACTAGGAAATTGACATCTACAAAAGCAAAGTACTTAAGTAGTAAATTACATTTACCAAGGATCACATCAGTAGTGTGCTTTATCTGATTATTCCAATCAAAAGGGGGCAAAGTCAGGATTTGTAGTGATACAGTGGTCCTGTAGATCTAAAATCTTAAGGTCTGAGTTTAAATCCAAACTCTAGCATTTGCTATCTGTGTTGGGATCACTCCCCGACTTCATCAGAAGACCTGCTAACATCTAGACTTGTCTGTTGTCACCACCATCTCCTTTGGGATACCACCTCAAGGTACTCAAGTTCGCCTCCAGCCTCCAATTCCTTTCCTGCGGTGGGAAGAGAGGGGAGACCCAGCTTCATGTTGCTCAGTGACTATAGATTCCCAAACAAATGACAGGGGAATTTAGAAACATTTCTGCCTTAAAACTCAAATGTCATTTATAACTCTAAACAAGGGAATCTGGAACTCAAAACATAATGATTTGGTCATCACTTTGGGAAATTTTTGGCTAAAAATTAAGAATGGTTTCCTTCTCCTTGGCAGGCATAAAGTTAATTAATAAATTCTCTTCATAAGGCAGCTGGTTAAAGTTTCAGAACTCCACAACTCCAGGAGATACACATTTGAAAGAATATTTTTGATAACCAATTACCTTTATTTTCTATGCAAGAAAATATTAAAGAATATTCAGATACTAATTACACTAATTCCTCAGCCTTCTGATAATGAGATAGTTCTCTCTTTGAACTCTTTCAAGATCTAATGGCATCGAGAGACTCTCCTTTATGTCGTAAAACTAACAGACAAAATTACCTGGCCCAGCTTTTTCCACCTGAGTGACCTCACGCTCTCTTTAATACCCAAAATCTATTGACAGAGATTATGTCCCATTATAATATTCCCTTTTATGTTTTGGCACTGAGCAGTGCAACTGACAGAGCTATAACAAAGTAACAACCACATTCACAGGACAGAGACGGAGTCTTACAGAGACGGAGTCTTACAAAGACTAAATGACATCTTACGCCTTCATTCTCTTTTCCTTGTTAGGAACTCTCATAAAAAAGCCACAGCCATGCCCCCTCAGCCTGTTTAGCAGGTTCATGCATTACAGATTGAAGTATTGTCACCTAGGAAGTAGGCAGCTAATTTTTTCCAGCTTCTGAAACAAGATTACAAAGGGGTTCCTGGAATGGCTAACTTTACCAACGGGGGCAGAGGAAGATTAGTTTTTCATTTTTTGAAGTTGGAAACGTAACAGTGAGAAAGAGACAAAATTATCTCTCAATAAATTAATCTACAAAAAAATAAATAAAATGCAAAGCTGGTTCCACAGGGAGTTTACATTCTGGGAGCCAAATAAGATACATATATAAAACTCTTAGAACAAGGTCAAATGGGATAAGTGTAGTAGTGACATAGGGTAGCACAGAGTTTTGTTTTAATATCTTCTGCTAACTTTAAAAAATAAATATGTGATTTTAAGTGCATATTACACTAATTTAATAAAAATCTCATATTTTGCCTTTATGCTCAGTCTGAAACATGGAAGATTTAAAGTTACTAATACTGTAAAACTGCTTCAGCTCTGACGAATGAAGTATCTGTGTACAGAATGATGAGTTGTTAGTTAATAGTACTCTTTGGGCCATGCTTGGGATATTGGCCTTTTCTAGGAGTCTGTATGAGAATAGTCATTTATCTCCTTATGCTCAATGCTTTCAACTTGTCAAATGACCATGTTTCATAAGATACAACATAAAATTGTTCTATAATTAACAAAAGAAAAAAGAATTCTATCTGCTGAGAAAATAGAAAAGACGTTGGAGAAGAGAGAATATTTGACCCAGACATTTAAAATATCCGCCGAATTTGCTATGTGTAGATGGATGAAAGGTCTGCCAAGAGAAGTGAAGGTTGTGAACAAAGACATGGAGGCGGAAGAAAGGTAGTGTGCACACTGAATGCGTTGTGCCTTTCCATATGACTGACATGTCAATGTAAACTCCACAAAGGGAGGGTTTTGATCTGGTTTGTTTGCCGATGTTACTTAAGTATCTGGAAAAGTGCCTGGCATATATCAGGTGCATGAAGAAGTGAATAAATGAAGTGTCAGATGCCCAGAATATGAATAATACTTGATAGATGCAGTACTGGCAACTTTCTTGAAGCTAATGAAGTGGTTAGGACTCCATAGTTCAACAGAAACCAAGTTCACTTAAGCAAACATGGAGTTTGAGTTTATCATGGGACTCAACATCAAGAAAGTGTTTGGATCTTGAGTAGACTGGAGATGGAAACAGTCTGTCTCTGTCTTTTGTCACTTCTTCCTCCACATCTGTGTGGCTGGCTGCTATTTCAGTATCCTGGTCCACCTGGTCCTGAGTCCCCATGGTGAGGGAAAGCTGACTCCATAGCTGCCAGAATCACATGTAGTGGCTCTCTTTGACCAGGTCAGCTGCGTAGATACCCTCTCTTGCTCCAGTCCTCTGTAGCAAGAGGGTAGGTTTACCACTAAGGATCAGGGGAGAAGAACTATTGGGGGAATTGTTAAGAGCAGACACTCAGAAAAATTGGCACCTATAATATGCAATTAGAATTCATTAAAACATGTGGCCAGGTATGTTCTTATTTTGTGTTTTTACATATCTAATCTCTAAGTACTATTCATATGGAATGTATTATTCTAAAAAAATTGCCTGTTAGTTCATGCAGTTCCCACTCTCTTTTCATCTCTAACATCTTGGCAATCGTTTACCAGTTGTTGATCACCTGTCTCCTCATCTTCTTTCAACTTTGCCCTGACTCTACCAGATACTGGGCAACATCATTTCCCAGACATTGAGTAACTTCAAATGAATGTGTTCATGCTACTCCAACTGGCTTTTGGGAAAGCACTGGATAGAGTTTTTGAGCTGGAACAGGAAATTATCTTACTTAATTTCTTTCTTTTATAGATAAAAAGATGGATCCACAAGATGGACCCATTGGTCCATAATTAAGGGCTAGTAAATGTTTTGTAAACATAGAAATCAAAATTACTTTTCTGTGATTCTAGAACAGGAAAAAATGGTGAACTTTTAGGTATGTTGCAAAGAACAGTGGATTATTCTTTGGGCTCTTGGGACCAACAGCCTTAGTTTTATTGCTTTGCAAGCTATGTGGTCTTGAATAAACCTCAGTAAGGCTCAGAAAGCTTCAGTGTTCTCAAGTATAAATAGGAATAATTATAATATAATAACATTAATAGTATTTATCTCACCATCCTGTAATAAGGAAGAGAAGGATTAAATATTGAAGGTTATATTGATAAATGATAAAACACATGCAATGATTGTAATAAGTGTGTTAGATGGCAAAAGAAAAATAATGAGGATGAAATATTTACTTCCAATGACTAATCTACACATAATCGTGATTTTATGTATGACTGAATGTTTAAGGCTGATTCCATTTTAGAATACAATATATAACATAAAAAGCTCTACTCTCAGTTCCAAGAGTTATAATTAGTTTGGCATGGATTTTTATTGTCTTAGAAAAAACTGATATTCATGGTTTTTATAATTCTATCTTTGGGTAATAGGCAATTGGACTCTCTTTCTATATATATTTGCTTATTAAAATGTGTTATTATAATTAAGCTTTAGGCTGTGTCCACAAGATGGGAAAACATTGGAGTAAAATATAGTAAAACCATAGAAATTGAGAGTGGGTTGAAAGTCTTGTTTAATCTGTAATTACAGATGAAGATAGTAAGAATGTAAATGTCCATAGAAGACTTCAGTGGCTTTGTTAAAGGCATGTGTTCATCAGTGTTGAAGTAAAACTCACATTTTGTGACTCTGAGCTGTTCACTATAATATGAAACCTAATCCTAAAACACAATATTAAAACAGAAAAATGTGAAGCCATAGATCTGTAATAAAGGGCCACCTGATTGTTTCCTGGTGGAATAAAAAGACAGTTTTATTTATAAGATATATCATTTTTATAGATAACAATGATTCATATTAGGAATAAAGTAACAGTTTCAAACTAAAATAATGCTAAAGTTTTTCAAGTACTACTTGAAAATAGCTATATTTACTTTCAAACCTTTTCCTCTTTGAGTCATTAGGTTCATGATATTATATAGCAATAGGGAATGAAAGAGAAGCAAGGAGAAGCAATACTGGGAGATTACAGAGAAGAAAGGAAAAAAGGCTGAGAGAAAAGAGGTTGAGGAAGAAATCATAAATCTGGATTGTGAGAAAGTGTTTAATATTTAGCCACTAGATGGCGATGTAATGTAAGGTGCTGTCTTGACTTTTTTTTTTTTTTTTTGAAACAAGCTATTTGCTGATTTGTATTAGGTACCATAGAGTGAGGCGAGGATGAAGCCGAGAGGATACTGCAGAGGTCTCTGGTGCATGTGTGTATGTGTGCGTTTGTGTGTGTTTGTGTGTCTGTGTGTTCTGCCCCAGTGAGACTGCAGCCCTTGTAAATACTTTGACACCTTTTGCAAGAAGGAATCTGAACAATTGCAACTGAAGGCACATTGTTATCATCTCGTCTTTGGGTGATGCTGTTCCTCACTGCAGATGGATAATTTTCCTTTTAATCAGGTAAGCCATCTAATTGTTTCATCTTGATTTTAAGTTTATTCATTCCAGTTATTCCTTTGGAAAAAGAGTCCATGGAAATTCAGTTTGGGCAGAGCAGGAAGTCCATTTTTGTATGTGTATTCAGACCAACTGTCCCCCTCCTCCCTCTCCTCCTCTTCTCCTCCCCTCCCCTCCCCCCTCCTCTCTCAACCTTCCATGAACTGAAATCAGGTTTGTTTTGCAGTTCAGCATTTTGATAGAAGATGGGATTCTTTGGCCTGAAATAGCTTGGCATCTGGCCAGTTCTTGCCTTTGCTTGCCTTCATCCTATTCAAGGTCCCTTTTGATCCTGTTGAAGCCCCCTCCTTCACTGGTGCTTTGGAAGTGGACTAGCTGGCTGGGAATAGAGGTCATATTGTTCTTAAGGACGGAGCAAAAATTAGATCTCAGTTTTAACTCCACAGGAAGAAAGAAGGCAGCGGGGCTGCTGCTGGAGCCTAGCATTGCAGGGGTATTCAGCTTCCTGAGGCTGAGGCTGGGCTTTTGAGAAGAAATGCCTCATGCCTTGAACAAGGAAGGGGCAATGATTTCCGCCCCCCACCTCTGCCAACTCCTATTGAGCCACACTAAAAAAGAGCTTGAGCAGAGTGGTAAAGAGTCCCCTTTTCTATCCAATGCCAAATAGGAAACATTGACTTACTTTTACTTAGACAGAGGTCACAACCAGCAATGATACTGCAGATACTGCTCAGTTCCTAGTGTGAACCGTCTTGCTTTTCAGAACAGCATAAGAATTATTTCTGAGTGGAGGTGAGGCTTGTCCAAATGTCTTTGCTATCATGGATTTCCTGACTCCTACCTGTTTGAGGTATGTGTTTAAAGACCCGACCCACTTGCTGCATTTACTTCTCATTTCTTTTTGTTCTCTTTGATTACTCACTGGTGATTGTTAACAAATCGGTCTGGAGTGGTGGGTATGTGCTTTTCACCTGTCCAATGCAACAATTAAGTCAAGGCAGGGTATATTACTGTCAATATGTGCATGTGACTAAATATTTCTGAGTGCAGTAGCAAACTTGCAAATTGCCAATTGCTGTTGCTATCACACCTATAAAATGTGTCTTCTTCTTCTATGGATTTACAGGTTCACGTGGTATTTCTGATGCGCTAGTATAGTAACAGAACATATTTCTCCAAAAAGCACTTTAAATCATCCCAAGAGGATGTTGCCAGACAGAAATAGGAAAATTCCATGCTGAGGTTGGTGATTCCTGCTTTAGTTTCTCCTGCCCAGAGAAGTGGGTAGCTTACCTTTCCTATTTGCTGCAATACCTGGCACGCCAGGGTGATGCAACTGGGAGCTTCTGCACGTTCGCGGGGCATCTGACATTCTTCTTTCCCTCAGCTGTGCATTTCAGGAGAATGACTGTGGTGAAAAACTCTTTTAAAACTCTCTTTTATGATTGTTGCTTTTGTAATTGCAATGAAGCAATTACAAAATCACATCTCTCTTCTAGGAGGAGTTTTGCAATTTAGGCCTTCCTTCACAAAGCTCCTGGAAGAGATTTTTAGCTGGTGTCTATTTTAGGAACATAATGTGTAGACAGGAATGAATGGCCACAGAGATTTACGGGAAACCAATTTCTTGGAGAGGGTGAGGTAACATTATAAACCACTAGAACAGAGCACAAGTGGCTGGTTATATCACATGGACCCAGCAATGGAATTAGTTTTCATTAAACTCACTGTAACTCATTTGTGTGGCTGTTTTTCCTCCTTCCTTCACATTGTTTGTCTGTTTTGTTTCAAATATCTATATAGGAGGCCAGGATACCCAGAGTGTTCATACTGGTAACAATAACACATTGGATTTTGCTGCCAATACTAATAGACTTGGTTTACATGCCCCCTCTTGCTGGGAAATGTGCTGTCTGGAGAGTCATTTATTATGGTAATTTCTCTTTAAGACATGGCAGGAGGGATTGTCCATCTATGGGCTGGGGCAAGGCGGGGCACAATTGGAGGCCTAGTTAATTATACAGTATTCAAGAAGGCACTAAGGAGCTCAGTCAGGATTCTGTTGTACCAACCAGAGATACCAGGGGCAACCAGACCGACTAGATACCCAAAGTAAACTCTATCACCACCAACAGAGGAATCCAGTAAGAAACATTCTAGTTCCTTGTATAGAGGGTACTATCAGGGAATCCAGACAATCAGAGAGGGTAAACACAAGAGCACCTCATCTGGGAATTGCTGACGAAGAAGAGAAAATCTGGGGCTTGCTTGGTGTTACCTCTAGGACGTCACCAACCAGGCATTTCTCAAGGGTTTATGTCGGTGTGAGCCTGACAGTGACACACAAAAGCATCCCTCCAAAATTTAGCCTGGGGACCTTGAAAGGTATTGCTTTCTCCCTGGGCAGTTGGAGAGGCTGAACCTACTATTTTCTCCCTGTACTCGCCAAAGGGCACAAAGCCTACTCTCTTCCAGCTACCTCAGAATGGGGAGGGTGGGAGAAACAGATCCCAGAGAAGGATGGGAGAGAATCAGCAATTGAAGGTCCTGTATAGTCACCCTCAGGGTCAATGGGGCTGTGCTCCGTGAGGTTATCACTTCCTTTTTAAATTCTAATTAGTGAATGAAGCATGTTCCACCGCTCAATTGAGATTGCATTAGTTTAGGGTAGGGTGGGAAGAAATTTATTCTCATTGCACTTGTGATCAGAAAAATAAGTTGTGACAGAATTCCCCAAGCTGCCCCAAAGTTTGCTTTTCCAACTTTTAAATTTTGTCCACATTCCTAGATTTCCATTTATTAATTGTTTTATTTATCAAAAACATATAGCATTTACTCTGTGCCAGCCACTATCCTAAGCAGTACTTTGCAAATATGATCTCATTTAATCCTATGAGGTAGATACTATTGTTAATTTTACAGGTGACAAAACCAAGGCACAGTGAGGTTCAATTAACTTGCTGGGTTATACAGTTAGTAAGTGGCAGAATCCAAGCAGTCCAGCCACACCGTGGCCATGGCGTCTGTGTTCTTGATGTTTGCTCATCATCCATGTGATGGTAGAGCTACAGCTTAGCCAAGAGACTCAGGACTGAAGTTGGGTGCAGTCGTACATGTGAGCTGTAATTCATCTGCTTTCTGACATGCCAAAATTCCAAAAACAGTTTGGTTTAGAATGATTACCCAAATCCACTCCATTTGTTTGTTTGTTTGTTTGTTGTTTTTTTGAGACAGAGTCTCACTCTGTCACCCAGGCTGCAGTGCAGTGGCACGTTCTTGGCTCACTGCAATTTCTGCCTCCCGGGTTGAAGTGATTCTCCTGCCTCAGCCTCCCCAGTAGCTGGGACTACAGGCGAGTGTCACCATGCCTGGCTAATTTTTGTATTTTGTAGAGATGGGGTTTCACTATGTTGGCCCGGCTAGTCTCGATCTCCTGACCTCAAGTGATCTGCCTGCCTCAGCCTCCCAAAGTGCTGGGATTACAGGAGTGAGCCATCACACCGGGCTATTTGTTAAAAAATTAAAAAAAAAAAAGCTCTCCTGTACAATAGAAGATAGAAGGGTCTGCGTTCTAAGTGCAGGAATGTGGTGAATAAAGCAAAATTCCTACCCACATGCAGCTTTCAGTCTGGTGATAGAGTTGGACAGTAGGCAAATCAATGTGCAAAGAAATGTCAGTAAATGTAAGTTCTTTGAAGAAAAATACTGCAAGATAAAGAGATAGTGAGGATGAGAGGGGCATGCAAACAGAAAATAATGAAAGAGGTGGAGAAAAAGTTTTTTTAAGCAGAAATCTAATGAGGCCAATGATGGATTGAATCAAAGGTGCTAAAGGGTGAAGTGCCTCACAGGTATGAAGAGTGGCACAAACCTTGTGGGTGATCCTGAAAGTAAAAGAAACGAACAGAAATAGCACCATAGAGGTGTGCAGCCAGATCTGTGGAATCTCAGAGATTGGGCTTAGGGCTCTAACTGCCCCCGACTTTTAAAAAAACAAATCAAAGAGTTATGTCAAATAAATTTAAAACATTCAATGTTAACAAGTTATTAGGTTTAAAAAAAACATAAATCAGTCATTTTCACAAAAAAAAGTTTTGAGAGTTTGTAAAGTTCTCTGAAAAAATGTTGCAGTTCCTAGAATGCAAAAAAATTGCCTCAAAAATGTTGAAAAGAACTGATCCAAAGGTAGTGAGTTATCTCAGTTGATTGTTCACAGTCAGTTACAGATCAAACTCCTTGTTCTACGCTTTCCCCTCTTCTCACTACTGCTCTTGTCTAAAAACTTTTTTAAAAATTAAAAAATATTGAAAAGGTACTATTTGATGAAAAAAAAATTGTTTGAATGAGATCATTGGTTAGAATGATATAGTCACCCAGTCAGTTTTTCTTCCTCCAGAAATGATACACTGACCAGGTGCAGGCAAGAAAGAGACACTAAGCATGAAAACCAGTGTTTACATCCCCCATAGTGGCCAGGACACAGGAGCTGCTTGGAGGGATTTGAACAAATCTTTTTTTTTTTTTTTTTTTTTTTTTTTTTTTTTTTTTTTGCAAATGAATGAGTAGGAATGTGATTTCAAAATAATTTGATAAACATCAGCTTTCATTTTCATCTATGTTAAAACTTTTGTTACCATATTTTTATTCCTTCAAGACTCATATTCCAATGGTTTATCTTTTTATATTTTTTTCACTATTTGCTTCCCCTCATTCTCAGTTACCTATGGACACTGTAGTTCTTCTCTAGAAAATGTGAATTTGCTTCTCTTCTAACTTAGAATCAACCTGACATTTTAGCTTTTCTCTGTAAATGGTCAAAAGTCTTTGCCTTATCATATTGCCTGTTTCTCCTTTGGTGCTCTACCTACAAACTTAGATTTAATTTTGATGAAGAATCTACTCTAACTTTTTTCTTTTGTCACTTGTGCTTTTAGTCTCATGTATAAGAAACCGTTGCCTAATCTGAGGTCATAAAAATTTACTTCTATTATTTTTCAACTAGTTGTATAATTTTAGCTCTTGCATTTAGATCTAGGATTCATTCTGAGTCAACTTTTTGCATATAATGTGAGGTAGGGGTTCAGCATTACTCTTTTGTTTGTTCATATCTAGTTGTCCCAGCACCACGTGTTGAAAAGACAATTCTTTCCCCGGTGAATTGTCTTATTAACATTGTTGTCCATGCGTTTATGATTTTAGCATCAATTATTTCTTACAGTGGGTACTAGGGATATATCTTTTAAGAAAAGGTCAGTGAGATTCTTTGTTCTTGAGAATCCACATAACTTTAAAGAATCAGAAAACTGATCCATATACCCTTAACTATTAAACACTTTATTGATCTAACTTCACAACAAAATGTTTCTTCTCATTATTGGAAACATATTCATTTGTGACTCCACTGAAAATTTAAGGAGATAATGAGCAAATATTTCCAGGGAAAGGTTATATTTATTCCAAAGAAACATATTTACTGTATTGCACATGCTTTCCCAAAGTTACACAAATATTATCCATGTTCTTTGTAATATATGTTGCTAGTATGCTTTTGTTTCACAGATACCATTGGGGAAACTACTGAACTTGAGATAGAGGTGTGCCATTCAAATAGGGTTGGTTTCTGTATTAGTTAACTTGGGCTACCATGACAAAGTACCACAGACAGGGTGGCTTAAATAACAGTATTTATCACAGTTCTGGAGGCTCGAAGTCCAAGAACAAGGTACTGGGAAGTTTGGTGTCTTCTAAAGCCCGTCTCCTTGGCTTGCTGATGTCTGTCTTTTCCTCTGTGCATGTGCATTCCTGGTGTCTCTTTTCTGTCTAAATTTCATCTTCTTTTAAGGACACAAGTCATATTGGATTGTGGTTCACCCTAAAAGTCTCATTTCACTAAACCACTTCTTCAAAGGCTCTAACTCCTAACACAGTCACATTCTGAGGTACCGGAGTTTGAGACTCCAACATATGGATTTGGGGAGGATACAATTCAGCCTCTAACAGTTGTCTCTGGCAATACTTATGACTACTAAAATCATAAGCAAAGAAGGTTAAATTGATATTTTTTTGTTGTTGATGAAACTGTTGTGGTTATTTTATAAATGATGGATTTTCATTATTCATACCCTCCTCCTACTGGATAATAATGAGTTATCTGTGTATGTGTTAAGATTCTAATAAAGGCAATTAATTAGGTTTGTAATTACAGGCATGATGACTAACAAAGTGGGGGCAGAAATAAAATGATGGTGACACTGATTCCACTGCTGTGCCTATAATGTCACATTTACATTCATGATCTGTGATAAGAATTAAGATGCTCATTTATTTCAGTGAGGAAAGTGACAGAAAAGGATATAAAATTAGGAATTCATGGGGAATTGGTAAAAAAAAATTAAAGTATTACAATAAGTAACTGAAACTGACTCAGGTTAATTTAAGTATAAAAGCAATGTCTTCAAAAGATATTATAGTTCACAGAGTTAAGGGATAGCTACAATCTAGACTGAAAAATGCCAGGAGCAGAGAAAACTATAAGAGCAGATAGCCCAGTTGGTAGACTTTTGGTGGTTTCTGTAAGGTGCTGTAATCTAGAATGAATCAGCTCAACTGCTTTCAGGCTCTTTGTCTTTCTTTCTTTTTCTTTTTTTTTTTTTTTCTTTTTTTTCCTGACATTCATGTTTAACACCAAAATTCCAGGAAGTAAACATCTGGTTGGTCAAGTTTGGGTCATGAATCTGATCCTTTTAGTTAAGAGTAAACTTAACTAACAGTTCCTTGACTGACATTTCCACCAAACTATCCCCATATAGGAAAACTAATTCAACCCAAACAAAATTGGAGAGATTAATAGTCTACATAGGCCAGATACAGTGGCTCAAACCTGTAATTCCAGCACTTTGGAAGGCCAAGGTGGGCAGATCACCTGAGGTCAGGAGTTTGGGACCAGCCTGGCCAACATGGTGAAACCCCGTCTCTACTAAAAATACAAAAAAATTAGCCAGGCATGGTGGTGTGCACCTGCAGTCCCAGCTACTCAGGAGGCTGAGCCAGGAGAGTCACTTGAACCCGGGAGGTGGAGGTTGCAGCAAGCCGAGATCATGCCACTGCACTCCGGCCTGGCGTCTGGATGACAGAGCAAGACTCTGTCTCAAAAAAAAAAAAAAAAAAAAAAAAAAAAGAGAAAAGAAAAAAGAAAACAGTCTACATACACAATGCTGGAAGGTTGAAAGAATGGCTAAATAAATCATAGTCTAGGCAAATGATGAAATATTATAGTACCATTAAACATAATGTTTCAATGAATATTTAATTCTATATAAAATTGCCCAGGTTATAATAGTATATTAAAAAGTACCTTACAAACATATATATCTAGGATGGCCCCAATTACGGAAAAAAAACAAACATGTTTTTCCTTAGAAAAAGCCCTGAAGATAATATAATAGTTATCTCTGGTTTATAGAATTAGGATTTCTGTTTTCTTCTTTATAAAGTTTTTGTTTTAAAAATAGAATATTACATCTTATTTTTTCTTATAATAAAAGTAATACATAAAGGAAAAGGAACATAAAGTACATAAAAAAGGAACATAAAGTGCATAAAACAAAAAAAAAATTTAAATAGAATATTACATCTTATTTTTCTTATGACAAAAGTAATACATAAAGCAAAAGTAATACATAAAGCAAAAGGGAAATATAAATTAATAAAATGATGAAATAACTCACAATTTTACACAACAAAATTATTATTGTTAATAATTTATTTTTTCAAATGCTTTGGTATTGTTTCTTACCAAACAATTTGGCATTGTTTTGGTATGTTTTCTTAAAATAAAGTTCAAAATAAACATATGTTGCCTTAAAAACTAGAATAAAAGTGTACATTAGTTTTCAAATAGAATTTAGTAATCTATTTCATGCAAAGATACTCATTGTATCTTTAATCAAAATAGTAAATTTAGTTTAAATTATTGATGAAACAATTGAATGTTTGAATATTTTGTCTTTTGGAATATTAATAAAACTAGGCCACAAACCTTGTATAATAAAAGTACAGTATTTTGAAAATTTTGTAACAATGGAAAAGCTTTGGGAATCGGTCTAATATAAAATTAGACTTGAAATAGCAAATTGGTGGTGTTCTGAAAATCATGTTACTTGGTAACCTAAGTTTTCTCTTTAGAACTCAGCACGAATTTTAAGAAATTTATCTTATATTTATAAAACATCTACTATTTGCAATGAGTTGTTTTTAGCAAAACTTGACCTCAAATTGAACATTTGAGAATACTGAAGAATAAATAAGAAGCACCTGTAAATACTGACATAGTATGTCCTTAAATTTTTAAACTACTTAGAACCAAATTCATCAAGTTGGCAAAATGAAGTTACTAGATTATCAAATGGAATGGCAAGTGAAAATGAGCCAGAGGTGGCAGAATGGAGTAAGAAGGGTAATTATTAGGGAATGCTGCATTTGGAGATGTGAAATTATATGTGTTGAGGATGTGAGGAAAGAAATCTGTGTGAGGAGAAATAGATTATTAATGATGTAACTTAGTAACATCAGATTAAGGGTCCCCAAACCCTGGGCCACGGACCAGTACTGGTCCCTGGCCTGTTAGGAACTGGGTCGCACAGTAGGAGGTGAGCAGTGGGCCAGGGAGCATTACAGCCTGAGCTCCGCCTCCTGTCAGATCAGTGGCGGCATTAGATTCTCATAGGAGCACAAACCCTATTGTGAACTGTGCATGCACAGGATCTAGGTTGTGTGCTCCTTATGAGATTCTAATGCCAGCCCCCACTCCCCACAATGTCCGTGGAACAACTGTCTTCCACAAAACCAGTCCCTGGTGCCAAAAAGGTTGGGGACTCCTTATCTAGATTATTGTAAAGCAAATATTCATAATTTTAAGATTAAAGAAAAAATCCAATAAAGATGAGAAACCGGATCTCAGAGTTTCCAATTACATATTCATAGAGGAAAGAAAGCTAAGAGAATTCTGTCACATACATATTTCAATCTAAGAAATTCAGTGGATTTGAAAATCCTGGAAAGAGTTACTTTGAGACTTCACAAATGCTACCAGGCAGCAGTTTTGATATTACCCTGGAATGTGATATGCCACTTAAAAAGGCCAGTAGTATTTTGGGCTATGTATGTCAGTGTGTTGGGACAAAACCAAGGAGAAAACAGTCCGGTGTCAGGTCTAGAATACCATCATTTCAGTGCCACCTGGGCCTCAGCATTTCAGGTTTCAGGTGATTTGAGGAGTCTGTGAGGTCGCACAATAATATTTAAGGCCTTTAAAGGGTCAATCAACTTGTACAAATGAAGGCAAGAGTGCCTTTGGAAGACATTCCAAAAAGGAAGTTTGAGCATACTCAAGAAGAATCTAGCCACTGCACTCCAGCCTGCGCAAGAGAGTGAGACGCTTTCTCAAAAAAAAAAAAAAAAAAAAAAAAAAAAGAAACTAAATAGAAATCAGTAAGCAAAGAAAAAGAAAATAGGAGTGTGATTTTTCTTCCTGAAATCTCTGTGGAATAGCAAAAAGTGGAATCTTGACTGTATCTTCTCTGGGACCAAACTTTATCTTACTCTCCCTGACTCTCTCTCTCTCTCTCTCTTTTTTTTTTCATTCCTAGGCATTTTGTTTTACTCTGTTTTTGCATACTCTGCTGATTTCTAACCCTCCTTCCATTCAGTAACATATAAAAAAAACTTTTCACAGTCATGTTCTCAGAATGTTCATAGTCTTTAATGCATATAGAATATAATCCAAAAAATCAAAAAAAAAATTTTTTTTTTTGAGACAGAGTCTCACTCTATTGCCCAGGCTGGAGTGCAATGGCAGGATCTCGGCTCACTGCAATCTCCGCCTCCTGGGTTCAAGCGATTCTCCTGCCTCAGCCTCCTGAGTAGCTGGGATTACAGGCGCACACTACCACACCCAGCTAATTTTTCTATGTTGGCCAGGCTGAACTCCTGATCTCGTGATCCGCCTGCCTTGGCCTCCCAAAGTGCTGGGATTACAGGCATGAACCTCCGTGCCCGGCCAAAAAATTCTTAATGTGATTTTAGCAGTTATTTTCAAAATGTGGTCCACAGATGCTCTTGCATTCCCTTGAGACTTTTTAAATGATTCATCAGGTCCAAACTATTTTCATAATGATACAAAAACATTATTTACCTTTTTCACTGTGTTGACATTTGGAAGAACAATGAAACCCCTAGCCTTAACACTTATCAAGACAGTGACAACAAACTATACTGTCATTGTATTCTTCACTGTAATTCATTCCCAGTAAAAATAAGTAAATAAATAAATGAATAAAATTAAAGCCAGTTGCACTAAAAGAATGTCTTTGACGAAACACTAGAAATTAATTTTATTTAATCTATACCATTAAGTACACATATTTTTAATATTCAGTATACATGAAGAAATGGAAAGTATACATGATTAACATCTGCTGTATATCAACAATAATGCTGGTTGTCTTAAGGTAAAGCACTTGTGTAGTTGTTTGAGTTGCAAGCTAAACTAGCTGTACTTCCATAGAATACTATTTTTATTTGAAAAAATGACTGAGAGACAAATTGTGATTATTCAAACAGATATTGAAAAGACAAATTTTTGAAAATAAATGGAGACTGTCATTTTAAAAATACATTTGACAATATTTGTTGTCAGTGACAAAATTTGGCCTTTCAAGAGAAAATTATTATTTTGAAAAAGATGCATCTGCCACCATGAGCTCAACAGCTTCTCAAAACTTACAGGGTTTCTGATGTGATTAGTGGTAATATTAACAGATGAATAATGAAATCTTCCAATATTTTGAAGACCTGCATAACTTAGCCAAGCACTCATCCCATTAGATCTTTTTCTTTTAGAAATATGGTTATTTTCACTTGAAATTTATTTTGTTGACATGTGATTTATGATTATAATTTATAAATTTATTAATTGATGTGCTTGTGATTTTTCTGCTTTCTAACATGGTAAATGGCAATACATTGAACTCATTATAAAGAAGAATTTTTTGTTTCCTCAATAATATTAACAATCAAAAGGAGTCTTGAGACAAAAAAATTATGACAAGGATGAATTTGATAATTCATCAGATTCTGGGACACTGAATCTGATGAATTTGATAATTCATCAGATTCTGGGACACTGAATCTGATGAATTATCAGATTATCTGATAAATTATTCAGATTAAGTTTGTTGCACTGTATTAGTTGAGATTATTATAATGCAGATAATTGAGTCCCCCAGAATTATGCAGGATAGAGAAGATATTTGTCACATTACACAAGTTAGTACATTTTTCATTACTGTAATATGAGCTGCACATATCAGTTTAGTTCAGTAAGTTCTGTATAAAGTGAGTAAAAATTGTTGCAAAGCAAATCAGAGGATTATAAAATATAAATGTTCTAATACTCTTGTTAGGACTTTCATCTTTCCTCACCTAAACCAATGTAAGAAGTTTCTATTGGTCTTTTTCTAAATGTTCACCCACTCCCTTCCCTCAATTAGAACCTGATCTCCATACTACCACCAGTGACCTTTCAAACATGTGGGCCACATCTCTACTTTTTAAGACTGTAAGTTATATCCTGGAGTAAAAGCTATTCAGTTATTCAGCATGGCTGGCTTTCATGAGCTGTCCAGGTTTATTTCTTACCCCATGGTCGATCTACCTTACCATTAGTCCTTCAGAAAGAACTAATTGCATTTCTGTGAAGACCTAAAGCTGTTTCTATCTCTAGGTCTTTGCTACTGCTTCTTTATTTGGTGAATAGCCACGACCTCTTCTTCCCCAAGTATGATTAATTTCCTTTTGTGTTGTGCCTAGGTCCTGTATACATTTCTATCATCTCTCCCACTGCACTTTATTGTGCTTATTCCCCTGTCTTCCTCTGCTATACTGTACCTTCTTTGCAATATGGTGCAGCATATTGTCTGATGTGACTAAGTCTCATTGCCACTGCCTACTTCCGTTTTCGGTGTCTAGGTTCTCAATAGAAATTGTTAAATGAAAATGAAACAAAACAAAAACATTTTTAGGGTTACCTTTAATATTAATACCTGACAGTTTTACATTTTATAGGATGCTTTCGCAAATACTGTTTTTGTAGAAATATGCTTGAAGCATATAATAATTTAAATAATTCTTTTATTTCTTATGCAAGTCCCAAACTCCTATTCTAAACTCATATATACTATGAGTATTGAACTACTTATATATACTATGATTAAGCACTGCTTTTCAAAGTAATTCTGAATGCATTTTTTCTTCAAATTATTACTGTTAGCTGTTTTTACTTATTCAGTGTCTGAGAAATTTGATTACTTCTCCTTTTATCATTTTGAGGTATTCTTTTTTGTTTGTTTGTTTTAGACGGAGTTTCGCTCTTGTTTCCCAGGCTGCTGGAGTGCAATGAAGCAATCTCGGCTCACTGCAACCTCCACTTCCTGGGTTCAAGCAATTCTCCTGTCTCAGCCCCCCAAGTGGCGGGGACTACAAGCATGCGCCACCATGCCCAGCTAATTTTTTGTATTTTTAGTAGAGATGGGGTTTCATCATGTTGACCAGGCTGGTCTTGAACTCCTGACCTCAGGTGATCCACCTGTTTCGACCTTCCAAAGTTACAGGCGTGAGCTACCGTGCCTAGCTCATTTTGAGGCATTCTTTGGTCTTTGCTTGAGTCTAATTATTAGCAAATTATTCAAGTACTATATTTTATAGTTATGGAATGCATTGATATTATAGAAAACAGAATATTTAGAAAAGCATAAAGAAGAAAATAATATTTGTGATCTCATAATCTATGTGATTTTCCCCACAATAATAAAATATTGCTTTTAACATGTTAATATTTTGCTCTAAACCATTTCTCTTCCTGTTTGAATAATGGGATTCCTATGGTGTTTTCAATTTTGTAGCACATATTACATCTTAAACATTTTTTAATGCCATCAGAATAGTTCAAAAGTATAATATTAATGGCTTCATAATATTTCCTTGTAGTTTTACATTTATTTAATTATTCTGATAATCATGGAAATTTTATTTCATTTTAGTTGCATCATTACTTTTGAAGTAAATTTAAATAACACATTAAAAATACCAAGAATTTTACATTTTTATTAATAGCCAAAAGATCATCTGTTGTATAAACAGATCCCAAAACTTAGGGTTTTCTTGATTAAGGAAAACAGAAGGCCAACAAAGTCCATGCAGTACACACAAGATATAGTCAATTAACACTTAAATCTGAAGGAAACAATTCCAGTGCATGGTTTCTTGCACTGGGCTTGTTCTCTTTCTTTTTGATTCTCCCTTCTGGTCCTCACTGGGAGTAGGAATCACACAAAGAGCTTGGCTCACTACTTTCATTCACTCTCTCCTTCTCTCATCATTTGTTCAAAATGAACCCATTTGGGCTAGTTCTTTAATACTCTCAGATGTTTTCCTGCTTTCAGAAACAGGCACAAAATAATTTATATATTAACATTGAACAACTCTCTGAAAATCATTGCATTGTTTAACTAATTTCTGATTTTTCTACCACTTTACAGCAGAAAACAACTTTCTTCTTAGAGTTCTTGATACAAACTTTTTAAGAAATTTAAAATATACATTAAAATCTGTCTTTGATGAGCATACTAAATAATATGATAGCTGGAAGGGAGGTAAGGAAGTGGTAACAGTTTTAAAGTTCTTATTTATTTTTCAAATATGAATAGTTACAGGTTTGTTATTATCTAAGAAAGAGAATTATTAATATTCTCCATGAGATCCAAGGATCACATTATATCTCAAACCAAGGTAACATTAGAGTGTGAAAAACAATTTTAATTATTATTTTATCAATTTTAAAAATTTTTGTATATTTGTGGGGTACAAGTGCAATTTTGCTACATTGATATATTGCATTTTGGTGAAGTTACGGCCTTCAGTGCATCCATCACTGGAGCAATGTGCATTGTATCCACCAAGCAACCTCCTATCATCCACCCACCTTGCACCTACTACCCTTCCAAGTCTCCATTGTGTTTTATCTTAAAGTGTAGTAATTCTTGCCCTCTAGCAATAACCTTGGTGTATGCATCTAATTCTCAGAGGGTAATCTACAATTTCAAAACTTTAAAAGTAGCTGTTTAAAATTATAGCACACCTGTTATTTTATATTTATGATTAGTATATATATCGGTTGTTCAAGCTAAAAGACAAATGACAGGAAACATTTTAATCAATAGCATTCTTTTAGCTATTATGGTAATATTCATATTTATTGGGACTTAGAGTAAAACAGTCAGGAAGTTGGTCAGAGCAAGAAATAATTTTCTCATTCTTTTTTCATTTACTAGTCATTCATTTAACAATATGTATTGAGAACCTAGTATATTTAATACTAGGTGCCAAGATATCTACTCTTAAGTACTTAGATTCTAAATTTAAAAAAAAGCCAAGTACTACTGTTTTAACCACACCACTTCTGACATCAAATATGTGGGTCGTTTTGTTTTTGTTTTTGTTTCTGTTTTTCCCTCACCACTCAATTGTCTGACAGCCAGTTGAGTGTCCCACAATTCAATTCAATAATAACTTGGCATTATCCTCAGATACCACAAGTCAATGGCTCAGTCTCACAAAACTGCCCCACTTCAAACATCAGTTGCAAGACCCAGGCCTCTGGAACTTCTGACTGACCAGCTATAAATCCTCCAGTTCAATAATGTGCTACAACAGCTCACAGAATTTAAGAGCTTACTATTTCCAGTTTATTGTAAAGGAACAGCCTGGAAGAGACATATAGCAGAAAGTATAGGGTAGGAGAAGCTATCCAAACTCCATAATTTAGAGTTTTTATGGAGGTCTCATTATGTAGGCATAATTGATTAAATCATTGACCATTGGTGATTAGCTTAATCTTCAACCCCTAGCCCATCCCTTGCAGATGCAGGTCTTTCTAGTGACTAGCCTCAATCCTGAAGCTATGTAGGGGCCCTCAGCCACTTGTCATCTCATTAGCATACAAAAAGGCACTCCAGAGATTCTAAAGATTATAGAAGCTCTTATGTCAGAAAATGGAACTAAGGCCAAATATAAGAAAGATGCTGCTATCACCAATATTAATCAGGAAATAACAAGGGTTATAGGAGCTCTGTGCCAGGCAGCAAGAACTAAGACCAAATACAGGCACACCTCAGAGATATTACACATTTGGTTCCAGCCCACCACAAAAAAGCCAATATTGCAATAAAGTGAGTCACACAAGTGTTTTGATTTCCCAGTGCATATAAAAGTTATGTTTACACCATACTATAGTCTATTAGGTATGTGATAGTATTATGTTGAAAAAAAGTGCATACCTTAATTTAAAAATGCTTTATTGCTAAAAAATGCTAACAGTCATCTGAGCCTTCAGTGAGTCATATAATCTTTTTGCTGGTGGAGAGTCTCGCTTTGATGTTGATGGATGCTGACTGATCAGGGTGGTAGTTGCTGAAGGTTGAGATGACTGTGACAATTTCTTACAATAAAACAACAATGAAGTTTGCCACGTTGATTGATCTTCCTTTCACAAAAGATTCCTCTGTAGCATGTGATGCTGTTTGATAGCATTTTACCCACAGTATAACTTGTTTCAAAATTGGAGTCAATGCTTTCAAGCCCTGCCACTGCTTTATCAAATAAATTTATGTAATATCTAAATCCTTTTTTGTCATTTCAACAATGTCCTCAGCATCTTCACCAGGAGTAGGTTCTATTTCAAGAAATCACTTTCTTTGCTCGTCTATAAGAAGCAACTCCTCCTCTCTTAAGGTTTTATCATGACATTGCAGCAATTCAGTCACATCTTCAGGCTGCATTCTAATTCTAGTTCTCTTGCTATTTCTGCCACATTTACAGTTACTTCTTCCACTGAATCTTGTACCCCTCAAAGTCATCCATGAAAGTTGGAATCGATTTCTTCCAAACTCCTGTTCATATGGATATTTTTACCTCCTCCCATGAATTACAAATGTTCTTAATGGGATCTAGGATGGTGAATTTTATCCAGATGATTTTCAATTTACTTTGCTCAGATCCATCAGAGGAATCACTCTCTATAGCAGCTATAGTCTTATAAAATGTATGTCTTAAATAATAAGACTTGAAAATAAAAATTATTCCTCAATCCATGAGCTGCAGAGTGCGTGTTGTGCTATCAGGCATGAAAATAACATTAATCTCCTTGTACATCTCCATCAGAGCTCTTTGCAACATTGTCAGTCAGCGGTAATATTTTGAATGGAATCTTTTTTTTTTTTCTGAGCAGTAGGTCTCAATAGCAGGCTTAAAACATTCAATAAAGCATGCTGTAAACAGATGTGCTGCCATTCAGGCTTTGCTGTTCTACTTATAGAGCACAGGCAGAGTATATTTAGCATACTTCTTAAGGGCCCTAGGATTTTTTTGACTAGTAAATGAAAATTGGCTTCAACTTAAAGTCACTGGTGACATTAGCTCCTAACAAGAGACTGAACCTATTCTGTGAAGCTTTAAAGCCAAGCATTGACTTCTCCTCTCTAGCTATGAAAGTCCTAGATGGCATCTTCTTTTAATATAAGGCTGTTTCATCTATATTGAAAATCTGTTGTTTAGTGTAGTCACCTTCATCAATGATTGTATTAGTCTGTTCTCACCCTACTAATAAAGACATACCCGAGACTGGCTAATTTATAAAGGAAAGCAGTTTAACGGACTCACAGTTCCACATGGCTAGGGAGGCCTCAAACAATCATGGTGGAAGATGAAGGAGGAGCAAAGGGATGTTTTACATGGTGGCAGGCAAAGAAAGTTTGTGTAGAGCAACTCCCCTTTATAAAACCATCAGATCTCCTGAGACTTATTCACTACCACAAGATCAGCATGAGAAGGACCTGCCCCCATGATTCAATTACCTCCCACTGGGTTCCTCCCATGACATGTGGGAATTATGGGAGCTACAATTCAAGATGAGATTTGGGTGGGGACATAGCCAAACCATATCAATGATCTTAGCTAGATCTTCTGGATAACTTGCTGCAGCTTCTACACCAGTACCTACTGCTTAACCTTGCACTTTAATTTTATGGAGGCAGCTTCTTTCCTTAAACCTCATAAACCAAACTCTGCTAACTTCAAACTTTTCTTCTGTAGCTTTCTTACCTCTCTCAGCCTTCACAGAGTTCAAGAGAGTTAGAGCCTTGCTCTGAATTAGGCTTTGGCTCAAGGGAATGTTATGGCTGGTTCAATCTTTTGTTCAGACTTTCTTCATATCAGCAATAAAGCCATTTTACTTTCTTATCATTTTTGTGTTCACTGGAGTAGCACTTTTAATTTCCTTCAAGAATATTTAAGAATATTTCTTTTTCATTCACAACTCGGCTAACTGTTTGGTTCATGAGGCCTAGCATTTGGCCTATCTAGGTTTCAACATGTCTTCCTCACAAAGCTTAATTATTTCTAGCTTTTAATTTAAAGTGAGAAACATTCAATTCTTCCTTTGACTTGAACACTTAAAGGCCATTGTAGGGATTAAAAAAAAATTTTTTTTATTTGTATGGCTACATAGTAGGTGTATACCTTTATGGGTTACATGAGATGTTTTGATACAGGCGTATCATATGCAATAATCACATGAGAGTAAATGGGGTATGTGTCCCCTCAAGCATTTATCATTACTTTGTGTTACAAACATTCCAATTATACTCTTTTAGCTATTTTTCAATATAGAATAAATTATTGTTGACTGTGATAACTGTTGTGTTACTAGATCTTATTCTATTTAACTACATTTCTGGATCTTATTCTATCTAACTACATTTTTATACCCATTAATCATTCCCACCTCCCCACCACCCACATAGTAGGGTTATTGATTGGAATAATTTCAATATTCTTGTGTCTCAAGGAACTGGGAAGCCCAAGGAGAGGAAGAGAGACGGGAACAGCATGTTGGTGGAGCAGTCAGAGCAGACGTAACACCAATTAAGTTCACTCTTATTTGGGTGCAGTTCTTGCCATCCCCAAGCAATTACTAAAGTGACATTAAATATTACTGATCACAGGTCACCATAACAGATATAATAATAGTGAAAAAGTTTGAAATATTGCAAGAATTACCAAAATGTGACACAGATACACGAAGTGAGCACATGCTGTTGGAAAAATGGCACCAAAATTGACTTGCTGGATGTAGGGTTGCCACAAACTTTCAATTTGTGAAAAACTGTATCTGTGAAGCACAATAAAGCAAAGTACAATATGTCAAGGTATGTATGTATATACTTCTTATGATAAGACCACACCAAGTATATAAAATATTTTCTAAAGATGGCACTTGTTACTTCTTTGAGACTCTCAATGTGTTGCATACTATGTTTAAGCTTCAAATTACTGATCTTAAGGAAATCAATGTTCTTATCTATCTGTACTGTTATCTTGATGTAAATTCAGTAGTGTACCTAGTTAGTCAGAGTAGGATCCAAAATTCCAACCTAAATTTTGAAACAAAGATTTTTCTTTATTATAACGCCCAACATAACACCAAGAGTAGTTAATAAACATACTAAGATGAACAATTATTCTTGACTTTAGGCAAAAAGAAAATTACTAAAAGATGTATTTATTAATCAAATGCTGTAATTTTTGTTATTATTTCTGTAAAGTTCTAAACTCCTTGAAATCCTATAGAAGAGAAAAGAATAAAAAATTGTCAAGGCATTCTGATTCAAACAGAAAAAGAAGGGAATCAAATAATTATCACTGCTTACATGATTATCATTGTAGTTTTAGCTCCTTGTTAGTTCAGTGCTTTTTTGTATATTTATAGAGTTGTGCAGCAATCATTACAATCTCATTTTAGAACATTTCCATTGAGCTAAAAAGAAACTTGATGCCCACTTGTAGTCACTCTCTATTCCCACTCCCAGTCCTAGGCAATCACTATTTGCTGTCTCTGTACATTTGCTTATTCTAGACATTTTATATGAATAGAATCATGCAATGTGTCATCTTTTGTGACTTTCTTCTTTCACTTAACATAATATCTTTGAGATTCACTCACCTAACAGCATGTTTCAGTATTCATTCATTTTAATTGACCAATCATACTCCCTTATATGGATATACCACATTTTGTTTATCCATTTACCAGCTAATGGACATTTGGGTGCTTTCCACTTTTGGGCTATTGTTAATAAGGCTGCTATGAACATGTCCATATAAGTCTTCATATGGATACATGTTTTCATTTACCTTGATTAGATACCTAGGAATGAAATTACTGGGTCATATAATGAATCTATGTTTAACATTGTAAGACACTGCCAGTGTATTTCCAAATGGCTGTACCATTTTACATTCCTACTAACAATATATGAGGGTTCCAGTTTCTCTATATCCTTCCCAACACTTGTGATTATCTGTTTTTTTTATTATTATTATAGTCATTCCAGTGTGTGTGACGTGATGTCTCATTGGGTTTTTTATTTGCATTTCCTTCATGATTAATGATGTTGAGCATCTGATGTGCTCGTTGATTAGTCATTTATCTTCTTTGGACAAGTATCTACCCAAATCTTCTGCCTATTTTTATAGTTAGGTTCTTTGGGGTTTTTTATTATTGACTTGTAAGAGTTTTAAAATATATATATATATGCCAGATACAATCGCTTATCAGATATATGATTTGCAAATACGTTCTTTCAATCTGTGGGTTGTCTTCATTTTTTGATGTTGTCTTTTGAAGGGCAAATGATTTTTTATGAAGTACAATTTATCAATGTTCTCTTTTGACCACTTATGCATTTGGTGTTGCAGCCAAGAAATTATTACCTTATGTATGTGCACCATATTTACTCATATTTTTAAAGAATTATAGTTTTAGTTCTTACGTTTAAATTTATGATTAATTTTGAATTAATCTTTGTACATTGTTATCCACAGTTTCAAATCCTTCCTTTTGCATGTGGATATCTGGTTTTTCTAGTACTAGTTGCTGAAATGATTATTCTTTCCCAATTAAATTATGTTAGCACCCAAAGCTGAATTGATAAAAATTGTTAGCCAAGTTGTGTTCTCTTCTTATTTATTCAAGAATGGTTCAGAATAAGAACTATTGCTACTTTACATGTGTCAGATATCTAAATATTAAGAAAAGTATGTGATCACTATAAAATTCATACTTTCCAGTAAATTACATTTACCATACAATGTTCAATACTGTAACATATTCTGTATTTTAACTTTTGATTTTTTTTTATAACTGTTGAATTTTGAACTATCGTGTTTTGTAACCTCTCACTCTTAGGTGTTGTTATTCCAAATATTTTATTAATTAATTCAGCAACTATTGTGTGACTGTTATGGGTAAAGTACTTTGCACGATACAGTGAAGAATGCAAAGGTAAATGCTGCTCTCAAGGTGCTTATGGACTAAAGCAAAAAACAAGACATATTCACAAGCAAATATACTGGGAGGTAGAAGTCAGTCGTCAAGTAACACCAGAGTTGCAGATAAATGCTTATGTGAATTCGAAGATTACTTGCTTTTTGTTTCAGAAAAGTGCTAGTGGATGAAGAGATCAACAGCCTATATGACAGCAAATTTGGTTCCATGTTGGTCTATACAAGTAGTTAAGGGCAAAGAATAAGCAGTAAGTTTCTGATGAATATAAATAAAATGTATGTAGCTGTTAAGAAGTATAGTCTGTGATTTTAAAAAAACATGAATAATGATATTCATGTACAAGACATGACAGTTACCAGTGTATTGCCTCTTAGCTCTCTTTGGTAGCTAACCAGAAATAGTGTATTGGGCACTTAAAGCATTTTTCTTAGACCGTGAGCATAACGTTACTCTTTGTCAGTAGAGGGCAGTGAAGGGTCACTGCAGGAGGAAGGGGCTTCTCTTCCTGGTTCTAATGCTACATTTTGATTTTACTTCGATCATTAGCAATGTGGACCATTAGCAATGGACCATTGGCAACGTGCTTGTGTAATGACATCTGGTGGTGTTTTTCCCCAGCCACATGCCCAGATGGGGCAGTCTGTTGGTGACTTCACAGCCTCTATATAAGGGCCTAGTGACCACTTTGCCACAGTTCTCCCAGCACTGACACCGCACACTGCCAACACAGACACATCCTCACTTCAGTGCCGCACTCCTTCTGAAGGCCCACCCACCAACCTTAGCTCACCTGTGCCCTAAAGAATTGTTTCTGCTTGCCCAACAGTAGCCCAACTGTGGACCAGAGCTCCGGCCAGGACACCCCAGCAAACTATTCTGCTGTAGAGAAAGAGGGCTTCCACCACACTTTTCCCAATGAAGTTTGGACCCCAACCTTGGGATGGGAAATCCTTCCAGTTCACTCTTCTTTGAGTCCTCTACCTTAGCTCCAGGATACCCTTTAGATTCTCTTACATCTTTATGGTTACTCTCCTATCAGTACTTAATAATTCTTCATATATTAAACTTTCTCTGTTTAAATTAGCATGTGGTTTCTGTATCTTTTTTTGTTTGTTTTTGTTTTTGTTTTGAGACGGAGTCTCGCTCTATCGCCCAGGCTGGAGCACAGTGGCGCAATCTGGGCTCACTGCAAGCTCCGCTTTCCAGGTTCACGCCATTCTCCTGCCTTAGCCTCCTGAGTAGCTGGGACTACAGGCACTTGCCACCCAGCCCGGCTCATTTTTTGTATTTTTAGTAGAGACGGGTTTTCACCGTGTTAGCCAGGATGGTCTCGATCTCCTGACCTCGTGATCCACCCGCCTCGGCCTCCCAAAGTGCTGGGATTACAGGCGTGAGCCACCGCGCCCGGCCCGGTTTCTGTATCTTGATTGTGTCCCAGACTGATACCTGTTGCCACAAGTTATTTTGCTCAGTTAATATTACTGATTTTCAAATGCTTCAGTTTATAGGGGTAAAGACAATTTCTTGATGCTATCCCTGAAAAGGAATTGGACAAGTTTAACTTATGTCATCTTCTCATGGGCTTCATGGAAAATAGCCTTTTTCACTAGTGAATATTGGATATGCTCTAGCATTTCCACTGAGAAATAAAAATTAGGCATTCATTCAAAAAAGTGTGTTTGATCCTATTTCTAATTCAAATGCTTTGATTATTATTGAGTTATTCATATAGTAGATTTTCTAAGGATTAATTGTTTTTGGCCAAGATAAACCAAATGTGGTAGATGTAAACTATTTTCATATGGTCAAATACGTGATGATTATTTTAATATAAAGGGTTTCACTGAAGCATAACTACAATGTAAAGGGTTTCACTGAAGCATAACTACATATGTAGAAGTTTTAATGTGTATGAGGTCTGTAATTCATAAAATTGTTGGTTGATTCTTTCTGTTTCACTTCTATTGGCAAAGGTTTAATTTACATTCAGGCCTGGTGGTAACCCTGTTAATAACCAAATTCATTCTCTCATTTTAAACTTATAACTTGGCAAAAGGGAAACCCTTGATGAAGTTGTTTTTAAACTTTTATGAATGATTCTTTTTAACCTTTTTAAACTCTGAAACCTTTTAAAAGTGAAAATATTCATCACTTTCTAAAGAGTATCCACTTTGTAAGGTCCAGGTACAGCAAGCAAATATGTATAAAACATTAAATTAAGAAAACTTCACACTTTTTCCTCTATAGCAAAAATCCTAAGGAGTAAGACATATGATATAAGCTATTTCCCCTAGGACTTCACTGAGGTTATTTGAAACATATCAGAAGCTGAGAAATTACGTCATTTCTTTTGCTATTTTTATTCCTTGAGGAAATAACTTTTTTCAGGACCATGATACCAATTCTTTTCTTCTTTACAAGCATTCCTGTGCTTTCTTACAACAGCATACTGGCAACACAAAGTAGCCAAATCGGCTCTAAGACAAATGTCTGTGAAGGCTGTTGGCTGAGAAATATCATTTGGCGGTCTCATAGTCTCATATATAAAATGTACCTTAATTTTTTTATTTTTTTGAGACAAGATCTGGCTCTGTCACGCAGGTTGGAGTGCAGTGGTGCCACCTTGGCTCATGCAGCCTCCACTTCCCAGGCTCAAGCAATCCCCCCACCTCAGCCTTCCAAGTAGCTGGAACTACACAAACGCACCACCATGCCTGGTTAATTTTTGTATTTTTTGTAGAGACGGGGTTTTGCCATGTTGCCCAGGCTGGTGTCGAGCTTGTGAGCTCAAGCAATACACCTGCCTCAGCCTTCCAAAGTGATGGGATTACAGATGTGAGCCACCATGCCCAGCCCCATTTACTTTTTAAACCACCACAATCATTATTATATCGTAGCACTCTAGGTTCACAGAGGTGATTAGGGACAACTATGTTGGTAAGTCAATGAACTCTCTTCTGTTCTTACCTTACTAGATTATGCTGTAACATTAGACAATGTTCATCATTATCTCTTTCTTACTCTCTCTTCCCTGTTACTTCTTCTAGAAAATGGGTCTTTGTTTGTATTCTGCAAAGATTAAAGTTGAATTCTAACAATGAAAGCATTCATTTTGACTAAACTCTAGTTCCATAATTTTTCTTAGAAAGTATTGGCAAATCTGTTTATGTCTCTTTTCAATTATTTTTCCTACTATCTCTATATACCACCAATAAAATTAACTAACTAAATTTAGTTTTATTTCAAATCACTCAGTGGTTCTTTTATTCAAAAGATATTAATAAGCATAGTGTCAGGCACTATGCCATGAACAGAGATACATTTCCAGGAAATTGATATAATGGAAAGAAACTAGGGCTAGAGTCAGACAAATCAGCTCTAGCTATACACTGCTCTAGCTATACACAGTATCACTTTAATTAGCTACATTTTTTCTGACTTTTATTGCTTCATCTGTAAAATAGTGATAATAATATATATTTTCACGTTGTATGGTAAAGTCTAAAGTTATGTTCACCAATACATAATGCAGTTCTTGGCACTGGGTAGATGCTTTTAAACACTATTAGTGTTCTTTATGGTATTTTTTCTAAGTGACTAAAAGATCATATTAATTTTACATGCCTCACATGTCCTCAGTCCTTTACCTTTATCTTCCTGGTGAATTTCCTTTTATTTTACAAAACCCATTTCAGCTCTCACCTACTTAGGAAGCTTCTCTTAACATTTTTCCCCCTCCTCATATCCCAAAAGAAGTGATTATATCCTCTTCTGTGCTTCCTCCGTGTCTCAAAGATAACTTATTGTTATACTTCCTCAGTATTTATTTATTTATTTATTTATTTATTTATTTATTTATTTATTTAAGACAGAGTCTTGCTTTGTCACCCAGGCTGGAGTGCAGCGGTGCGAACTCGGCTCACTGCAACCTCCACCTCCCGGGTTCAAGTGATTCTCCTGCCTCAGTCTCCCGAGTAGCTGGGACCACAGGTGCCTGCCACCATGCCCGGCTAAATTTTGTGTTTTCAGTAAAGACCAGGTTTTGCCATGTTGGCCAGACTGGTCTTGAGCTCCTGGCCTCAGGTGATCCGCCCTCCTTGGCTTCCCAAAGTGCTGGGATTACAGGCGTGAGCCACCGCGCCCAGCCTACTTCCTCAATATTATAATATATTGCTATTCAACTGTGTCTGGCCTAACAGACTGTCTGCTCCTCTAGAACAGAAACCGTCATATATATATATATATATCTCCCAAATCTAAAGTCAGGCTTGAAATCTAATAGGCAGCTCAAAAACAATTTATTCTTAAACAGAATTGAACAATGCCTTAAGGTACAAAAGTTGTGCATTATCCACAAAATAGCTCGAATATTACTGAAACTTTGTTGAATGGTATTTTCTCTGAAGCACCCATGTTGCTTCAAAGGACATGCTTTTGTTCTTATTTATGGCTGTGTAATGTTCCCTAGCATATATGTACCACATTTTCTTTATCCAGTCAGCCATTAATGGACATCTAGGTTGATTGCATGCCATTGCTATTGTGAATAGTGCTGCAATGAACATATGCGTGCATGTGTCTTTTTGGTAGAATGATTTATAGTCCTTTGGATATATACCCAGTATTGGGATTGCTGGGTCAAATGGTAGTTCTGTTTTCATTTATTCTGAGAAATCTTCAAACTGCCTTCCACAGTGGCTGAACTAATATCCATTCTCACCACCAGTGTATAAGTGTTCCCTTTTCCCCACAACCTTGCCAACATCTGTTATTTTCTGACTTTTTTTTTTTCTTTTTTTTCTTTTTTTTTTTTTTGAGATGTAATCTTACTCTGTCGCCCAGGCTGGAATGGAGTGCTGTGGAGCGATCTCGGCTCACTCCAAGCTCCGCCTCCTGGGTTCACGCCATTCTCCTGCCTCAGCCTCCTGAGTAGCTGGGACTACAGGCGCCCACCACCACACCCGGCTAATTTTTTGTATTTTTAGTAGAAATGGGGTTTCACCGTGTTAGTCAGGATGGTCTCGATATCCTGACCTCGTGATCCGCCCGCCTCAACCTCCCAAAGTGCTGGGATTGCAGGCGCGAGTCACCGCGCCCCGCCCATGACTTTTTAAAAATTGTCATTCTGACTGGTGTGAGATGGTATCTCATTGTGGTTTTGATTTTCATTTCTCTAATGATTCATGATGTTGAGCATTTTTTCATATGCTTGTTGGTCACGTGTATGTATTCTTTTGAGAACTGTCTTTTTAATTCTTTGCCCATTTTTAAATGGGGTTGTTTTTCACTTGTTGATTTATGTAAGTTCCTTATAGATACTGGATATTAGACCTTCATCATATGCATGGTTTGCAAATATTTTCTCCCATTCTGCTGGTTGTCTGTTTACTCTATTGATAGTTTTGTTTTTGTTGTGCAGATGCTCTTTATTTTAATTAGGTCCCACTTGTCTATTTTTGGTTTTGTTGCAATTGCTTTTGGAGACTTTGTCATGAAATCTTTGCCAAGGCCTTAATCGAGGTATTTCTTAGTTTTCTTCTAGGGTTTAGAGTTTTAGGTCTTACATTTAAGTCTTTAATCCATCTTGAACTGATTTTTGTATATGGTGAAAGGAAGGGGTCCAGTTTCAATCTTCTGCGTATGGTTAGCCAGTTATCCCAGCACAGTTTATTTAACAGGGAGTCTTTTCTGCCTTGCTTGCTATTATCGATTGTGTTCAAGATCAGAACGTCGTATGTGTGTGACTTTATTTCTGGGTTCTCTCTTCTGTTTCATTGGTCTATGTGTCTGTTTTTTTTTTTTTTTAATTATACTTTAAGTTTTAGGGTACATGTGCACATTGTGCAGGTTAGTTACATATGTATACATGTGCCATGCTGGTGCGCTGCACCCACTAACTCGTCATCCAGCATTAGGTATATCTCCCAATGCTATCCCTCCCCCCTCCCCCCACCCCACCACAGTCCCCAGAGTGTGATATTCCCCTTCCTGTGTCCATGTGATCTCATTGTTCAATTCCCACCTATGAGTGAGAATATGCGGTGTTTGGTTTTTTGTTCTTGCGATAGTTTACAGAGAATGATGATTTCCAATTGCATCCATGTCCCTACAAAGGACATGAACTCATCATTTTTTATGGCTGCATAGTATTCCATAGTGTATATGTGCCACATTTTCTTAATCCAGTCTATCATTGTTGGACATTTGGGTTGGTTCCAAGTCTTTGCTATTGTGAATAATGCCGCAATAAACATACGTGTGCATGTGTCTTTATAGCAGCATGATTTATAGTCCTTTGGGTATATACCCAGTAATGGGATGGCTGGGTCAAATGGTATTTCTAGTTCTAGATCCCTGAGGAATCGCCACACTGACTTCCACAATGGTTGAACTAGTTTACAGTCCCACCAACAGTGTAAAAGTGTTCCTATTTCTCCACATCCTCTCCAGCACCTGTTGTTTCCTGACTTTTTAATGATTGCCATTCTAACTGGTGTGAGATGGTATCTCATTGTGGTTTTGATTTGCATTTCTCTGATGGCCAGTGATGATGAGCATTTTTTCATGTGTTTTTTGGCTGCATAAATGTCTTCTTTTGAGAAGTGTCTGTTCATGTCCTTTGCCCACTTTTTGATGGGGTTGTTTTTTTCTTGTAAATTTGTTTGAGTTCATTGTAGATTCTGGATATTAGCCCTTTGTCAGATGAGTAGGTTGTGAAAATTTTCTCCCATTTTGTAGGTTGCCTGTTCACTCTGATGGTAGTTCTTTTGCTGTGCAGAAGCTCTTTAGTTTAATTAGATCCCATTTGTCAATTTTGTCTTTTGTTGCCATTGCTTTTGGTGTTTTGGACATGAGGTCCTTGCCCATGCCTATGTCCTGAATGGTAATGCCTAGGTTTTCTTCTAGGGTTTTTATGGTTTTAGGTCTAACGTTTAAATCTTTAATCCATCTTGAATTGATTTTTGTATAAGGTGTAAGGAAGGGATCCAGTTTCAGCTTTCTACATATGGCTAGCCAGTTTTCCCAGCACCATTTATTAAATAGGGAATCCTTTCCCCATTGCTTGTTTTTCTCAGGTTTGTCAAAGATCAGATGGTTGTAGATATGTGGCGTTATTTCTGAGGGCTCTGTTCTGTTCCATTGATCTATATCTCTGTTTTGGTACCAGTACCATGCTGTTTGGGTTACTGTAGCCTTGTAGTATAGTTTGAAGTCAGGTAGTGTGATGCCTCCAGCTTTGTTCTTTTGGCTTAGGATTGCCTTGGCGATGCGGGCTCTTTTTTGGTTCCATATGAACTTTAAAGTAGTTTTTTCCAATTCTGTGAAGAAAGGCATTGGTAGCTTGATGGGGATGGCATTGAATCTGTAAATTACCTTGGGCAGTATGGCCATTTTCACGATATTGATTCTTCCCACCCATGAGCATGGAATGTTCTTCCATTTGTTTGTATCCTCTTTTATTTCCTTGAGCAGTGGTTTGTAGTTCTCCTTGAAGAGGTCCTTCACATCCCTTGTAAGTTGGATTCCTAGGTATTTTATTCTCTTTGAAGCAATTGTGAATGGGAGTTCACTCATGATTTGGCTCTCTGTTTGTCTGTTGTTGGTGTATAAGAATGCTTGTGATTTTTGTACATTGATTTTGTATCCTGAGACTTTGCTGAAGTTGCTTATCAGCTTAAGGAGATTTTGGGCTGAGACAATGGGGTTTTCTAGATATACAATCATGTCGTCTGCAAACAGGGACAATTTGACTTCCTCTTTTCCTAATTGAATACCCTTTATTTCCTTCTCCTGCCTAATTGCCCTGGCCAGAACTTCCAACACTATGTTGAATAGGAGTGGTGAGAGAGGGCATCCCTGCCTTGTGCCCGTTTTCAAAGGGAATGCTTCCAGTTTTTGCCCATTCAGTATGATATTGGCTGTGGGTTTGTCATAGATAGCTCTTATTATTTTGAGATACGTCCCATCAATACCTAATTTATTGAGAGTTTTTAGCATGAAGGGTTGTTGAATTTTGTCAAAGGCTTTTTCTGCATCTATTGAGATAATCATGTGGTTTTTGTCTTTGGCTCTGTTTATATGCTGGATTACATTTATTGATTTGCGTATATTGAACCAGCCTTGCATCCCAGGGATGAAGCCCACTTGATTGTGGTGGATAAGCTGTTTTTGTGCCAGTACTATGCTGTTTTGGTTACTGTAGACTTGTATTATAGTTGGGTGGTGTGATGCCTCAGACATTGTTCTTTTTGTTTAGGATTGCTTTGGCTAGTCAGGATCTTTTTGGGTTTTATATGAATTTTCAAATAGTTTTTCTAATTCTGTGAAAAATGACATTGGTAGTTTGATAGAAATAGCATTGAATCTGTAAATTGCTTTGGGTGGCATAGTCATTTTAACAATATTAATTCTTCCTACCCATGAGCATGGAATGTTTTTCTATTTGTGTGTGCCATCTCTGATTTCTTTCATCAGTGTTTCATAATTCTTGTTGTAGAGATCTTTCATCTCCCTGGTTAGCTGTGTTACTAGGTATTTTATACTTTTCGTGGCTATCGTGAATGAGATTGCATTATTGACTTGGCTCTCAGCTTGGATGTTATTGGTGTATGGAAATGCTACTGATTTTTGTACATTAATTTTTCATCCTGAAACTTTCCTGAAGTTGTTTATTTGATCTAGGAGCCTTTGGGAAGAGACTGTGGGGTTTTGTTTTCTAGGTATAAAATCATATCATTTTCAAAGAGAGATAGTTTGACTTCCTCTCTTCGTATTTGGATGCCTTTTATTTCTTTCTCCTGCCTGGTTGCTCTGGCTAGGACTTCCAGCATTATGTTGAGTAGGAGTGGTAAGAGTGAGCACCCTTGTTTCGTTTCAGTTCTTAGGGAGAATGCTTTCATCTTTTGCCTCCTCAGTATGATGTTGGCTGTGAGTTGGTTATAGATGGCTCTTATGCTTTGGCCTAATTTGTTGAGGGTTTTTAACATGAAGAGATGTTGAATTTTATTGAAAGCCTTTTCCGCATCTTAATTAAGATGATCATGTGGTTTTTTGTTTTTAGTTCTGTTTATGTGATGAATCACATCTATTGATATGTATATGTTGAACCAACCTTGCATCCTAGGAATAAAGCCTACTTGATCATGGTGGATTAGCTTTTTGGATGTGCTGCTGGGTTCAATTTGCTAGTATTTTGTTGAGGATTTTTGTGTCTATATTCATCAGGGATGTTAGCTTAAAGTTTTCTTTTTTCATTGTGTCTCTGCCAGATTTTGATAGACAGATAGATATTTCTTGTGAATTGTTACAAATGCAAGAGAAGAAAACTTCATCCAAACAAGGCAGATTGCATACAAATATTTCTACAATGACCTCTATTTATCTAGATAAAAGTTTTCTAATTCTACAAGACTCTAGAATACAACTTCAAATAGAGGCTAGGTGTGATAGCTCATGCCTGTAATCCCAGAAATTTGGGAGACCAAGGTGGAAGGATTGCTTGAAGCTAGTAGTTCAAGATCCACCTAGGCAGCAAAGTGAGACCCTGTCCCTACAAAATATTTTTAAAAATTAGCTGGTCAGGTGATACACATCTGTACTCCAAGCTACTGAGGAGGCTGAGGAAGGGATCACTTGAGCCCAGTAGTTCAAGGCTGCAGTGAGCTATGATCATGCCACTGCACGCCAGCCTGGGTGACAGGGCAAGACCCTATTTTTTTTTAATTGAATACAAGTACCTTTGAACATACCAAATATAATTTTATATCTCTTATTTCAAAGTGAAGTCTAGATAATCTCACGTATAAGCATTTTTTTAAACATATAGCAGATCTCTAGAGATGGTGTTTATCTGATTTTCAAACCCTGGCATTTAGAAAAAACAAATTAATAAAGACTAAAGGATGAGGTAGGCATTGAGATTTCTAGAACTATTAATAGGTTTCCCCTTCTAGGAAGGAAGGTGAAAAAAGTTTCAAAAATAGAAACGAAGTGTAATCACTGTACATTTGTAAATTGTTAAAAAAGAAAACATTGGAAGGCCAAGGCGGGCAGATTGCTTGAGCTCACGAGTTCAAGACCAGCCTGGGTGACATGGTGGAACCCTGTGTCTACTAAAATACAAAAAATTAGCCAGGTGTGGTGGCATGCACCTGTAGTCCCAGCTACTTGGGAGGCTAAGCCAGGAGAATTGCTTGAACCTGGGAGAGTTAGGTTGCAGTGAGCCGCGATCATGCCACTGCACTACAGCCCGGGCAACAGAGCCTGACCCCGTCTCCAAAAACACAAAAACAAAAACAAAAAAAACACACACAAAGAAGAAAGAAGTATATAGTATTTTAGATTTACATCACTAATGGTGAACACTTAGAGTGTTTTGTTAAGTCTAGTGGTAAACTTTATGAAAGGGCAAATTTGGAGGTCTAGATTTCAGAAAAGTGATTGAAGAACTTTAGGACTTTCATCTTAACTCAGTATCTTCAAATTTCAATAAAAACAAAACAAAAACAACAAAAAGTCACACATATATTAAAATTAATAGTCACCTAGAATAGCATAGAATAAAATTACTATGACCTTGTGAAAAGAAATTGTCAGATCAATGTAATTTTCTTTTGAGTTGAAGCAAAATGTCATGTTGATCAAGAAAAAAATAATGGATACCACTTATCTGTGCTTTAAGAAGGTATTTGCATATCTATACATGTATATGTTCTTATAAAAAACATGATCTCTCAGGCTGGGCGCAGTGGCTCACGCCTGTAATCCCAGCACTTTGGGAGGCCGAGGTGGGTGGATCACGAGGTCAGGAGTTCAAGACCAGCCTGGCCAACATGGTGAAACCCTGTCTCTACTAAAAATACAAAAATTAGCTGGGTGTGGTGGTGGGTGCCTGTAATCCCAGCTACTCGGGAAGCTGAAGCAGAGAATTGTTTGAACCAGGGAGGCGGAGCTTGCAGTGAGCCGAATTCACACCACTGCACTCCAGCCTGGGCGACAGAGCGAGACTCTGTAACAACAACCAAAAAAAAAAGTGATTTTTCATCCCTGATTTCCAACTTTCATATCAGAATTATGGACTACCATATGAATGAAAGAAATTGAACTTTCAGTGTCAGTTGATAGTAACAATAGACATTGACTCTCAAAAGTCTTCTGTGGAGTCAATAACTCTTTGAGAGAATTTGCATTTTATTAAATACTTACATTTGTATAATTTAAAAAGAATATAGTGTGAATGTTTGTAAGACATGTATTTAACATGAATCCAAAACTGGAGTGGGACATTATGAATTCTTGAAAACTTTAGAATAAATCTGGGCCTAATTTTCTGCAATTATTCATCTGTATCATATTGCTTTTAGGGGAGGGTTCAAGTGGTTCAAGGTAAGTAATGATGATTTTATGACATCCTGGAAAAATATATTAATTACCATTTATCTAAATTAATCTAAAGACTATTACCATTTAATAGTTTTTCATGCTGGGTATTGACATTAAATATAAATTTTAAGTGAAACTGATATTAATAGCTCTGAGGAATGTATAAATAGGAAACAGAATAACCTTGAAACCTTTAGGAATTGGCCCATCAAGGCAAGTGAGACTCTAGTGTCAAGTTTGGTTAGCGTGTAGTATATTTTGAACCAAGAACAAACTATACAAATAACAGGATGGCAGAGAAGCTAATTAGTCACAAATTTGGTAGAACCAATAAGGCTCTTTTATTTAACAGGCATCGTTGTTTCTGATTGATAGCAGGAAGAACAGGAGAATCATGGGATCATGGGATATTTTTATATTTAAAGATCAGTTTTATTGTTTCAATCCCCCTTTGTTAAAATGTCAAACTGGCTTGTACAATGACAAAGGCTAAATAAAGGTATTATATTACTAAAAAACTTGACACAGTAATTCGTACTAAGGGAAATGTATACAAAAATCAGACATCATCTTTTTACTGTTCTTATCACCATTATTCTATTACAGTTTCTACCCTAAGGAGATTAGTGAAGTTGGGCAGAAATTAGAAGGGAGCAAAAGAGGAATACAAATAATTATATCATACCTATGGGTTAAAATATTGAAAATTTTTCAGCTTGGAAAAGAGAAAACTAAAGAGAGACATAATAACTGCCTTCAATTGTATGGAGGTTTGTCACAAGGAGGGTACGTAATTGAATTTTTATCCCTATGGAAAGATAAATCATTTAAAATGGGTATAAACTGTAGCAATGGGGAGCTTATTTGTTTGTTTTCTATTTCCAAAAATTATTTGATCTGACTTACAAAATCAAATACAATATAAAGCAGAATAATAAAGACCAAATGATCTAAAAGGAGTGGTGAAATAGATGTTGCCAAATTCAGAAGTGTAACTGCAATTTTTGTTTGATCCTGATTTTGGCATTGTGTTTTTAACAGCTGAAGGGGAAGGGTAGGAGCACATGGAGGGTTACATAGATAGATCCCATAGACTACACAGGAAAGGAGCACACTGCCCATCTCTGATAGCCCTGTACCCTCAAGAGTATAACTGAGCATCGTTGAAGTTTAATAGGTCCTTTGGTGTTTGGTTGTTTGGTTGATTGGTATTTAATGATCTTTTGTTGTTGTTAAATTCTATTCTACTCCATGCGTAGCAACTAAATTATTAGAAGATGAAACTGCTAGTAAGATGCCAACTGAATAGAACTTTCTGGTATTTTTATCATATCCAACTTATTTTCTGCATTTGGCCCTACTTTGAAACATCTAAAATGCTAGATATTTTTATACTAAGATTCTTTGAATTTTGGAGTGCAACATTCAGAATGTTATTCCTTATTTCTGCCAAGAGATTATATAATGACATATAAAACTGTGACTTTATGTGGAAAATAAATTTGACTCAATTTAATATTCTGGGCACAACTTACTATCAACTACACTAAAACTTGTTCTGTCTGGCAGATATTCTCTGGGGTCTAAATTGATCATTTAAAAGGACACTTTCAACCACTCAACTCATTAAGTGGCTCAGTGATTCTGTTTGCAAGTAGTCCATTCCAACACGTCTATCAGTATACAATTCTCAAAATTAGTCGTTCTCCAAGGGTCATTCCTTGTTTTCTCATTTAATATTTAAGGTGTAATAATAATGGCTTTCTTTTTTTCTTATCAGATGTTTTATCCATCCTTCATAACATAGATCTCTGGTATCCCAACTTGGTATTTGTCCAAGTACTTGAAATAATGTTAAAGATCATTTTTGTGTGTGTGTGTGTGTGAAAGATTTGACCGATAAGGATTCTTTTAGCTATTTTCATGAAAAAGTGGAATGACTCAGTTTCTCAATGTGAAAACATATTGGGGTCATAAGTGTTTCTAATGAAATATCAGTCTTGCTGCCTGAATTTCTGGTTTTAAAACAAGAGCATTGAACTGTGAAAGATTAGACCCGGATTTAAATCTCAAACTTCCTCCAAACTGTCTGACAATGGTCATCACTTTATTAACTTGTGCTATTTAACTTTGCTGAACCTCCATTTTTTTCTTTTGTTTTAAAACAAAAGTTAAGAACATGTTATGTTCAGTGTTTTTACATTGTGCTTTTGTCAGAACACTTGTATTCAAAACATAAAGGCACATTTAAGCGGGTATAAGTAAAATGGTTTATTTATTATAAGAATTCAGGCCATGCATGGTGGCTCACGCCTGTAATCCCAGCACTTTGGGAGGCCGAGGCGGGTGGATCGTGAGGTCAGGAGGTTGAGACCATCCTAGCTAACACGGTGAAACCCCATCTCTGCTAAAAATAAAAATAAAAAAATTAGCTGGGCGTGGTGGCAGGCAACTGTAGTCCCAGCTACTCAGGAGGTTGAGGCAGGAGAATGGCGTGAACCTGGGAGGTGGAGCTTGCAGTGAGCCCAGATCACGCCACTGCACTCCAGCCTGGGCGACAGAGTGAGACTCCATCTCAAAGGAAAAAAAAAAAGAAGAATTCAACTGAAAATCCCATAGGCCAAAACCCAAGTAAGCCATAAAGAGATTAAACTGGAATGAGAAGTCCAGAAACATATCAACACAGCCTACATTCTTTCTGAATGCTTGCATGGCTACTGTTATTTCTGTTTTTTTTTTCTGCTTTGGCCGATATCCTCTGCTTGGTCATGGCCAGACATAGCTTCCTCATCCTCAACTCTAGGTCATGCAGTGCATCTTCTCATAACATTCTGACTCACTCACTCTTACTTCATTTAAACATCACCCAGAAAGCAAATTCTATTGTTTCAGTTAAGCCTATAGATGAGTGCCCCGTGATCAGCGTCCTCATAAAACCTACCAAGCTGTGGCCATGGGAAAGGGGTGAAAGAGTCACATGGTATAAACATAGTTTATACTTTCAGTATGGGTTACATGGAGGACAATTTCAAAAAAGGAGTGAGGGCTGAGTTGGCACCTATCATGTGTTATTATAAAAATTATTCCCATTTTATAAATGATAGAATTGAAGCTAAGCAAGGCCAAGGTACTATTTTAATATCACAGTTTTGTTAAGGACTACAACCAAATTTTGAACCTGACTATTCTTATTCTAAGTTTAATGATCTTATCACAAAACTTACCTGGTTGAGAAAATAAATCTCCATGTAAGAAATGATTTTTTCCTACCTGAGCATGGTGGCTCATGCCTTTAATCCCAGTGACTCCCGATGCTGAGGCAGAAGGATCACTTGAGGCCAGGAGTTCAAGACTAGCCTAGGCAACATAGCGAGACCTCATCTGTACGAAACAATTAAAAATAAACCCAAAAGATATGACCTGTTCTAACATTTAAATTAATTGAATTATGGATGCATCTTTAATCAACAAACCAATACCTGCATGAATCGACTCAGTCCCTTAGGTACCAAAAGCTTGCTTTTTTATATTTGTAATGGATGCTTTTCCTAGACCATTCTCTAAAACAGTGTTTCTCAAAATTTGCCCATTCATTAACTATGAGTGCTACATCCTGATCACCTGGACAAGCAGTTTAAACACAGATTCTAGGTCCACCTTAGATCTCTGAAACAAAATCTTGAGGTGGGACCTTGGACTATGTGTTTTCAAAAAGATCTCCACATGATTTTTATGAATGCAATGGTCTATATTTTCAAAGTGTAGTCTCTACTAGATAAACAGAAAGCAATATGCCATATTATTTAAGTTCTCCACAAAGACGCCTTCGCTTAATTAAAATTTGGTATTACATTCTTGGATTTTAAAGAAAAAAATATTATCTGAATGAAGCTCTAAACAGTTGTTTTATGGCTACATGTTTTAGTTTCCTTAGTTTGATGATAACACTTGTGTTAGAATGAGATGGGTGGGAAGGACAGTGACATTTGCCCTTCCTATAGCCCGTGCACTGAGCAGGTGACCTAGGATAAGGCATTGATCATGAATTCAGTTATTCATTCATTCAAAAAAAAATTACTGAGCACACTGTGGCAAACATTTTGGTTTCTTCAATATGTTGCATAGAATGATTATGCATACAATTCTAGTGGCGTGGGGAAAGAAACATTAAGCACAAGACGTTTAGTTGATTTCATTATTGCACTAAAGTATTTGCCTTTTTCAAGGCTGAAGTTGACTTCTCTGCCTTCCTGAGCCATAGGGAAAAGGGTCTTGTCTTGCTTATGCAGCCAGCAAGATGTATCGGTTTAAGAAAAGTGCTGAGTAATGCCTGCAAATATAGCAGGCAGTCAGCCTCTTCTCTGCAGCTTGGTTCATGTCCTTTACCCATGCTATTTAACCCCTGATGTTTTTATATCCCTATTTCTAAACTCAAAATGAACCTCAAACTGAATAAGGCATACAATAAATGTATCCATATTTTCTTTATTCAATTCAGTAGCATCTAAATCCCTCTTGTGAGGACCCTCTGCTTTGGTCATTAGATAGTTAAAAAGATTTAAAATTGCTATATGTCTAGTTTCTAAAAATTGCTAAATGATTTTCTAAGGTAAACACCTTTCCGTGTATCCAGTGCTTAACAGAATTAATGTTATGTGAGTTTTCAAAAAAAAGAAAGGAAAAAAAGGAAATCTCTTTTTTGTCTCAGCCGACAGCAAGCAGTGCTGCTCCGGAAAGAAATGATTTTATTTCTAGCCTCTCTGCAGCATCTCCCTACCGCATTAGTATGTTGCTGCAAAGCTATCCATTGTGTAACTTTCCCCATCAGTCAGTCAGCTGTGTAGTTCTCTTTCCTATGAAATCGTTATGCCACAGGAGACAAAAATAAAAATACAATGCAGGTTAGTTCATTATATCCTGACATCTGTTTCATGCAGATTGTGATGCAATAAAATATTAGTAATTTAAACAGAATGTAATTGTGGTTTGAAATCACTTGGGTAAATCGTGTTATTTTAAAACAAATCTTAGGAAAATGAAATTTAAACTTTGCACTATTTGATTAGGATTAACAAACAAGAATATGAATAAACCAATAGATATAAAATATTAGACTTTAGTACTTAGAATATGTTTTAAGAGTTTGCTTCTAGTATAAGTTTTAATTAACAATTATTCATTAGCTGAAAATTTTTGAGGACCTATTAAGTACCTATCACTCTTCTGGGTACCATGGGAGGTGAAAAGGGGGTTTAAAGTTTGTGGCGAATGTATAGTAGTTACATTTTATGAGAAAATGTCTCATACCTAGTGACTGGTAAAGACAATAAAGGCTGTAGACCCTGGTGACTAGTGAAGAACCTATGGCCTGGCTTCTGCTTAAAGAGAGCTCAATGTTGCAAAATTCCTATTTGCCCTTTCACTTTTGCTAGAAGTGTATTGCATCACTTGTAAGATTAAAGGGAAAATATACTTATTTTGTTTCCCAAAAGTTTATAGGTTTCTGACTTTCACAAATGCTTAAGAGTACTCTTCTCTTTGTTGTTATGGCTGTCCACGTGTAGCAGTTTCATCTTTAGAAGTTTAAATTCTTTTCTCTTTCTTGCTGGATACAATGGCTCATGCCTGTCATCCCAGCAATTTGGGAGGCTGAGGCAAGAGGATCACTTGAGGCCAGGAGTTCAAGACCACCTGGGCAACATAGAGAGATACTGCCTGTACGAAAGTTTAAAAATCAGCTGGGCATGCTGGTATGCATCCCAGCTACTCAGGAGCCTGAGGTGTGAGTATCACTCGGGGCCAGAAGTTTGAGGCTACAGTGAGCCATGATCTCATCACTGCACTCCAGCCTGTGTGACAGGGCAATACCCTATATCAAAAAAAAAAAAAAAAAAAAAAAAAAAAGGAAAGAAGGAAGGAAGGAAGGAAGATAATTTCTTTGGTTTGTATAGGACCTACGGAGTTAAAGCGAAGTGATAAAATAAAGGAGGAGTCCTTAATGTGCAAAGATGCACTACTCATATATTTGAGGATAATCTTACATCAATACTTTTAATAATGAAAGAAATGTGAAAATATGCTTGCCACTGGTTTTAACATTTACCATCATCCATGTTTGAAAAATAAAACCCAACACTGGTTCCTCTCATGAGTATTTAATTGTTCAAGAAAAATCCTAGAATGAGTGAGTTTTTTCTGTCAGTACCACCTTACACTCTCTACCCCCATTCCATCTTTTTATATAGTCTCTTCCTGGCACATTGATAATTCATTCCATCAGAAAATCCCCACTAAAAGTAATTCATCCATATGTATTCTTCCACTGAAATTAACAGGTCCCAGCCAGCCCCATCCCCTACCTAGTCAACCAAAAAAAGAACTCTTACGCCCTCTCTCTGATTGATTAACCCACTTTGACAGTGAGAAATGCATTTTACATTGAGAAGTAAGTAGTCTCATTGATGCATAAACGACTCATGTACTCCCAGAGATACTTGTCTTTTAAAAGGAAGCGCTTGCTAACTGAACTGAAAATGCTAATTAATTGAATTTCAGGAAGCAGGAAAATAATTTTTTTAGCAGAGAAGACTTTCTTCATATATAGGGCTGCTACATTTGGAAACTAAACATACAAACTGTCCAGTTATATTTGACTTTCAGATAAACAATGAATAATGTTTACTAGCAGTGGGCCCCAAATATAGACAATGAGAACACATGGACACAGGGAAGGGAATATCACACACTGGGGCCTATCGAGGGGTGGGGGCCTAGGGGAGGGATAGGAGAAATACTCAATGTAGATGACAGGTTGATGGGTGCAGCAAACCACCAAGGCACGTGTATACCTATGTAACAAACCTGCAAGTTCTGCACGTGTATCCCAGAACTTAAAGTATAGTAAATATAAAACAAATTGTATGAGGTATGCTTATGCTTTAAGAAATCAGTTATCTGAAATTCAAATTTAACTGTGTGGCATGTATTTTTTCTGGCAACCCTGTTCAGATATCTTAAATCATTATGGTGGTTACTCATATCCTCCATGTCATAATGCTGACCTTGGGTCTCCCTACTTCCAATCTGCCAGTCCAGCCCCTTTGGACATCACTGTTTCCTTTACGCAACACTCTACCTAGAGAACAACAACAGTTGTCGCAACAAATCAAGTACTCTTCTAGGCCAACTTGGTAACATTCTAAAACAATAATGCCCTACCTAGCCCACGGGCTTTGGGACTTTACTGGGGGTGAATGTAGGGTAGCAGGTGAGATATATTTGGGAATTTAAACAAAAGAAAATATAATTTGAGCATAGGCTTTAGCTGACTGTAATAATAGTATTTAAATTATTTATAAGGTTTTAACAAAGCATATAATTGAACAATTTCAGCTGCCACCTGCTATTGAGGATAACAAAAAGGAAAATTTTCTCAGCACTTAAGAAATGTTAGAAAACATATTGATATGAAAGAGTAGAAATGAATCCAAAAAAGCATGCATTTTTTTCTTTAGCAATTTTTGTTTTAACTATATCTTTTTCCAGTTCTTCATCATTGACACCTGAAAATAGGCATTGGCACCACAAAAATGGTTAGATGGAGAGAATGCAGGACATGCATTGAACTTTATATTCCATTGTCTTACATGTTTATCAACATTCACTTTGATGTACCAAAACTATCTTTAAATGAGATGCACATTTTAATGTACATCTAGATTAGAGAAAAATCACTCTGGTCTGATAACTTTATGGGATTGTGAATACAAGTGATGTGATGGGTGGTTGACCAATTATTTTAAAAATGGTTTAGTGACAATTCAAGATTGTGTTGTAGCTCATACCCTTACACACACACACACACACACACACACACAAACACACAGATTGTGGGATTGACAGAGATGTTCAGTTTTCAAAGTCAATGTTTCAGTGTTCAACCTCCATTTTCTTCTACTCTGGGACTTAAAAAAATGAATCTGTTAAAATCAGGAATACCTAAATTTCCAAGTAAAGATCCAAGAAGACTAAAGCCTAAAGTCTATTTCATAAAGGAGCTTCTAAAATCAATTTGGTTACTTTGCAGGATTCTCAATATTATTATTCTCTATTTGCCAACTTCATAGTCTCCACATCTCTAACCAGTGCCTTGCACATTGTCTATATTCAATAAATATTAAAGAAATGAACAAAATTGACTGTATAGACCATGTTTCTTAGTCCATTTAGTATTGCTATAAAAGAATATCTGAGGCTGGGTAATTTTTTTTTTTAAAAAGAGGTTTACTTGACTTATGGTTCTTCAGACTGTACAAGAAGCATGGCACCAGAATCAGCTTCTATTGAGGGCCTCAGGTGACTTCCCCTCATGACAGAAGGCAAGGGCAGCCTGTGTGGGGTAGAGACCACATGGCCAGAGAGGAAACAAGAGACAGGGTGGGGTGCCAGGCTTTTTTTCTGAGATGGAGTTTTGCTCTTGTTGCCCAGGCTAGAGTGCAATGGCATGCTCTTGGCTCACCGCAACCTCTCCCTCCCAGCTTCCCAGGTTCAAGCGATTCTCCTGCCTCATCCTCCCAAGTAGCTGGGATTATAGGCATGCACCACCATGCCCAGCTAATTTTGTGTTTTTAGTAGAGACAGGGTTTCTCCACGTTGGTTAGCCTGGTCTCAAACTCCCAACCTCAGGTGATCCACCCACCTCAGCCTCCCAAAGTCCTGGGATTACAGGTGTGAGCCACCGTGCCAGGCTGCTCTTTTTTTTTTTTTTTCAACCAGTTCTCATGAGAACTAACAGAGCAAGGACTCACTCGTTACAGTGAGAATGAGGCAAAAACCATTCATGAGGGATCCACCCATGACCCAAACACTTCCCATTAGGCCCCACCTCCAACATTAGGAATCAAATTTCAACATGAGATTTGATGGCGACAAACCATATCCAAAGTATAGCACCAAGTATCATACACCTAGACAGAAATAGACTTGGCTCAATGTCACATCTGCTGTGACAGATGTGCTGGACATCTGGTAGTGTCCACTCTATACAAATCTGTGATAATCATCAGCTGCTGAGCTCTCAAACAAGACGAAACTGTATAATAATCCCTAGAGGGTCTCTTTAACCCAGACCAGTATACCACAAAAGGAATATAGTGAGAATGACTGAATTCACATGACAGACTGAAAGCAAACTTAAGTAGACGTTTATATGATTATCACCTGAAGAATGATGAGGTTCATAAATTTGGAAAGGAGAGCTTTATTTCTTATAAAGGGCTGCAGCCTGCAGAGTGACCTTCTGACAGGTTGGGAAGCATAACTTCCAGCCAGAAGCCAGAAACAGACACTTCAAGGGAGGGAAAAAGGAAACAGAAATTTATGCTAAGCACGGTGGCCAAATATATATGTTCAATAAGTTATAGGAGGAGTCATGAATATTTATGAGAGGAGAAGCATGCACATCCTCAACTGAGCTTCATGCCCCTTTGTGGGATCCATGTGGAAAAAATGGCGACATTAGCATGATCCGAGGGTAGAGTTTTCGGCCCTCTGACATTAAAAGGTGAAGCAGAGGACACAAAAATCCTTACTGCACATTCTCAGTGGAATGGCTAGAATCATTCCCTAGTGGGTGGTCTCTTATGAGGCACCAATGGAGGGAAAGTGTCAGGTGGTTGGTCCATGTCAGTGGGGGAGTCTTTTGAAAGGGCTGATTTCTGTTTAGCCCTTAGGGAAGAAAGCCTCATAGTGGTTAGTGAGGGAGGGGTTATAAGGAGGTATGTCTGACTCCCTGATCCACCATGGCTGAGAATTCAGTCTTCAAGGTTACTCTGGGATCCTTTTGGCCAGGAGAAGGTCAATTCAGTCAGGGGGCTTAGAATTTTATTTTCAGTTTACATGATAAATTAAGCATAATTTTATATCATAAATGATAAATAACATACAGAAAATTTAATATACTGAGTTTCTGAATCAGGAAATTATCTCTGCCTTTCATCTTTCAAGACCTATTTTCTGTAAGTTCTTTCAGCTTTCTCTATACCAAAATGGTTCTTCTCTGAACAATAATCCATAGTAACCATTGCAGATAATATGCCTTTGCTTAGACTTGTTCTATGTCTAGATTTTATATATACAGAATCTGAACCAAATGAATTCTGCAGCTCTGATACTTCTAGTCTCAATTTTTCATAACTCAGGGAGGTTCCATTTGTCTTCAGGTTATTTGGAAAAGTGAAAGTGTCAAACACCTGATACTCATTCCCCAGGGTAGTTAATTTGTGCTCAACACTCTCCTCTCCCCGTTCCTGGATCTGTTTCTCTTTCCCCTGCAGTTTTTCTCTGCTTCAGCCCCGCTGCCCGTGGGTTCTATGCTGTATCTCTCCATACAGCAACTATGCCTGGACAGTTTTGCTTTGTGTTGAGGTGGTTTCATAAGAATGCTTTTGAGCAGAAGAGTATTTTTAAATTGAGTTTATGCTAAAGAGAAACCCCTCTGAGCAGAATTCCACACAGAATTCTGCAGGATATTTCCTGCATAACACCATAAACATCCTTCTGGCTGCAGCAGCTCAAGTATTTCTGTTGAACCATTTCACACCCTGAGCTAACTAACATTCAGAGAATGAAAGGTGAAAGTCTTAAAACATAAATTAAATAACTATGATTTCTTAATAACACTAATGACTAAACATTCCACATAGATCCTACCAAAGGAGGGTATTGTATGTCTCCCAGGAACAGAGTCTAATCATACCATTGTTGTGCTGGAACACCATTGAGTCCAATAGGGATGGCATCATGGCCAAGAGACTAAAGAAGAGACTTGAAGCCAGCAAGGGAGACATAGGATTTATCTAGGACTCATATACAGGGGTGGTCCAGTGGCAGTGGGCTGGATGGGAGAACCACTAATGTTTGTAAAAAGCATGCAGTTTATATAGCATTTTCACTTAGCACTCTCCACCTAGCAACATTCATTTAATCCAAACAAAGGGCTTCATCCACTGTATGGCCCACATTCTGAGGAATGGACCAGGCTTTGGAAATCCTTAATAATAAGGAGCAAATTTCCAGGTTGGCCACTTCCAGCCAGATTTCTTACCTCAGACTTCCAAACACACATTCTTTTTAGACCACAGAGTCATTCTCAGGGTACCCTTAAATTATTGCTGTCAGGTGCGTCTGCCATACAACCATGAGTCCTGAAAGGATTTGCACACTGAAAACACTGCATTATTTTACCAAAATGGTTATCAAAGTAGATATTTCCAAAGAAGGAATGTAAGCATCCTTCCTCCCAACCCCCAACCAGCATTTTGTGTTAAAATGCTAGTGTTGGCATCTTTTTCCTTCAAAGGGAATTGTACCAAGCCTGATTTTTTCTCCCATTATTGCCCCACAGCAATAAAAAGACAATTGCTGACTCAGGCACTATTTCCTCTGGCTGCTACTTATAGCTACATAACTCCTGGCTTTACCAGCACCATAGGCAAAAATGACCTGCATTGTCTGAGAGAGCAGCAAGAAGAATGGCATTCATTCTGTCTCCATCTTTGTGGGTTTACATTAAGTTACTTCTAGACCATGGTTTTTGAATGAAATAGAATGGACTTGAAGTGTCTACAAAGGAGAGGCACAGTCCAGAGTGGGAAGGGGTGGGGAGAGGACAGCAACGGAAGTGAGATGGAGGCTGAGCAAAAAAAAAAAAAAAAAGAAAATTGAGAATAAAGGAGAGCTGGGAGAGAAAAGATGAACATCGAGAAAGGGGAAGATGAATAGACTGGCCATTAGGCTTTCTCTTCGAGTAATCCACTTTGTGCAAAACCTGCCATATACAACTTGGATATAGGCAGTGCCTCTCTCATTGCTAGCTAAACAGCCCTGGGAGGCCCACACTGGGCTTTAAGTGCCTATCACCTCACACTTGGTATCTCAAAATCTGCAACCACAATCACAGTCACGAGGATTAGACTTCACTCTCTACATCCTCCCAAATCTCTGTCGAGTGACCACTCACCCACACAATAAGATTACTTATTTTCTAACAGGAAAACTTTACTAAAAGAGGTTAACTTAAATAATTTACTTACAATGACAGTCATTACTATATTCTTGATATAAACTAATGACATTTGTTCAAAGGAATTCCCTTAAATTATTCTGACTATGATCGTCTAGAAGAGATCCTAAATTTCACATGATTTATTATGTGAACTATCCATGGTCTTACTCTTTAATGACAATCTTCTCTGTAAGGAAAAAAATGAAATTAATCATCCTAATGATACTGATGTGTTTCATGAGAAAACTACAGGCAGAGCCTAATAAACTATGGCAGATCTGAATCTCAGGCAAAAACTATGTACTGTATTTCTATGTATTGTATGTAGATTGAATGAATTTTTTGCCTGAGATCTGAATCTCAGGCAAAAACTATGTATTGTATTTCTATGTATTGTATGTAGATTGAATGAATTTTTTACTTCTTAGTTTATTATTAGGGTGTCTTGAAAAACACCCCTGGAGTATACAAATGTAGATACAGACATATGTTAGATATCTGACCTTATTTTAACTGCAGTTTGCATAAGGCATGAAAAACTAAGGGTAGATAATGAAGTTATTTTTAAATGTAAAAGTTTTAAACATATGGCTGAAATATGTTGTTTTAGTTAACCCCAACCTACTAAAAATTGGCTTATTGAGAAATCAAATGAAATATTTTTGTAATTATAATTACACCAAATCAAATTATTTCTAGAAAAGAAATTTATAAAACAATACTTTCTAGGTTTGGGATTTCTATGTAAAAACCAATTTCTTTCTTGGCTGCTAAAAAATAGTTATGTGAGATCACAACAGTAAGAATAACATTTTACCTAGTTATTTTTATTATTATTGGCAGTAACATTCTTTTGTAAAGTAGGTGGCAAGAACACTACAAAACGAACTGAAACACTTCACAAATTGTCGTGCCCAGATGGTTTATGTCCCCAGAATAGTAATAGCTCTTTACAAGGAGATGGCAAGCATTTTGGCAGAAGTCTTTTTGGTTTCTCTTCAGTATGGATATTAAACTACTTTATAGACAGAATTGAAGATATATAATTTTTCTCCACATCAGATTATATATTATAAGGTGGTGAAGATATATAAATGTTGCACAACTATATTGAACTTTGGAGTTACAGATAAATTATATAAAGTCATCTGCTCAGTTAGTAACTAGAAATAATCCAGTTTAGCAATACATAAAACATAACGGAAGTAAAACATAAATTGACGGTGGAGGTATAGTTCAGCAGGATTAAAACCTGCATCATATGATTCTAAACTTGAATATTACAATCATCTTTTTAAATTTTGGAGTCTCCCATTTTTCAAAATTTTGAAGTCTCCATTTTTGCCAGAATGCTTTATTTACTGTATTTGTTTTGGGTCTGTCCAAGTAATATAAATTCCTTGGAGAGACCTAGATCAATTAGAGTAGATAAATACTATTTTAACACAGCTACTTATATTTTCATATATTTTATTTAGCTTTAAAAGAATATTTCATAACTATTAGGACCTGGCAGACACTGGTTTGGGAGTTAGAAAATAAAAGTTCTGATTTAAGTCCCACCATTAATAAGCTGCGTAACCTGGGACAAATGACATATTTATTTTGAAAGTAGGAAGCACATAAGTTCTAAACAAAGAAATTGCCCATTTTTCTTTGATTCAGTTTGTTTTCTATTAAATGAGAGGAATAGACTAATCTCTGTTTTTTAAATCTTTGCCATTTATTGGTTTTGATTTACTTATCTTTGTCTAATTCTCTTAAAATAACTTACTCAACCTTTCAGAAGTCCAGAGGTCAAGGTAAACTAGGTCTTGTCTGCCTGAAAGCCTGTATTATAGACTAACACTGTTCCACATCAACAACAAAATACTATCACATTAAGTACTATATATATTCTTGTCTGTGAATAAACCATAAGAGCTGCACTTTATATTCAGTTCACTAATCAATTGGTTAGTAATTTTTTTCCCTGTAAATCACTTCTAGGGTCAGATAAGGCAAAAAAATAATAGCAATTATTCTAATAGATCATAACAATAGCATTGGAAACTGGGAGGAGAAAATGAGAGAATTGTCTCACCAGGTTGTAGGGAGAGACGGGGGAGTGAGGAGGGGGAATTTCTTTTAGGCTTTAAAAACAACATAGAATTTAAGGACATTATTGAACCAAAAAATCTCAAGACATTACCTTAGTTATGGTATTTCTTGCATAAATACACAATGGCATCAGAGTGTGAAGTTGTGGATGCTGGGTGTCTCTCGGGGATGGGAAACACTAAATTTCATTCATCTTTCTCAGGTTCTGAACAAAGAAAAAATATTCAGAGGACTAAGACAGATATCACCTTTTTATCTCACAGAAGTTTGTGGAGAGTATAGCTTTGTGTGAAAGCCCAAAAGCCCGTTAACCAAACAGATCTAACCACAGAGGCCCAAGCAGTCACACAGAGCTGCCCTCCAAAGGAAGAAACTACATAATGATTTACTTATAAAAGGCCAGTTTCTTCGGGTACAAAGCATTTATAAGGTTGCCTTTACAGTTAAGACTTCTGTGTGAAATGCCACAGGGAAAATGAAATACTTCATTGTGAGCTATCGTACATATTTGTTTGACTGGAGAAAAGCAGATGCCCAAGGGAGTTTAACTGTAAGGCTTCATGGGTTAGGATTACTTTAAATAAAGCTCCTCCATCTGCACTTTGAGGGTCACCAAAGCCATATGGTTTACCACTCCCAGTCACCTCAAGTATAAACATCTTTTGGCTGTGATAAATGCCTCCTCAAGTCCAGAACGTAATACATGTGTCCTCTTCTACGGGAAACAGAGATATATAATGCCCAGAAGCAAAAACCTCATCTAGTACTAGAACATTTATGATAAGTAATGAATTAGTAAAGTCTTAGAAATGACACTGAATATTATCAGTATTAACTTTCTGATCTTGTAAAGTCTCCCGAGAAGGTAATCTGTTAATTATAATGCTACAGATTTACCTCCCTCTTTTTCTTTCAGTTAGATATTACCAGATGATATTATATCTTTATTTATTATTTGTATATTCTAACAAATTTTTCCTTATAATTCTTTTGTCCACGTTATTTGATATTGGTCATGTTATTGCTATTACTTTACTATTTCTTTCCACTCAAAATTTCCACTTCATTTTCTTACAATCTTTTTTTTCCCCCATGATCTCTCACTTCCATTTCATGTTCTTTTGGATTATTTTTTTCCTGTCTTCTTTAGGATTGCTTATCTAATTGAATTCCACTTTTAATGTATTTTTCTTGTCTTCCAAAGAATCATTCTTCTTCCAGTTTTCTATTGCCCACTACTCTACTTATTTCCAATATTTTTTAAAATTCCTTCAGATTTGAAGTTTGCTAACATGCACTTTGTTACTTTTTCTTCCTAGCTATGGTTTCTTAGTTCTCTTCTTAATTTTATTTTGTCCAAATGCATAACCATAATCATCTTGAAAAGGCCTCTCTCTTTGAAGTCTTCTCTTGTTAGGAAAGTTTCATTGTCTTACCTCTTTTGAAAGGAGCAAGGTCTCCTCTATGTAACCAAATATTTAAATGCTGGTTTTTATGAAAAGAGAAAGCTGTAAGCCAAAACTGCAGATTCTATGAGGTTACTACCCCGTATCTAGTGACATGTATTTTCATAAATTAGGACAATTAAGTCTTCTGTTATAAATTTTTAGAATAAAGAGGTGAAATCTCCTTTGTAAGTGTAAATGGAAAATTCATGATTTATTTCTGTATTTTAATAGAATAAGTACAGATTTCAAATGTAATTTAGAACAATTTTTCATATTACTAAAAAATATTAATATTGAATGACATCTGACAGTTTTTTAGGTATTTCATAATTAACCTTATGAGATTTTTAATGAGTTTTATTCTTATAATTAATATAACATAATTTATTTTTAGGTAGCATTTGAATAGAAGATCTACTTAGAGTTAAAAAAATACTTTTTCTAGTATCAGTATGATTTCATTATAATATGGGTTATATTGCTTACATATGAATATAATTCCTGTATCTAACTAATTTATAATTATATATAATACGTTTGAACTGATCATATTTGTCAGTGTAGAATTCATGTCTTCTACTTTCTTGGTTGTTTATTTCTCCAGTAAATGATAGCTAGTGACCAGGGAGATTTTCTTTAGAGAGCTTTTCTCAAATGCAGTATTTCTGGAGAATAGGAAGGCTTTTAGTAACTGTTTCTGTCCATTCACACAACTTCATGGACAATAACATCAAGTGTGGCACTCTGAAAGACGGTGATTGTCGTAATGATCACATATGTTAAAATATACCTATATATGATATCTAAACATATACATATTAAGGAAAGTGCTAAAACAGTAAAATGAAAAGGATGAAACCGAATTGATGGAAAAAGACATACTAGATAAGTGCAAATAAGTAGAAATTAAAGTCATTATATGCTATGAGACAAAGTTGTCTTTAAAGGGAAGAAACTACAGTAAGATAAACAAGGGCCATTTAAGGAAGTACAGGGTTCAATTCACTCCAAAGATCTGATCATAAGTGTTATCTACACATCAAACAATACCGCATTGGAATTCATAGAACAAAAATGACAGAAACCACAATAAATAAAAACACATTAAATAGACATTAATTTGCCTCTCCCAACTTGGAACAGTCAAGTAGAAAAAAAATATGTACAGACATAGAAGGTCTACATAAGATAAGAAATAAGATCAATATAATTGAGGCATAATGAACTCTACTGCTTTAAAATAAAGAATAAGTTTCTTTTTAATGTTCTTAGAAAAGTCATTTTAAAAACAACCTCTATTAGGATAAAAATAAATCACAATAAATTCCAAGAAACAGAAATGGTACGAACTACATTATCAGAGCATAGGGTAATAAAACTAAACATAAATTTAAAACTTAGAAGGAAAATCTATCATTTGAAAAATTTAAACACTTTCTTTTAAATAGTTCTTGCATCAGTGAGGACTTTGAAACCAAAATTCATTTTAAGAATTTTCTGGTTATTCTTGTTTGCTTATTTTTCCACATGAAGTCTCAAATAGATTTCTCTAGTTATATGAATTTTGTGATTATTTTTCAAAGGCTGCATTTAATTTATTAATTTAGGGAAAATTAATATCTTTATGATATAGCATTCCTATCTAATAATAGGATATAACTTTCCATCCATTTATATTTACTTTTGGTTTATTCAAAGCTTTTAAAAAATGCTTACATTGTATTTAGAAACATTTCTTCCATTGTACTTTTTCTCTTTGAAATAGACTAGTTTTACAGTAGTTTTAGATTCACAGCAAAATTAAGCCAAAAATATAGAGTTTCCCCTTTCTCTACACACGCAGAGCCTCCCCCAACTATCAATATCTCGCACCAGAGTAGCACATATGTATTACTGTAAAAATAATCTATTTAGAAGAGAAAAAATACAATGGAAGAAAATTAATTTAGGAAAAAAATTAATTTTTTCCCTAAATTAACAAATTAAACGCAGTTCAAATATACCTGTATTGTATATAGGTATATTTTAACATATGTGCTATATTATATGTATTAGAATCAAAGTCCTCTTTGATTCAAGAGCTATTTTAGAGACAGTGTTTAGGTATTGTATATAGTTACAACTGATGAACCCAATTTGATATATCATAATCACCCAAAGTCCATAGTTTACATTATAATTCAATCTTGGTATTGTACATTCTATGGGTTTGCACAAATGTATAATGACATGTGTCCACTATTACAGTGTCATGCAAAGTATTTTCACTGCCCTGGCAATCACTGATCTTTTTATTGTCTCTGTAGTTTTGTCTTTTCCATAATGTCATATAGTTGGAATCATACTGTATGTCCATTTTAGATTGCTTCTTTCAATTAGTAATATGTATTTAAAGTTTCTCCATGTCTTTTCATGGCTTGATAGCTCATTTCCTTTAATGCTGAGTAATATTCCATTGTCTGGATGTACCACAGGTTATTTATCCATTCACCTACTGAAGGACATCTTGGTTGCTTCCAGGTTTGGGCAATTATGAATAAGGCTGCTGTATACATCCGTGTGCAGGATTTTGTGTGGACATAAGTTTTCAACTCCTTTGGTTAAATCCTAAGGTATGCAATTGCTGGATCATATGGTAAGAGTATGTTTGGTTTTTAAGAAACTGCTAAACTGTCTTCCAAGTTGCTGTACCATTTTGCTTGCCCACCAGCAATGAATGTGAGCTTCTATTGCTCCATATCCTCATCAGCATTTAATGTTGTTAGTGTTCTGGACTTCGACCATTCTAATGAGGGTGTAGTGCTATCTTATTGTTTTAATTTGCATTTCACTAATGACATATGATGGATGTGGGGCATCTTCTTCTCATATGCTTATTTGCCATCTGTGTGTCTTCTTTGGTGAAGTGTCTGTTCAGGTCTTTGGCCCATTTTTTATTCAGATTGTTCATTTTCTTATTGTTGAGCTTTAATAATTTTTTGCATGTTTGGGGTAACAGTCCTTTATCAGACATGTCTTTTGCAAATATTTTTCTTAGTATGTGGCTTGCCTTCCTATTCTCTTGATAGTATCTTTCACAGAGCAAAATTTTTCATTTTAATGATATCAGATTGTCAATTCTTTTTTTTCATGGATCGTGCCTTTGGTGTTATATCTAAAAAGTCATCACCTGAGTTCTGGTTCCAAAATGGCAGTGAAGAAGCAAGCTGGCACAATTCCTCCTCACCATCACTCCTAGAAAACCAAAAACAAATATATAGCACTGAGAATATCACCAGAAATATTCCAGAACTCAAATATGAAGATGAGACAGTTCCAAGAAAAACAGAGAACTAAAAAGTTATCAACAAATTTAGTCAACTAGGTTTTCTCCAATATTATCTTCTAGTAGTTTTTTAGTTCTGCATTTTACATTTAGATTTGTGATCCATTTTGAATTATTTTTTGTGAAAGGCATAAGGTCTAGGTTCATTTTTTTTTTTTGCATTTGGATGTCTAGTTATTCCAGCAATACATGTTGAAAAGACTATCTTTTCTTCATTTTATTACCTTGCTTCTTTATTACAGATCAGTTGGCTGTAATTATGTGGGCCTTCTTCCACACTCACTATCCTATTCCATTGATCCACTTATCTATTCTTTTGTCAGTACCACACTGTATTGATTACTGCAGCTTTACAGTAAGTCTTAAAGTTGGGTTAGTGTCAGTCCTCCAACTTTGTTCTTCTTCAACATTGTGTTGGCTCTTTTGGGTTTTTTGCCTTTCCAAATAAACTTCAAAATCAGTTTATCAATATCCACAAATAACTGCTGGGATTTTGACAGAAATTAAATTAAACCTTTAGTTCAAGTTGGGAAGAACTAGTGTCTTTGATATATTGAACACTCCTATTCAAAGACATGGACTGTCTCTGCATTTATTTAGTTGTTCTTTGATCTCTACCTCACTCCATATAGAAAATAAATTCCAAATAGATAAAATATTTAAACTTATAACATTAAACCACCAAAATACTAAAAATACAAGAGGGAAAGGTGATACAGATGCATGTGTGTGTATGTATATATTTTATATCCTTTTTCCTACCCCTTACTGCCCATCTCTCTGGATGCCTTTCTAAGCATTATACAGTATCCAGAAGCCAAAGAAGAATTAGATAATCACCTAACAATTTTAACATTTTTAATTAAATCTTTTAAAATCTGTAGCACAAAGCACCATAAAGTCAAAAAATATACATTTTTAAAAGACCACACATCAAAAAATCAAGTGGCTAATATTTTGTCTTAAAAGATGCTATAGATTGAAAAAAATAGAAGGAAAAAATGGGCTGTTTTTAAATAAGCAGTTGCAGGAAAGAAAATAAAAAATAATTCTTAAGTATAAGAAAAATATATTCCACTTTTCTCATAGTAAGACAAATGCAAATTAAAATTATAATATGCTCTCATCTTTGTCCCTGTCAGATTGGAAATATCAAAAATATGATAACATATTATATTGGTGAGGATAAATAGGCACTCTGTTACATTGCTGTCAGGAGAATAAGTTCATACAAACTCCATAGAAAGTAGTTTTGCAGTAACTATCATAAATAAACATTCTGTACAAAGCCAAGTCTACCTTTAAAAATTAATTTTATAAATATATCCACATATATTTGAAAGTATGTGTGTAAAAATGTATTACTTGCAACTTTATTCAATATTAGCTAAAGATTGGAAACAACCCAAATACTCACATTCAGGGAATTGGTTAAATAAATTATGGCACATAACATGCAATGGAAACCCATGTAGCCAGTAATAGGTACGAGTCAAATCTATAAAAATTAAGATAAATGAACTCTAATATACATTTTAAGTAAAAAATGCTGGTGTAAAACAGTTTGTATAATAAGATTCCATTTGAATATGTATTTTAAAATAGAATATGTATACATACACTCATGTTCTAGCATATACCTATTGAATACCTGGAAATATATATGGGAGATAAGTAGTAGTAGTTGCCTCTAGGAAGGGGAACTGGGCCTGGGGAAACAAGGTAAAAAGGAGATATTATACTGCATTTTCTTTTAGATATTTGCATTTATATCATTTACATATATTTTCTATCAAAAAGCTATTTAAAAATAAAAACTATATATATACATCAGAATATTTTATTTCCCTTTTGAGAAAAGTTACTATATTTGTTATCCCTAAACTTTTATTTGCAAAAAATAAATGTTAGTATTTTCCTGATGCCTTGTAGGGGAACCAGAGTTTGTAGACAGAACATTCAGTTTTCATTGATTTACAGACAACCTATTCTTGCAGGTACTAAATAACTGCAGGTTAAGTTCTAAGAACCGCTGAAAACTTCACTTAGTAGACTAAGGGTACAAATTTAAACTTGAGTCCTCCCTTCTTTTGATCATCCACTCTGAAAAATATGGTTATAAACCTCACAACAATGAGAACCTCCTTGAAATTTGAGGTCTCTGTCCCTCACAAAATAATTATGCCTGCAATTTTCTTATTGTAGTTCATATACACCAAAGCTATAATTAACTGTACCATAGCTTGCTGACCTTAATGAGTTAATGCAGTCTCCAAATAAAATTCATGGCCAAGTGGCAGCTTAGGCTCTGGAATATTTTGGCTCAGTAATATCTGTGAAATCTGAGCTCATATTAAATATGCCTTAAAACAATACATTTGGGATTTGGCGTCTGGCATCAGATCAGGTCTGACTCTGCTGTATGGGGTTGACGGTTTTGCCTCAGGCCTTCATAATATGGTTAGCACTATAGGACTATAGAATCAGCAAGAATTTCATTATTGCTTCAGTGAAGAAAAACACTTAGTTTCTATTGAGTTTATGGCACCCTGACTTCTTTCTGATCATTTTTCTTGAAACAGGAGACTCCTGCTGTCTCCTGCACCTACAGCTATCTTCTTCCACCCCCACCTCCATCTAGCAATTTCTTTACAGCCTAGTTTTCCTCTCCTTCTTACTCACATAAATGACATTTGTCCAACCGTGGACTGTCTTTATCTTTATGTGTTCAAGTAAGCCAACCATGCATGGCTAGTGAAGTGAGCAGGACATAGTTCCAGTTGTCTCAAATCTTAGAAGAGGTTAAAGCCCAGTCAAGACAGCAATAACTATTTGATTGGTCATTAAGGTTGGTCACTGCAAACTATCCTGACTATCTTGGCCAGGAATCACTTGTCAGACCTAGAGGGTTAGATTTTATGTCCTCTCAGAGACAATTCCTTTTCCCCTCATCCTTGTTAAATGAGCTATCCTTTGCCTTTATACGCACAGTCTCCATCTTCTGGGTGTGTCACAGACTGAATAACTCATTAGTGATATAGTGTTAATTAGCCTAATGTACTTTGATTAAGGCCATATTTGAACCACTTTTAAAACTCATGGCACAGTTCCTGTATCAGTAAAGCACAAGAATTAATAAATAAGTGATGCTTAACTAAACTCAACACAGAAACCATTTGTGTTAAAATTTTTTCTTTAGAAATCACCTTTCAATTTAAGGAGAAAACAGACTTTAAATCCTCTAGCTCATGTTTCATGACAAGAATTTATTTATATTAACATCTCTTAGTCCACTCTTTAAAATATCTGTATTCCTTTTATTTTAGGAATTTCATATGCAGAATAAATGGTAATTAAAATGTGCAGGATGACAAGATGGAGCAAACAGTGCTTGTACCACCAGGACCTGACAGCTTCAACTTCTTCACCAGAGAATCTCTTGCGGCTATTGAAAGACGCATTGCAGAAGAAAAGGCAAAGAATCCCAAACCAGACAAAAAAGATGACGACGAAAATGGCCCAAAGCCAAATAGTGACTTGGAAGCTGGAAAGAACCTTCCATTTATTTATGGAGACATTCCTCCAGAGATGGTGTCAGAGCCCCTGGAGGACCTGGACCCCTACTATATCAATAAGAAAGTGAGTGTTTTTTATCAGGCATATTTTGCTGCTAATTGCCTACTGCATTCCTTGGACTGTTGTAGCACCAACACATGCCAAATTAGCACAAAATCTTAAGTATCCTTCTGTTTAAGAAATGAAACACATTTGTGGGTGGTTTATGCATATACATGAGAAATGAATTGATTATATCATAACATATGCAACTGTCCCAAATGCACCATGACAAATAAAAAGAGGCCAGGTGCGGTGGCTCAAGCCTGTAATCCCAGCACTTTGAGGGGCCGAGGCAGGCAGATCACGAGGTTAAGAGATTGAGACCATCCTGGCCAACATGGTGAAACCCCTTCTCTGCTAAAATACAAAAAATTTGCTGGGCGTGGTGGCACACGCATGTAGTCCCAGTCACTCAGGAGGCTGAGGCAGGGGAATCCCTTGTTGAACCCTGGAGGCCGAGGTTGCAGTGAGCCGAGATGACGCCACTACACTCCAGCCTGGAGACAGAGCAAGACTGTGTCAAAAAAAAAAAAAAAAAAAAGAAAGAAGAGAGGGTGGGAGGGAAGGAAGGAAGGAAGGAAGGAAGGAAAGAAAGAGGCAGCTAATTTAACAAATTGACAGATTCTCTCCACAGATTCGATTTACTATACAATTTTTTTGTACTTTCTGTACTTGGAAATACTTGGAAATCTCAAAATCATGAGTTATAAAGACTATACAAAATATTAGTACTAATTTTTCATGCAAACAAATTTGATGCCACAAGGGTTTGCAATTTCAATGTCATGTTATAAACAACAAATCAATTAATTTCCTGAAGAAATTTTGTTACCTGTAAAATAACATTTTTACATAAACTAGAATTTTACAAGTTATTTAATATTTTGGTATTAATGTACTAATATTGGCAAGAATTAACAAAAATGTCATAACCTGAAGAACCTATAAACAATATTTGAATGCGTGCTTTTTTCATATCCATGCTTGAAATGAATCTTATGTTAAGCATCCAACCGTTCATTATGACTGTCATTTCACCAAACCAAAACAAAAAGCATAAAATTTTTTTTAAGATTATTGCATTGATTTTAAATTAAATGTATGACGTTAGGTGATTCGTAACATTTTCTTCTTTATCACTTGACACAATGCATTTGTGAATCTTAGTGGAAAGGTAGGGCACAAAGATTGTAATTAAGTAAATTTTTTTGTTGGACCTGGACCTTAAAATACCCCCTAAACTTTTAGGGACTCTGTTTCTGGCCCAGTTCTGTGTGAAGTTAGTCCTTGCCAAATGCATGCAAAAGTTTGGCATTTGTAATATGTGAATTTGAGGCAGTTTTATAAATCACTTCCGATTGACAGCTACAGTTTCGGAGGAAAGAGCGTCACAAAAGGTTGACTAGCCTTAGGTTCAGATTTTTTTTTAACTTTTCAGGATATAGTCAGTTTAAGTATAACATATTTTCCCTTTTTTTTTTTTCTTTTTGAGACGCAGTCTCGCTCTGTGGCCCAGACTGGAGTGCAGTGGTGCCATCTCGGCTCACTGCAAGCCCCACCTCTCGGGTTCACGCCATTCTCCTGCCTCAGTCTCCCCAGTAGCTGGGACTACAGGCGCCTGCCACCACGCCCGGCTAATTTTCTGTAATTTTAGTAGAGACGGGGTTTCACCATGTTAGCCAGGATGGACTCGATCTCCTGACCTCGTGATCCACCGGCCTCGGCCTCCCAAAGTGCTAGGATTACAGGCGTGAGCCACTGCGCCCGGCCAGTATTTTCCTTTTTTTTTTTTTTTAAACATTATACAACTTTAATGTTACACCATCTACAAATCTAAATTACATTTAAAATTATCAGTTGACAGTGGTACTAGGATTTACTTTAGGAATCACTACATATTTCCCCTTTTTAAAAACTGATCTATTCATTTTACAGTAGAGGAAGGGATGGATCATTTTCCATGTATTTCATTTTCCTCTAACTTTGCTTTTGAACACCATATTGTCAAATCTTAGTTGATAAGAGATTATTAATCTCATAACTGCCATTTAAGTTATGAGAAAAGTTGCACTTTATTATTTAATCAACTCTTTGGAAATTAATGTATCTGAAAAGCCAAAGCCCAAACTAAACAAACTACAAGGACTTTATTTGTATAAGAAAAGTAAAAATGCAGATAATCCAATTGCCTAAACATTTTAATTCGTTTAAAATGACTTCGGTATTGAAGTGAAGACTGATGTGTTCCAGGCAGAAATTCATTCACAGTATAGAGTATGCTACTGTATTTATAGCCATTGGATACTTTTAGTTTATTCAGAGGCTGCTCTTGGGATATGTTAGTGGGCTCCATCCTCAACAGGCCTTTTGCTACCCCCAGACACCGGGTCCTCACCTCTTTGGTAGCAATCACCATCTAAAAATTATTAAAGCCACCCAGCATCTATCCCTTAATCAAACAGGGAAGAAATTTAGTATCTCTGCTCCTATGCTGGGTCCTTATTTGTAAAATAATAAATGAATGTTTTGAGAAAGACCAAACTAATGCATGTTGACAAAGGTAGACATTCTTCATCTGGAAACCAGAACAACCAATCAATCTTTTTTTTCTTTAATTAAAGAGCTTTCAGACTGATAAAAGTGATTGTCTCGAGGGGATGTCCCTAAACAAAATGGTCCATAATTGGTTTATAATGAATTATATATAGCAAAGGATATAAAGACAGATGTAAAACAAAATTGTGCAAACATTTTCAAAATACTCAAAAGAAACATCTTAAAACTGAGGGTGAAAGGCCAACTCTGATGAAGTGACAGCCAGATTCTTGTGTCGAGGAAACCCTTATAAACTTTGTTAGGCTCACGTCTAAACTTGCTCTTAACATCTTCTGTTCTTATCTTCAAATGCACATGGTATGAGGAAAGAAAAGCATTTTGGCATTTTGGAGCAAATCACAGTGTGCAAGTAGAACAACCTGATAAGGGAAATATTGTTATCAGGAAAGAGTTTTCCCCAAGGTAAGGTATACTCATGGCTTTTACATTGAACTGACAGCAAGCAAATCTTCAAATGTAAGTCATTCAACAGCAATGCACACGAAGCTTTTTGCAGGGCTGAAATCCTTAAAAACTAACATGGTGTGCTTAGAACACATGATTGAGTTATGTGTTTGAAATTTCCTTCTTCTGCATTTTTATGTCTTAAGACTTTTATAAGTTGCCTGTACACTTTTTTCTGCCTTTAATTTTCTTTTCTAATTGGATTATTTCAGTATTGAAAAATATCCTTAAATGGAATTAATTTGCTCTGACTAAAGTTGGAATGCTTAGCAAAATCTGAACCTTTTAAAAATAATGAATATTTCTTTCAATATTCGATGACTAATTTTACTTTAGTGACTGGGTTATCTGAGATTGGCTGGGTGATCTTCATTAAAACAATGCGGTACACATACACAGTACTCTTGACACAGCTAAATGGTCAAACAGTGGAAATGTCACCAGGGAAAATGTTTATTAGGACGAGATTTTCCACTAATGCTGATACTGGGGGTGTGGATTAGATTTGCCTGAGTGAAATGGAATATGCAGTTAGACTAGTGATTTCCCTAAAGTTGGACTCTAGTACAATAGTTAATGTGTCATTTGCATCAGTATACAAAGACTCTGGTTTCTTTCTCAACTATATGGAATAGACAAAACAAGCCAATTGTAAAAATATTTGCAGAATCCATTCCTTATGTTATATTTTATGTTAAAGTGCAGTAGTGTACATGCAAGGAATTTATGTGAATAGAAAAAACACAACCACCACACTGAAGCTCTCTGTAATCTTTTACAAAGGCAGTGTCAGTGAGCTTATTAAAATGTCACTGCTGAGAGTATATTTTCCAATGGCATATGCCCACATATTTTTATCCTCTTTGTCCCAGTTTAAGATGTGCAAATTATGTAATGTTCAAATATTCTACTAAAATTGTTAAAGCAGTTTAATCCATGTTCAGTAATATTGTAGTAGTAACTAAAGAAATAGTAGCATCTATGCATCATGAACATTCCTGATGCATAGAAGCATTAGAAGGTTTTTAGATCCTCAGATGTTTTAAGCCTTCAGAGTTCCAGGTTAAAAACTCAGGGGAAAAAAATGCTATCATAATATGGTGACAGTATTTTTCATATCATGTTAGCTCTGACTCAGTGGTCTTTAGAACATGATTCCAGATTGGTTTCCCTTTGTTTGTTTATTTACTTTAGCTGTGTAGCAAGGCACATTTTAGCTTGTGAACACACCTTTTTTTCCCTCACGGGACTTTTTTTCACAGTTTCCTTTCATAGCTTGGGCTGATTTTGTACCATTTGGCCCTACATTCAAATTCTTTACCCACTCTTTATTACAGAAAATGTCTTCCTTCTCATGTTCTTGTTAAAATTACAGACGAATCATTATTACCATGGAAGAAAATATCATTTTAACAATGTGACAGTTTACTGGAAATAGAATGAGACATTTTAGATCTGTAGTAAAAATGGATGTTTGTTAATTATGGAGTGCAGAAATGCATTCATTTTTAAAAAGTCCTATGGATCATTTAAAAGTAACTTATTCTCTCTTGCTATCAACTGTCCTGAAAAGATGCACACTCCCTTTTTCTTGGGCTCCATGAGAAGTCATATATGAATTTGTGATTTCAAATTCATGTTTGGTCTATCACTGCCAAAGGAGTTTTTAGTTGTTAAATTGGGTGGAGAGAGTTTGTTTTGTTTTTAATTGGAATTATGGAGTTTTTCTTGCAAAAGTAATTAACGGGAAATCAGAAAAGAGGATGATTATTAAAAGCTTATAATTTCACGAATTGTCATATGGGCAGTCCCCAGTGTGTAGCTGTTCTTTGCTTATCATCAGCTCCTGTAAAACTAAAAGTCACCCAGACTCTCCCTTACATCCAGGACCCTGTAGTTGACTTCCCAATCTTTCTCTTCCCTATGCACTATTTCTTCCTTGTGCTTCTTTTTCCTTTGTCACCTCCCTGTCTCTGTCTCAGAAACAGTCCCAAGATGGTGATGTTGATCAATAAAATGATGCTTGGCATTTTTAGAGTATCTGCCATATCTATAGGAGATCCTTCAACTGAAAGTTTCCAAAACCCAACAGAAACAACTTTTGGGGAAAAATAAAGGAAATGTGTCTAGTGAATCTGGTTTTAATATCAAAATACCCAGTACCTCAAACAATGTCATGAGGGTACTCCTTTTCCATGGTCAGCTCTGCTGTCACCCATGCTGGCTTCATTTGCAGGCTGGCTCTTCCACAAGATGGCAGAAATAGCCACCAGTGGTGCTAAACTAACATCCTACAGCCTTGTAACTACTATCTTCTGCTAAAACAAGAAAGAAGAAAGAAAAAAGGCCCAGGTTTCCTTCAAAAGCTCTAGCAGTTGTCCTAGAATTGAGTCTAATTAGGTCACATGGCCTCCTCTGAACCACTCACTTTGGCTAGTGGTATGTGATGGTCTCCTTGGTATGGGATGGTCTCTGTCATATACTAACCTGTGTTGCCAAGGGGTGGGTCAGCTCCACCAAGCCACATGGGAAGACAGTGGGGCAGAGATTTACTCCAAAAGGAAGAGAAGAGGAACTGTTAGAAAAGGTGTCCTAAGCAGGCAAAAAAAAAAAAAAAAGCTATGTACTCTACATGCTATATATAATATCAGTATAATTACTGTTCTTTTTTAATCCACAGATTCTTTCAAGATAGCTCTTGTCTTTATTTAAAAATAATAAAACTGAGTTTAAATAACTTGCCTAAGACTAGTTTTAAAACTAGACCAGTGAGTTTCCATGGCCCATTGCCATGTTAGTTTGGATTTGCAGTCATAGCACTAATCACAGCAGTGGAAAAAAAAAAAAGAGAAGTCAGTGATGGAATCTAAATAAGCCTATAGCTGTCCTTCCTGTTTCCTACTCATGCCATTTTGCAAGATGTGATTCTGGTCTCCCAGGCCGGCAGTATTTCCCGAACCCTTACTGGTCATTTCAACACTTGGCCATTTCCTGCCTTTGTAAAACCTTATTTATTTATTATTATTATTCATTTTTATCAACATCACCATCTTGGGACTGTTTCTGAGACAGAGACAGGGAGGTGACAAAGGAAAAACTAAAATCTTAGACACTCAGTGATCTAGATTAGCTTCTAAAATAATTAGAAATTTTTTTTCCCACTAAATTCCAGTAGGGTGATAAGCACCTATTTTCAAAGAGGATCAATTCAGGAAATTTAAATTGTGTGCCTCTATAAGGAAATGGCATTTAAATTGGGATCTGAAGGTTAAAAAGGAGGAGGGAGAGGAGAATCTTCCAAGGAAAGAGAACAGCATAGAATAAGACATATAATCAAGCTGACCTGTAATAGGTAAGAAGAGAATAAGGTGAGGTTGGGGAGGTAGACCTGGGGCTAGATAAAGGGGATCTTTCAGTACATCTTAAAGAGTTTGAAGGTTATCTTCAAAGCAAAATGAATTCCCAACAAGTATTTAGGTACAGCAGTAACATGGTCCACTTTACATTGTTAAAAATCACTCAACTTCTCTATGGAGAAATTTAGGAGTTTTATACTTGATCTAGCATTTTGACAATGGAGATGGAGAATAATGGATAGAGTCAGAATTGGTTTTGGAGGTGTTTAGGTGTCAGACAGAAGGAAGCTGATGGCCTCATTTTCTTAGATAGGAAGTTTGAGAAGAAAGATACTGAACCTGAAAATTCCAATACTAAAATTGGCCATGCTTTGGAGAAACAGAAATGTTCTTATATGTGTATATTTAAGAGTTAGAATACAGAGACGCATTTTAAATATTTTAATCCTTATATTTTTATTGACACTTTAGAATTCACTAAGGGCATTGACATGTTTTATTTCACTTTATCCTCAAAATAATCCTAAGATTGGTATTAGTATAATCTTCTCCATTGAGATGGAGAAATTGAGGGGAATAGTTTGCTCATAGTTCTCACACAGCAAGCTTGTAATCAAGCTGGGCTCAAAAGTGTTCTTTCCAGTCAAAGAAAAATTAACTGACCATATAATAGTGTAGCAGACCCATGGTATGTACATTCTGATGATATAGGGCTGAAAAATGTTTCAGCTCCAGATTTTATTCTTTTTCCTTGTTGTTATAATTTCTTCTCTCTGCTGGAGAAGAGGTTGAGGGCTCTGCAGCCTTGGCTGACAAAAGCCTACCTAGGCACTTTCTAGGGAGGCACCTTCTGCAGAGTTATCTCCTCCACTGGCCCCAACCCTCCACCCAGCTAAAGCATAGGAACAAGCAATTTTACAGACTCTTCTCTAGGTACAAATTCTTCTCTTTTGTGTGAGCATATGGCAACAATGTTTAAAAACTGACTGTGAGGCATGGAGTCCACAGACATGTTTTGTTAAACTAACAAAATTATTTATAATTTTGAATTATTTTCTGGCATTTATAAATCAGAAAATCTTTCACACACTCATAAAATTATACATCTAAGGATTCCTCTTGAAATATGAGTTCAGGCATCACTGACTTATATGCCTAAAACTGGCAGGTACCTATTGTCACTTAGCCTCTGTGGGCATTTTAGTTTGTAATCTGTGGCTTAAGGACCACATCTGTCATTAAGTGAAGGCTATATATTAAAGCTTGGTGGCCCACGGGTAGGCAAGTGACACAGATTGTTGTTTAGTCTGGTTATCACTGGTTGGAAGGAAAAAATTGAATGAGACTAGGAGATGAAAAAATATTAAATATGGCATACTCTCTTCAGAGTCAGGTAGAAAGCCTGCAAGAAAACTTTTCATCCCCCAGTGAGCCAGAAAAGGAAGAAAAGCTTGGCTTGAACTCACAGGCTATGACAAATGAGAAGGGAAGTAGGTGAGACCATTTAAAGTCCTTGGGGAAAAAATATTATATACCATGGAATTGACCCAGCATAAGAAATGTCCCCAGAGATATGTATTATACTAATGGAATCTCCTGACCATCTATGCTGCTCTTCACACCCAAAACTTTGAAGCATCTCTCCTCTTGCAACATGGCTCTAATTCTCCCCCTTCATGCTGGAACCTCTTTCCAAGCCAGCAGCTTAGAGCTATGAAAAACTTAATAGCACTTCTGGGTAGGAGCTAGAGCCAGATAATTTTCCTGGTCTGACTTCCAGGCTATTTCAAGGACAGAACTCTGCCATTTTCAGAGTAACACTTTCTTACACATAGTGATAAAGTTTCTCAGTGCCATTCATTCAGAATTGTACTTCATTAACAGTTTGATAGACCTGTGGGTCTAGAAATATATGTGTATCTGTGAGAATATATGTTCACATTTCCAAACAATTGACTTCCAAATGCATTTCTGGAGCACAGCTCATGTACAAGTTGGAAATTGCCTGTTTCAAACTTTGAAGCTAAAGGATAAATTTAACCAACCAGTAGTATATTCTACATTTTGTGTATTGTTCATCATCATAGCTCACCTTCCTGTGTTATTTCTTGTTTTTGCCAGTAGATTTACTTTAAGAGTAGGAAAGTGCAATAAATTTGGAGTCAGTCCTGTTATTTGGCAATGTTTCAATAATGTTTAGATGAAACACAAAGTTACAGCTTATGTTTAAACTATGTACTTTGAAGAATATGGCCCCTAGATTGAAATAAATGTTAAGGTAATGGCTATATTTAAATGAGAAAAAGAAACTGGAAAACCATGGCTTGTTAAATTCAATGTCCATCCTGGGAAAAAATTGTAAACAAATCACTTTCTATAAGCCCAGAAACAAGAAAAGATTACTAGATAATAACAAATATAGCTTCATAAATAGCAATTTCTACCAAATCATTATAACATAATTATTTTCTTAGTAACTATTCAGTTAGATCAAGGGGCAAGATTTCAATCCACATGTACAACATAATCATTGATAATTTGGCCAATGGTTTGTGATTTTTTACAACCATTAGGTAACAAACATATTAACAGCCCTGCTATGACAGAATCATCTGGATTACTTATTTAAAGTATAAAAACTAGGTATCAAAATCTGACCAGCTAAATTGGAATCACATTACCTCTATGAGCTAAGTACATTTATTCTGTTTTCAAGTGAGATAACTGAGTCACAGAAAGTTAAGAAACCTGTTCCGGATCACACTGCTGGAAGGCAGCAAAGTTAGCTTTTGAATCAGAAATCTAATTTCAGAGTTTGCACCCTTAACATAAGATAAAACAAATCATACTTATATTTTCATAATGTTGCTTCCCAGATTATTAAACTGTTAATTACCAGGGTTATTACCAATTTTTCTATATAACTTCCTTCTTGCTTTTTCTTTAAAACCAGAAATGATTTTTACATGGCAAGGATTGCTGAAGAAGGTATGAGCTTGCTGAACAATGGATGGTTTAAGTTTAGGTCTGTGCTGCCCAATATAGCAGAGATTAATTAGCCTTGTGTAGCTATTGAGTATTTGAAATATGTAAGTGTAACTCCATATTTCAAAGATCTAAGACTTAGTATAAAAATATACATATCTCAAAAATTTTTTATATCAATTTCATTCCCAAATGATAATAATTCAGATATGTTGGGTTAAAGAAAATACTGTTAAAATTAATTTCACCTGCTTTGTTTTTCTTTTAATGTGGCTCTCAGGAAATTTAAAATCATAACTGTAGCTCAGATTTGTAGCTTACATTATATTTCTGTTGGAAAGTGCTGGTCAAGGTAACCTTCATCAATTCTTCTATATTCTATTAAAACAAATAGTTGAGCATCTCCTAGTTTATAAATGTCTTGGTGTCATAACCTATGTATCTTTGTTTTCTCTTTAGAATGTAGCACAGGGCATTGCAAATATTGTACTAAACAGTTAATACATGTATTCTGAATTGCCATCAATTGAAATTAACAATTGGACCTAAACTAGGTCCCTGCTCATACATAATTACCAACTTATTGTATATATGCCCAATAAACTTGGTACCTGTATATGAAGACATAAGTGACAAGCTAGAACAACCCTATTGTATGAATGTTACATTCCTGCAAATAAGTCTGTAAAGTGATTTTTCATATATAAAATCTAGTTGTTACCTCAGTTACAATGCCATGCTTCAACATTTGTTTTGAAGCAGAAAATTATCCACGTGTTAAAATGATGTTATTAATTTCAAACAGTTCTATTTCTTTGTAGAACTGCAATTAAAGCATTTGTTTTGGCACTAAAATGAACTGAAGGACAAATATTAAGAATAGTCATAGATGTGCCTGAATTGTACTAAACCACAAAGTCTTGCTGCTTGTAAGTGGAGCCAGTCATGTCAATGTTCCTATGAGCCTTGGGTGGTAAAAAGGGGTTTGTTTTGGGCTAGATACTACTGTATAAACCTTTTCTCCTCCACCACCAACTTTGAACTGTTTCTTTTTTATTCAAATGACTTAATGCAATAAAAGTTATCCTGATAAGTTGTATTAATGAAATCTTTGTTGAACTAATTAGATTTAAAGGATGCTAAGATACTTCACTATAATAAGCTAACCAATACATTCTTTTAAAAAGTTTTTAAAAAGTCACCCAATTTAATAGTTCATAAATCTTGATTAGCTTAAAGCTACACAATATTTGTTTATACAGTTTAAGGTACAGCAATATCTTAGCTAGTCTTTGAACTCTTCCCTCTTGGAGCCCTTTCTTATACGTATAGCGGGGAAGGCAAATATTTATATATTTGAAAACTCTAGAGCTACTTAAGTATTTGTTGTAAGCAAACAGTATTTCCTTCAGACTCTTCCCTCCCTTCAATATCATCAATGCCACTTTTGGGAGAAAGCTGTATCTGAGAGTCCTTGGAAACAAGTATCCTTTTATTAATTCTTAACACTTATAAACTGAATGATCGGCTTCTTGGCTATGTAAGCAATTACAAGGAGGTAAGATACAGACAGTTGAGGAAATAAACAAACATAAGATCAATTACATATAATAAGACTGACATTCTAAATGGAACTTACTCTGACATGAAAGTGCTATCATATTTAAAATTATACATATTGGGTTGCTATACAAGTCTGGGTACTGTTGCTTTATTGGAAGGCTGTTTAAAATCCATCAATACCTTAAAGCTACATCTATGAAGTTTGTACATAAGCATGTATGTTTCAATCTGAGAAAAATGGAGTTCTCACAGAAGAAATCCTATGAAAAAATGGTCCTTTAATGTTGGCCTTATTGTTAGCTTCCTGGGTAGCAAGGATGTCTTGCACAACAGTATGTCTTATGAAAAATTAAAGCAAAACAAATACCGTTGTTCAGTAAAAACCTTACCAATTCCATTTATAAATTCAACTTGCAAGTATTTTCCATTGCACATATAAATCTTGTTACCAAATAATCTTCTACACATTCTTTAAATTTTTAAAATGAATAAAGGGAATACACTGTAAAATCAGTAAATGTTTTCATCTAAGGCTTGAACAATTGATAATTATGCCCATTTGTTTTTAACTTTTGTGTCAAAGTATTAATTTTCTCTATGTCAAAGGACTTTTAGATTTAGAATCACATACCAACATTGAGAGTGCTTTGGTTTCATTAAACTCATCTTACTTAGTTTCAGCCCTTTATACCTCCTTTTATCTTATTTTTTAAATTGACACGTAATAATTGTACATATTTATGAAGCATATAGTGGTTTTAATACATATGATGTATAGTGATCAGATCAGAATAATTAGCATATCCGTCATCTCAAACATTTATCATTTTTTGTGTTGGGAACATTCAATATCTTCCTTCCAGCTATTTGAAACTATATAATAAATTATTTTTAACTGTAGTCATCCTACAGTGGTGTGGAGAGCTAGAATGTGTTCCTCCTATCTAGTTGTAATTTTGTGTCCTTTAACAGATTTCTCTCTGTCCCCACCTTTCCCCGATTTTTGTCTAGAATCCTCTGCTCTTTTTACTTCTAGGCAGACTTCCTTTTTGGAACCTTTTGTGTTTGGTTTCTGAATCTTGCCTCTTTTACTTTTTAGTACTCAGGGCAGAAATATTTCCCCTCCCTTCTTTTAGATCTCTAGCTTTGCCTTTTACTTTACCACTCCTTGTCTGTCTTTTCTGTTTTGGTCATTTATTACCTCTGGTCATGGTTTGGGCTGAACAGTGGCCAAGGAGCCAGCATCACAGGTGTTCTCTTCTAAGTATGGTCCTGTCTCCTTAGGATGAGCCTGGTTATTTTCCTTATCCACGGAGGTACAAACAGTACCATCTTGATTATCCTCACACTCCAGCCCATGATTTAGGCCATCTATGGATTGTCATTTCTTTCTCATTATCTCTTTGTATCACTACTATTTGTTTCAAAATTAGCTTTTAATATTATCTGAAATCAAGAGATTCTTATTTTAAAATATATATATTCTGTGTTATATTTTTACTGGTTCTCCTACCTGTGCCCCTAATATTTCTTTTTCTTTTTTTCAGATGGAGTTTTGCTCTCATCACCCAGGCTGGAGTGCAGTGGCGCGATCTTGGCTCACTGCAACCTCCGCCTCCTGGGTTCAAGCGATTCTCCTGTTCTCCTGCCTCAGCCTCCCAAGCAACTGGGATTACAGGGACCCACCACCAGGCCCAGCTAATTTTTTTGTGTGTTTTTAGTAGAGATGGGGTTTCACCATGTTGGCCAGGCTGGTCTCAAACTTCTGACCTCAGGTGATGTGCCCACTTTGGCCTCCCAAAGTGCTGGGATTACAGACGTGAGCCACTGCGACTGGCCATCTGAGCCCCTAATATTTCTTTCAGATTTTACTCAGCATATCTGGGGGGAAAGGAAGTATATGCAGTACATTTGAAAGGTGGACCATATTTATTCCTGAGCTAGCTCACTTTGGGCCTTTCTGTGTCGTTACATGCTCATATTCCCCCACAGCAAAGGCATTTGCATTGCACAAGTCTGTTCAGATTTACGATGATCTCACAATGTCATTCAGGGACAGAATCCCTCAATGAATCAGAGAAAAAGAGGGCTAAGTATTGTTGGCATAGGGGATTGTTCTTCTAGTAAGCACAGGTGAAATTCTCCCTTCCTTCAAATGCGCTTTGTGGTAAAGCTCTATCTGTTTTCTGGACTCATACTCCTTCAAAGATGATAGAGGGAATGCAGGCAGAGGTGAGACTTGGAGCAGTGCTTCTCAAACTCTGTTGAGGATGTGAGGTCTCTATTCTTCTATAAAATGAAGTAAAAATTAGTTTCTAGAAAACTGAAATGAAAAACAGGCCCACAACAACATCCCCCTACTTTTTTATTATTAGAATAGACAGACACAACATTAATTGGCCAAATTGCCTTACAAATTTCTAAACATGGACTCTCCATATCTATACTTAACCAGTACTGGTTGGGGGACCATACTTTCACAGCCAGTTTAGGACACTTCTACCCATACCAGATAGAAAGTGCTTAATTTTCAAAAACCAACTCCATTAGCAGGTAGGGGTGTGGGAGGGTGGGTTTGCTTTACTTGAATTTAGAAAATCCTGCAAGTATAGGGGAAATCTGTTAATGAGCTAAGACTATACAAAGATTCTTAGTAGAAAATAAACATAACATTTATGCTTGCTGTATCATAACATGATCTGTGCAGATATGCATCCTAAGGCTTAGAAAAGAAAGCTTTCGAAGAATGGGTGAATTTAAAATCAAGAAGCTTAAAATTTCCTTCCCCAAATATGCTCTTCACAGAGATAAAGGCTTTCTCCCTGGCTCTGTCTAAATATAAGTAAGCACCTTGGAAAACATTGAGTCAGAGCCCTTTTTATACCCTTACATGTTGCTTCTTTAATGTTTTGTCTGCCCACTGCCAATTGATCTCAAATAAGTCTAATTTTTGGAAGGAATTTCATTCACATTCATGGATCCTGGATTCTTCAGGAGCTTGGAGCTTCTCCTCTGTGATAAGAAAGCACTGCATAAGATAGGAAGTCAATTGGGATTAGAATTCAATATGTCAGCTAACTCAGAAATCCCAGTACAGAATTTAGCACTCCTGGTCAACGGGTACTCTCCAGGGATCTTGGCCTCCAGAAATCAATTATTGGATTACATCCATCTAACCCAAGAGTGGGTTTGATGGTGGCTGTTTTTATTTTCTATTACGAAGAGAGTGATAATGTTTATTTTATGAGGATAGATGGTAAAAACAATCTTTATTTCAAAAATAGTATCAGTTCTGTTGAATGATTTTGCGTTCCACAGGATTAATTTTCAAGATATTTGAATTGGGAAAGCTGAAATGACTATAAAAAGCATGTAGTGCCTTAAGTTTTTTGGAATGAAATGAAATGTGCACCCATTTAAGACTTTCATTTAACTCAGACACTTAAAATATCGAGAAAATAAATGACTTCTCTTGGCTAATTGTCTTATGTACAATAAAATTGAGGGTAAGTATTAGGTAAAAGGTAAGTGGTATCATTGGATTTCCTCTCTAATTAAGAAGAGATCCAGTGACAGTTTGTTTTCATGGGGCACTTTAGAAATTGTGATTGTGCTGGTTTCTCATTTAACTTTACAATAATTTATTATGACAAGTAACAGAAAGTAGATAACAGAGTTTAAGTGGTTTATACTTTCATACTTCTATGTTGTGTTCCTGTCTTACAGACTTTTATAGTATTGAATAAAGGGAAGGCCATCTTCCGGTTCAGTGCCACCTCTGCCCTGTACATTTTAACTCCCTTCAATCCTCTTAGGAAAATAGCTATTAAGATTTTGGTACATTCATATCCTTTTTCAAGTGATTAATATTAACTATTTGTACATGATCTGTAAGCACTTTATAGCTAAATATCAAATTAAGTTGGGAAATGTCCATATTATATAGTTTTCATCACTCTCATTTTGCATCTTTGTCATATTAGCCTCATTCTTAAAGTTCATTAATCACATAGACATTACTGAAACATGTACTCTTTAACATTTTATATATTATATATAAACATGTATTTATGTACTTTTGTTATCTTTCTAAAAACACTTATATGTATTGAATCCTACAAATCTAAAGTAAGATAACCATGTTTACCTCTACCATCTTTATACAAAGTTTGTGATGGTGTAGAATTTTCAGTGAGCAATGATATGATAACAGAAAAATCTACTTCCAGACTCAAGTTTATCCATAGTTATGATATAAAACACTTCAGTGTATCTTAGAATAAACCTTTAAGTATATTTTCTGTCAGAGAATGTCAGGAGTCTTTGGCCAGTACTTAGTTAATTCTTGAAATTTCCTGATGATTTTTGTGAAGGAAGTACTGGAATATTGGCTGAATTTCAAATTCAAGTCATGAGTTATGATGCTGCCATGCAAAACTGTTTGCTTAGTAAAGACTCCGGAAGTTAATGAGAGAAGTTGGCATATATTTCCAAATGGTCTTAAGGGATTTGGTTTCATGATTCCCATTGGTGTTAAAAAGGACTCCACGACTAAATTCATTTGTTAATCAATTTAGGAAAACAATTCACTTCTGATTGTATCTTGTTTGATAGCTTTGACAATAATAGATATTAAAATACCATTATAATTATCATAAGCTCATACTTTTTTTTAAAGGATTCTAAAATTTGAACGGCCATTCTAATTTTAATATGACAGCAAGAAATTTCTTTAGTGGTATAAATATGCTATTACTAAAATTAAAAGATTTGAAACATAAAAATCATATGATAGGGTTTTTATACTTAGGGAAGTTTCCTTGTCCCAGTTTGTATTCCTAGCGCCATCATGTGGTCATTTGATGAAAACTTTCTTTTTCAATTATGGAAAATTTTTGTTTTGGCAGTAAACTATAGTGGAAAGAATATTGGATCTTAATGTAGGAAACTTATATTCTAGTCCTGGACCCTTTATCTGATTCCTCTAGAGCTTAGTAAGGCCTTATTTCCCTGATTTTTAAAATATAGTGATAAACTAATTTTTAGGGTCCCTTTCAGTTTTATAATTCTGTTATGTCTGTTCATTTGTTTTAGCTACCACTTAGAGTATATTTACTTACGTACCGTGACTGTTCCAAGCATTTCCAATACATTAACTCATTTAATCTGCATGTAGAAATGGTTACATTACAAAATGAGTACATTATTAGCTCCATTGTAGAGAAGTAGGAAGAGATACAAGGCAATGGCACAGAGAGGTTGAGTCTCTTGGCCAACATCACTTTGCTATGTTGAATTTTAATTACATTCCCATCATGTTAAGTGTCAACCTTCAAGAATATTCACTTTTAATGTTATCGAATCCTGCTGCACTTGTATAAACTCAGTCAAAATAGAGCAACCCAACAATTAGCATCGTGCTGTACTTTGACTACAAATTGTTTTCATGCGTTGAACTGTGTTGGATAAGATGTGTTTAAGAAATTACAATATTGCAGATAAGTGGCCTTCCTCAACAATTTACTAGTTTATTCACCTGAATGAGCTCAAGTCAATACTTTCTGCTGAAAAACTGTGCAACTCCAGGTAGCACAAAAATAGTCTTCCCACTGAAGTTCTCTGGGAGGTGAATATATTGATTTAATAATAGTTGTAAAAACAACACCTTATACTGATATAATGCTTTCATATACATTACCTCATTTAATCTATACAAATACTCAGTGAAGGTGATATTATTACCCACATTTTACACATGAAGAAATTGAAATGTAAGGAGATTAGAAGACTTGCCCACAATGCATTTATCCCTGAATTTTGGCTAAGCTGCAGTTTGGGCTTTTCAATGTTAGCTTTTTGTAATATAACACTTGGATTTTGATTTTCTTTTGTGTGTTCCTTAACAATAACCTACATTATTCAGCATGCTAATTATGTGCACTATTTTGACAAACTGTGTGTTTATGACAATGAGTAACCCTCCTGATTGGACAAAGAATGTAGAGTAAGTTCAACTTATATTTTTAATAACATATATACATTTGGGATTTTGAAACTGTGTCTTAATGTAGTCTTAAAATAAAACTGAAGAGCATTTTATTAAAGTCATTCCTAGACAAAATTACGCAGCAAGAGGACAATGCTCATTGGCCCTCAGGCCTGCTGGCGTTATACTGATTATCACTCTCTTTTGCCTGTACCTGGTGTTCACCTGAAGACCACCACTCTTGGACATTTACCCCTTTTTCTTTAAAATCTACAGTAGCCAAACCAAATGTGGTCAAAGCAATTGCAGAAAAGAGCCAATATGGTAGACATTGGTTCCAGTTAAATTCCAGATAAATACATTGAATCAAGAATCAAAAAGGGTTAGTTACAAATGCCATGTGAAGACAACATTGAACCTCGCAAAGTTTTCATTTCCATCAGGCACATTCACTTCATGTCAGGCCAATATAGTTCCAAGCGTGGTCACCAACAAATTGAAAAATAATCCAAAGTTTCAGGGTTGTAGAACTTGAAAATTCAGTAGACTGAAGACTAAACTAACAGAAGTGGAACTTTTTGTAGAGCTTTCAGAAACCAGAAGCATTACTAACTATATTGATGATCTCTCTGTTCTGGGGATACCTTCGAAGCACAGAGGCCAGATTTGTGATAACTGAAGTTGGGCTACTCTAACCATAGCTGCTCACCTGCCCACACTTCCTATTTGTAATGCCTGTTACTATACAGCTGCTGACCCATAGCAACTACAGAAGTATTAGGTTGGTGTAAACATAATTGTGGTTTTTGCCATTACCTTCAATTGAAGCTAATGTTTGCACCAACCTATTTCCAAGAGTGTCCACCAACATTTGCACCAACCTATTTCCAAGAGTGTCTCCTTTCCTAGACACTTCCAGGCTGAAACCAATAAGAAACATGACATCTTGAAGAAAATAATAAATTTTATATACAAAAAAATTCTAAAGTATTGAAGCTAATATGGGAGGCCCCACAGGTTTTCAGTCGCCCTAGTTTTCTTGTGATTTTATGCCACTCTCACACCCCAATTTCTGAGTAGAAGATTTAAACTTTGGAAACACCTAAGTTTCTGAATTATCAGAAGAATTTTATTCTAAATTAAATTTTTACTTCTTATAACCCTAGAAGTATTTACTTTGATTTTAAAGAAGTCCTTGTTCCAAGCAAGTTAAATTATCTTGTAGAAAAAAAAAAACACGTGCTAATTTGTCAGTTTCCTCTCATTCTTAGAACACTATTAAACTTGAGATTTTTTTCCCTAAAAGAAAATCATTTCATGCTTCTGCAATATTATTGATTGGCTATTCCATCATGTAAACATACTAAATATTTCTCAGGAGACTATATTTACATAAATACCAAGACATTTCAGACAATGGCTAAATAGATTTCATATACCTTGTATTTCTCACACTACTCTTAAGACACTTTACGAAACAACTCTTTGTGTTAGGAAGCTGAATTTAAATTTAGGGCTACGTTTCATTTGTATGAAATTAAAATCCATCTGCTTAGTTTTCTTTTTTAGTATTTATCTATTCCACTGATGGAGTGATAAGAAATTGGTATGCTATGAAAAAACACTGTTACTTTATCAAATTTTTTGGATGCTTGTTTTCAGATACACCTTCACAGGAATATATACTTTTGAATCACTTATAAAAATTATTGCAAGGGGATTCTGTTTAGAAGATTTTACTTTCCTTCGGGATCCATGGAACTGGCTCGATTTCACTGTCATTACATTTGCGTAAGTGCCTTTTTTGAAACTTTAAGAGAGAACATAGTTTGGTTTTCCATCAGTGCTTATGCTTTTAAGAATAGGTTTGCTTTACCTGTAGAATATTTTGGTGTGATTTATACATTCAAACTCTGGATTTCAATTTAGCACAACAAAGGTCTAAGTGGAATTTCACTATAGCATGAAGGCTTTGCAGTAGTTGAAAACTACAATTTTCACACGTAGCATCAGTCAGAAAATTTCACATATGCCACTCTTCCACACACACATGCACAAACACACACACATATGAACACACACAATCTAATGTCAAAACACAAGCATATTTGTAATACATCTGTGAAAATAACTTTAAAAATTACAGCCACAAAACAGTTCTATTGGCTACACAAATTTGCAATGACCTTGCTGATATTACACACAGCTTCTTTTATTGGTTTGGTAAAATAATTGAAAGTAAGTATCTACTAGCATCAAAACGATCTGACAAATCAAACTAAGAGAAGAAAGAAGATACTTGAAATATTATGTTTTTAATATATTAAATTACTGATTTCTAAGACCTGTAGAGGAATACATTCTCTCTGCCTCTTTCTGTTTCTCTCCTGACCCCTTTTCTTTCTTCTTTTCTTCTTTCCTTTTATGGCTCTCTTCATCTCTTTAGTCTGAACATAAACTTCCTTATCCTTATCTCCTATTCATATCCACTCAGTAATATGCACAGTTTATGCACCCCAATGCTTTTTTTTCTAGTGGCAAACTTCCTCAGGAAGAGACCCAGAAAAATAATAGAAAACCATTCCAGACTAAGTGAAAGTAGAGTGTAGAAGGAGGCAGCCCAACAACACTTACCCTCATCCTTCCTTCAGGAGCTGATTTTTTGGCCTCTAACAGTTGTGATGTAGTGGATAGGAGCAGGAGAGGTGGCACTGATACACTCAGGACTCCGAATGTCTGGTCTTAATTTCCTATCTGATCAGGATGAGCCAATTCTTTGCTAGGCTCTCTGGTCACAGCTCAAAAGAAGGCCTACAGGACTTCTATTTCTTAAGAACAAAATGGCAGTAACAATAGGCGCAGCATTGGACCCTCATCAAGTATTGTTCTTAATTTGCTTAACTTTTATTTAAAAGTTACACTAGGAAAATCTTATCTCATATATAAAAGCAGTAAGGCAAACTGCCTTTTCATGCCTAAATTTCTGTTGGGTGATTTCATATATTTTTTTCTAACTAAAACCCTAAACCATAGCCAAGATTTACTTTCTTTTTACAAGTTACACATGATGTTGGTTGCATTGCTTTCCAGAGTGACAACAAGGGTGTCTACTTTATGAAGTTTACATTTAGCTAATGGCCTTAAATTATGTGAACAAAGATTAATGATGGAATCTAATTCCTGATTTACCACTTATAATATTTATCATTTAAAATCACCAAGAAGGTCTTTATAAAAGACCCATGCAAGTAATATAAATCCTGCTAAAATCTTGAATAATTCTGATTTAATTCTACAGGTTTGTAACAGAATTTGTAAACCTAGGCAATTTTTCAGCTCTTCGCACTTTCAGAGTCTTGAGAGCTTTGAAAACTATTTCGGTAATTCCAGGTAAGAAGTGATTAGAGTAAAGGATAGGCTCTTTGTACCTACAGCTTTTTCTTTGTGTCCTGTTTTTGTGTTTGTGTGTGAACTCCCTATTACAGGTACGTCACAGAGTTTGTGGACCTGGGCAATGTCTCGGCATTGAGAACATTCAGAGTTCTCCGAGCATTGAAGACGATTTCAGTCATTCCAGGTGAGAGCAAGGTTAGATAATGAGACGGACCCATCATGTGATTCAGCATCCTTCTCTGCTTGACATTCAGTTTTACAGAAAATCAGGAATCATAAGACTAGGTGTTTCAAAGAAAATGATTCTTATTGTTTAGACATAAGCTTTATCAGCCTTGGAGTTTAACAATGTCTTATGTGAGATACTGTAATTTGAGGTCAAGGTGACCTGCACTTACAAATATCATGGGTTTTTTTTTTTTTCACCATGTTAGTTTTATCGAGAATTTGCTCCCTTTTAAATGTACCAATCTGTAATTTCTTATTCATTAGAGTCATTAATGACTATGTGTATACAATGCAAATCTTCTAAGTTTTTTGCTAACAAAAGAGAAGGGAATAAGACAATAAAGAATAGTGTGAGTCTGCATGGAGGATTTATTATCTTAAGGCACAATTATACTGCAGACCATTTTCGGTTGTACAGCAAAATCTTTCCTACTTATAAATAGGAATTTTAAAATATTTATTCAGGTATTTTGTTATAAAACTGACCTCTGACCCTAATGAAAATATGAGACAAGTTTCAGTAGCAAAAAGGAAAAAGACAAGGCCCTTTCCTTAATATAGGCTCCATGAAGAACATGAACCTTCCATTACTCTATCTCGACATAATGGGATATGAATCTTCATTTCATTGTTTAAATCATTACATTTCTGGAGTTTATCTTCATAAGTTCTTCCCCTTCAATGAAGTGTTGCTTCTCCACTAGCGTTGCAAACATTCTTGGATTTATGAATGAAATCTATGTTTTCAAGAAAATTGTGTGAAGCTTTTATTATTTCACACGTGTTAAGTCTTCATAGTAATAGACTTCTTTCTTTCAGGCCTGAAAACCATTGTGGGAGCCCTGATCCAGTCTGTGAAGAAGCTCTCAGATGTAATGATCCTGACTGTGTTCTGTCTGAGCGTATTTGCTCTAATTGGGCTGCAGCTGTTCATGGGCAACCTGAGGAATAAATGTATACAATGGCCTCCCACCAATGCTTCCTTGGAGGAACATAGTATAGAAAAGAATATAACTGTGAATTATAATGGTACACTTATAAATGAAACTGTCTTTGAGTTTGACTGGAAGTCATATATTCAAGATTCAAGTAAGAATTATTGTTATGTACATTTCCTTAAAAAGTAGAATTGGATTGTTTGTAACACAAAGGATAAATACTTGAGGGGCTGGATATCCCATTTTACATGATGTGATTAGCACACATTGCAGGCCTGTATCAAAACATCTCATGTACCCCATATATAGAAACACCTACCATGTACCCACAAAAATTAAAATTTAAAATTTAAAACTAATGAAATAAATAAAACACCCTCTAAAAAAGAATTACTATCATGTATATTTGGTCTTTTCATTGCTAATGTGCCTTCCATCTAGGAATGAAAAATATTTTTAAATGATTACATAACAAGACGTGATCTTTTAGAAAATTACCTAATCAAACTATTTAACAATATTTAAAATTATATTTTATTTGGTATTTCTACCCCCTGGATTTTAAATAATAGATTATTTATATTTCTGGAACTAAAAGAAGAATTTTGTTAATCACCTTATCAATGGCTTCCACATACATTTAACAACTTTGTTCATAACTACTCTAGTTTTGACTCCTAAATGCCACTTTCTATTTTATCATCATTTGGAAGGCTGAAGAATTCAGCTAGAAAGAATTTTCCTAGGATCCTTGGTTGCTATACATTCTTCCTGTGGTGATTGATATAATGAAAGGAGATAAAATATGTGAATGCCCTTTGCGAATTCTACAATACTATGCAAATGTAACTCATTATACATTAATTACACAATGTCTTTAATGTATCAGAAACTGTATAGTACACTGGGGAAAATAATGGAGGTAATGCATGGCTTCAGAGTGTTATAGTTTAATAGATTATTTTATTACCTTAAGGAAATAAAGTGATACCTAAAAGTAAATCTTATTCTTATATTTAAAAAGTAGTATTACATTAAAAAGAAGAAAATTACAGTTAATAAAGCTTCAGGAGACAGTAATAGAAAATGTTAGTTGGGTGCAGTGGCTCACACCTATAATCCTAGCACTTTGGGAGGCTGAGGCTGGAGGATCACTTGAGGCCAGGAGTTTGAGACCAGTGTGGGCAACATAGTGAGACCCCTTCTCTACAAAAAAAAAATATATACACACATATATATATATATATATATATATACTTTTTTTAATGAGTTGGGTGTGGTGGCATCTTCCCATCTCAGCCTCCTTAGTAGCTGGTGATACGAATGCCAGTAGGTCCACTTCAATCACCAGCTCCCTGAAATCTGTTGTTTGTTTGTTTTATCTAAGTTCAAAATACTGACTATGAGGGTTATTTAGGGTTTATTCTCTCTAGGGAAAATTTATTGGACTGCATTTTTCCAATACTCGAAGTAAAATAATATCTGAGGTCATTTTCAGCTCTAAACATCTATGGTTCTTATTTTAAACCAAATGCAAATATAAATAAAATGGTTCATTTCTGAAAATAATAGAAAATTAAATTTATTAAAATTAAAGGTAACTATTATAACTGAAAAATTATATTTTCCTCAGGTTAAGGCTGATCATTAAGGTTAGATCATTGAATTTAATGGGCAAAACTTCATTTATAAATATGAGATATCAAAAATTCATCCAGAAACTATTATAGTCCTTTCTCTTTGTTTAATTTTAATTGAAAGTTAGGAAATACTATGTCAACTTTCCTGTCTAGGTTCAAGGAAGTCAGAATATTAGAAATAAAAATGATATTTTTCCTTATGTGCTTCTGTGTCCTGTACAGAACTATGTATGGAATAAATTCCTCAGAAAACTTAGCATCTAGAAAATATATCTTCTTACAAAATCCAACATTGATTGTTTAATTCCATGTTTTTCTCTTTTTGTCTTTTATTTACTTATTCATTCAATAAACTTTACAGAAAGGCTACCCGGTCTCAAACAAACACTAATATAGAAATAATTAATGATTGGGACTTTCTAGGAGGAATATTTGTAAATAAATAATTACAATATAGTAGTGTCATCCTAAGAATAATTCAAGTATATACAGGTTACTGGTAGCACAGTGAGGGGAGTTCTTAATTATGTCAATATTTAGTAGAAAGAAAGTTGAAAATACCAAGGAAAAAGTTATAGAAGAACTGGACATTGCAAGAAGCCAAGGAGTTTGCAAGAAACAGGAATCTTTGAGATAATGTAGTGTTCACCTATAGTCATTATTTTAGCTTTAGTATTTAAGACTTTTTAAAATTGCTTTCATTTCAGTTGTTGATATGATTTATGCATATTTTACTATAAGTTGCCTATATTCTGCAAAATGTGAGAATATGTTATACTTAATTATTAAAATGTATAGTGTTAAAAATATAGGCGAGAGGACCAGAAAATATACTATTCTTTTATTTTGAAATATGTGGCTGTTTTGCAAAAACAAAGAAATTCCTGTCATTCCTGTCTATTTTTACTGAATGAATTTTTTTCGTGAGAATGGTGAACAAATGCTAATACCTTTTTGAAAGATTATGTTAGTACCTGTCATTATCACTAACTTTACATTCATAATGAAGAAATACTTTGCACTGTAAAGTGTCTAAAGTATCTTTGCACTGTATCTAATCTAATGTCATTTCTTCATAATGAAGAAATACTTTGCACTGTAAAGTATCTAATAGAATATCTAGAATTTAGAGGGAGAAGAGACAAATACTTGTGCCTTTGAATGAATAATATATTTAAAATTACTCAATAAACTTAAAAGTAGAACCTGACCTTCCTGTTCTCATTTGAGTGTTTTTAACAATGCAAATGTTCATCATACGACTTTCTTTTTTCAAACAGGATATCATTATTTCCTGGAGGGTTTTTTAGATGCACTACTATGTGGAAATAGCTCTGATGCAGGGTAAGTCAATAATTTGTGTGTATCTGTGTATATTTGTATGTACACATACATATGTGTATCTTTTCTCTCTTTTTATAGAAACTGAAGATAACAGCCAACTAATTTTATTGACATTAATTTGCTATATGTAAGGTTTTTGATAAAGTATGAGATTATGTAAATATTAGGTAAGATTTATGTTTTCTAAAACAAGAAGTAATACTTTTAGACACATGCACACGTATGTTCATTGCAGCACTATTCACAATAGCAAAGACATGGAATCAACCTAAATGTCCATCAATGATAGGCTGGATAAAGAAAATGTGGTACATATACATCATGGGATACTATGCAGCCATAAAAAATAACTAGATCATGTCCTTTGCAGGGATATGGATAGAACTGGAGGCTATTATCCTTAGCAAACTATTGCAGGAACAGAAAACTAAGTACCGCATGTCCTCACTTATAAGTGGGAGCTAAATGATGAGAACACATGGACACATATAGGGAACAACACACACTAGGGCCTACCAGAGTGTGCAAGGTGGGAAGAGGGAGAGGATCAGGAAAAATAACTAGTGGGTACTAGGCTTAATACCTCAGTGATGAAATAATCTACACAACAAACCCTCATGACACACATTTACCTATATAACAAACCTGTACATGTACGTACCCCTGAACTTCAAATAAAAGTATAAAAAAAGAGAAAAATATCTATTAAACACCTACTGTATATAACAGCAAACATACAAAAAGAGGAGTAATCCTGTTCCTACTTTTTTAGGAGTATATAATAATAACAATGTTGTTCTTTTAGATAAGTATATTGAGCTATAAACTCTGGAGACTCCATAGTAGTAAAAATGAAATGGAGGTGTTGAAAATGCAAATTATCAACAAAAATTATTTTGTAAAATATTATTAGAAATGCTGCACCATATTTTAATGATGACACCAAGTAGCTAATAAGACTATATGCAGTCAAAAGTTGGGAAATAGATTAGTTACTTATTTGTCAAACTTTTATTTTGAAATACCAAATCTTTCTGACTAGGCAATATCATAGCATAGTATCAGAGTAAAAAGGCAGCAGAACGACTTGTAATACTTTCTTTTACCCCACTTGCAGCCAATGTCCAGAGGGATATATGTGTGTGAAAGCTGGTAGAAATCCCAATTATGGCTACACAAGCTTTGATACCTTCAGTTGGGCTTTTTTGTCCTTGTTTCGACTAATGACTCAGGACTTCTGGGAAAATCTTTATCAACTGGTGAGAACTAAAGAGCCACACTCTCCATTTAAGTAAAAGTATACAAGAAAACCAATTGAGTTATGAAATTAAAACCGGATGATAATATAGTAGAAAGAGCAGAACTTGAAACGAGACTTGAGTTCCTCTATCCTATTGATTATAACACATACTGAGCAGAGTGATGCCAAGGATTGCAATTCTCTCCCATTTCTTCTTGGCTCAAAACCTGTTCCCTACCCTTCTCAGACACAGATTGTCCTAAACAGAAGGCACATTCTCCCTTCAGCCCTATCTACCCCCTCAAATATTATCCCTCAGGTGGGAAGTAATGAAAATGAAAAAGCAGATATAGAAAGATAACTTTGGTCTGTTCCTTGACTTTCCTAAAGGCTCAGGTCGTTAATGGAGGACTCCATGGCATTTTATTGACTGTTTCATTCTTGGTGAATACAAAAATTCTGCCATAGAAATCATAGTGTGAATGCATAAGCTAGAAGAGAAGGAAGAAGCTGAAGTTAAAGAAACAATAAAAAAAAAGTACAGGGTGCTATGACCAACATAATTACTATTTATATCTGAGTTTTGCTAGACACATGAGTAAATTGAAAGTTGAAGCCACCACTTAGTGAAATAATATTGAGAAATAATTCTGATATTTTTGTTTGCAGACATTACGTGCTGCTGGGAAAACGTACATGATATTTTTTGTATTGGTCATTTTCTTGGGCTCATTCTACCTAATAAATTTGATCCTGGCTGTGGTGGCCATGGCCTACGAGGAACAGAATCAGGCCACCTTGGAAGAAGCAGAACAGAAAGAGGCCGAATTTCAGCAGATGATTGAACAGCTTAAAAAGCAACAGGAGGCAGCTCAGGTAAAGCTGCCCTGTCTCATGGCACTGACCTTTTATCGTTCTGATTGTTACGTAATATTGAAGAGAAAGTGAGTACCTAAGAGCAGGTGGTTGTATGAGGAATTAATAATGATTTCTATATTTTGATGATCCACTTACTTTTATTTAGTTTAATTATTTTATTTGAGATGTGTATAATAATAACCACAATAGAACTCTCTCATGCTATTTTAATCATCTTAAGATTCTCAAAGTAAAGGGAAAATGTTATTTTGGGGTATTTTCAAGTGAGAGACTTTTATTCAATGAGTAGACTGGCATTAGGAGGAAATCATCTTTTCTTAGAACAAGAAATTATTGGTTATCATATGAAGAGTTGCTCCTCTAGTTCTTAAACATAGTCTCCTTTTTTCTTTAACTAAAAATATGTTGGCTTTTAACGTGGTTGCTTTATTACCTTTATAAGGAAGTGATCAAATAATATAATGATCTCTGATACAGCAGCATCCAATAGACATATGAATGTTACCAATCTTACACAGATTGACCATCTAAAAAGGATTACTTGTTTTTATAGTGAAGTGTTAGTCCTCACAGTGTGATAAATCATAAAATGCCTCTCCTATCTCTCTCATCTTTCTGTTTAGCATACAAACTTATTGTCTTTACTAAAGAAGAAAGTTGTTTCAGAAATATTAATTTATATGCAAGAGTAATTAATTTATCGAGGTTACCCTGGGAACAATGATAATAATAAAAAAGTGTCAACTTAGTACCAGTACAAGCTATAATCAAAAAGCATTGTTTTATTCCATGCCCATGTGCCCCTTAAGAACCAGTACTGATTTGAAGATGGTGGGGACAGTTTTTGGAGAACTGGATGTCTTATCTTGCTCAGCAGAAACTATTGATTCTCCCTTCCCCATTCTTCTGGATATTGTGGATGGGTGAGAAAGGGATTTTATAACTGTCCATAAATAGGATTAATAATATTTTGAGGGTATTGGACAATCCAATTTCAATAACTAGAGAAAGGACCTCAGGTCCTTATCCCATTCCCCTGCCTTAAACTCATCAGCTTTTCTTCCATACTCGAGTTTCTTTTTCGGAGAAAAGAAAACAACACTAATTAAATACCAATTTTTAAAGTAAATCAAATCCCAAAAAGTAATGAATTTATTTTCTTGTTGATACATGTTGGATATTTTTGAATACGTGGTCTGTGGAGCATTAACAGAGACATAATAAATGTTACCATGGAGCAAACTAAATTATCTCCAAAAGCCTTCATTAGGTAGAAAGAAAAAAAAAATCTCCTCTTATACTTGCAGAGAATCTTCTCTGTGAGATGATCTTCAGTCAGTTCAATATATTTTTTAAAAGCCATGCAAATACTTCAGCCCTTTCAAAGAAAGATACAGTCTCTTCAGGTGCTATGTTAAAATCATTTCTCTTCAATATAGCAGGCAGCAACGGCAACTGCCTCAGAACATTCCAGAGAGCCCAGTGCAGCAGGCAGGCTCTCAGACAGCTCATCTGAAGCCTCTAAGTTGAGTTCCAAGAGTGCTAAGGAAAGAAGAAATCGGAGGAAGAAAAGAAAACAGAAAGAGCAGTCTGGTGGGGAAGAGAAAGATGAGGATGAATTCCAAAAATCTGAATCTGAGGACAGCATCAGGAGGAAAGGTTTTCGCTTCTCCATTGAAGGGAACCGATTGACATATGAAAAGAGGTACTCCTCCCCACACCAGGTATGGCACTGCTGAGTTTACTGATGCATGGTTGAAAATTAAAACATGGGAGAGAGGGGGAGAATTAGAAAATGGACTCAGGAATTTTTATCAACTGAATCAACCACTGTTGTGTTATATTTAAACCCATCCCTTCTTCACATAGTTATGCAAAAACTTTACTCCACAGATATGTAAGTCTACAGCTCGGTGTAGTTAAGATAACACCAAGTTGACAGTCAGGAGAACTGGACTGTCATTCTGATACTGTCTGCTGATATTTGTCTATAACTAATGACATTTAATCTTTTTGATCCTCAGCACTTTTAAGAAAAAAAAAAATGTGGAACTCCGGATAGTCGATCAGGAATGTCCTTAGGTTATTTTATGATTTTATGTTTTTTTTCCCCCTAACTTCTTTATAAGTCACCATGCATGCTTCTGAAAATATTAGTCATGGTACACTTGATCAAAAGGCACATGACTCTGAATTTCAGAAGTATGAACTTCAAGTTCCAACAATACAATGCCTTATAGGTGAAAAAGAAATAATAATTAAAGTGATTTTAGAAAGGTGGACTAAAGTAAATTGTGAGGAGTGTTGAAAGTTTTTGAAAGACAAGATCCATAAAAACCAAGGTGGCCTTGTTAAGGTCATGGTGCCAGTGTTCACTGAATGTTTACCACGTCCATTGCCATATTCTAAGGATGTTTCCCTTTGAACTTGAGAAATGGTCGTTCAGGGTGTGTGTGTATGTGTGTGTGTGTGTGTTTCAATATGTTAAGGTTGCAATCTATCTCCTCATTCTTTAATCCCAAGGGCTAGAAACTTTCTTTTATCAAGGTAATTTAATTTAATGTGAATGCACATAAAATGAGAATGATAATCAAAAGGAATGAACCATATTCTGTTATGAATGCTGAAATCTCCTTCTACATAATCTTGCAAAATGAAATCACATTCAAATGTCCATATTAATATGACTTTATTTGTTTGCTCTTTCAAACTTCTAGTCTTTGTTGAGCATCCGTGGCTCCCTATTTTCACCAAGGCGAAATAGCAGAACAAGCCTTTTCAGCTTTAGAGGGCGAGCAAAGGATGTGGGATCTGAGAACGACTTCGCAGATGATGAGCACAGCACCTTTGAGGATAACGAGAGCCGTAGAGATTCCTTGTTTGTGCCCCGACGACACGGAGAGAGACGCAACAGCAACCTGAGTCAGACCAGTAGGTCATCCCGGATGCTGGCAGTGTTTCCAGCGAATGGGAAGATGCACAGCACTGTGGATTGCAATGGTGTGGTTTCCTTGGTTGGTGGACCTTCAGTTCCTACATCGCCTGTTGGACAGCTTCTGCCAGAGGTGATAATAGATAAGCCAGCTACTGATGACAATGTAAGGAAGTTTTAAATAGTTCAGGCATGGCTGGCTCACTATTGCTGCACCAGCCAGTGTTTCTACAGAACGGCAACCTTGAGAATGATTCCTGGTTGGTCACGCTGTGAATGCACCTGCATCTTGTAATATCTTTAATAGACTAACCAACTAAAACTTAAAACCTTAGCAGTCTCCTGCACAAACCTGAATGCATTTACTTATTAAAAGTGCTAAGGATTGATTAGACACAATAATTACTGCCTCCAGTTGGAGGATTTGCTATATACCCACACTGAATTTAGATAGCAGGACATTCTCCAAGGCTCTGGTATGAAAGTAAATGAATGATTCTATGTTTAAGTGTCAAGGGTATGTAATAAATCTTTCCAATGGATTCTTCAAGATCTCTGCTTTAGTTTAGATTTTCAAAAACACTGCTTAAGTAGATAGCTTCATTGTTACCTTAATACTCCTAGTACTCATATTTTTCTTACTAAAAAATGCTGATATAGGTCTTCTCAAAATTAAATGAAGAGACACAAATACATTATTAATACAGACAGATAAAATAATTGTCTGTGTACAAAGGTATGTTATGTGTTTGTGGATGTATACTCAGATGAGGAATTTCTAAACAGATGCTGCCTCTTCTTAGACTGTTTACTCACTTGGAAATATATCAGCATGAGGAGGCATGACTAAGTCAGAATTAGATGACTTATTGCTTTGGTACCCTGGATGAAACTGTTGTCCATGCAGCATGTGTGTGTTCTTTTTAACATAGAGTTTGTGTTGTCAATGACCATCTACATCTTGTGTCCAGAAAATAAGATGGCAGCTAAGTGTGTTGCAATCATTTATACTTCCTTAAAATTAAATAGCTACCTTCTCAAAAATCAAGTGCCTTGATCACTTGTAGGACTTTTAAGTTACTAGGCTTTTACTATTAGTTCAGAAATAAGGGTAATAACTGTTAAATATATCTCTTAAGAGTTTTATCAACTATATTAAAATTATTTTGTATTTTATAAAATTATGAAATCAGGAAGTTAACATCTTGGTTTTTGCTGTATGACTAAATGGTTAACAGTTTGAACATTCCAGGCTAATGATACAATAAGTCAGAAATATCTGCCATCACCAATTGAATATGAAAGTGCATGATGCATGTGTTTCATGAAATTCACTGTGTCACCATTTGGTTGTTTGCTTGTCATATTGCTCAAATTAATTGTTTAATGCATTAGCATTTTTTTTTACAGGGAACAACCACTGAAACTGAAATGAGAAAGAGAAGGTCAAGTTCTTTCCACGTTTCCATGGACTTTCTAGAAGATCCTTCCCAAAGGCAACGAGCAATGAGTATAGCCAGCATTCTAACAAATACAGTAGAAGGTTGGTAACAAATTCTATTTTCGTTTCAATTATTTTCACCAAACTTATATTGTCTCATTTCAAACAAATATATTTGTGAGTTGGGAATAGTGCATTCTAATGAAAAGACAGTCTAATTCAAGAGCTGTTATTTCTTATATCTACTCAGATATTCTAGAAGCCTTAACAATTTATTTTAAAATGAGTGATATTGGGACTAAGAATGTTTTCCTAACTGTGTAGCAACTCTTTGAAAATGCAGAACAAAGCATTTCTGTTAGGGGTTTCTAATCTCATTAGTCATAGTGACCCTCTTTTTGTTCCATTAGTTTAAGACTTCAGCAGTACAGCCCTTTTCAGCCTCATCCTAAGTACTCTCAAGATTGTAGAGGAAGAGCAGGTCATTTTCACAAAATAAAAACAAGCTAAAAAGATGATTCTTGGGTCACATCAATCCCTATTCTAGCTCTCATAGTCTGAGGTTGACAATGTAGAGTCATTCACATAGGGTTGCACACACAATATCTACACCACCCTAAACCATGTTCCCATTGAGACGTCACATGAAAGACCACTCATTTAACTTGAGGCCAAGTGCTGAGCCACAATGTCAGTGCATAAGACAAAAAACTACCCATTGTTACCTGGGCTCTATGTGTGTGTCTGATGAAATATCCTTGGGAGGTTTAGAGTAAACTGTAATTTTTTTAACAAGTACAAAAAAGGTTGTCTCTGTAACAAAAATGTGTTGATTACTGAAAATAAGTTTAGTGGATATGAAATAAATGTGTGTGTATAAAGTATACCTTTTGGTGGTTCTTTTTTTTTTTTTTCTTAATCTAGAACTTGAAGAATCCAGGCAGAAATGCCCACCCTGTTGGTATAAATTTTCCAACATATTCTTAATCTGGGACTGTTCTCCATATTGGTTAAAAGTGAAACATGTTGTCAACCTGGTTGTGATGGACCCATTTGTTGACCTGGCCATCACCATCTGTATTGTCTTAAATACTCTTTTCATGGCCATGGAGCACTATCCAATGACGGACCATTTCAATAATGTGCTTACAGTAGGAAACTTGGTAAGCATATTGGAAGGTAAATGTGTTTAGTCTTCAAATTTTCTGCTTGAAAAACTGTTTACATTTAATTGTGTATAGCAGTCTTTCAACCATCCTTCATGCTTCCTGGCCCCTGCAAAATCGCAATTATATTTAGCTGGCTATACTCTACTTTTTTGCCAAAAATAATCACCCTTAATGTGCTCACAAAAACTGAGAAAGGCATAGGCCTACAGCACTACTTGAAAAGTCAACAGCAATATTTATAATTTTTCAGGATCCAGAAGTAGCTCATAGATTAAGAACATACTTTTTGAGATATTATTACAATTTCCCTTACTGTAGAAGATTAAAATAAAATTGTGGATCTCTTTTATCCTTCTTAGTCATCATCACTGCAAGAAATAATTTAACAACTCAAAAATGTCTCCAGCTTTTCCTCTTCCAGGATCTAAGTAGTACATGTATTGTTTATCCATCTATTCTATATCAAAACCATGAACTATTGAAAACTTCCAGTACATTTTGTGTGTTATATGATTACAAAGGTCATTTTTGGTGAAGATTGCCACTTAATTTTTCCTTTTTGTGCTTCAAAAACATAAATTATTAAAGTGTTTGCCAGTCAACTCAACTTAGGAATACTAGCTTTTATTTGCTGAAGGAAAGAGCTATCTAAAGTAATTTATGCATTTCCTGTAATATTTGGTTTGAAGTTTAGGATTTTTGATGGTAGAAAACAAAAGCATCATGCATAACAACCTGCATTTTATTAGTTATATTTTTGAAGTTCTACTATTTATACTACAGAAGTAAATTTATTTTTTTCATGTGCATAACAAAGAATGACAATAGTAATGCACCTAGTATAATAGATAAGAATGTATAACTCTGATTGAGGGAAATAGGAATAAGCTTATAGATAAATAAAAGTGCTCATGGGCAAAATGTTGTCAGTACTTGTGGTATATAAAGTCTGGACAAAAAGGTAGTTTGGTATAATGGAAAGAGCACTGTTAAAAATAGATGACTTGGGCTGGGCGCAGTGGCTCACGCCTGTAATCCCAGCACTTTGGGAGGCCGAGGCGGACGGATCACGAGGTCAGGAGATCGAGACCATCCTGCCTAACATGGTGAAACCCCGTCTCTACTAAAAATACAAAAAATTAGGCGGGCGTGGTGGCGGGCGCCTGTAGTCCCAGCTACTCGGGAGGCTGAGGCAGGAGAATGGCGTGAACCCAGGAGCTTGCAGTGAGCCAAGATGGCACCACTACACTCCAGCCTGGGCGACAGACTGACACTCCGTCTCAAAAAAAAAAAAAAAAAAAAAAAAAAAAAAAAGATGACTTGTACTCAAATCCTAGTTTTGCCATTTTCTTGCTGTATGATATCAAGCAAGCCATTTCACCCATCTGAAGACCTCAGTTTCCTTATCTGTAAAGTAATAATTGTATATTATCTACTTCGCGTTTCCACAAGGATAAAATTAAATAATGTATATGAAAGTCTTTCATCAACTACAAATTGCCATACAAATTTAAGTTAGTAATAGAATCATTGTGGGAAAATAGCATAAGCATTATGTTCTAAGAGCAAATCTTATGTCATGTATGTTATTATCTGGTGGAATTAGATTAATTTTGTTTTGATCTTAGGTTTTCACTGGGATCTTTACAGCAGAAATGTTTCTGAAAATTATTGCCATGGATCCTTACTATTATTTCCAAGAAGGCTGGAATATCTTTGACGGTTTTATTGTGACGCTTAGCCTGGTAGAACTTGGACTCGCCAATGTGGAAGGATTATCTGTTCTCCGTTCATTTCGATTGGTAAAAAAAAAAAAAAAAAGCACCAAATTCAAAAACCTTTCTAACAATCAGGGTTCTTGCATAGCAATGTCATAGTTTTTTTGCCACACAACCATTAGCATTGTAAGTTTTTCTGTAACATTTGCATTGTCAAAAACTTTTCCTACATGGAAAAAAATTCTCAATTATTTATGAAAACCTTTATTTCAAAGAACATAGTTACGTAAAAGTTAACGTATTACTCAGTTGCTATTTTCACTAAGTATTGCTTCTAGAGACTACTACAGTTAATATTTCTAGACCTAAGAAAATATTTTTAATGAAAATGCATCACCTTTTAATAGTAACTTGAAAATATATATAGCCCTTTGTAGCAGTGGATGAAAATCAGATGTAAGATGTGCATGCAGAAACTTTTTCTAATTCTGTCTCTGGAAAATATGCATCTTGCGAAAGTCAAAGGAGAGAAAGTCTGTAGGATTACTAAGCATGCCCATTAATTCACACATATATCCTTACAAGTCAGGAAAATAATTGTAGAATTATAGGAAATATTCCAAGTTTTTCAATGCAGGTGGATGTAACTACATGAATACCCCTAAGGAGCATTAATGAATAATGAACACTTTACTTATATCAGGGCTCAGTATGATGTTACTTTGCACACTACTGGCAAATTAATATCTTTCAGCAGAGATATTTCAGATTCAGATGTTAATATTATAATATCCGGCCTTAGAACCACCTTTATAAAACAAATTAAGAACAGTTGGATTCCAAGTACTCATTAAAAATTCACTATAAGAGGCCTGGCTTGGTGGCTCATGCCTGTAATCCTAGCACTTTGGGAGACTGAGGCAGTTGGATCACTTGAGGTCAGGAGTTCGTGACCAGCCTGGCCAACATGGTGAAACTCCGTCTCTACTATATATATATTTAACCAGGTGTGGTGGCACGTGCCTGTAGTCCCAGCTACTTGGGAGGCTGGGGCAGGAGGATCACTTTAACCTGGGAGGCAGAGGTTGCAGTGAGCCGAGATCACTCCTCTGCACTCCCGCCTGGGTGACAAAAGAAAAAAAAAAAGAAAAGGAAAGAAAAATAATTCACCATCAGAGAAAATGATCTACATGGTTAAAATATGGAAAATCCAGCTTTTCCTAGGGAGTCCAAAAATTAGCCATGAGCCTGAGACGGTTAGGGCAGATCAGATATTGTAAGATATTGAATTCTAATGACCATTTCTAGGTAAAGCTCAATATATATAATGCTTTTAAGAATCATACAAATATATATTAATCTTTCATTTTCCAGCTGCGAGTTTTCAAGTTGGCAAAATCTTGGCCAACGTTAAATATGCTAATAAAGATCATCGGCAATTCCGTGGGGGCTCTGGGAAATTTAACCCTCGTCTTGGCCATCATCGTCTTCATTTTTGCCGTGGTCGGCATGCAGCTCTTTGGTAAAAGCTACAAAGATTGTGTCTGCAAGATCGCCAGTGATTGTCAACTCCCACGCTGGCACATGAATGACTTCTTCCACTCCTTCCTGATTGTGTTCCGCGTGCTGTGTGGGGAGTGGATAGAGACCATGTGGGACTGTATGGAGGTTGCTGGTCAAGCCATGTGCCTTACTGTCTTCATGATGGTCATGGTGATTGGAAACCTAGTGGTATGTACCCACTTAAGATATGCATTTTGGAAATACACCAGCATGGCACATGTATACATATGTAACTAACCTGCACATTGTGCACATGTACCCTAAAACTTAAAGTATAATAAAAAAAAAGAGTATAATTTAATGGTGACTGTTTTGTCAAAAAGAAAAACAAACTATGATTATTGGTTTAAAAGTCCATTACCTTGGATATATTATCACTTTAACAACACAGCAATATAGCAGTGCCCCTGCATTTTTTATACCAAATTCTATTTTGTCAGTCACTTTATCACATTTTTTATGTGAATTACAATAGAGTATCATATTGAGATGAGCCTAAAAGGATGTGCTGGGACCATTTTATAAATTCAGAGCCAAGGAAGAGAGAAGTCTAAAAAAAGTAGAGAGAAAGTGCAAAATTACCATCCAGACTAGGACTAAAAAGTGGTGTCTTTAAGAGTTCATAATGCTTGTGCCATTTCTTTGCCCCATTGCAGCATATGATATTCAATCACTCTATGTCATATGGCAGATGCACTAGCCAACCTGAGTTCATCAGTTCTCGAATGGCTAATGATGCCTGAGATTACCATAATGGAGTAACTGATCAATCTTTATCTCTCTTAAATTTGGAGTGTTACTGTTTATAGTATAGTAATACATAAAATATTCTAAAGGTATGTACATTCATGTGCCAGTCTCATGGAAATATGAGAGATTATTCATAAACAGCTCTACTTAGTCAACAATGAAGTATGAGAAATATAATAGATTAAGAAAACAAGTGTCAGCCTATGTTAAGCTCCTAATCTTCATTCTGAGTTGTAATGGTTATTTTTCAATTGACATCCAATTTAATATCTTTGTTTATTGAAAAATTATAGAATGCATTTAAATGCATACTTGGAAACATTAGTGATTTTTAAGAATTCTCGTATTGTACACATATAAATCTGTTTTCTTCTACTCATACAATTTTAGAGTTAACAAAACCTTAGATTAGCTCATTCAATTTCACTTTACGAATGGGAGAACTTGAGAGCAACAGAAATCATGTCTTTGTCCAAGGATGTGCTATTGAGCCAGTCACAAATTCAGATCACCCATCTTCTAATCACTATGCTGTGGTGTTTCCTTCTCATCAAGTTTTAGAACTTAGAGTTTTTTCCACACTTAAAAGAAAGAATAAGTGATTGTAATCTGCTCTTCCCTACATTGGTGTAAAATTATAATCATGTTTTTGTTGTTTTTAAGGTCCTGAATCTCTTTCTGGCCTTGCTTCTGAGCTCATTTAGTGCAGACAACCTTGCAGCCACTGATGATGATAATGAAATGAATAATCTCCAAATTGCTGTGGATAGGATGCACAAAGGAGTAGCTTATGTGAAAAGAAAAATATATGAATTTATTCAACAGTCCTTCATTAGGAAACAAAAGATTTTAGATGAAATTAAACCACTTGATGATCTAAACAACAAGAAAGACAGTTGTATGTCCAATCATACAGCAGAAATTGGGAAAGATCTTGACTATCTTAAAGATGTAAATGGAACTACAAGTGGTATAGGAACTGGCAGCAGTGTTGAAAAATACATTATTGATGAAAGTGATTACATGTCATTCATAAACAACCCCAGTCTTACTGTGACTGTACCAATTGCTGTAGGAGAATCTGACTTTGAAAATTTAAACACGGAAGACTTTAGTAGTGAATCGGATCTGGAAGAAAGCAAAGAGGTAAGATTCTATAGGTGTGGGAAGGTATGAATACATATACATATATACATATACACACATACAGATGATCCTCAGCTTAATGATGTTTTGACTTAAGATTTTTTTTTTTTTTTACTTTATGATAATACAAAAGCAATAGCCATTCACTAGAAACCATGCTCTAAATTTTGAATTTTGATCTTTTCCCAGGCTAGCAATTTGTGGTACAATATACTCTCATGCTGGGCAGGGGCAGCAAGCTGCAGCTCCCAGTCAACCACGTGATTACAAGGATAAACAACCAATATTTACCGTACAGTGTACTGTATTCAGGAAATTACCTGAGTTATCCAACAGTTTATTATAAATCATGCTTTCCTTTAGATGATTTTGCCCAACTGTAGGCTAATCTACATTTCCTGAGCATGTTTAAAGTAGACTAGGGTAAGCTATAAAGTTTGGTAGTTAGGTGTATTAAGTAAGTTTTGATGTACAATATTTTCAACTCACAATGAGTTTATCAGGAACTAACCTCATTGTAAATTGAGGAACATTTACAATACATGCATTATATTGCCTGTATTTATTATTATATATTTTCCATATAGATTTTTTTGACATCATGTAAAATTTTATTTCACTGAGGAACAAAAGATTTAACTCGGAAATGACTGATAAATTAAAGGGTAATATAGTATACGTGTGAGTTTTCTCATCCTTAGTAATGGATATTTGTTAGATGAATGAATGAACGATCTAACAAATAGACAAACATCATCAGATTTAATCCTTACAATAACCTGGAAAGAAATGTGTTATTATGTTAACTTTTCAGATAAGAAAATTAGCTTAGGGAGCATTAGGTCACATAGCTAGTGAGGGGAGTGCCGAGAGTTGAACTTAGAGCCCTTGTTTACAAGTTCTGTTTATTGTTTTTTGCATCACATTGGCTCATGTACATTGAAGAGAACTTAACAACAAGAAATATTCTTGTAGCTCCTTCAACTAAAATTACACTGCCCTATGCATTAGCCTGTTTGGACTGCCATAACACTATACCATAACTGGGTGGCTTAAACAACCAAAATTTATTTTCTCATAGTCCAGAAACTGGAAAGTCCAAGATCAAGATACCAGCAGCATCAATGTCTAGTGAGGGCTCACTCCTTGGGTTGCAGACAGCCACCTCCTTGCTGCGTCCTCACATGGCCTGTCCTCAATGCATGTACATGGAAAGAGAGAGAACTCTGGTGTCTATTCTTCTTCTTATAAGTGCACCAGCCCTATCAGAATAAAGTCCAACCTGTATGACCTCATTTAACCTTTATCACCACCTTACAGGCCCTATCCCCAAATACAGTCATATTGAAGGTTAGAGCTTCAGCATATGAATTTTGTGGAGACAAAACTTTAATCCATAGCAACCTACTTTGAAATATTAAGTTAAAAGTCTAATGGATATATAAGATAATTAACAAGGAGTCTAGGACAAAGCACCTTTACTTCCCATTTAGTGTTTGGAAATCTCAAAAACAGCAGGGTGCCCATCTTTTAGGCTGTATAGTCTAAATATTTTAAAGGATTGAATACATTAAAGACATTTTATTAGAGATACAATTCTATTAGATATCATCATGTCCATTGCATTTTGATAGTTGTCCATGGAAGATACCACAGGTATGTGACATTCTTTTGATTTAGTGACTATATCCCTTAAAAGATGCTTCAAGTATTTATAATGAGTCTCTGAATAATCTAGGTCAGCCTCCACTTTTAGGAGTAGGGGGCTAATATTGGAGCTGGAAGCAGCTGCCCTGACCCTAGCATTAGAGCTGCTTAGTTAATTCAGATTTGTTTGATGAGAGAAGGGAAAGAAATATAGTGCAGAGATGTAATAGTAGATAGATCCTGTCACATTTCCATGTCTATGGAAATAGATTCAGGACAAAAAAAAAATAGACTGTTTTTATCAAATATTGTGGACTTTTTTACAGAAATTTTAATTTGGATATTATGTCAGTTCAGACTTTGTTTATTTGAGTTTTCCTAAGGAATCAGATGAAGGCTAATTTTTTGAAAAATTGTTGTCTTTATAAAATTGTTTCTGAACTTCTGTTAAAATAAATTTAGTAATAGCCTAGTCTAGCTTCCTTTGTCTTGAATCTTTAGACCTACATTTAGCATTTGATGAGGACTAATGGCTACCATATGCTATCTGTTATATTAAAAAGGAAAAAGACTATTTTACAAAGACCATCCATAAGATATACATTTTCTGTAAAAATTTGACATGATTCTTACTCTTATTGTTTTTTTATATTGATCAAGGCTAAAAGAAACACTAACCTTTTTATAAAGCAACTATCCACTGAAGCACTAGAGGTAGTTCTGTTTCTTTCTACTTTGTGGTATTTTATATCTTGGAACATTGCATTAATTGAAATTTTAAATGTTAAGGTAATAGAAACTTTAGAGATAATTTAATGTGGTGCTTCTCAAATTGTGAGTCATAGTTTAGTTAGACTTGAGAAATCCCTTTAATAGGCCAGTTTTTTTTTTTAATTTTAATGAAATAGTGATCCGCCCACCTCAGCCTCCCAAAGTGCTGGGATTACAGGTGTGAGCTACTGCACCCGGCCAATGAAATAGAACAGAATAACGTTAGAGCACATTTCATGTCAGAGGGAGAAGTCCTGGTAAATGAAGCTTTTGCCACCTGTGCTGAACTTTAATGTTTTGTTTGTCTAATTAGAATGCAACCACTTGGTTCATGGGCATAGTGTCTGAAGTCCAGGAGTTCTTAAGCTTCAGAAAGACTGTTTCAGCTTTTTGAAGGTAGTGATAATGAAGCCTTCCTAACCCTAGGCAGAACAGATTGCTTTCTTTTTTGGTTCCCAGAGATATAAGGCATAGAGTATAGTAATAAATAATGCATCTTCTTGACTCATGCGTCTTACAAAGTACTATCATATTTTAGGGTAGCTACTTATATGCATGCATGTCTCTCCTTTTATGTGGTGACCTACTTAAACATGTTTGGTACAAAGTAGACACTCAGATCAAACTTTTCCAGCTCATTCAACTCTTCTTAATAAAACCATTCTGAAGGGCTCTCATAAATACTTTCTCTGATTAGAGCATACTTGAGATTGTCATTTTAATTCCAATTATTTTGGACCAATTTTTTCTCTAGATTCAAGATTCACTTGAGTTAGATTTTGTTGTTTTTGTTTTTGTTAGCCATGTTACCTTGTCACTTTACACCACCCTTCTAAGAAAGTAATAATCTCTCATCTTTTCCACATGAATTGCTGTTGAAATGCAGTTGTATCTCATCCAGACGAAATTTTGTAATTAAATACTGAAACTTCTATTTATCCCCTAATGATACATTTCAATTTCTTTTATTCATTTTTGAATCTGGCTTTCTTTTTATATTCTTTCACAGATTACCACATTGTATCAAATTTCCTGGCACTTTTACTTCACAATTCCTTTCTTCTTGGTCAGAAATAAACCCACACAATATTGTTTGCCCTCATTGCTTCATCAGTCTTATACTGTATTCTGTTCATCAAAGTAAGGCATAAATTATGAGATATTCTGCTTTTAGAGGAATTAAGCTGACAGCAGATGCCCCAATAGATGAAGAGTCTTTGTTCTACATTAGGAATGCTGCCTGTAGTATATTAATCTCATCATTTTGGTTCTTTTTGTTTTAGCCTTTATTCTTTTTGCCTATTTTCATTTATTTATCAGTTATCATATGCCAGGGAGACTAGATAAAGGAGTATACTAATAAGCTATAAGGAATGATTTTCTCTCTCTGTCTCTGTGTGTGTGTGTGTGTGTGTGTGTGTGTGTGTATGACTTTCAACCTTTAAGTATGAATTTTCATATTGAGACATATGTTACTGATGCAAAAATGTTACCTTTCATGGCCTCTATTAGACTAGTTTCATTTGAACATGTTATTGTTTCCATTCCTGAATTCCAGTAATGACTTATCTACAATGCATCATTATAATACCTCCAAAATTATATTAATGCCTTGTGTTAAAATTACAAGTGCCCACTGTTTATTCTTCATACACTAAATATTTGTTTTTAGACATGTGAGGCCACAGTTATAAAGTTGGTAAATGGTTATACTCTGGAGCCAGATACTGGGTTATATAATTTCATTTTAGCCGCTTACTGTGTGACTTTACCTATCTAATAATCAGTTTCCTCATCTCAAAAATGTGCATAATGTTACTGACTGCATTTCTGGGACAGAGTATTAAATGAGATAATAAATGTGAAGTACTTAGCACAGTGCCTAATTAATATAGAATATCTGGTAAATCATCATTATTATTGTTACCAGTTGCATTCCACACTGTTCCAGTAAGTTTTCTTACAAGAATTACTACTGGTAACATACTCCACTATTTGTCTTTTTTTGTTGTTTGCCTTTTGCCCTCTGTAATAAATTGTTTTATAAGTTTATCTGGGGATGGTGATACATTTTATATTTTCTGTTTATTTTTAAATTGTTTTGATTACATTCTTGATATGGTAAGCTCCTTAAAATATTTAAGAAAATTACTTTTCTAAGGGGCATTCCAATCAGGAAATACAAACATGCAGAAACCTAAAGACAGGAAGCAAGAGGATGTATTTGGAGACAATTAGTAGTTTGGAATTCCGGGGGCGTAAATCACAGGAGCTGAGGATGAGATGTAGGTAAAGAGTCTTGGTTTCCAGGAAGCAAGAATAGACTGGTATGAAGAGATGTGGTGAACTGGAACCTCATATTTATTTTGCCTCTTACATCTGTGGTGAACTCACACCTAACTATCCTCCATTCCAGAGCAAACTAAGGGCTGTTTTTTCTACACCTTCCTCCTATTGGTCTCCAAAAGAAGAAAGGGAATAGCATGAGTCACATTTCATCCTCTCTTTAAGTCCTAAGAGACTTCAACCTTCAAAGTACATTCAAGTAATTTGAGGAATTGTTTTTTAAAACCTCAGAAAATTTCTTGACTCATGCCATAGTAGGAATAATGATAAGCTAGAAACATGAATTTTTATTGAACATTAATAATAAAGAATGGTGACTTGGACAGATCTGAGAGAGCTTTGAAGGCTGGGCAAAACTGCCAAGACTATGCAAAAGACAATATAAAATCTTATCTCCCCAAATAGAAAGTAAATTTATTTTGGTTTTGGATAGTATTTTATAACATTTCTATCCTCCGAAGCACCTACCACAATGCTGGGTGCATAACAGTTGCCCAATAATTTTTTGAGGTTTGGTTGATTTATATGGATACTAGATTAAGAGCTTATAAGCCTTAACTCTACTATGAGCAAATCGCTAAATCTATATTACCCCGTTTCCTAATTTATTAAATGAGATATCTGTCCTATGATGCTTATAGAAATGTTATGAAGATCTAAAAGCTATTTGGAAGTTAAAAATGTTCAAAAGTGTAAGGTGATGTCAAGAAAATTACTACTTAATTCCATTTAAATAAAAATTTTAAATAAATTGAGTTATTAAAGTTGTACCTTTTGGGAACAAAAAAGGCACATTACTAAAGTAATTATAAAAGAAATACATTTGTTTTTGCGATGAGTGAGCTCTAGAATAATGAGTAAAAATGTGAGGTCCTTAGTAATTCAGGTTATGTTAATAACAGCTATTGTTTAAATGTTCACCATGGACAAAGTACTATTGGAGGGCATATATTGTCCCATTCAGTCTTTATGCCGTAAGACACACTGTTATTCCAGCCTTAAGATGAGAAAAATAAACATATTTTGAACAAAGGAAAACTTGCCAAAGTTACACAAACAGTAAGTGGTTGGTCCTGGCAGTCTGCTCCATAGTCTGCTCCAGAGTCACGCTCTTAACCGCTACACTAAATCTTAATAGTGTCTGAAAATGTACTTTCTTTGGCATAGTTCTGAAATAAATAATACTATTTGTTGAAGAACTAGGTACAGGTGTCAACTATAGATTTGGTGTTAACTTCCAATCACTGCACATTGGGCATAGGTTAACAGCATAGTCTGGAGTGTTTCAGAGTCCTCCTGCTTAGTCCTGAAAGGTCCTGTTCCTCTGGTACTGGCCTGCACTTTAGGCTGATCTGCTTCTGCATCCCACACTGACCTGTGGTGGTCTAATTCTACTTAGAGAGCACTTAGTCTCCCAGAGTGTGATAGTTGTGCTTAAGGAGCATCCCCTTCTGAGTTTAAAGCTGCTGGAAGAGTCTTCCAAATCATTAGGAAGAACTTCTATGATGTATCATTAGCTTATGAGGTCTTTGAGAACAGGAAAAACACTAACCCTGTCTTCCCTTAAGTCCACAGCACATACAACATATTTATTAAATGAATGAATAAATAGGTGATGGGCAGTTACTTCTAGATTTCCATTTTTTCCCAATTATATCACTGATATATATGCATTTTAAATCTACTTGTTGCTTTGCTGATATTTTTCCATCTAATACTTTTATCTTACGTTATATGGGTTAAGGAACATACGACAATCTCCAACCTAAGCACATAGTCTCTAAGAGATGGCAACTACTCTCTGCGAAGAGTACTATCCATGGAACCCAAGAGTACTATCTCCACTACTTCTAATTGATCACTAGGGACTGCCAAAGCTACCTATCTTTGTCCACCTCTCTGCATTCCCAAGGCCTTTACCCAGTGTCAGACCTCCATCATCTTCCAGTTTTACTGCTACAGCCTCCAAACGGGTCTCCTCTCGCTAGTGTAGTCTTGACAAAACAATAGGTGGTCTTTCTAAAATGCAAATCCCGTAACCGTTCTGTCCTCCCTAACCTTTCAGGAGTTGCCCATTGCTCACAGTATGGAGTCTATACTACTTAACATGGGTACAAGTCCCTGCAAAACTGACCACCGCTGACTCCTTCAGTATCATGGAATAGTACACCTCACACCTCCCCACCCAGCTATACTAATCTTTCATTCAATGTAATTCCCTATGCTTTATCAGTTCTCATCGTTATACCTTTTCTCTCTGACAGGAATACTCTCTTACTCTATCCTGCTTCACCTGACTCATCCTCACCCACCACATCCTTCTTGTCCCAAATGTCACTTTATTCTACCCTGTCCTTCCTAGATTGAGCTAGGTGGTGTTCTCAATATACTCTATACTACTCCTATTAGAGTGTGTGGCAATTGCTTCTCTGTATCCTCCATCTGATTGTGAACCGACGAGGGCAGATACTAAGTCTATTATGTTCACTATTTTATTTTTCAAGTCCTAGTTTTGATGCCTGGCACATTTTTGGTAGTGAAAAAGTTCAAATATCAATAATTACACCTATTACAAACAATACAATACTGTGATGGAAATTGTTACCATTTATCAAATAAGCATACGCCAAACGTTATTCATGTGTTATCTTGTTCAGTCCTTATAACAAGGATGTGAAGTAAGAACCATTTTACAAATTAGAAACCTAAAGCCTAAGGAGGTCAGAATAATTGGTTAAAGTCCATAAAACCAGTGATTGTGATTCAAACTCAAGTTTCTCTGATCCTCTGAACAGTAGTACTTTCAACTCTTTCATTATATAGATATACAGTTTATTTGCCCAGTAGACACTTATTAAGTATGTTATAATTTAACATTAAAAATCAATGTCAAAATAACATTATAGAAGCTCTGTGCTCAATTTGGCAAAATGAATTTAACAATGAAAATTACTCATTTGATTTGCATTTTGGTTTCTAGCTTGGGGATTATAAATGCAATTTTTCAGAATTTTTTTGTTTTCTTTCCAATTTTTTTGTATTACCATGATTTTCTATTGACTCAATATGTCTGAAATATGTTGCTTTTGTTCCCTTATATTTAATTATTGATACAGAAGTTTATGTGTGACCTATCGAAAGCAAAATTCAGAGTAGTATATTAGAGCCGTATTCCTCCACGTTCACTTTTATACTGGGCAAGTGTTTGACTAAAGAATAGAAACAACTGACATTCTGTAAATATGAATAATCACTGAAGATTGTCCTTTCAACATACAGCTTGATGAAGAAATCAACTGGGAATAATGTGGGAATTAATGAGTTAATATTTGAGTTTTCTAGCTGCCCTGTGGAAATGTTGAGTCTCATTACAGTGTCTTTTCCATTGATATTATATTTTCCTTTGTTGAGAGTCTTTAATAGGGGTCATTTTAATTTTTAATATGCATAGTGTACAATAGAAATATTTACTAGTGCACAATGTACACAATGAAATATTAATACTAGCATTTCTGAGGTTGTAGAGAACCTCATTTTAGCATGACTTAGGAGATATATGTGTCACAATAGTAAAGTACCCAGCATTAAAATAGTACCTGTCCAGCTTTAAAAATAAGTACTTTGGATAATATTCTTTATATGTTAAATATATACATGTGTATGTTAAATATATATATTAAATATATATGTACACACATATATACATATACAAATATATAGACATCGCATGACCACATATTAAGTATGCTTTTGACCCTTAAATTCCAGATTTATTTATATTACTTATTATAATTTGAACTCCTACTAAACTCTATAAATAAGCTCCTTATAACAAACCAAGTTTAAAAATAAAAATATAAACATTGTAGGATCAAGTCAGAGAACAAGAAAAAAAGCATTTAATCACTTACTCTCAGAGAATATTGAAGAAAGTTTTCTTTGCCTTGCTTTGTTTTGCCTTACCCTCAAGGTCAAAATCATTTGCTATAGTAAAGAGCATTGTTAAAAAACAAGAAATTTGCATAAATCCACTGCGGAGGAAAACTGCTCTTACCATCAGGGTTGTAGTTATTAAGTGGTTATTGAATGCCCTGGTGTACAAGGCAAAGTGGATGCTTCATATACAACGTGGTCTCTGCATTCTGTCAGCTCACATATTAAGTCAGCCTGCCAAAAATACATGGATGATACAAGTCAGTGTATAAGTGTATAATTTAGCTATTAAGATTCATGTGTGAAAATATACATATTCTTAAATAAACTAGCCTATTTAGAAATTGGTAAAATTTAAGGTTGATTCATGGTTTAATAAACATTAAAATAGATTTTAAGAAATATTCCGGGAGGCCGAGGCGGGCGAATCACGAGGTCAGGAGATCGAGACCACCCTGGCTAACACGGTGAAACCCCATCTCTACTAAAAATACAAAAAATTAGCCGGGTGCAGTGGTGGGCACCTGTAGTCCCAGCTACTTGGGAGGCTGAGACAGGAGAATGACATGAACCTGGGAGGCGGAGCTTGCAGTGAGCCGAGATCACGCCACTGCACTCCAGCCTGAGCGACAGAGCAAGACTCAGTCTCAAAAAAAAAAAAAAAAAAAAAAGAAAGAAAGAAAGAGAAATATTCCATTAATCTCTAAAACAGTGAGAACAAATTACTTTATTAGTGAATAGCAAATTTCAAAATGAAATTAAATTTCAATCTAAGAACAAAAAAGGAAAAATTAATTGGCCTTACTGATTTTTAAATCTGTAAAAATACTTATTTGAGAATATTTTAGTTTTGCCGTTATTGAATTTCTTTAGAATTTTATATGAATTCGTATTTCATGTGCTAACATAGAGGTGGACTTTTCCTACACATCTGAAGAGGAGCTTTTCCTTCCCTTTTTGAGTATTTAATAATAATAGTGTTATTATCCCAATCAAATAAAGAATTGGACCACTTCATCTTTTATCTCAACCGTTATAAGAATATATTGATGCAAATATACTGGTTATGAAGGTTTTAATACAACTTTTTTAGCCTATGGTAAAATATTTTAAAAAATAGATGACAACATTTAGATTTTGGATAATATTAATAGCAAAAGTAAATATGACTGTATATTATCTCAAAAAACATATTTACAGAAAATTTTTATTTTCAAGGGTTCATGGAATATTTCTATAAAAGTAACCATATACTGGAGTTCAAAGTAAAGCTCAATAAATTTAAAATAGCTGGCATATAGGGTTATCCAGTCACAATGTAGTTAAGCCTGAAATTAATAATAAATTGATAGAAAGAATTCCAACCATTTGAAAATTAAGAAATTGCCTCCTAAACAAATATTGAATAAAAGCATAATAAAATACCAAAATAGCTATTTCAAAAATAAAAGCATTTTATGTCAAAATTTGTGGAAGAAGACCAAGTAGTCATTAATATGACTTAATATTACTAATATGATTAAGAAGGGATGAAAGAACCTAACAAATATCTTTGAGAAATTAGAAAAGGAACAAAAAAGGAAGAAGATATACATAAAGAGAAAAAATAGTGAATTATCAATGTAGCAGACAATATTGGTATAACAGGTTATGGTTCTTAGGAAAAAAAAATCAGTAAGACACACAAACTTTGGTGTATCAGGCAGAATTCTAAGATGATCTCAATGACACTTGCCCTTGTATAATCCCCACTCCATGAGTGTGGTTGGAACCTGTGGATATGGTATCACCCTTTAATTACATTACATTTATGACAAAAAGGGGGATGATGCTGGGTGGGCCTGACCTAATCAGGCAAACTCTTTAAATGCACAGTGATTTCTCCTGCTATCACATAGAGGAAGCTGAAAAGATATGCTCTGCCTGGCCTAGAAAAAAGCAAACACCCATATTGTAAATTGCATACAGCAGCCATGTGGCCAGAGACTATGGGTGGCCTCTAGTTGCTGAGAGTGGTTCTGGGCCATGAGCTGGCAGGAAAGTAGGAAGCCCAGTCTTATAATTATGAGAAATGAACTCTGCCAACGACAGTAAACTTGGAAGAAGATCCTGAGCCCTGGAAAAGAACTGGATTTCCAGCCAACACCTTGACATCATCTCAATGAGACCCTGAGCAGAGAATCCAACTAGGCAGTGCCAGACTTCCGACCTACAGAAACTGTGAGTTGGTGAATGTATGTTAAGATGCTGGGTGTATGCTCATTTGTTACACAGACACAGAAAACAAATACATTTGGCAAATAATCCTTGTTAGGAAAACTCAAATGATTTTCTATGTGTAAAGAGCAATTGCAATCAAATAAGAACACTAATACTCCAATAGAAAAATAGGCAAAAGACCAAGCACCGTGGCTCACTCCTGTAGTCACAGCACTTTGGGAGGCCAAGGTGGGTGAATTGCTTGAGCTCCGGAGTTCAAGACCAGCCTGAGGATCAGATGCTGTCTCTACAAAAAATACAAAAATTAGCCGGGTGTGGTGGCATGCACCTGTAGTCCCAGTTACTTGGGAGGCTGAGGCAGAATTGCTTGAACCTGGGAGGTAGAGGCTGCAGTGAGCTGTGACTTCATCACTGCACTCCAGCCTGGGTGACAGAATGAGACCTGTCTCAAATAAACAAACAAATAATAGTCAAAAGAGACAAGTCATAAAAAATATAACTGGAAGACAAACCTTAAGAAATATTACTCCTAATTGTTATCAAATAAGTTAATATCAAAACAATGGTAGTGTAATTTCTGCTTTTCAATTTGGCCAATAAAAAAGAAGAAACAAAAGCAAAACATGAAAAGGAAAACAAAACAAAAACCCAGGTAAATAATGCATTATGCTGATGAAGGAGATCCATGAGACAGATACTTAACACAAATCTCAGAACATGGTATCTTTCAATAAATGTTGAGTAATTGAATATTTCATATACAGCTAATAGTGAAATTAAAAGCCCAGCTACATGTGGATGGTTTCTTTGTCTCTAAGGTGGGAATAGCTATTTGCTTCTCCTTGGTCAGAGATGATCACAGGATTTTTCATTTATTTATTTGTTTGTTTGTTTGTTTGTTTTTTGAGACAGGGCCTCACTCGGTCATCCACGCCAGAGTGCAGTGGCGCAACCACAGCTCACTGCAGCCTCAACCTCCTGGGCTCAAGCCGTCCTCCCACCTCAGCCTCCAAAGTAGCATGCACCACCACATCCAGCTATTTAAAAAAATTTTTGGCCAGGCGCGGTGTCTCACACTGTAATCCCAGCACTTTGGGAGGCTGAGGTAGGTGGATCACCTGAGGTCAGGAGTTCAAGACCAGCCTGGCCAACATGGTGAAACCCTGTCTCTACTAAAAATATAAATAATTAGCCAGGCATGGTGGCAGGTGCCTGTAATCCCAGCTACTTGGGAGGCTGAGGCAGGGGAATCGCTTGAGCCCGGGAGGCAGAGGTCACAGTGAGCCGAGATTGCGCCATTGCACTCCAGCCTGGGCAACAAGAGCGAAACTCCGTATCAAAAAAAAAAACATCATTTTTTTTTCTTTTTTTTAGTAGGGACAGCAGGATCTCACTATGTTGACCAGACTGATCACAGGACTTTTTTAGCCACAGTCCCAACATGTTACCCAGACTGTGCAGGCCCAGCAGCCATACCCACTCTGAACTTCCTCATCCTTTTCTCCTCCTGAGTCCAGATCTGCTCCCTCATCACCTTCTCATCAGTCCTCACTTCATATCTCTCTTGGATTTAAGACTGTCCAAATGTATCATTTCAAATTCTCAAACACTACAAAGTCATAGAAAATTAAAGCTGGAACTTTAAAGATCATCTCTTCATTTTACATATTTAAAAAATGGGCTAAAGGAAGAATTATTTGAGCAAAGCCACGCAGAAAGTAAGAGGTCAAACCAGGTCTGGGTTTCTTTCCAGTTTATTGTTGGTGGCTTTCTTTCCACTACTGTGGCCTGGGCCAGGAGAAGGGTGAAAAAATAAGGTTGTTGGCTCCACTGGAGGCCATAACTTGTTTTAAAAGTTCTTGGAATAGTCAATTCAGAAATGGTGAGTGACAGATGTGGTTTGGCTGTATAAAGTAATTTACATCATCTACTTACTCCATATATGGATCATTTTACCACATGATAATGTATACACATATTCTGCATATATGCAAATAAAATGACCAATATGCATACTTATTGTAATGAGGTATAGCTATAAAATATTCATAGAGGCACCATGTTGAATTTAAAAAGAGCTTTAAAGTTGAGAATTTTGCATCCTAGTTTGTTTTTTTTTAACCTATTGTGTGCTTTTTGCCAAATCAATTATACTATCCAGGTCTACTTTACCAATCTGAATATTGCAGTTTTCTGAGGTCATGTTCAATTCCAACTCCTCTCAGCTTCTAGTAAAAAACCTGAGTATAATTTGTCAAGTTTACCTGATTGGTAGTATATGTTTTCACGTAGCAAAGCTTTCACATTTTGCTGCTTCTGTAAGCCTGGTTGTTGGTACTTAACATTAAAAAGTCAGAACTACTAATTATTTATTTCTTGAAGAAAAAAGAAAACATTGTAACTTTTCTAAAATGATTCGGTGTGACATGATCACCAGAGTGACATCCCATTACTTTTGCCACATTGTATTGGTTAGAAGCAAGTCACAGGTCCTGCCCATACATAAGGGCAGGGGATTATACAAGGGCATGACAACAGTGGCCAGAAATTTTGGAGACCATCTTAGAATTCTGCTTACTACAGACTGTCATGAAGAAAGCATGTTTGCAGACATAAAGAAGAGATTCTTACATGTCATTCAACATACTGTCAATTCTTCAAGTTTATAGATTAAACCCCTGAAATAACTTTTTTAATACCCACAAAGATACTGTCTCTTCACTTGGTATTACCCCGCCCCCCACCTAGTTACTAGTGGTGTTGGTGACAAATTCTAAACTTTAAGAGCCTTTTTAAAATAATAGCTCTTTGCATTAGCTTAGTGCCAAGTTGTTTCATCTGAAATTGCTAAATCTTGAAGATTTTTTTCATTTTATCACCTTTTTTCCACTGAAATTCATGATACTAAATTCCACATAATTTCCCCTATATTCACCACACATATTTTTTCTTTCATTTAACATCATCTTCTTAAATTTGGGCATGCATTTCCCCAAATTTTGATTCAATTATGGTTTTCCAATACATTTTCAAAATTTTTTAAATTTTCATTTATGTATTTATTTATTTTAGAAATGGGATCCAGCTATAATGCTGAAATTGTTCCCAAACTTATAAGTTCAAGCAATTCTCCTGCCTCAGCTTCTCAAGTAGCTGGGACTATAGGGAGTTTTCCAATCTTTTAAATAATATTTTAATCAAATTTTTTCATGTATCATGCATAAATTAGATGAAAGTGGAACTTCCCTGCTTGAATTAAAGCCTTCAGCCACTTAAGGCTGGAGTGAGATCTCTGGAGAACATTGGCTGGAAACACCTCTTCTGTCATATTAGTAGGACAGATGCCTTTCATTGCAACATACATACTGAATGTTGGTATAATTGTTGATTGAAATTTAGCTGTACAACTTATGATCTGCAGATGATAGACTTTCTCTAAGTTCTAAAGTACATTAAAGACTAAGCATATAGCATTTTAGAAATAATTTATACAAATTATGTGTTTAAGCTTAATGCCTTTCTTGTTTTTATAAACTTACTATCATCTTTGAGAAGGTCTGGGTGACTTTTATATTAATGTTTTTATTTATTTTAATCTATTGACTATGTAAAAGGTTTACTATTTGTTTAATTTAATTTTAATTTCTGTATTGTATTCCTTATTTAACATGCCAATCAAAACTCTTGTTGTTCCCCATGTTTTGGCTAAAAACAGTTTAGTTCGGTCACTTGTGAACTTATTTTATTTTGTTTGTTTTTCTTTCCTTTCTTACACTAATGCTCATTTATTTACATTATATATAAATTTCTAGAAAAAGCACTAACACTTCTCTCAGGTTATCATAGTTTATCTAGAGTAATTCATTGACATAAGCCCCACTGCTTATGGTTTAATCTTTCTAATAGTCACATGTCACTTTTTCTGATGTTATTATGATTTGAAAGTAGGGGAAAATTCTTCTTACTATTATGAGAATCAGGGTCTATCATAAGGGTTAGCCATGATGTGGCTTACCAGCCTCCCTTTGCAAAATGCTGACTTGCGAAGTAGAGCTTAAGCCAAATATGAATACCATTTTTTAAATCTAATTTTTAATCATATATTGTTCCTGAAAGATGTATACACTTCTCTGGATCCCAAACATTCAACTGCTCCATTTATTTACAAAATAAAAATGACATGTATAAAAATGTCACTTTAGGTGCCTTGTTCCAGCATGGGTTCATTGTTTGGAGTGCTACATCAATGTTTTAGCATGAGCTGCACTTGTAATTCATCATCTATTATTTCTGTTTAGTTTTTTTTTTCCCCCAGAGGACAAATATCTTAACGAATCATATAAAGCAACCTGAATTTAGTATCTTCTCAGAAATTTATATTTGTAACTATTTAAAAAGTAAATATTCACACCTAATTTTATGGTTTTTTAATGTACATGTATCTATGTGGGGGATTTACCGGTGTTACGTTTATTCAATGATTTTGACTTAGTTTTTATAAATACAACAACACTTTTTAAATGCATTTTTCAAATTCTACAAGATTAAATTACACACTTACAGTATTTTAGAATAGTGTAAATTGATTTGAAAATAAACATAACTTATTCTTGATAAGCATACCATTCAGCTGGTGAAAATAGAAATGTGCAGATATCCTAGGCAGTAGCCAACGACCTGAGCAATTTTTGCACATCAAGGTCATCAGTTATTGTATTTTACTGAGAAAACTGCAAGTGTCATTAATTTTGTAAGTAAGTCCATTAGAATGAAGAGAAGTTATAATAAAATATATGCCCAAAGTAGTCCCTGTAAAGTGTTGAAAGGGGTTTAAATAAGAGAGCAATTATTACTCTTCCGCAATGATGGGAGGAAAAATCACTAGGAGAAAAAGTCAGAGAACATTAAGAAGTTCACCTTGGGCCGGGCGTGGTGGATCACGCCTGTAATCCCAGCACTTTGGGAGGCCGAGACGGGTGGATCACAAGATCAGGAGATCGAGACCCTCCTGGCTAACATGGTGAAACCCTGTCTCTACTAAAAATACAAAAAATTAGCCGGGCATGGTGGCGGGCGCCTGTAGTCCCAGCTACTTGGGAGGCTGAGGCAGGAGAATGGCATGAGCCTGGGAGGCGGAGCTTGCAGTGAGCCGAGATCGCGCCACTGCACTCCAGCGTGGACGACAGAGCGAGACTCTGTCTCAAAAAAAAAAAAAAAAGAAGTTCACCTTGATTAACATACAGCTTCTATCTGTGAAAGACAAATTTGGGAGATTTGGTTGGAACTCTAAGTTGAAAACAAAAACTTCATCCATCACTAATATCTGAAACAGAGGTATTCATCTATTCATTCATTCACCAAATGTTTGTTAGTCATTCACCATACATACACTAAGCTTTGTGGACCACAAAGGTCTAAGTCACATGAGGCTAGAATGAGGATGGCCATTTTTATTTATAGTTAAACAAAGAAAAGGTAACAAGAATAAACAGAAATTTCATAGGAATTTGGAATCTGACTGAGAAAATAGTTATTTCAGAGATAAAATAAGGAAAACTGACTTTTGATTACTGCCAATGTTTGAAATAAGTAAAAGTAAACAAAAAAATTTGAGTCTGGGTGCTGAAAGAGTGATATTGCAGAATCAGGAATTTGGTTAAAGAAGTATGTTTAAGATTGTTTAAAAAGTCATTACTTAGATTGAGAGCATACTAAATTTGAGTATTATTAGGCACACCTCCACTTTCCTACAGTAGTTCAGACAGACTGTAGAATATACTTATATTGCTTAAAAAATGTTTTAAAATTAATTTGTAAACATGTAGAAGATCACTTGTCTAGACCTGCGAACTTTCCAAGTGCAGATATTCCATTGGAATGCTAATAAGGGCATTTGATCATCTTTTAAATCACCTTAAAATTTCTGAAATATGGAGTGACTCCAAGCTCTATGCATTAAAAAAAGAAAGCACACTTAGAAGTATATTGTATCCATCCATTGTGACTATCTTTGGCTTTGCCATTAATGTTTTACAATTTGGAGAAGTAACACTATTCACCAATTCCTGGATCTACAGCCCACCCATGGTCCCAGTTTGTTTATAAAGTAGTCCTCATGAAATAGCAAAGTTATTCAGAAACATTTAACATATTTTAAATATAAGATAATTTAGAGTTCATATTATCTTGTAATGTTCATACAATCATACAGTTCATACAATCTTATGTTATTAATATCCACTACATTCTTCAAGAGTTACCAATGTAATATGGGTACTTACAAGCGCTTGCTCATGTACTTAAAATTAGTAGTAAGTTTTACTTTCCTAACATTTAGTAGACAGGGTAGAGTTCGTGTATGTCCAATTGCATGCCAACTCTTATATTGTTCAATTTTCCATTTTGATGTTATTCTCATATTGTGTTACATCATCATTACACTATCTTGGTTGAGTAACTCAAAGGGATAAAATAGGAATGGAAATCATATAAACTTAAAACTCAGGTTTTTTTGTGAATTGAGACTCTAATGAAAAAACATCAGAAGAACCATAAATCTACATGTATTTTTAAAAAGTAATTCTGTAAGAGTGACCATCTTAGGTAAGCATCCTAAAAATAAATGTCTAAATAAGAAATATAAGATGAATATCTGAATATTAAAACTTATTGAACTGTTGATCTATTTGTCTTCTTCAGAGAATGCCATTTTGAAAATGTGTCAAAAAGTAACATAAGGTCTTTTGGGTTCTCGTAATTTTCACAGAAAATAGTCACAACTTAGGTAAGTCAGATAAGTCTTTGTCTTAGAAAAAGTAAAAAACAATGCTTTAATTCATAAAGTGAATAAGTGGTTTCACTTAAAGGCAGAATAAAAATCAATGCTTCAGAGGTATCATTAAAAGTAGTATTCCTCATAAGAAAACAAATATGGTTGGCAAAAAAGCAAAACTAGTTATTGGCAATACTTTATTATCAGTGTATCAGTATACTTTAATATCATGCAATAACAATTGCATGATATTACTAGTAATCAAGGAAGAACAATTTTTATGTACATGTTCATGCCAGGATCTAATTCACCTTACAATTGGATAAAACACTTATGTGCAAAGAATCAATCATTTATCTGTGGCACTTACATGAAGATTAATTACTGAGCAACTTTTTGTTCTGCTTATTACTGACAACCTATACTGATGAAGAGTAGATTTTTATGCTAATATTCTATTATTTTGTGAGTCTTGGTATAGACTGGAAAACTATGTGGGGATCAGACCTAGCAGATAACAATTATATATATAGAAGGTAGGTTTGCTATTATAATTCTTTGTACCTGAATGCCTCTCCACACAAATTTATTCACAGGAAATAATATCCTTTCTAGTTCTTAATTAATTTTGGCGAAAATTGTTAAAATTCTCAAATTCCACTCTCTAATTGTTTCATGAAGAATGGGCATTTGCTTTTCTACAGTGAAGAACAATGGGTGATGAAATGTTGCTCACATGGTTTTTATAAAGTATGTAATGAATTTCATTATGTCCCGGATAGTGCCAATCAAGGTCATTTTTAAAATATGAAGGCACTTGTTGAAGTGACAAGTCTTAGCCTATCACTTTACGGCCAAATGATGAATCTGTGTAATGTTGAGGATAAGACATAAGAATTTCTTCAGAAGATCATGTGATGTTATGAGTAGTTTGATTGAGAATGTGACTAACGCCTGCCACTAGGTGATTCTCTTCGTTTGTCAGAGGAAGAAACCAATGACTTATTCCTGGATATGTTTTAAATTCAGTGCAAATGCTAGAACAGAACACAAAGATAGTCAAAGCTAAATGCAACCCGAAAGTAGATTATGATCTATTTACTACTGTCTATCATGTTGAACAATCAACTTTTCAGCTTCTGAGCATAGTATGCAGGCCTATTTAATGTGTTAGAATGTTGAAATTAGTCTTCAGTGAGAAATATTTTATAATTTCAAAGATCATCTTCAACCTGAATTCACAGAGCTATGACAGAGCTACATGCCATTATAGGTCCTAATTTTCTGTAACTGTCAGGTAAGTTTTTCTATTTTAAGAAATTAAAAGGAAAGGAAAGAAGGCAACTAGATATGGACCCAGACATATAAGCTATCCTTCTTCAAGCAAATACAAATATTTCGGTGAAACTTTTACTGAAATATCAACACTCTCCTATGTATGTGAAATTCATATTAACAATTTTAATATTGTGTTTAATTTTTACTATTTACAATATCGTGATAACGGGTTGAATGGCTTGCTGCTGTGTGCACTGGAATGCCTATTGTCGGGTCTACATAAGCCTGAAGTTTAGAAAATACTGTACTAGATTTGATACTCCAATAAGGACAATAGATATTTCAGTTATCAGTGAATACTCAGCTGGTAGCATATTGTTGGTGTTCAAAAAATATTAGTTGAATAAATTAATGAATTAATTACACTTGCCAAAAACTTATAAGCCAGTTTGCTGGTCTTCAGAAAGAGCGTCATGAGTTTTTCCTATCTTAATATGTTAGTTAATATTTTCTATTATCTCTGCCATCTTTGTCTTCTGAGAACTCTAGAAAGAGAAATGTGCATCCCATCACTATTGTCAAAATATGAAGGATATTGTTATTGTTGTTGTTGTTTAACTAGATTTTGTTCTTTCAGCTTCACATGGCACATTAACATAAACATGATTTGTCAGAGGAAACTGAATTTTCCCACACACTATTTATCTCATTTTACAACACTTCAGGCTCTAAAATACTTGCCAGAAATTGAAGATGTCTATTTAATATCTCTAAGGTTGTTTATTGATGTAATTTTTGACATATTTTATAACAATTTCTCTCCAAATGACCACATTTATAGTAAATAACTCTGAACACCTTAACCATGAATCTTAGTAACATAAGTGAAAACAACAGGTAGTATCTGTACACACAGGTAAGACATTGTTAAAGAAATATGTAAAGTCAAACATTAAACTGCAGAATAACCTAACGACATTATTTTCTTCTAAGGTAAGCTTTCTCTTTCTCTCCTGCTCCTTTTCCCTTTCTCTTCCTCCCTCTTCTCTTCCCTGTGTCCCCTGCTTCTCTAATCCACAAGGCAGTGTTTTGCTCAGTACATGTGGCTGATGGCCTTTTGTAACCTCATAACATAGCAATCTGATTTCAAGCTTACATTGTGAATTATGGTAAAAGGGTTAGCACAGACAATGATTTTCTTATTTCTTCCCCTTATTCAATCTCTCTTTTTCTCTAAAAATATCTCTACCTCAAGAAGAATAAAAAACAAATTCATAGTAATAATCCTTTCTTGGCAGGCAACTTATTACCAAAATTAAAGGACTTTACTTTCTATGTCCATCTCACTTACAGAAACTGAATGAAAGCAGTAGCTCATCAGAAGGTAGCACTGTGGACATCGGCGCACCTGTAGAAGAACAGCCCGTAGTGGAACCTGAAGAAACTCTTGAACCAGAAGCTTGTTTCACTGAAGGTAAAGAAAAGAATCCTAATGTTAATCTTTCATTTGGAGTGCAGCTTGTTTAGCTGTTGGTCAGCTAAAATAAATCACATATAATAAAATGGCACTTTGTAATAGATATAATTCAATCACCTCTAATATGTTGACAGACAAAAAAACTTAAAGTCTAGTGTCATGCTTTGATTATATCTGCCCAATATGTGGAAGAGATTAAGAACATGGAGGAAAAATATTTTAGTACCATCAAAACTTCTAACTTATATTTTTAAAGTAAGTAGTGATTTCACAATAAGTTGGCATCTTAGACACTACTGAAAATGATCCTACACAGAATTTGCCTTAAAAGTAACTTTCTGACTGCTAAAACTAAACGGATTGCTAGTGCTAAATTGTGTTTCTTTAATGAAAACATCAGTTTCCAATAATTGTTGGATGAAATGGGGAATAAATACTGCCCTAGAAACTCTATACCTAAACAGTCACTAGTTGAGCCTGGTGCAGTATGGGCAATAGATAGAAGAGATATGTTTTTCCTACAACTAATATTTCCTGTGGTCTGATATCCCTGGGAATTTGAGGTTTGGAAATATGCATACTTTCTATTTGATGTTATTTTTTCATAGGCCTAGTATACCTTCAGTCTTCTTCTATTCCCTATACAAATCATGCATATCACTTAATGTCCTTTTCAAAACTGCCCTCATCTGACCATGGTGGAACAGCAGCTTGTTCCTCTGAATGGCTGTAAGAAGTATTTCCATTTAATTTACCCGATAATATACATTATCCTATGAAAACTCTTTCTCTTTTTGAACAGTTACATGTTACTTTTCTATCTTTTTTCTCTTCTTTTCCTCCATTCCTTCACTCCTTAGTTCCTTCTTTCCTCCTTCCCTTCTTTTCTTCCTCCTTTTCTCCATTCATTCCCTTTCTCCTTTTTCTTCAAACATATCTTTTCCTCCTTTTTTTTTTTTTTGCCTTGGAGCAGGGATCCTGTATTTATATCTTTTTCTTTTTTTTTTTTTTGAAAACCAGATTTTTTTTGGTAAGGTTCTTGGGAGTAAGGTACATGTTCGGTGCCTTTTTGTGTGTGTACCTAAGTGCCTTTGTGCTTACAATGGTACTCAGAAGTACCTGTTGATTGCATTTAGACTAAGTGAAAGCAATGTGTGAGGAAGGCAATGAAAAGTCAAAGCCAAATCATACAAATTAGCTTTTAGTGAACTAAATTAATTATGCAAATTACATAAGCCCTTCTAGGCACATCACAAAAAATCCTAAATGGTAACAAATGCAGCATTGTTGGAAGAGATCTACATTTTTACTCTATATCCTTTATAAAAGGGAAGTTTTCTGCTTAACATTATTAATGTCCAATTTAAAGTTCTTTTCTGGAGTGACTTCAACAGAGTGCAACAGGATGATATGGTACAAGGAAAAGCTACCTCACATTTATTTGTAATTTACAAAGTTTCTCTTGGACAATAACACTGTGAGGCAGACAAAGCAAATACTGTCCGCTAGGGCATCATTTAAAGTGGCTGAATGTTTCCACAACTTCACACAGCTGATGAATGTGCTCTTACTACTCTAGGCTTAGAGAGCTATGCTAGCAAGACAGAGATGAGCATAGTAATAAAAAGACAAGACAAGGACATTGCTAAAGGATATTATGGAAGCAGAGACACTTTATCTACTTTTATTTCAACACTTTCTGCAGGCTGTGTACAAAGATTCAAGTGTTGTCAAATCAATGTGGAAGAAGGCAGAGGAAAACAATGGTGGAACCTGAGAAGGACGTGTTTCCGAATAGTTGAACATAACTGGTTTGAGACCTTCATTGTTTTCATGATTCTCCTTAGTAGTGGTGCTCTGGTGAGTGAGATTAAGAAAAGGTGATACAGCACTAATTTTTAGAACACTCTAATACTGATGACTTATTAATCCTTTGTTTCATTGTCTTAGTATCCAATGCATTTTTAATTATCCCACCTTGTATCTTCTATAGATTTACTCTATAACTCTATATTTCTGGATTAACTTTTACTATGTATGTAAATATAATTTTAAGAAGCTAATCATTAATTTTTGCTTACTATTAAATAGCCCAGAAAGTGTAGCCCTTCAGCTTATTCATTAACACCAAAGGATGTGAATATTCAATTACTCATTGTTTAATTAAAAAAAGTTATTGGAAGCCCTGGGATGGGAATATATATTCTCTGAGTTCTGACGAATTTTGTTTCTAAATGGTATTTATTATTATTATCTCTTGATGGACAGTAGTAAGTCCTTAGGGACCACTTCTCTGTCTTTTTCCAATTGTGTGCTCACTATTTTTGTGCTACTTAAGAAATAATGAAAGTTGGTAACAATAAATATTGGGCAGCATGCCCAAGAGATTCATTTAAGGATGGGTTTATCTTTATAACAAGGTGTTCACTTCATCAGAATCAATTTATTTTTATAGGAAAATTATTTATAAAACTATAAATAAAACATACAGATAGCATTTTAGGGAAACACTAACACAAAGGAAATACCATAGATAGAAAAAGAGAAAGAAAGAGAGAGAAACAGAGTTTGCCTGATTGAAATGCAAGTGTGTTACAAGTTTAACTTTTTATAATTCTAACACAGACATATATTTACCTGTAATTTTTCTGAAGAAAGAAATATTTTCTACACGCTACTTTAGAAGTCTTTCACCGTTGAAAGGAATGCATACTTAGAAGTGAAACATCGAGAGGTTCATAATAGAAGAATATATATTAGAATCTAAATGAAAAGTAATTTCATTTAATCATTGTCACACTGTATGTCTGTTGAGAAACATAAATTATTAAAAAAATAACAAACAACAACAAAAAAGAAGCAGATGAACCCAACTATTTAGTCAAATTGGAGACTGCGAAGATCAATCACAATTTCTGCTTTACAAAAGCACAAGCTTTCATTATTTCTTCAACCTCCTTTCTATAGCAAAAAAAAAAAAAAAAAAAAAAAGCCAATAGAAGGAAGCAAAATAAATGAAACAAAAGGAATACATAACTTCAAGTTGGGATGGCCACATCAGGATACAACATCAAGAACTATTTCCTGACTAAGTCAAATTAATTCATTGGAATCATACTTTTCTTTTTCTTCCACCAATAGTCTTTCCCCTGATTAAATAAGTAAAAGACCTTTGCGAGGAAAAAAAAAAAGTAACAGTAACTACTGTTTCTCTGCCCTCCTATTCCAATGAAATGTCATATGCATATGATTAATTTTTTAAATAGCTTATGGAGTATAATTATTTTTGAAAGCTAATAATGTGTAACATTTTCTTTATAGGCATTTGAAGATATATATATTGATCAGCGAAAGACGATTAAGACGATGTTGGAATATGCTGACAAGGTTTTCACTTACATTTTCATTCTGGAAATGCTTCTAAAATGGGTGGCATATGGCTATCAAACATATTTCACCAATGCCTGGTGTTGGCTGGACTTCTTAATTGTTGATGTAGGTATCGTTCATATTTTTGTCTCTGTTCAAGGTAGCTTGTCTTATTTATATTCAAATTCTACAATAGTGAGTCTCAGACCACTATGTTATGTTGACAGACTATAATAACCACTAAACGCATATATGCAATGAGAGTGTCATTTCTGGAAGACAAGGGCTAATTTAATTCTGATTTAAAATAACATTGGGGGATGGAATCTATGGTAGTTCTCTAGTTATCTGAGAAAGCTAAAGAAAAAACAACACATCAGCAGTTTGTAGGGAAAGTAGTGAAACAGGGAACTTAAAAGGTATGTTGCTTAAATCCTTTATGTTGTGAGTCAGACAGACTCAAGTTTGTATCCCAGGACCATCACTTGTTGATTTTGTGCCACTGAGTTAGTTTCTTGGCCCCAAACTCTTGACCCCCAACTTGTACAGTATTAAAGGCACTCAATAAAAACAGTGATGCTGTTGGGTGCTACAGTCATTTAAAAAAATTCTATTTGATCTACTCAAACTTTTTAAAGAGTAGATTTAAATAGTAGATTATATGGATTATGACTTCATTATAGGAAGTAAGGTATGTAGAGTGTAGGGAAAGAGAAGTCTACTTTATTCAGCAGTGAAAGTTTTCCTAGAATGTAAACTAGATTTACGGCAAGCCCAAACAGCCCTTTATAGAATTTGTATCCCCAATGATTAATACTGCATTTACTGAAAACAAGTGACTGACTTCAAGATGTGTTAAAGTTAAGCATCATGTTTTCTATTATCAACTTGGCAAAATTTCAGCTTTAGAAAGCTACAGCAAAACTATCCTGATTTCATATTGAGTAGTTTTACCCCAAAAAGATACTAACCCAGCAAGACTATGAGGGTTTCTTGTGGAAAGTGTTTCTTGAGCTAAGAATCATGAATGCATTATATTTCCTTGACCCTGAACAAAGGCAAAACTAAGCTATTTAAAAAACTTAACAATGTTACTGTGAAATGAGCCAATTGAGAGAAATCTCAAAGGAAGAATTGCTTTATCACATCAATAAGGGAGAAAGTTTGTAATATTGAGGTTTCAAGCATTAGAAGTTACATTATGTTTCAATTTCAGAATTGTTTACACTATAATTTAAATCTAAATGTAATTTAACCCTTTAAAACTTCCTGAGGTTTTTTTTCTATTATGTTTATTACACATCAGCTTTTTCATGAAAGTTTTTTAGTGTCATTTTTGAAACATTTTAAGAAAATAATTTTATAGAAAATTTTGTAGTTTGTAACAATAATATCTTTATTTTCAATGTTCTGTTTTAATTCTTTAATGAAGATCAGTATAGCACTCTATAAAAGGACTAATTACAGCACATCTCAAATAATGTAAGAAGTATATTAAATATGATACAATTAATACATTTTAAAAAAGAAAAGTTTACAAAAATAGTGTGCAGTATATGCGGAATTCTCCAATACTAGCATCTTTCTAACCAAATAAGTTATAATCTTCCTTGAATACAAAGTTTTAGTAAATTCCTTATTTAGAGAATTAGATACGTAAGATTTTTCCTTTAGTCATGTATATTACCTACAAATGAATACAAATGAAGTAAATTTATTGCTGTGTGTATTTGGTAAATATTCATTGATTGGCCCTTTGGGGCCAGATATCATGGCAGAAGCCATAAATTAGTATAAAAAATTTTGAGGAAGTTTTGTAATGGAATTTCTTTCTAAGTTACTTATGTAAAAATAAACAAGTGAAAATGCAAGGTATTACCAAGACAAAATATCACCTTCAAAACTGATGTAGTTCATTAATTTCTGAGAATACCAATTATGATTAGTTGAATATACTGATGCACAGTAGAAACTTCCTGCTTTTTTTAGTACAACAGCAGTTTTTGTATTTTATAACTAGCTACAAGAAAAGCCTTAAATTCAACAGCAACTTAATAAAATAAAGGAAGAATAGCCAATGAATTTTTTTCCACCTTGATTTCTTCTTTTATTTTACTAATTTTTACTTTGCTTTTTTTTTCTATTTATTCAGTTGATAAATTATATGACATTTAAGGATTTTTTTTCAACTAGCTTTTAATTAATGTCCTAAAAATTACATCCTTTACATCAAACTGAAATTATTTCTTTAATTTTTTAAAGGTTTACTGAAAATGTCTGAACATTTATCCTCTGAATAATTATAAGCAAAAATTATACTTGTTGTATTATATAGCAACTACACATTGAATGATGATTCTGTTTATTAATTGTTATTATTTTTGTGTGTGCAGGTTTCATTGGTCAGTTTAACAGCAAATGCCTTGGGTTACTCAGAACTTGGAGCCATCAAATCTCTCAGGACACTAAGAGCTCTGAGACCTCTAAGAGCCTTATCTCGATTTGAAGGGATGAGGGTAAGAAAAATGAAAGAACCTGAAGTATTGTATATAGCCAAAATTAAACTAAATTAAATTTAGAAAAAGGAAAATCTATGCATGCAAAAGGAATGGCAAATTCTTGCAAAATTGCTACTTTATTGTTTTATCTGTTGCATATTTACTTCTAGGTGATATGCAAGAGAAATAGGCCTCTCTTGAAATGATATAATATCATTTATCTGCTGTGCTTATTTAAATGACTTTATTTCCTAATCCATCTTGGGAGTTTCCTTACAAATCTATATACAAAAAAAAGCTGATGCATTATTAAAGTACTATGTGTAATGATATAATGGTAATCTAAAGTAAATTCTATATCAGGTACTTATTCTTTGTGATGATATACTGTACTTAACGAGTTTTCCTGAAAATAATGTGAATCACACATGTGCCTAAGTATGAGTGTTAAGAAAAAAATGAAAGGAGTTGTTAAAACTTTTGTCTGTATAATGCCAAAGTTTGCATTATTTGAATATATTCAAGATTAGATGGTTAGATATTAAGTGTTGACTGAATTTATAAAACTAGTAATACTAACTTAAAGATTACATACAAATCCACATCATTTTTATAACAATAAAGTAAAACACTTATAATGAACAGAAAATATAATTTTGACTCATTACTATAGGTAATTTATACATTAACCTTAACTTGCATCTTATTGGTCAGAGTCACACAAAATGTTATTTTATCCTTTTCAAAGATGCAATAATCATTTTCCATCATGCATAACAGATTAGAAATTTTGCCATTATTGACTTATTTTCCATGCCTTTTTTTACGGCATGAAGCATTAGTTTATAGATATATAATATAAAAAATTAGTTCTGCTTTTTTTTAAAAAAAAATATTATCAAAACAAAACACTGAATTGTGTGATTCCAATAGAAAAACACTGCTCTTTCACCTCCTAAGGTGTAGTTACTTTTATGGAAACTAAGCTGTATTGTAGACTTCCATTTGCACTTTGTAGATTGTTTATAGCCTTATGTTCTCTTCTCAAGTCTTATTATAAATGTCACTTTGTAAGAACGTAGGACTTGTCTTCGATTTCCCTAACATATATGAAAACTTTGTCCTCATTATCGACAACTCAGAACAATATAATACAAGTAGTCCTCTTTTATTTCTCACAGAGAGCCTCAAATTTTCACCAAAATGTTAACAGAAATTATCTCTGGGGTGTATAAGAATTAAGTCTGTTTTCCAATTAAATGTCACTTTGTTTTGTTTCAGACTGGCAGTTTCAGTTCTGGAGAAAAAAAATGTCATTTGTGTACATTCTACTTGAAAACATGTTGCCTGAATCAAAATAATATATTTTATATGGCTTGTGAAATCTGAACAATGCTAAACATTTGAAAATATTATAAACCTTTTACATTTGACCATTTGAAAGTTTATTAAATTCATTGGTCAAGTGCTCAGATATTTCCATACATTACACTTCATTTCTATAAAAAAGCTGATCTTATCGGTATACTTTTAATTTTCTCAGAAATAACCATATCTATAATTATTAATCAATAATGCCTTTTATATTAAAAGAGGTTAGTTTTTGAAACTTGGAGTTTTAGACATAAAATCCTTATAAATGCTGATAGTGATATAACTAATAGTTTAAATGGTCAGATTTATGAATATGGCTCTATTCCTCATAATGACAACATACACACAGCACTAAAATGACTAATCTCTTCAATACGTGTTTGGCATTGTAGAGTCAAAATAACGTTATAATTGATTCTATTTTTTATACTTCTAGTGTTTGGATATTTTATTTTGTAAAAATATAATCATGAATGATGGTGAGGTTGGATATAAGAATGATGATTATGATTGGGAAGTGAGATTTGAACATGCTCAGAAACTCTCATTTAATTCTTTGCCCTAGCAGCATAAAATCACAATAGCTGCGTCAAAGCGTAACTCAGGCACTCATTTTATTTTTGTTGTTCTGTTATTTTTTCAAAGCATGTGCTTTTATGCAACATTACTGAATAAAGCATGTTGTACAGTGCTTGATAAGAAGTTAGAAAGTAACAAATAAATTATCATCACGTTGCACTTTGTGTTTTGCATGTTTTATGCACATTTCTGGCTGACAGCTTTTAAACATTTATTGTATTTCAAATTTCCAGTCCAAATTTTTCAACTTGTAAAATTAAACTGAGTGAATTGATGTCGTGAATATCTAGGGTAAAATAAAATTTGTGTTTAAATTTGTATTTTTAATTTCCTAACCTAGGAAATCTTAAATACCTTCTTTTTCAAAAGAACTCAAGTCTTAATGGATAGGGAAACAGACGGAGAGCATCATGAACAAAAAGTAACACCAAATGTTCTGTCATATCAGATTTCTAACTAATAACAAACTATATATTTCTATTTTGTATAGGATAATCTTGCTCCAACTTGGATGGGGTGGAGCGCTGGTTCCTCCCCTGAGCCCTTTATTATGGGTACTGTATTACCCCTTTTGCTACCTTTAATCCTTGCACTGTGACTTATGTGTAGTGGGGTGAGGGAGGGATTGGGAAGGGTACTATTATTGCACCACAGTAGGGAAAATACATTATTTACATCCTAATCCCCTCTTTTCAATTGTCTTAAATTTCATTTGAAAAAAAAAAAAACCTTTATGAATTTACCCTCTGTGGATTTTAACCCCAATGGTTGATATCTTTATTAAGTTTCATTGAATATGATTTAGTTATGTGTATATGGAGTTATCCATCTTTGGGGAGATTACTGGATTGGTGAGGGCGGGGGACCCTGGTGTAGAATGATTATGTGAAAAAACAATTTAACTTGTTAAGCTCATGATACTGTTTGAGGCATACAGCCCCTGCTGTTTAGTACATTGGTCTGGGTCCTGAAAATTACCAGTTAGATACCATCAGTTGATTATTGATATGTATGAGCAGATACTAGGGTGCAATATTTCAGGTTTCATAAGACTGGTATTGATTGTGACCACTCTCATTTTTTATTGTGTAAGTTCATATGGGGTTATTTTCAAAATGTTAACAAGGCAAAAATATATTAAGAAATAGTTGAATAAGCACATGTGAATTGTGTTGTAAACAAAAAGTTAGAATAAAAAAATCCACTTATTTGAATTATGCAGAATAGAATACATACCTAGAAATAAAACAAAAACGTCTTATCATGAGTATTAAGATAAAATTTAAGGCATAAACTCACTTCTTAGAATAAGTAACTCCCAACTAACTTTCTAGGATTTTAAAACATAACACAGTGAAAACATACATAAACATAACTCTACATTTTATTTATTCTTAAAGTTTAAGTGTATTATACAAGAAGAAGAGTTTATATTCGAGAGACAGAAAAAGTCAGAATTTTTGTTTGGATCACCAATATATCATAGCTTACAAAAAAACTGTCTTAATTAAAACCCACAACATAATTTTTTTAGATTTTTAAGAAAGATTCTATTATTCTTCTTTATACTTAAAAATGGATGATTCCTACTTTGCCCACTTTTATTTTTATTCACATAGATTTTCTTTATTTCTATTAGAGAAGCACTAGAATTCATGAATAGTGTTGATTTGAAGTTCAAAGTAATTAATTCAGATAAAAAGACATTTCTGCATGTATGAAAATTTCTAATGTGAATTTGCATATTTAATTATCAATCCTTCATTTAGTGTAGACTTATTTTTAAAAATGCAGGTAATGAACCAGAAATAGAATTGGTTGTGCTAGAGTAGAGAAACTTTATTTGATGATTGTTTTGAAAAAAAAGCTTCTGAGAAGAAACAACCTCTAGTACAGTATTAATTCATTAAGATAGCTCCTTTCTCAGACATTTCCTTTCATGTAGCCTGAAAGTTCAATTTGAAATTTGTTCTTTCCAATTTATTCAGACTAATTCTGCCTACTTTCTTCCCCCCATAAGAACCAATTACTGCAGCTTTATTGAGACTGAAAAAAGTTAATACACCTCCTTCTTTGCTGAACCAAGGAATGGCTTGGAACTCTTGGGAAAAGACAATCTTTTCTATGATCTTTCATTGTCTAATTTAATACATCATAAATATGACTATAGCTTTGTATAATAAACTCCCCAATACTGTGCCAGATGTTTTCTAAGATAAAGTTATTTTATGTTCACAAAAAAAATAAAACTTTTCTCTGGGCCAAATGTATGCCAACTTTGCAAATCATATCCTGAAGTGCACTGCTGCAGAGTACATGCTTGCGTCATAAATTCCATAGAGTTCGCTTTAACTCTAAATCAATCCCCAGTTTCAAAGTAAACCTCTCAAACATATTACCTAAGCACAAACTTCTCCCTGTGCTCAGTTCCTTAATTATTCTCATCCCATATTCAGAAATAACATTTAAAAATTATGCTTTGATCAATAAATACTAATCTAAACTTTGCTTCATTAACCCATTCATTTTTGTCAACCATTATTTTATTCCTATATTCAAAGCTCTCTGGTATGTTCTTATATTCAAGACACTCAAGGCCCTGGAAGATTCACGAACATATGTTTGCATCTTAAATTTTTAGAAAATCTTACAATCTGTCAGGATTACACTGAACTCTAGTACAGAGTAATATGGGTACCAGATAAGTGGGAGCAACTCTTCCACGTAGACTGGAAACAGCACTAAATGCTATTTATAGGCTACTTTCTGAACTTAACTTGTTTTAACCTCATTTTTCTCATATGCCAAATGAGAACGCAATACTGAATTATCTGTACAGTTCTGTTCAGTACTAGAATTCTGATTCTTGAATTCAAAGGGGAAAACATTCCTCTTTATTTTGGAGGCTAAACTGGGGGACAAAGTTAGGCTCCATGAAAGAAGTGCTATTTGAACTAAAGCCTTTAAGAGGGGAGAGTATTTCAGAAGAGGAGCTATTAGACAAGGAATTTCAATGTAAATGGCATCTCAATCACCTGGCAATTATATTAGCACACGGTTATTATATTAATTGAAGTGGCATGAAGTATAGATGACCAGGGAAGTTAAAACTGGAAATATAGATTGTGGAGTGATGTGAATACCAAGGTAAGAAAAATATTTGTTAGTTACCAGAGAGCCAATAAATAACTTTCAAGTGGGACTTGGGGAAGATTAATTCATCTTACATAGATTAAATGAAGGAGAAGGTTAGGAGACAGATGACAGTGCAAGTATGAAATAACAGAGGGCAGTTCTAGGTGGTGACTGTGAGAATGGAAAAGAGGTGGCAAAGCTGAGAAACGTTTCAAAGAAAAAATGTGAGACAGGTAATGTGAAAAGAAAATCGAGAAATAGGTATAGATAATCAGTGTTCTGCTCATACTCTAAATTGGGTGTTGAAGGCAAAATACGTATTTTAATTAGTACTCTGTGTATACACACTAGAAACAGCATTGTAATCTGGATAGTGGACAAAATATTCAGAAAAGAAGGGAAATAGTAACTTGATTTCAATTTCCAAATCTCTAATCTGAAAGAAATCTAATTCTATTCATCCATTTAAAATAAATTATATAACGAGAATTTATGAAGTCCATTGTATTAATGCAGACAGTCAGATGAGATAAGGCAAAGTGTCACGTGTCAGCTTGGTAGTTGCATCGGCCACATCATTTGGTTCTGCCTGGATAACTCAACCAAATTAATTTTTCATACTCATCCCCTCCACCTTTGTCATTACTGGTATTCTTATTTTCTTTGGCCCACTTATCACACTGTTTTATGTTCCCCAGAAGGCCTAGAGTTCTTTACAGGCTTTAAACAGGGATCAGAAGTATAAGAAATTGGCTCATGTATTTTTTTTTCAGACAGGCAGTTAAAAAAAATTGTTCTAAAAATACACTGGCATCAAATGGCAAATAGAAGATGTTTTGACGACTACTTCCATTGGATCAGACTGACAAGAATAATACAAGCACATAGGTGGAATTAAACTTAGCTATTAATGTCCAAGTTTGAGGCAGCTGCCCCTTATAAGCATTTTAGGGTCTGTTTTTAGCTTCCCTCTTAGCCACTCCTGTGCAGCTCCAGTGGGAGGTATGGAGGAAAAAGCAAGGAAGCCATCCCTATGTTGTTTCCAAACATGAACACTCAAGATTTTTAACTAGTGGTCCAGAAGTAAAGAGGGGGAAAACATCCTTCTATAGAAAAAAAAAAAAGTAGATAATAATTGAACACAGAACTTCATGTGATCACATCAGATTTGAGAACTATGTATGGCATCCCTCTTTTTCTTATTTTCCTAAGAAATGATTTCTATTATGTTTCATTTGAAATAAGTTTTTTGAATTAAACTCAGTAAATGAAACAACTGACATGACTGGAGCTTGAAATAAACGATGTGATGATCTAATGAAATACATAATGCAAATTGTCTTGCTTCTTATGCAAAAATTATTAGTCATAGCAATGCATGAATAATTAAAGACAATTATATTAGGTATTTAATAATATTTTTTATATTTATCATCTGAATTTTTAAGTTATTTTAAAAATATATTGGTCAAATCAACTCAGGTCCAAATGTTTTAGTTTTGTTCTTTAATATATTGCCTTTTTAAAATGAGTTAAACTTCTGTATAGGCTTTTTAACTTTTCTTTATTCTGATAACACAATTCTGACTTCATCTGGCAGCAAGTTCCTCTGATTTTCCTTTTCCTTTAACCTTTTAATGCTTCTCCCTCCCTTTTTTTTAAAAACATTTTTGTTTCATTTCTTGGTTATATTGCCTATAGTTGTTTTCCTAAGTGTATTGCTTAAGAAAAAAAAATGAATTTTAAGATTTTTTTGAACCTTGCTTTTACATATCCTAGAATAAATAGCATTGATAGAAAAAAAGAATGGAAAGACCAGAGATTACTAGGGGAATTTTTTTTCTTTATTAACAGATAAGAATTCTGACTTTTCTTTTTTTCCATTTGTGTATTAGGTGGTTGTGAATGCCCTTTTAGGAGCAATTCCATCCATCATGAATGTGCTTCTGGTTTGTCTTATATTCTGGCTAATTTTCAGCATCATGGGCGTAAATTTGTTTGCTGGCAAATTCTACCACTGTATTAACACCACAACTGGTGACAGGTTTGACATCGAAGACGTGAATAATCATACTGATTGCCTAAAACTAATAGAAAGAAATGAGACTGCTCGATGGAAAAATGTGAAAGTAAACTTTGATAATGTAGGATTTGGGTATCTCTCTTTGCTTCAAGTTGTAAGTGAACACTATTTTCTCTGAATATTTTTATTGTTTGGAATAATAACAAAATAATGACATACATCTATTATTTAGTTCCTAAGAAAAAGTATATATTTCTTTCTATTTAAAAAATTTCAATTTGTTAGTACAAGTTTATGAGCCCAGATGGGTGAAAACTTTATTACATGTAAGGACTGCAGATATAGTCAGTAGTGACCAGACCAAACAAAGACCTCTTTGTCTTTTTTCTTGTATTTTCTTTGTTTCTATATTGCTCTTTCTATATAAACAAGTAAATTAATAAATCAGTAACTTTGCCATTTTTTATTGTGATTAGAAGGCTTGTTTCCCTGATCAGCTACCAAAACGGAATACACTTAACAGATAGATCATCTTCCAAAACACATACACTTAATACACCTAATTGGATTGTAATTAATTGGTAGGGATTAACTGCTGCTGAGTTCTATTATTTGGATCAAAGTTTGGGGAATGACATTTAGGTTTTAGAATTAGAACCAGGCATAGCGGTGGGTGCCACTGCACTCCAGCCTGGGCAACAAAGAGTGAAACTCCATCTAAAAAAAAAAAAAAAAAAAAAAAAAAAGAGAGAGAATTATACCTGGAAGCAACTAGAAACAAAAATGAAGCAAAAGCAGCTGTTGTCTTATCTCAAATGACCTTTCAGCACCATTATTTAAGTCTATTTTGTCCTAAATATTAATGTTTTCACTACTGGGTCTCTAAGACTGGGTCTCCAAGAAAAATAGTTTATAATTTATATTTAAAAAAGGTAGCCCTTTAAACATTTTCATTTGATTCTGCTTCTAGCTGCAGCAGCACCACAACAAAGCAGGGAATAAAATAAGAGTCCAGATTATTTGAAAACTCAGCTTAAAAAAAAAAGACTGTACAATTTCTTTCTTCCCTTGTGGTTCTACAGTGTCTTTAGGGCAGAAATCAATTTTTGCTCACCAAGGTTATGATTTCAACTGTTCAACCAGAAGACTAACTAAGCAAACAAACCAACACTGGTCAAAACCCTTTTGCAGCTCTTCCAGAGGTGTCAACTATGATTACTTTACAAATTCTTCCCACCTTTTTGTTGGAAATTCTTATTTCTCTTCTTAACATTTTTGATCTACTCTGAATAATATTCATGCAATTAAAATAGAGATTTTTTAAATCTGGTAAGAACGGGTGGGGCATGGTGGCTCATGCCTGTAATCCTAGCTCTTTGGGAGGCCAAAGCTGGAGGATTGCTTGAGGCCAGGAGATCTAGACCAGTGGAGGCAACATAGTGAGACCTTGTCTCTAAAGACAAATAAAAACAAAAGTTAAAAAAAATCTAGCAAGAATGCTTTCTTTAAAAATTGTCGACACATGATGATATTTATTTGGGCACTTATTCTAACCCTTAACTAATGACCATACTTGTAAATATCACTAAAGCAACCACCTCCTCCATAAATTTGAGGAAAGAAAAATTAAAAATTTTAAGCAATCCTTTAAAATGTAAGCAATTCTGAAAATACAGTGATGGTCCTGCACAAAGCTATTAAATAAATTCTGCCACCAAAAAAAAAAAAAACCCTCTAAAATACTGCTTCACATTTGGCTTTTATAGAATCACCTCTCTATTGATTAGTAAGTCATTGAAATGGTCCCTTGAATCACTTTTTTGTTTCTATACCAAGTGTGTAATGGAATTGTTCTATCATTGACCTAAGCCACTGACATATTTAACACATCTCTCTCTCTTTCATATACAAAAGCCTTGTACTTTCTAGCTAGGAATCATTACTTTCTTTTCACTGCTGTCACCCACACCCTTGCTTAGCTTTTGTCTCATGAAATCCACCACCTCACAAGGGTTAGCGTTATCAGAACAAAGATATATTGTGATACAGACGCTAAAGGCTTTGCTAACCTCCCTCACTAGCTAAGGGATAATCCTTTTAGGCCCACAGGACTCAAAATTCATGCCCCAGGACAAGTAACAAATTACTGTAAGTTGTTAGCCTGAGTATCCTTCATCCTGTGAGTGCCAAGTGTCTGCTGTACTATTGTTCACATTTCTTATTCATATTAACTTATTATCTTCAAGAATTTCAGAAAGAAAATAGAATAGGGGGTTATTTCTAAATGTTTTGATGCAAAATTCTTAAAAGGATTGTATTTCTAAATGTTTTGCTCCAAAATTCTTAAAAGGATAGTTGCAACCCTGCCTTTATGTATCCTGGTACTATCCTTACATTGTTACAATAAAGAGAAATCTTAAATTTTCAATCACTTTGATCACCCTGCAGATAAATTTTAGCAGATGATCCTTAGATCTAAGTTGTAATTATTTGGCTGATAGAGCTATTGACCCATGTGTTGGCATTTGTAAGACTTTCTAAAAAGTGCTCCAGCAAATTTTAATACTGCTTTAAATATCATGACACCATGAACTCTAAAGAATTGAAAAGTGCTTGTGAGTTGGTTATCAAGGGGAGGATATATCAAATGGCCATTTTGTTCAATATGTGTTCTAGAAATGAAAAGCCATACTAAAATACTGTCTTGGTCCAAAATCTGTGTAAAATTTGTTTTGAAATGTCTTTCAAAAATATTCCCTTTTGAAAATTATATCAGTAAGAATATTTATTAAACATCAGGTCTAAATTATTTTTACTCCAAAGTAAAACATGCATGTCCTTCTTAATAGGCCACATTCAAAGGATGGATGGATATAATGTATGCAGCAGTTGATTCCAGAAATGTAAGTATTCCTTGTATTCTAAGTCTTTTTACAATATTGATCAGGTGGTAAAATTAATCGAATAAAGCATAAACGACCAAATGAAATGATTCTATCTTGATTTAAAATATTTGGGAAAAAGTGTGACAGGTAAATATTCAAGCATAGCAATGTTTATCAGAAAGATCTTACTAAGATAATTCAACACATGAATTATTTTGAAAACCAAAGTAACAAATTCATGTATTTAGTAACTAACAAATATTTTCCTTTTAAATATTTTCTATTTTGTTTCCTATTTATCCACACATTATATAATTAGTAGTAATTTTAGTGTGCGGGACCAAATTTGAAGAAATATATGATTTCTATCATTAGTTGAAATGTATAGTCACCCTCCATATTAGACAGCATGAAAAGTTATGGATATTGTTCTGTCAGCCTTAGATTACTGTGATGATTTCTTTCAAATAATCCTATTTTAAACCATATAAAAGAATGTTTTTATATGATTTTTGCATTCATAAATTGACTGGAGCCTTTACTAATGTTGCAATCACTTCTGTGACCAACAGATTCCTTTAAGTGTATATCACCAAAATATAAACCTATTTTATTTGATTTCAGCCTCTTTCAGGCTCCAAGACCTAAACTGAAATTCATGCTCATTCCAACTTTGCTCTTCAAAACTTTGTAAGATGTAGTATTTTCTATCAACCTTCATCTTTCTATTCTCAAGTCCCATCTGTTTAGTTTATCATCATAAAGAATAACCTCTGTCCCTGCAGTCTTCAACCTGATAGAGTTTGATGTTATCTTTCTTGAAGTGCATTTCAAATAGCTTTAGTTTTATGTTGAATATCATTTTGATAACCTCCAGAGTTGTTTTATTTCACTTTGTCACTTATATTTTGTTTTGTGTGTTTAGTTGGTTTTTAACTTTGTTGCTTTTAGAAGGACATGAATCTGTTAAAAAACTATAGTGACCTTTCAGTCCATTACTAAATTATAAGTAATAGCCCATTTGTTTTAAGCACAATCTAGGAATTAAATAATCAACTGAGGATTTATAAAATGGACTGTCCATCTATGTCTACTTAATCTGAAAAATTCAATAACTGTTACTTTAGGGTAAAGTGCCAAACATCTGAATGAACAACTCATTTCTTATTTGCTACATTATTTCATGCATACATGAATGACTGTTTCTAAACCTAGCCTGTAGATATTTACAGTTTTAAATTTTTTATTAATAATTTTAAAATTACTAAAATTCAGTACCTTAAAAGCTTGCAAATTTAGCACATTACTGTTCAAATGGAAGAATATTATTTGTATTTATAGTTATAAAAATAGATTTTAGAATGTCATAATAGCCATATTTTTCACATGAAAACATCCCTAAAGGCCAATTTCAGGGATGTTTTTTAGAGGTAGTTGATTCAGAAAAAAAAAAAATGCTGACATATTAGTAAGAATAATTTTTTCTATTGTTATGAAAAAGCACCAGTGACATTTCCAGCACTAAAATGTATGGTAATATTTTACAAAATATTCCCCTTTGGTAGGTGGAACTCCAGCCTAAGTATGAAGAAAGTCTGTACATGTATCTTTACTTTGTTATTTTCATCATCTTTGGGTCCTTCTTCACCTTGAACCTGTTTATTGGTGTCATCATAGATAATTTCAACCAGCAGAAAAAGAAGATAAGTATTTCTAATATTTTCTCTCCCACTGAGATAGAAAATTATTCCTTGGAGTGTTTTCTCTGCCAAATGAGTACTTGAATTTAGAAACAAAATGGGAGTATATATTATAACTGATTTTTCCTTCCTCTTCCTCTGTCATTCACTATCCATATATTTCCGGCTATAGAAAGCTAAGAATAACTGTGTTCCACACTCTTGTTCATAGGTTCATAAAGTTTTTCCTCCTCTTATTCATTATCAAGAAACATTTTCTATCTTTTAAAAAATAATAATTAGAATAAAACTAGAAAGCAACCGAATATGCCTCTTTCCCAAAAGCAATTTGTTACTTTATCCCTACAACTACCCACTCCCCCTTGAAAATATATTTTCCAACTAATTCTTTGCAATAAATTAGGCACTGGATGTAAGCTTCTTCTAGTGTTTATTTTTACGCTTTTTTCTGTCATTGATTTCTTTTATATATTCCCATTTCTTTCTCCAAGATATTTAAATACAAGCTATCCGTTTCAGTCTTGAATTGTATGACTATTATTTATCATTTATAAGGCTCATTTGATTGTCCCAATTACCTATGTACATTATAGAACATATGGAAAGTAAATAAATATCATCACTTGGAAGTAACTGCTGCCATTCACATTTTGTTTTCTGTTCAGAGTATTTCTGCACATACTCTTATTGTTGTACTTTTTATCTATAATTATAAATTCCACTTTAGACTTAACATAAGTATTTTCTCATTTTGTTAAGTCTTCATATATGCATTATCATAATTTACTTATTCATTCCCCAGTAGGTTGATAATTTAGATTGTTTTTAATCTTTAATGATTTAAATAGTACCTTGTTGAAAGTTTTGTACAAAAAAAAAGAGAGAGGGACAGAAAATAAGGCTTTAATTATTTCCTGAGAATAAATTCCCACAATGAAGTATTTTACTCCCCTAGAGTAATATAACTACTCAAACTCCCAATATCAGTGTATGAACACCCATGCCACCGTTCCCTCACTGTCACCAAACATTCTGTTTTTGAATATTTGATATTTAATAGGTGAAAACTGTATTTAATTTTAATTTTTATGACTTTTATAACCTTAATTGTTATGACTTTTATGTATTTTATTACATTTGAACATGTTCTTAAATGCTCATTGGCCATTTGTATTTCTTCCTTTATGTACTGTTGCTTCATCTCACTTGTTCAGTAGGTTTGCTTTTTGTATAATGAATGAGTGCTTTCTTAGACTACAGAACATTCTCCCCTCAATTCCCTTTTCTTATTACCAGTAGTATTCTTAAGTCAATATCAGGCTACTCTATTTCACTTACTTGCCAGTGTTCCAATCTTCTATCCCTACTGGTCTGTCCCATACTTACTATGCTATGAGCTCTGATTTATCCCCTAAATCTCTCACTAACTCATCCAGTTTTCTTTTTATCCCTTTCCTCCAATTCTTGACAGAGTTAGAGTGACTTTTTTAATGAGTAACTCCAAACTGTCTTGCAGTATACATCCTCTAACTCTTTGCTACATTTAAATAAGAAAATTATTGCCTTTAACATCATAAAGGTAGTATGTATAGTATAAGGTACCAAGTATTTATTATCTCAGTGAACCAAATTTCGCCACTCACTAAGCATAAGGTCTTGGGTAAAATACTTAACCTTTTTGAGATTTGGGGGTGTTTGTCTTCATAAGATAATAATAATAAAGTCAATTTTGAATTATTTAGGGAATTAAATATTATCATACCTAAAGAGTACAATTTTTTTTACATTTTAAATCCCAGATATAATTATACTAATCAGTTGAATTTTGTATTTCTTTTTTTAGCCATCCATTTTCTATTTTAACATTGAAAAAAATGTACAAAAGGACACAGTTTTAACCAGTTTGATTTTTCTTTTCTATACTTTGGAGGTCAAGACATCTTTATGACAGAAGAACAGAAGAAATACTATAATGCAATGAAAAAATTAGGATCGAAAAAACCGCAAAAGCCTATACCTCGACCAGGAGTAAGAAGTATCAAATGATATGGGGGAAAAATACAAAAACAAAAACTTGCATGCTTGTCTCACAAAAAAGAAAGTAGCTAACATTTCCAGTAGAAAAAATTTCTTTCACTTGTAGAGCATCATCTAAAAGTGATGTTTGTATCTTTTATGATAATGGTAACAACAAAAAAAATTAAAGACCAAAAAAGAACAAGAAGAAATAGAAGATACACCCTTGACTTCAAGAGATTTAGAAGCACCCCATTACAATCCATATTAATTGGCCAATGGACACATAGACAATGTGATGTGCACAAGAGAAAGTTAATCACACAACTCAAGAATGGTTGCCAAGTAATATCAGGGAAAGAAGTAAACCTTGGGATGGGGCTGTAAGAAATGCAATTTCCTAATATTTTAAGAAATGAAGTGTTGAGTGAAATAACACCTTACTTCTATTTTATTTTTCACTAGAGATACTAAGTGTTTTAAAGGAGGAAAGAATTCCAGTATCTACTATTCATATGTATGGCTATAGAGTTAGGTATTACTAATGTCTGCAGAAGTCAGGGTCAGTAATTACAGTTTATGATGATAAATAACAATACTCATGCTTCCATGATGAAATAAACAAATTGCTATGAAAATGTACAGCTATTATCCCACACTATAAATATTTTTATGATGATGATCTGAGAGGTTTCAGTAATTCCTAGGGTGCATCAAGGAAAAAACTACTAGCAAATATTCATATTGTGATGATTGAATATTGCCTTCCTGAGAATGATGAGAAATATATACTTTCTCCATTAAAATTTAGCACTAAGAGTAGAAATGAAACAACAATTTAGGAAAAATATAAGTTGGAAAATTCCCTCAGAATTCCTCAGTGGCCCAAAGAAATAAGCCTGCAGATGGCCTTCAGTGACTAGCAGTGGCAGAAATGGGAAGCAGAATCACAGATCAACGACAAAGAACGTGAAGTTTTTTTTGACATAAACATATAGGAAATGTCATTCTGGTCTCATTATCCTTGTGCAGTTTCAGGATTCTGTGTCTGACAATGTTAGCCAAGGCTATTTGGTAGAAGAATATGAGTATTGCCATATGTGGTATTTAAATGCATAATGTTATAGATGTGTCTTGGAAATTCCAAATTCTCCTTAACAATTATTTGAGAATACAACAAGTGAAATATTAATAGTACTATATTTTAAAATGGATGTATGGTCCAGCTGATCATTGGAAAGTCTTGAAAAAAAAATTAAATGGGTTTCTTACCTTTTCATAATCTTAAAATGTTGATATGTGTTGCATACCTCTGGAAGAAGTATACAGTGTTGAATGTTTCTTTTGTTTGTTTGTTTGTTTGTTTGTTTGTTTTTATCAGAAACCTTCTTTGGATAAGGGATTGTTATTCTGAGAAATACACATTAGTAAATGGCAATTTAAATAACTAAATTTTAACAATTAATATGCTATAAATCATTCTTACAAAAATCAGGGCCAATGACTACTTTGCAAGAAACTAGAAAGTCAATTAATGCAGAAAGTACTTAATGCTAATGCACATGAGAAAACTCCTTTGTTGTTAAAAGCATTTCTATTTCTCTACAGAACAAATTTCAAGGAATGGTCTTTGACTTCGTAACCAGACAAGTTTTTGACATAAGCATCATGATTCTCATCTGTCTTAACATGGTCACAATGATGGTGGAAACAGATGACCAGAGTGAATATGTGACTACCATTTTGTCACGCATCAATCTGGTGTTCATTGTGCTATTTACTGGAGAGTGTGTACTGAAACTCATCTCTCTACGCCATTATTATTTTACCATTGGATGGAATATTTTTGATTTTGTGGTTGTCATTCTCTCCATTGTAGGTAAGAAATATTTAAAGTTCTTAAATTCAGTTAAATAAAAGTGAAAGCTGAAACAATCAAGATTAGATTCAAGATCATCCCAGCAATCAGAGATAATCACTGTAAATATTTTGATACATTTTATCCAAGTGTGTTTGTTTTTTTAACAAAATGTCTCCTACTATATGTCAGTATTGTTTCTTATTCTATCCATTTAGAACAATATACTTAGTGTAAATGTAGTAAAACCTCATTCATTTGAACTAGAACTGTGCTATTAACTAAAATAAAAATGTTTTTGACATGTTGAGATTGAAGAACCAATATAGTATCTAGATGGTTCTGTTAACAAGACTAGAAATGTAGTCTGGTACTCACGAAAATTGCTTTAGAGAATAGACATGGAGTCACCAGCATATAGATATTAGTGGAAAGTGGTTTCAAGATAAGGAAAAGTATTGCATAAAAAGAGAATAAAGACAAGGACTAAACATTAGCAAATGCATATAGTAGGTTCTCTGCAAGTGTCATGTAGAGATTTTCTAGACTACCTTAAAAATGGGTTTATCATAATGATGCACAAGGGAAATAAGGTGGCATGGGACATCATCAGTACTATACTTCAAAGCCTGGAACACATAACTAGCCTCATGAGCAATAGCTCATTTCATTAGACAAAACTAAAGCTCTAGTAAAGTAAAAAGCATCTGTCTGTGGGCCTATTCATTCTTCCCTAAACAGGATGATATGATTGGGTCAATATTTTACTATCCAAAACGAGGCACCTGTGTTGGACAGATTTTCATGCCACTCCCCTCTCTGAAGAAACTGGCCTTATATCCAGCTCATTGTATATAGCCTTTGATTCCCACTAATTATAATCCTTGGTTATAACTAGTGTGGCTAAGGTATAAAAGTTGTATTCTCACACGTCTCCTTCTCTCTCTCTCTCTCTCACACACACACACACACACACACACACACACTCTTACACTTCGTCTTTTCAGAATGAGGCATTTAAACTTGAAGGCATTTAGTTTCTTGAGCTCTTCTTTTTAACTTTACAAGTATTGTTTTTATCTAAAAAGCAAATGGAGAGAGAAGCTGAAAATAAGAAGACTGAGATTACAGTGTTAGGTACAGGAGACCAAAAAGAATTGAAATACAACATTAAGTACAGGATACTAAAAAGAGCATCAACCTGGGATCCTTTCAGAAATGCACCAGAACATACATAAATGAGTATATAAAAATATTAGAGTGGAATTTAAGTAAGTACCAAGATCATGGGGAGATGAAAGTAGCATCAAAAGCTACCAATACTTTCAGATGGAAAAGGAGTAAATAGAGAATTTAGAATATGGCAATTTCAGAAAAAGTCACTGTATACATATAAACTTGTACCTATACTGTTGGGCTGCTACTGTTCGGCCAAATGTGCATTTTTAACTTATTTTCTTTTTAAATTCTGACTTGGGACTTTACATAAACTAAAAGTAGTTTATAAACATCTCTTAAAGATAAAAAAAAGTACTATAATCCTTATAATTGAAATTATTGCTGAATTTCAAAATTAAGATTTATAATATATTATGTACAATTATATATATATTATATATAGTTGTCATATTTAATATAACTGGGTTCAGGACTCTGAACCTTACCTTGGAGCTTTAGAAGAAACATATGTTTATTTTAACGCATGATTTCTTCACTGGTTGGTATTCTCATTGTTTATTCATAGGTATGTTTCTTGCCGAGCTGATAGAAAAGTATTTCGTGTCCCCTACCCTGTTCCGAGTGATCCGTCTTGCTAGGATTGGCCGAATCCTACGTCTGATCAAAGGAGCAAAGGGGATCCGCACGCTGCTCTTTGCTTTGATGATGTCCCTTCCTGCGTTGTTTAACATCGGCCTCCTACTCTTCCTAGTCATGTTCATCTACGCCATCTTTGGGATGTCCAACTTTGCCTATGTTAAGAGGGAAGTTGGGATCGATGACATGTTCAACTTTGAGACCTTTGGCAACAGCATGATCTGCCTATTCCAAATTACAACCTCTGCTGGCTGGGATGGATTGCTAGCACCCATTCTCAACAGTAAGCCACCCGACTGTGACCCTAATAAAGTTAACCCTGGAAGCTCAGTTAAGGGAGACTGTGGGAACCCATCTGTTGGAATTTTCTTTTTTGTCAGTTACATCATCATATCCTTCCTGGTTGTGGTGAACATGTACATCGCGGTCATCCTGGAGAACTTCAGTGTTGCTACTGAAGAAAGTGCAGAGCCTCTGAGTGAGGATGACTTTGAGATGTTCTATGAGGTTTGGGAGAAGTTTGATCCCGATGCAACTCAGTTCATGGAATTTGAAAAATTATCTCAGTTTGCAGCTGCGCTTGAACCGCCTCTCAATCTGCCACAACCAAACAAACTCCAGCTCATTGCCATGGATTTGCCCATGGTGAGTGGTGACCGGATCCACTGTCTTGATATCTTATTTGCTTTTACAAAGCGGGTTCTAGGAGAGAGTGGAGAGATGGATGCTCTACGAATACAGATGGAAGAGCGATTCATGGCTTCCAATCCTTCCAAGGTCTCCTATCAGCCAATCACTACTACTTTAAAACGAAAACAAGAGGAAGTATCTGCTGTCATTATTCAGCGTGCTTACAGACGCCACCTTTTAAAGCGAACTGTAAAACAAGCTTCCTTTACGTACAATAAAAACAAAATCAAAGGTGGGGCTAATCTTCTTATAAAAGAAGACATGATAATTGACAGAATAAATGAAAACTCTATTACAGAAAAAACTGATCTGACCATGTCCACTGCAGCTTGTCCACCTTCCTATGACCGGGTGACAAAGCCAATTGTGGAAAAACATGAGCAAGAAGGCAAAGATGAAAAAGCCAAAGGGAAATAAATGAAAATAAATAAAAATAATTGGGTGACAAATTGTTTACAGCCTGTGAAGGTGATGTATTTTTATCAACAGGACTCCTTTAGGAGGTCAATGCCAAACTGACTGTTTTTACACAAATCTCCTTAAGGTCAGTGCCTACAATAAGACAGTGACCCCTTGTCAGCAAACTGTGACTCTGTGTAAAGGGGAGATGACCTTGACAGGAGGTTACTGTTCTCACTACCAGCTGACACTGCTGAAGATAAGATGCACAATGGCTAGTCAGACTGTAGGGACCAGTTTCAAGGGGTGCAAACCTGTGATTTTGGGGTTGTTTAACATGAAACACTTTAGTGTAGTAATTGTATCCACTGTTTGCATTTCAACTGCCACATTTGTCACATTTTTATGGAATCTGTTAGTGGATTCATCTTTTTGTTAATCCATGTGTTTATTATATGTGACTATTTTTGTAAACGAAGTTTCTGTTGAGAAATAGGCTAAGGACCTCTATAACAGGTATGCCACCTGGGGGGTATGGCAACCACATGGCCCTCCCAGCTACACAAAGTCGTGGTTTGCATGAGGGCATGCTGCACTTAGAGATCATGCATGAGAAAAAGTCACAAGAAAAACAAATTCTTAAATTTCACCATATTTCTGGGAGGGGTAATTGGGTGATAAGTGGAGGTGCTTTGTTGATCTTGTTTTGCGAAATCCAGCCCCTAGACCAAGTAGATTATTTGTGGGTAGGCCAGTAAATCTTAGCAGGTGCAAACTTCATTCAAATGTTTGGAGTCATAAATGTTATGTTTCTTTTTGTTGTATTAAAAAAAAAACCTGAATAGTGAATATTGCCCCTCACCCTCCACCGCCAGAAGACTGAATTGACCAAAATTACTCTTTATAAATTTCTGCTTTTTCCTGCACTTTGTTTAGCCATCTTCGGCTCTCAGCAAGGTTGACACTGTATATGTTAATGAAATGCTATTTATTATGTAAATAGTCATTTTACCCTGTGGTGCACGTTTGAGCAAACAAATAATGACCTAAGCACAGTATTTATTGCATCAAATATGTACCACAAGAAATGTAGAGTGCAAGCTTTACACAGGTAATAAAATGTATTCTGTACCATTTATAGATAGTTTGGATGCTATCAATGCATGTTTATATTACCATGCTGCTGTATCTGGTTTCTCTCACTGCTCAGAATCTCATTTATGAGAAACCATATGTCAGTGGTAAAGTCAAGGAAATTGTTCAACAGATCTCATTTATTTAAGTCATTAAGCAATAGTTTGCAGCACTTTAACAGCTTTTTGGTTATTTTTACATTTTAAGTGGATAACATATGGTATATAGCCAGACTGTACAGACATGTTTAAAAAAACACACTGCTTAACCTATTAAATATGTGTTTAGAATTTTATAAGCAAATATAAATACTGTAAAAAGTCACTTTATTTTATTTTTCAGCATTATGTACATAAATATGAAGAGGAAATTATCTTCAGGTTGATATCACAATCACTTTTCTTACTTTCTGTCCATAGTACTTTTTCATGAAAGAAATTTGCTAAATAAGACATGAAAACAAGACTGGGTAGTTGTAGATTTCTGCTTTTTAAATTACATTTGCTAATTTTAGATTATTTCACAATTTTAAGGAGCAAAATAGGTTCACGATTCATATCCAAATTATGCTTTGCAATTGGAAAAGGGTTTAAAATTTTATTTATATTTCTGGTAGTACCTGCACTAACTGAATTGAAGGTAGTGCTTATGTTATTTTTGTTCTTTTTTTCTGACTTCGGTTTATGTTTTCATTTCTTTGGAGTAATGCTGCTCTAGATTGTTCTAAATAGAATGTGGGCTTCATAATTTTTTTTTCCACAAAAACAGAGTAGTCAACTTATATAGTCAATTACATCAGGACATTTTGTGTTTCTTACAGAAGCAAACCATAGGCTCCTCTTTTCCTTAAAACTACTTAGATAAACTGTATTCGTGAACTGCATGCTGGAAAATGCTACTATTATGCTAAATAATGCTAACCAACATTTAAAATGTGCAAAACTAATAAAGATTACATTTTTTATTTTATTGTTTGCCCAGTCACTTTTTGTTAACAGAATATTCTAATGATATGGAGATTTTTTACATTACAAATTGGGGGAGAAGGGGAGCGCGCGCGCACACACACACACACACACACACACACACACACACACACAGAGGCATACCCACGTTGACAACAAAACCTAGGGTAGATATGTCACTGGAGGTAGGGGGTAATGACCTCCCAGAATTACAAGCAGCAGGTGTGTTCTCTGTTAGGAGGAAGAACTGGTGTCAGAGGATAGCTAGTGATTCTAGGAGGAAGAGAAGTATGGAAGCCAGAGTGATGGTGGATGACCCCTTGAGCTATGAAAAGAAACCCTTAAATCATCATTTAAAAATTTAGAATTGCCATGTGTGTAGGATACTGTGTTTGCTCCTCCAGAGCCACTCTCTCTGCTTCTGCATCATTCTGTGTGTCCCAGAAGGGTGACTTCTACACATTGCAAAAATGGGCTCTCCTACCTTTGAGCTCCCAATTGGTTTGGCCAATGAGAAGCACCAGTGGGAAAGCACCAGAGAGAGAAGATTGACATAGGAATATTTCTTCTCCAATTCCTTCTTTGCTGGGTTGGCACTGGACTCATTCCTCCCCGAAAAGTCATACTCCAATCAGACTGCCCCTCATACAACTGAAGCTACTTTCTCTGGGGTCAGGTAATCACTCCTCCCCTTGCTCCTTCAGGTCTGCTGCTGCATTGAGAGTGCTTTTGTATTCCTTGTAGCTTTCTCCTAACATTGCTGACACTTTTGTAAATGTCCCCTTCATGAAATTCTTCTATATGCCTCATTTCAGCATGCCATCTGTCTCCTGCCTGGCTGACACAAGGTGATTCAACAGCTCATGAAAGTCAGCAGGAAGCAAAGATGTGCCTTGCTTCAGCTTGGGGTCTTAATCTTGCTAACTTTTGCAGATAAAGAAAAACAGTAACTGGGGGAACCACAGTGAAGTCCAGTGCAGAATTCACAGATATCATGGAAAGGTTACTCGGGTGGTCCAGATAGTAAAATTAACAGTCTAAATTAATCTATCTAAATTTCTGAGGAACGAGAAGCCTTCCCTTGTCATCAGGTGAAGCCAGAAGAGGGAATATAGCCTCAACCAGAAAAGGGACAGTAATTAAAAGGCTTTTCCCATCCTTGTACAATGGACTGACTTTGCCTCTTCATAACATCACAATCCTAAAGCAACACAACAATTAATTCTGATATATTAGTAGCTGAAAAAAATTCCCATTTCCAACTAAGGTAGGTCAGAATTATAGGATAAACCCTGCAGACTTTTTATACTACCCATCCACGCCATTACTCACTGTTACCTTTCCAAATACAAAGAGAAGAACTGGTAAAACATAATCATATAAATCTCCATATTCATTTTGAAATATTTGGCATGATATTTTCTGTGCTAAAAAGTAATTATTCTTCAAAGAATGATGAGGTCATGTCAGTAAGACACAGGAACCAACTAGAAGGGGCTTCCCACTGGCCAAATCTGGGGCAAGTTGAGCATCAAAATAAATGATAGTAAAAGATTATAATTCATTGAATAAGAATCAGCAAATACATACTGATGTAAGTAAATAAGGAAAAGTACAAATCTGTTTCTTGCAGTTGAATGTTAATTAACAATTGTAGAAGAAATAACGGAGTTAGAAAAATCACTATTTGGCAATCACCCTAATGACAATTGATTCATACAAGAATCATCAATGAGTATTAAAACTCATGGGTGAAAGTTTGATGAGGAATAGGGTATTTATAGCATCTTAAAGTATCTCTTCTCTATTAAGTAGAAAATTTAAACAGAAGAAAGTATACTTTGGAGAAATACAGCAGACAATACCTTCAAAGATATCATCAATTATGAGACCAACTGATACTATGTGCCTCCTGATAAGATATACTGAAAGGGCCACATTACTTCTTGGTACACAGTCAAAATTTTAAAACCAGAATCTAACTACAAGGAAAATCAAATTGAGGACACTCTATAAAATAAGTGGACTGAACTCCTTAAAAATGTCAATGTCATGAAAGACAAAGAAAGGCTAAAGAATTCCATGAGGTCAAAGAACTATGACAACTAAACACAATTCTGGATGGAATATCAAATTAAAAAATAACAGATAAATAATATTATTGGGAAAGTTGAATAAATTTGAATATGGACTGTTTATTAGTTATTAGTATTATAATAGTGTTAATTTTCCTAATTTTGTTAAGACTAGTGTGCCTGTTCCATGAAAATAGAAAATGTTCTTATTCTCTGAAAATGCATGCTAAAGTATTTAGGGGTGAATGCAACAATGTCTGCAGCTCATTCTTGAATCAGTTCAAAGAAAAATGAGTTACATTTATATATATATGTATGTATGTAAACAGACATAGATAAAAGTATAGATGTGTGTGTGTCTTTAGAAAGGGGAGGATTTTTTTTTTTTTTTTGCTGTGTGTTACTGAAGTGCCTATGTCTGCGTGTTCACACTATCATATTTTGTATGCCCTGGACTTTATAATTTCTACCTTCAAAATTAGATCTACTGTTGGTAATTAATTCAATATATACTGGTTTTTTAACTACTATTCTCATTTCCTAGCAGTAATCTTCCTGAAAAGTCACAGAAATGATTACATTCCTTGTTCTTCATAATAATCACTGTTTAATTAAAATAAGAATATTTTAGAAAAGATCTGCGGCATAGTGGTTAAGACCCCAGTATTTGATGCTAAACAGATCTGATTTGGATAACAGAAGGTGGCACTTTGCTGTTTAAGCTGGGGACCAGACACTGTGGGTATAAATAGTAATTCCAAACACAGCTCCACAGAGCAGCACCCTTATGACAAGGTTTTCATATGTCTATAGTTAAGCCAGAAAATTAAGAATAATGCCATAAATATTTATAAAGCTGAACATATCCAAGTTAAAGACCTTTATCCTGAAATTGTATCTTTTAGATTATTTTCTAAAGACTAATACCATTTAATGTTTAAATGTTCTTTGGAAATGATGGTGAGAATACGTGATAATGGGTCATTGGTTTTAATATTTTATTTAGCCAAGTGGAAAATTGGCAACCTGGTGTCGGTCCTCCCATTTGTATTTTACTGGTGCATGAAATCCAAAAGTCTAGTAACCATTGGGACAGACAACTCTACTGCATAAGTTTGTATGTTTGTATATCTGTATCACAAAGCCCAGACACTCGAACTATATAAACTTGTCGCACTAAAGACAGCAAATATGTCTGGTAATTGCATATTCTTCATGTGTGCACTGGAATTTCTTATTATATAAGAAAATAAATGTGTTTCTAAACCACCATGAATTGGGTACTGCTGATAGTACTATTCTTCCTGGCACATGGAAATATCCCACTGAGGTTGTCAATCAATATTGATTTAATCAGTGTGGCAGCAAAGGCACTAGAGGAGGAAAATACTCTAGACAATCAAGTATAGATGGGAAAATTGCATCACCAAGAAATTCTTAAAATCACAAGTGGATAATTTGCAATATCAATTGATTTTACTCAACTGCTTGAGTCCTTTATCATTCCGTTAGAACACTCCTCATATTTGCAGATAACTCAGCCCCTCACCTCAGCAACAAGCAAGAGGACATCATTATAAACTTCCTCAATTTCTTTCCTATCCAGTGAAAAATATCTAAGTCCCTTTTCCCTTCCCTTTTCCTTCCCTTCCCTTCCTTTTTCTTTCCTTCCATTCTCTTCCTTTTTCCTTCCTTTTTCTTTCCTTCCATTCTCTTCCTTTTTCCTTCCTTTTTCTTACTTTACCTCCCCCTCCTACCTTTCCCTTTCTCCCTTCCTCCCTCTCTCCCTTCCTTCCTCTCTCCCTCTCCTTCCTTCCTTCCTTCAATCCATACTTTTATATCTTTTCAGAGATCAATTTTTCCCATTCATTTCTACATTCTCAGATACCTTGCTCCATGACTTGTTCTACTTCTCTTCTATCTTTATTCTTTCCCTCTTGACTGATCCTTTTTGTCTGCCTTTGCATTTTCAAAATCAGTTTTTCTAATCTTAAAAAATAACTTTGCTCAACCCTGATGCATCTTTATTCACTGTGTCATTATCTCATTATTTTTAAAGGTTAGTTTCTAAAGCCAGGGCTCTATACTCACTACCTTCACTCTTGGTTAAAATTAAAAGAAATATAGGTCCCAGTGATATTTATGGGAAAATTTGACTGTGAATAATCTTGTTGATATAAACACTTTGGGTTTTCAAAATGTTATGCTAGCTGTTAACTTTCCCAGTAACATTATGAGGGAAGGGCTGGAAAATACAAAAGGTAGACATAGGAACCGAGAACACCACCCCTATGGAGCCAAGCTATACATACTCTGTCTCTGGTTATCATAAATACATCTCCTATATTCAATGCTTGCTTAGAAAGGCATGATGTCCACGGAGCAATTCAATTGTTCACTGTGATGGGTTTTTTTGTTTTCTCCTCATGGAATGCAACTTTTATTTATGAGAATATGGAGACCAGAAAGTCCCTAAAATAAATTTGTAAAAAAAAAAATTTAAGGATAAATTCATCATGAAAAAAGTATTGTTATAGAAAGTTTAATTTTTCCCCTAAGTTGTTATGAACTGACTACCCCTGTGTTAATTAAACTTGCCATTATGCATGTGTATATTTTGTTGGAAACCATTGAGATACAAGTCTTATTTTTCTTCTTCAAGCTGTTTGAAATAAATTGTGACTCAAACAAATTCAAATACCAGCCCAATGCTGAATCTTATTCTTCCAGAGCACCTTCTCTCTCTCCTTCATGGTCTCAAACCTGGCTCCTACTTTTACCACTCTAAATTAGCTAAATTTGATCTTTATTCAGGCTTCATCGTATCTGGCAGATTTTTAGAATTCAGTGATGATGATGATCATCACCTCCTCCCTCTTTAAATTGCATCTTACTGTGTCTTCCATAAAACTAGAGTACCCTAGGCCTCTTAGTGTATCTTTGATTCTTTTTCTTTTCTTTCTTTCTTTCTTCTTTTTTGTGTTGTTGTTGTTGTTGAGATGTAGTCTCACTCTGTCGCCAGGCAGTGGCACAACCTCCTCTCACTGCGACCTCCACCTCCCTGGTTCAAGCGATTCCCCTGCCTCAGCCTCCTGAGTAGCTGGGACTACAGGTTCACGCCACCACACCCAGCTAATTTTTTGTATTTTTTAATAGAAACGGGGTTTCACCATTTTGGCCAGGATGGTCTCGATCTCCTGACCTCGTGATCCACCCGCCCCGCCTCCCAAAGTACTGGGATTACAGGCGTTAAGTCACCGCGCCTGGCCTGTATCTTTGATTCTTTGCCTTTACTCTCTATCAATATTTTCTCTCCTTTTAGATTTGTAGTGCAGCAGCAGCCTTTTTGCTGAGTTGGTGCTGCATCTCCACACGTCTGTTGGACTTTTGTACTTGCATATTCAGCTATCACCTTCAACTTAATATGTCCAAAACTAGTCCCTTTATAGTCTATCCCTATCAGCCATCAACAAAACTAGCCAGAAGTCAACCAGCTTTCCCCATATCTGTTATTGTTCAAGTTATCTTTCTAATTCGGCAAAAGAAATAAGTACAATTACAGGATATATTGAAGAACAAATGAGTAATGCTATGTGAGGATACAGGGAAAGGTTATATAATAGGAAAACTTTTTTTTTTTTTTCTTTGAAACAGAGTTTCCCTCTGTCACCCAGGCTGGAGTGCAGTGGCGCAATCTCGGGTCACTGCAGCTTCCACTCCCCGGGTTCAAGCGATTCTCCTGCCTCAGTCTCCCAAGTAGCTGGGATTACAGGCACCCACCACCACACCTGGCCAATTTTTGTGTTTTTGGTGGAGACGGGGTTTCACCATGTTGGCCGGGCTGGCCTCGAACTCCTGACCTCAAGTAATCCACCCGCCTTGGCCCCCCAAAGTGCTGGGATTACAGGCATAAGCCACCACGCCGAGCCTATAATGGGATAACTTCTGATCTGGGTTTTGAAGAATAAGCGGGGTAGGGCAGCCAGGACAGCAAAAATATCAGACCAATGGCCAAAACCACAGGCTCTAGAGTCAGATTGCCTGGATCCAAATATCAGCTATACTGATATTACAAAAGTTTCTTGGCCTCTCATTGCCTCAATTTCATCATCTGTAAAAATGGTAATAATAATTCTTATGAGGACTAAATGAGTTAACGGAAGTAAAGCTTTCAGATCAACAGTTCCAGGCATATAATTACTACATAAGTCTTTGTTTTAATGATGACAATTAAAGACACATATGAAAATGAGAAACACAAGGACAGTTCAGAGCATTTTTAAGAGTTCACTGTTGCTAATGTGAAAAAGGAGCAATGACAGTGACTGAGAGACAAGCAGGACTCAGATGATAAAGGGCTTTAAATGCAGGGTGGGGGCCTTGGTGATGAAGACCCATTTAGAAATTGTAAAAGAAGCAAAAGTCGGTGAGAGTAGATTTTGACTTCAAGACAAAGGAAACATTCAATGTGAATTTTATAATTGTTTTGTCTAATTCTAGGAAAAATGACATTGGTAAAAAAGCAATAAATGTTGGTGAGGTACAGTGAAAAGGAAAGGCTTATACACTGTTGGTGGGAAAGTAAATTAGCACAATTTATGTACTATTTATGTACCATTTATGTTTCCTCTTTGGAAAACAGTATGGAGATTTCTCAAAGAACTAAAAGAGATCTAACATTCTATCTAGCAATCCCCCTACTGGGTATCTACTTAAAGGAAAATAAGTTATTATATCAAAAAGACACCTGTATTTGTAGGTTTATCACAGCCCAGTTCACAATTGCAAAGATATGGAATCTACATAAGTGTCCATCAACTGAAGAGTGGATAAAGAAAATCAGGGGTGTCCAAGGTAGACAATACAGTCATGGGTTCTTAGTTTCTATTTCTGTTTGGGTCAGTAAAGCCCCTTGCTCATCTCCCTTTTCTGCTTATCACTAGGGACAGAAACTAAAAGTCATGGCTTCAGGCTGCTAAAGTCTAAAACAAAACAAAACAGAACAACAAGAACAATAAAGTTAGGCGGGACAAGCTTGAAGACTGAACAGTAGTTATTTATGGCAGAATACTACTCAGCCATAAAAATGAATGAAACATGTTTGCAGCAACTAGGATAGAACTGGTCATTATCCTAAGTGAAGTAACTCAGGAATAGAAAACCAAATACCACATGTTCTCCCTTACAAGTGGGAGCTAAGCCATGGGTATGCAAAGCCATAAAGAGTGCTATAATGGACACTGGAGATTCAGAAGTAGGGAGGGGGAGAGGGAGATGAGGAATAAAAAATCACCTATTGGGTACAATGTACACTATTCATCACTACATCACTACATTAAAAGCTCAGACTTCACCATTATACAGTTCACTCATGCAACAACAACAAAAAAACCTTGTACCACTAAAGCAATGGAAATAATAAATAAATAAAATAAATAAAAGCAACTGCTGATAACAAAAAAACAAAAGAAACAGAAATCAGGGACAAAGTTTAGGAAGCTACTGGGAAAACACAAGCAATGATGAGACATAAGCCTTGAATATCTTCTTTCTTTCTACCCAGTGAAAGCAAGCCCATTCTTCAGGATTCGGAGACAGCTTCTTTGTTTCTTATTACTGGAAAAGAATTTTTTCTCCTATGAATCTCTGTGGGATTCATTCAAAAGTGTCAGGGTTTGGACATGTACCCAGATACTCAAACCCAAACACTTCTGAGAGTGAAAGAGGACAATATTAATAATTGTGCTAAAACAGGCACAATCCAGGACTCTTACAGGCACATCAGGACAGAAGGTTACTAATCCACCATTATGTATATGTGGGAATGTAGGTTTCCCCCTTTTATCACCCTTACTTCTACGCTGCCACAAGAAAACATATACCATCTGCCTGATAGGCAGAAATGAACTTCTATAGTGCTTGGCATACACAAAATGATGAGTAAGTATTTAGTAAATGAGCAATTGAATTAAATGTTAGTATTGCTTTAGTTTTTTTTTAAGTTTTTATGCCTCTAAAATCTTTTTTCTTTACTTATACAGAATATCAGAGGGCTTCCATTATATAGAAGATACATAAAAGAATAAGATATCACAAAACTTACAAATGAAAGTTGACCTTGGTATATTACAGTAATATTGGATACATATGACTCATATTTAAAAGAGCATATGTTACATGCATAAGAGTGCATACCATACCTGTAAAGAAATAGTCATAGATGTAGATAAGTATAGATATGTTTATACACAAATATTTTCAAGATACGAGTACATAAATTGATTTTAAACTCTTCAGAATTTAAGGGTTATATAGTACTCACCTCATTTTTTGTTAGGGTAAAATTATTGAGCTTGCCATTTTAAATCTGTTTATTCTTATCTTCTAAAAGGAAGTAGTGCTACTGGACCTTGTTTTCTCTTCAACATTACTTGGCCTGATTTCTATCTGCATTATTAATGTTCATCTTTCATCAAGGATGATGAAGAAATGTCTTGTTCAGCAGTATTTCTTGCAGTCATGGAAAACAAAAATTTCTAAAGGCAAACAAATTGTGCCTTTGATCAGACTTAGTCATAAGTGCAGCCATTTGCCCTACCTAAGGGAAACGTCTATTGAGTTATACTGATCGATAACCTGAGACAGGTGAAATGCTAGAGCAAAATGTAGTAACCATAAGATTGTGAATGTATAAATATGTAAGAAGGTGGATAATAGGATTTATGGGGAATGGTTAAAGTATCTAGGAATATTTCTCTCAGAGAAGAGAATGAGGAATGACATTATTACAGCAGAGCTTCTTCTATTTATTATATGTTATGATTTGCTAGAATAAAATTCATTAGGCATTAATAGTATTAAATTTAGTATGAAACTAGTCAGGTTTGTCTTAGAATTTTATGACATTCCCTTTTCACAGTAATGTAGACTTTTTTATAGCATGCACCTTAAAACTCTTCCAGCCTCCTTCACCCATTACCCAGTTCCAACACTGCTTCCACATTTTTAGGTATTTATTATAACAGCACTCCCACTTTTTGGTATCAATTTCTGCCTTAGTTCATTCAGATTGCTACGACAAATACCATAGACTGGGTGGCTTAAAAACAACAGAAATTTATTTCTCAAAGTTCTGGAGGCTGGAAGTACATGATCAAGGCCACAGGAGATTTGATGTCTCGAGAAGGCCTATTTCCTTGTTTGTAGACAATGGTCTTCTTACTGAGTCCGCACATGACAGAAGGAGTGAGGGAGATGTTTGGGCACTTTTATAGGGACACTAATCTTAGTCATGAGGGCTCTGCTATCATACCTAATCACCTCCCTAAGATCCACCCTCAGATACCATCATATGGGAGGTTAGGATTTCAATATATGAATTCGGGGGAGATATAAACATTCAGTCTATAGAATATGGCAAATGCTATTAGCAATAAACATTCAGCCTATAGCATATGGCAAACACTATTAGCACATTTGATGTTACTCAATTCTTTCTTATCATTTGAATTAATAAATAAAAAACATTAATTATCTGTGAACAATTATAGTTAAAAGAAGTTAATCTTATTAAGCAGTAGAGGTTTTATTTTAAAACATTCAAAGAGATTGCAAAAGATATTTCTGAAATAGAAATTAGTCTTGATTGTTGTAACAAAACAAGACTATGAAATTTACATAGTAGGAAATGAGAAGCCCAAAGATAAACACTACTAAAACTTAGTTCATATTTTTTCATGAGTTGTAAGTATATGTAAAACTGGATCAAAAACATTTACTTAATTTTTCAAACTTCCTAAGCTACTGTTTCTCAATCACTCTTTCAGAAAACCAGAAATACTGTTAGTCTAATAAAATTGCTAAGACCTTGAGCTAATTATTTAACTTTGTTGAACAGTGAGTTCTCATTTACAAAATGAAGAATTTGAAAGATAAAATCTTTCAAGGTCCATTTTCGTTTTGAAACATTATTTTTCAGAGAGTAAAAACGATTTCTAGTGGCATAAAACAATTATCATAACTAACATAGTGAATCAAGTAAACCTCACATTAATTTTATAGACTTTTAAGACAATATACAAAGGGTTTCTCCTGACAAGGTATAACTTCCGTCTATGCAGTGATTTTGGTATTATAACTATGAGAGGAAAAAGGATACCAATATTATAGAAGAGCATCCAATTCTTAGGAATTTGTGGAAGATGATAGGAACCTGCGAAAGGTGATTTTCCTCTACTCTGCCCTTCAAGGCTGTGCGTATGTCATCAGGAAGCTCACGTTTCAGCCTCTAATTAAACTCTAAAATAGGATCTAACTCTAGATTATCCTGACAAATATAGACTCCTTGATACTGTCTGAATAACAATTTGGAAATAAATTACTGAATTTTAAGGCCTGCCATATTCAAGTACACATCTTTTTTCTTTATACATAATAGCTGTACCTATTTTAGTCATACATGTAAAAATTTGCTACACTCATATAACCAAATCAGGGTAACTGAGATATCCTTCATCTTAAATGTTTACCTTTCTTTATTCTAGGGCATTCAAATTATTTCTTTTTAGCTGTTTTGAAATATGCATTCTATTAATGTTAACTATAGTCAACCTACTGATCTATTGAACATCAGGTCTTATTTCTTCTATCTAATTGTACATATGTACTCATGAATCAACCTCTCTTCATTCCCTACTTCCCTCTACCCTTCTAGCATCTGGTAACCACCAATCTACTCTCTACCCCATGAGACCCACTTTTTCAGCTCCCACATATGAGTAAGAACATGCAATATTTCTTTCTGCTCTTTGCTCATTTCACTTAGTATGATGATCTCCAGATCCATTTTCTTTATCCATTCATCTGTTGATAGAGACTTAGGTTGATTCCATATTTTGGCTATTGTGAATAGTGCTGAAATAAACAGGGTTGCAGATATTTTTTGATACATTTATTTCCTTTCTTTTGGATATATACTCAATGGTGGTATCAATGAATCATATGGTAGTTCCACTTGTAGTTTCTTCAAGAACTTCCATCCTGTTTTCCATAATGGCTATACTGATTTACATTCCCACCAATGGTATAAAAGGTTCTTTCTCCACATCTCACCAGCATCTATTATTCCCTATCTTTTTTATAAAAGCCATTCTAACAGGCATGGGCCATGGTGGTTTGCTGCACCCATCAACCCATCATCTAGGTTTTAAGCCCCACATGCCTTAGGTATTTGTCCTAATGCTCTCCCTCCCCTTGTCCCCAACCCCCCAACAGGCCCCGGTGTGTGAGGTTCCCCTCCCTGATAAGTGGGAGTTCTCATTGTTCAACTCCCACTTATCAGTGAGAACATGTGGTGGTTGGTCTTCTGTTCCTGTGTTAATTTGCTGAGAATGATGGTTTCCAGCTTCATCCATGTCCCTGCAAAGGACATGAACTCATTCTTTTTTTATGGCTATATAGTATTCCATGGAGTTTATGTGCCATATTTTCTTTATCCAGTCTATCATTGATGGACATTTGGGTTGGTTCCAAGTCTTTGCTATTGTGAATAGTGCTGCAATAAACATACGTGTGCATGTGTCTTTATAGTAGAACCATTTATAATCATTTGGGTATATACCCAGTAATGGGATTTCTGGGTCAAATGGTATTTCTGGTTCTAGATCCTTGAGGAATCACCACACTGTCTTCCACAATGGTTGAACCAATTTACTCTCCCACCAACAGTGTAAAAGCATTCCTATTTCTCCACATCCTCTCCAGCATCTGTTGTTTCCTGACTTTTTAATGACTGCCATTCTAACTGGTGTGAGATGGTATCTCATTGTGGTTTTGATTTGCACTTCTCTAATGACCAGTGATGATGAGCTTCTATGTTTGTTGGCCATATAAATGTCTTCTTTCAAGAAGTGTCTGTTCATATACTTCACCCACCTTTTCATGGGGTTGTTTTTTTCTTGTAAATTTGCTTAAGTTCTTAGTAGATTCTGGATATTAGACCTTTGTAAGATGTATAGATTGAATTTTCTCCCATTCTGTAGGTTGCTTTTTCACTATAATGACAGTTTCTTTTACTGTGCAGAAGCTCTTTAGTTTAATTAGATACTATTTGTCAATTTTGGCTTTTGTTGCCATTGCTTTTGGTGTTTTAGTCATGAAGTCTTTGTCCATGCCTATGTCCTGAATGGTATTGCCTAGGTTTTCTTCTAGGGTTTTTATGGTTTTAGGATTTATGTTGAAATCTCTAATCCATCTCTAGTTAATTTTTGTACAAGTTGTAAGGAAGGGATCCAGTTTCAGTTTTCCGCATATGGCTAGCCAGTTTTCCCAGCATCATTGATTAAATAGGGAATCCTTTCCCCATTGCTGGTTTCTGTCAGGTTTGTCAAAGATTAGATGGCTGTAGATGTGTGGTGTTTCTGAGGGCTCTGTTCTGTTCCATTGGTCTATATTTCTGTTTTGGTTTCCAGTACCATGCTGTTTTGGTTACTGTAGCCTTGTAGTATAGTTTGAAGTCAGGTAGCATGATGCCTCCAGCTTTGTTCTTTTTGCTTAGGATTGTCTTGGCTATATGGGCTCTTTTTTGGTTCCATGTGAAATTTAAAGTAGTTTTTTCTAGTTCTATGAAGAAAGTCAATGGTAGCTTGATGGGAATAGCATTGAATCTATAAATCACTTTGGGCAGTATGGCCATTTCATGATATTGATTCTTCCTATCCATCAGTATAGAATGTTTTTCCAGTTTTTTTGAGCCCTCTCTTATTTCCTTGAGCAGTGGTTTGTAGTTCTCCTTGAAGAGGTTTTTCACGTCCCTTGTAATTTGTATTCCTAGGTATTTTATTTTCTTTGTAGCAATTGTGAATGGGAGTTCACTCATGATTTGGCTCTCTGTCTTGTCTATTATTGGTGTATAGGAATGCTTGTGACTTTTGCACATTGATTTTGTATCCCGAAACTTTGCTGAAGTTGTTTATCAGCTTAAGGAGTCCTTGGGCTGAGAAGATGGGGTTTTCTAAATATGTAATCATGTCATCTGCAAACAGAGACAATTTGACTTCCTCTCTTCCTATTTGAATACCCTTTATTTCTTTCTCTTGCCTGATTGCCGTGGCCAGAAATTCAATACTATGGTGAATAGGGGTGGTAAGATAGGGCATCCTTGTCTTGTGCTGGTTTTCAAAGGGAATGTTTTCAGCTTTTGCCCATTCAGTATGATATTGGCTATGAAGTTTTTTCATAAATAGCTCTTATTATTTTGAGATATGTTCCATCAATAGCTAGTTTATTGTTTTTAGCATGAAGAGGTGTTGAATTTTATCAAAGGCCTTTTCTGCATCTATTGAGATAATCATGTGGTTTTTGTCATTGGTTCTGTTTACATGATGGATTACGTTTATTGATTTGTGTATGTTGAACCAGCCTTGTATCCCAGGGATGAAGCCAACTTGATCGTGGCAGATAAGCTTTTTGATGTGCTGCTGGATTCGGTTTGCCAGTATTTTATCAAGGATTTTCACACTGATGTTCATAAGGGATATTCCCTGAAATTTTCTTTTTTTGTTGTGTCTCTGCCAGGTTGGTATCAGGATGATGCTGGCCTCATAAAATGAATTAGGGAGGAGTCCTTCTTTTTCTATTGTTTGGAATACTTTCATAAGGAATGGTACCAGCTTCTCTTAGTACCTCTGGTAGAATTTGACTGGGAATCAATCTGGTCCTTGGCTTTTTTTTTTTTTTTTTTTTTTGGTTGGTAGGCTATTAATTTATGCCTGAATTTCAGAATTTGTTATTGGTCTATTCAGGGATTCATTCAACATCTTCCAGGTTTAGTCTTGGGAGGGTGTATGTGTCTAGGAACTTATCCATTTCTTCTAGATTTTCTAGTTTATTTGCATAGAGGTGTTTTTAGTATTCTCTGATGGTAGTCTGTATTTCTGTGGGATCAGTGGTGATATCCCCTTTATCAATTTTTATTGTGACTATTTGATTCTTCTCTCTTTTCTTCTTTATTAGTCTGGCTAGTGGCCTACTTTGTTAATCTTTTCAAAAAAACTACCTCCTGGATTCACTGATGCTTTTTGAAGGGTTTTTTGTGTCTCTGTCTCCTTCAGTTTTGCTCTGATCTTAGTTATTTCTTGTCTTCTGCTAGCTTTTTAATTTGTTTGGTCTTGCTTCTCTAGTTCTTTTAATTGTGATGTTAGGGTGTTGATTTTAGATCTTTTCCACTTTCTGATGTGCTATAAATTTAGTGCTATATTTATATTTATATATATTATATTATGTATATCTATATTTATATATTTAATGTGCTATAAATTTCACTCTTAACACTGTTTTAGCTGTGTCCCAGAGATTCTGGTACATTGTCTTTGTTTTCAGTGGTTTCAAAGAATTTATTTATTTCTGCTTTAATTTTGTTATTTACCCAGTAGTCATCCAGGAGTAGGCTGTTCCGTTTCCATGTAGTTGTGCTGTTTTGAGTGAGTTTCTTAATCCTGATGTCTAATTTGATTGCAATGCAGTCTGAGAAACACTTTGTTATGATTTCCATTTTTTGCATTTGCTGAGAGTGTTTTACCTCCAACTATGTGGTCTATTTTAGAATAAGTGCCATGTGCTGGGAAGAATGTATAATCCATTGATTTGGGGTGGAAAGTTCTGTAGATGTCTATTAGGTCCACTTGGTCCAGATATGAGCTCAAGTCCTGAATATAGTTGTTAATTTCCTGTCTCGTTGATCTGTCTAATATTGATAGTGGGCTGTTAAAGTCTCTCGCTATTATTGTTTGGGGGTCTAAGTCTCTTTGTAGATCTCTAAGAACTTGTTTTATGAATCTGGGTGCTCCTGTATTGGGTGAATATACATTTAGGATAGTTAGCTCTTCTTGTTGCATTGATCTCTTTACCATTATGTAATGCTCTTGTCTTTTTTGATCTTCGTTGGTTTAAAGTCTGTTTTATCAGAGTCTAGGAATGCAACCCCTGCTTTTTTTTTTTCTTTCCATTTGCTTGGTAAATATTCCTCCATCCCTTTATTTTGAGCCTATGTGTGTCTTTGCAAGTGAGATGGGTCTCCTGATGCACGTGAGATGGGTCAAGACAGATGGGCCTTGACTCTAACCAAATTGCCTATCTGTGTCCTTTAATTGGGCCATTTAGCCCATTTACATTTAAGGTTAATATTGTTATGTGTAAATTTAATCCTGTCATCATGATGCTATCTGTTTATTTTGCATATTTGTTCGTGCAGTTTCTTCATAGTGTCGTTGGTCTTTATATTTTGGTATGTTTTTCCAGTGGCTGGTACCGGTTTTCCCTTTCCATATTTAGTGCTTCTTTCAGGAGCTCTTGTATGGCAGGCCTGGTGGTGACAAAATCTCTCAGCATTTGCTTGTCTGTAAGTGATTTTACTTCTCCTTCACTTATGAAGCTTAGTTTGGCTGGATATGAAATTCTGGGTTGAAAATTCTTTTAAGAATGTTGAATATTGGCCCCCACTCTCTTCTGGCTTGTAGGGTTTCTGCAGAGAGATTCGCTGTTACTCTGATGGGCTTCCCTTTGGAAGTAACCTGACCTTTTTTTCTAGCTGCCCTTAACGTTATTTCCTTCATTTCAACCTTGGAGAATCTGACAATTATGTATCTTGGGGTTTCTCTTCTTGAGGAGTATCTTAGTGGTGTTCTGTGTATTTCCTGAATTTGAATGTTGGCCTGTCTTGTTAGGTTGGGGACGTTCTCCTGGACGATATCTTGAAGTGTGTTTTCCAAGTTGGTTCCATTCTCCCTGTCACTTTCAGGTACACTAATCAGTCGTAGGTTTGGTCTTTTCACATAGTCCCATATTCCTTGGAGGCTTTGTTCACTTCTTTCCATTGTTTTTTCTCTAATCTTGTCTTCACGCTTTATTTCATAAAGTTGATCTTCCATCTCTGATATCTTTTCTTCCACTTGATCACTTTGGCTATTGATACTGTATGCTTCACGAAGTTCTCATGCTGTTTTTCAACTCCATCAGGTCATTTATGTTCTTCTCTAAACCGGTTATTCTAGTTAGCAGTTCCTGTAACCTTTTATCACGGTTCTCAGCTTCCTTGCATTGGGTTAGAACATGCTCCTTTAGCTCCGAGTAGTTTCTTATTACCCACCTTCTGAAGCCTACTTCTGTCAACTTGTCAAATTCATTCTCCATCCAGTTTTGTGCCCTCACTGGAGAGGAGTTGCGATCATTTGGAGGAGAAGAGGTGTTCTGGTTTTGGGAATTTCCAGCATTTTGGGGCTGGTTTTTCCTCATCTAGTGGATTTATCTACCTTTGATCTTTGGTGCTGATCCTTTTTTTTTTTTTTTTTTTTTTTTTGATGTTGATGTTACTGCTTTCTGATTGTTAGTTTTCCTTTTAACAGTCAGGCCCGTCTTCTACAGGTCTGCTGGAGTTTGCTGGAGGTCCACTCCAGACCCTGTTTGCCTGGGTATCACCAGTAGAGGCTGCAGAACAGCAAAGATTGCTGCCTGCTCCTTCCTCTGGAAGCTTCATCCCAGAGTGGCACCTGCCTGATGCCAGCAGGACCTATCCTGTATGAAGTGTCTGTCAACCCCTCCTGGGAGGTCTCTCCCAGTCAGGAGCCACAGGGGTCAGGGACCCACTTGAGGAGGCAGTCTGTCCCTTAGCAGAGCTTGAGTACTGTGCTGGGAGATCTGCTGTTCTCTTCAGAGCCAGCAGGCAGGAATGTGTAAGCCTGCTGAAGCTGTGCCTACAGCCATTCCTTCCCCTAGGTGCCTTGTCCCAGGGAGATAGGAGTTTTATCTATAAGCTCCTGACTGAGGCTGCTGCCTTTCTTTCAGAGATGCCCTGCCCAATGAGGAGGAATCTAGACAGGCAGTTTGGCCCCAGGCACTTTGCTGTGCTGTAGTGAGTTTCATACAGTCTGAACTTCCCGCAGTGCGAACTTCCCAGTGGCTTCTTTAACACTGTGAGGGGAAAACTGCCTACATAAGCCTCAGTAATGACAGATGCCCCTGCCACCACCAAGCTCTATCATCCCAGGTCAACTACAGACTGCTGTGCTGGCAGTGAGAGCTGGGCTCCATGGGAGTGGGACCCACTGAGTGAGACCACTTGGCTCCCTAGCTTCAGCCCCCTTTCCAGGGGAGTGAACAGCCCTATCACGCTGGAGTTCCAGGTGCCACTGGGGTATGAAAAAAAAACTCCTGCGGCTAGCTCAGTGTCTGCCCAAACATCCGCCCAGTTTTGTGCTTGAAACCCCGGGCCCTGGTGGTGTAGGCACACAAGGGAATATCCTGGTCTCTGGGTTGCAAAAACCAATGGAAAAGCATAGTATCTGGGCTGGATAGTACAGTCCCTCAGGGCTTCCTTGGCTACTGGAAGGAGTTCCCCGGCCCCTTGCCCTTCCCAGGTGAGGCGATGTCCCACCCTGCTTCTGCTCTCCCTCCGTGGGCTGCACCCCACTGTCTAACCAGTCCCAGTGAGATGAACTGGGTACCTCGGTTGGAAATGTAGAAATCATCCGCCTTCTGTGTTGGTCTCGCCAGGAGCTGCAGACTGGAGCTGTTCCTATTCGGCCATCATGCCAGCTACCCTGTGTAATATTCTCTATCTTGCTTTTCATTTTTTTTTCCTCGTGATTTCATATAGCCTGTCTTTTAGTTCACTGATTCTTTCCTCTGTTTAATCCATTCAGCTGTTGAGAGCCTGCAGTAAATTTTTGAGCTCAGCAGATATATTTCTCAGTTCCAAGATTTCTGCTGGCTTTTTTTTTATTTCAACCTCCATGTTTAATTTCTCTGATAAATTTCTGAGTTCCCTTTCTGTGTTATCTTAGATACCAGTGAGTTTCCTTAAAACTATTATTTTGAGGTCTTGGTCAGGTATTTGATGTACTGTCATCTCATTAGGGTCAATCACTGGTTCTTTACATTGTCCATTTGTGTTGTTCATGGTTTCCTGTTTCCTGTTGTTTCTTGTGGATGTATATTTACGTCTTTGCATTAAAGGATTACTTTAGTCTTCTCTGTCTGGCTTGTTTTGGTTTTAATTGGGGATGGGATGTTAACTTAGAGATTCTTCTTAAATTACCTGTTCAATATCTTATACTTTTTTCTCACTTGGTCACTTCCTCCTTTCAGGACTAGATGGCACCTTAAACTCAGGTTTGCCTTTGCACTAGCAAACAATCAGAGCACTGCCCATCTGCAGTGGGAGATTTGAAAGGGGATATCCTGGTCGTATAAAAAGGCTGGCTGGGGATTTGTGCTCAGGGGACCTGTGACATGTACCTCCTACAGCATGGTGCTGGTGAGCAGCCACATGTACCTCCAAAGCATCTCCTTTGGCCTAAGTACAGAGTAGAGTTTCAAGCACTAAGAATGGTAGTTCCACCTTCTCTCCTTGTCTCTGGCTGTTCTCTCCTTCCAGACACTCACAATACTTGCTGTGGATTGAGGCATGAATAGGTCTCCTGCCAGGGAACCCAAGATGGTAGGAAAGCTGGTTGTTCATCTTGATCTCACCTTATCCAGTGCAGAAACTGTGAATCAAGGGACATTTTCTGCAAATTGGTGCAGGGCAGATATTAGGAAGGGGCATTTCGGATATGAAAATTTGATTCTCTTACCATCTGCTCAGAATTTTTTTACTTCTCTATGTCCTCAGGAACTGATTTATCCTCACATTTGAATTTCTGGAAGTCACTGGTGAAATCTCAGGGCTGTATATTTCTTTTGGTTTTGTGGGGTGGGGGGAATGAAGAGTGAAGGAAACCTGTGTCTACACAAACATTTTGGAACAGGAAGTCTCCCAGGTACACACCTTGAGAGGTTTTCCTATACCAATATTTTGGGGACTAGGCTCTGTCTAAACCTAAGCTAATTTAGTCTCAGAAGCGGTTCTGTTTTTTGATCTTGCACATCATTGCTGTGCCCCATCCACTGTACACCTTCTCTTTAACTATATAGAAACTATAACCTTGTATAATGCTCTATAGCACTATTGCCATCTAAAAATAGAATAATTGCACACATTCTTCTTATGCCAGATAAAAGCCACCTATCAGTACATCCAGACTGTTCTTTGTGTTCATTATAATATTCTCATGGTGAAGTAAGTTTGATCAATAAATAGTCTTAATACTATATTTTAAAAGTTTTACTAAAGCAGTGGCTTTCAAAGTGTGGTCCCCAGACCAACAGCAACAGCATCACATGGGAACTTGTTAAAAATTTATATTTTTGTCTCCTTCCCAGCATCTCCACTGAATTAGAACCTCTACAGGTAGGGGTCCAGCAGTCTGTGTTTTAACAAGTCTTTCAAGTGATTTTTTTAAATGTTCATTATCTTTATTATTTTATTTAATTTTTAACTTGACATATAAAATTATGTGTATTTACCATGTACGACATATTGTTTTCAAGTGTATATACATTGTGGAATTAATAGATCTAGTAATTAACATATGCATTACCTCACATACTTTTCATTTTTGTCGTGAGAACAATTTGTTCTACAACAAGTTAACTGTAGTTAACAGTAAATCATAGTCTTGAAAAATGCTAAGAGTCTAGATGAAATGTCCTCCAAGTCATTCTGATGTATGCTCATGTTTGAGAACCACTGCTTCAAAATCTTCTTTGTCTTTTGTATGAGGGAACAATGTCCCCCAGTGGCCACAAATATGTACATTATCTTTTTATGTAAATATGTTTGTACACTGTGTTGAAAATAATTTCCAAAGATAACTTTTATTATGTTTTTAAGTGAGCTTGAAACTCAGTTGCCAAATTTCTTCTCTTTATTCATGATGAAATCCCAAACGGACACTAGACTGCCTAGAAACTAATTCTTACTCAGTATCATATCTTTCTCTCTAGAAATCAACCATATCCACAGGCTTACTTGGTGTATTAGTTCACTTTCACACTGCTGATAAAGAAATACCTGAAACTGGGAACAAAAAGAGGTTTGATTGGACTTACAGTTCCACATGGCTGAGGAGGCCTTAGAATCACGGTGGGAGGTGAAAGGCACTTCTTACATGGTGGCAGAAAGATAAAAATGAGGAAGAAGCAAAAGCAAAGCCCCCTGATAAACCCATCAGATCTCGTGAGATTTATTCACTATCACGAGAATAGCACAGGAAACACTGGCCCCCTTGATTCAATTACCTCCCCCTGGGTCCCTCCCAAAACATGACAGAATTCTGCAGATAAAATTCAAGTTCATATTTGGGTGGGGACACAGCCAAACCATATCTTTCTACCCCTGGCCCATCAAATCTCATGTCCTCACATTTCAAAACCAATTATGCCTTCCCAACAGTCCCCCAAAGTCTTAACTCATTTCAGCATTAACTCAAAAGTCCACAATCCAAAGTCTCATCTGAGACAAGGCAAATCCCTTCCACCTATGAGCCTGTAAAATCAAAAGCAAGTTAGTTACTTCCTAGATACAATGGGAGTACAGGTATTGGGTAAATACAGCCATTCCAAATGAGAGAGACTGGCCAAAAGAAGGGGGTTACAGGGCCCAAGCACGGCCGAAATCCAACAGGGCAGTCAAATTTTAAAGCTCCAAAATGATCTCCTTTGACTCCAGGTCTCATATCCAGGTCACGCTGATTCAAGAGGTGGGTTCCCATGGCCTTGGGTAGCTCTGTCCCTGTGGCTTTGCAGGGTACAGCCTCCCTCCCGGCTGCTGTCACGGGCTGGTGTTGAGTGTCTGTGGCTTTTCCAGGTTCATGGTGCAAGCTGTTGGTGGATCTAACATTCCAGGGTCTGGATGATGGTGGCTCTCTTCTCACACCTTCACTAGGCAGTGCCCCAGTAGGGACTCTGTGTGGGGCCTACAACCCCACATTTCCCTTCTGCATTGCTCTGGCAGAGGTTCTCCATGAGAGCCCTGCCCCTGCAGCAAACTTTTGCCTGGGTATCCAGGTATTTCCATGCATCTTCTGAAATCTAAGCAGAGGTTCCCAAACCTCAATTCTTGACTTCTGTGTAGCTGCAGACTCAACACCACATGGAAGCTGCCAAGGATTGGGGCTTCTAACCGCTGTAGCCATAGCCTGAGCTCTACATTGACCCCTTTCAGCCATGGCTGGAATGGTTGGGACACAGGGCTCCAAGTCCCTAGGCTGCACACATATGGGGACCCTGGGCCCGGCCCACAAAACCACTTTTTCCTCCTGGACCTCCAGGCCTCTGATGAGAGGGGCTGCTGTGAAGGTCTCTGCTATGGCCTGGAGACATTTTCCCCGTGGTCTTGGGGATTAACATTAGGCTCCTGGCTACTTAAGCAAATTTCTACAGCTGGCTTGAATTTCTTCTCAGAAAATGGGTTTTTCTTTTCTACTGCATTCGTCAGGCTGCAACTTTTATGCTCTGTTTCCCTTTTAAAATGAAATGCTTTTAACAGCACTGAAGTCAACTTTTGAATGCTTTGCTGATTAGAAGTTTCTTCTGCCAGATACCCTAAATCATCTCTCTCAAGTTCAAAGTTCCGCAAATCTCTAGGGCAGGGGCAAAATGCCACCAATCTCTTTGCTGAAACATAACAAGAGTCATCTTTGCTTCAGTTCCCAAGAAGTTTCTCATCTCCATCTGAGACCACCCCTGGACCTTATTGTCCATGTTGCCATCTGGTTTTTGGTCAATGCCATTCAACAAGTCTCTAGGGAGTTCCAAACTTCCCCACATTTTCCTGTCTTCTTCTGAGCCTTCCAAACTGTTCCAACCTCTGCCTGTTACCCAGTTGCAAAGTCACTTCCACATTTTTGGGTATCTTTTCAGCTGCACCTCACTCTATTAGTACCAATTTACTGTATTAGTCCATTTTCACACTGCTGATAAAGACATACCCAAAACTGGGAACAAAAAGAGATTTAATTGGACTTACAGTTCCACATGGCTGGGGAGGCCTCAGAATCATGGCAGGAGGTGAAAGGTACTTCTTACATGGTGGCAGCAAGAGAAAAATGAGGAAGAAGCAGAAGCAGAAATCCCTGATGCTCACGCCTGTAGTCCCAGCACTTTGGGAGGCTGAGGTGGGCGGATCACAAGGTCAGGAGATCGAGACCATCCTGGCTAACACGGTGAGACCCCCTCTCTTTCTTTAAAACTACAGAAAAATCAGCCAGGCATGGTGGCAGACGCCTATAGTCCCAGCTGCTCTGGAGGCTGAGGCAGGAGAATGGCATGAACCCCGGAGGCGGAGCTTGCAGTGAGCCCAGATCACGCCACTGCACTCCAGCCTGGGCGACAGAGTGAGACTCCATCTCAAAAAAAAAAAAAGAAAAAAAAAAAGAAATCCCAGATGAATCCATCAAATCCTCTGAGACTTATTCACTATCACGAGAACAGCATGGGAAAGACTGGCCTCCATGATTCAATTATCTCACCCTGGGTCCCTCTCACAACACAGGGGAATTCTGGGAGATACAATTCAAGTTGAGATTTGGGTGGGGACACAGCCAAGCCATATCACTCAGTGCTCAGAAAATGGGATAAATTTCTTGACCTTTCCTTCTATTAGAGCCTCTAGTGGACTCCCTACTGCCAAATTAAAGTGGACCCTTGAGGTTTGTGTCCTAGATTCAGCTCTCCTGGGCATACCACACAACCATTTATCTGAGATTTTGTCTTCTCTGGGTGCACTGCTACAGACGAGCAGCTGGATCCCTAAAAATTACAGGACCTATCGGCTTTTATCCTTTTCCCAGTTGTGGAAACTGCTCCTCCCTCTCTTGCTTCAGAGGTACTCCTCTATCTCTTCCTGCCCTCCAAGAAACGCAGATTTATTTCTTTAACAAATTTAGTCTTTTATAAAAGACCTAAATGTCTTTTAAAGTGGTGTCCAGTAGAACTTCCTAAGAGGATAAAAATGCTATATACCTATATTGTCCAATTCAGTAACCACTAGCCACATGTGCCCACTGAGCATTTAAAATGTGGGTAGTGCAACAAATCAGTTTTTAATTACATCTAATTTTAATGTAAATTTAAACAGCCTCATGTGACCAGTGGCTACCTTATTGGGCTGCACAGTTTTAAAGCACAGCAGGCTTTTTCTTTTATCCTGCTGTAAAAATACAAATAGCCTGGCTATCTACTTGAAACAGAGAATGAAAAATATAAAGAGCAATGCAAAATAGCATTTCTAAAATGTTCTCCGGTGATGAGCATGAGGCATTCATTATACTCTGCTTCAATTTTTCTGTATGTTTGAATATTCTCAAAATAAACATTTGGGGAAAGAAACATACTGCCACAAATTAAAGCACAGTTATAAATAAATTTCTGAAGAGGGATCCTGAGGCGTGAGCTCCAGCTGTTTTCATTTTGCTAATTCCGACAAGTGGATGGGCTGATTAGGAAGGCCCAGTGTATGAGAAAGCAACAGTTGGATAAAAAGCAAGAGCCTGGGCCGGGCGCGGTGGCTCACGCCTGTAATCCCAGCACTTTGGGAGGCCGAGGCGGGCAGATCACGAGGTCAGGAGATTGAGACCATCCTGGCTAACATGGTGAAACTCCGTCTCCACTAAAAATACAAAAAAAAAAATTAGCCAGGCGTGGTGGCCGGCACCTGTAGTCCCAGCTAGTCGGGAGGCTGAGGCAGGAGAATGGCGTGAACCCGGGAGGCAGAGCTTGCAGTGAGCAGAGATCGCACCACTGTACTCCAGCTTGAGCGATGGAGCGATGGAGCCTAGTGGTAAAGAACCTTTAAGCAAATATATCCAATAAAAACCCAAACAAGCCAGAAAAAGAAGACTGAAATAAATAATAAATCATTCAATGCAAAGACATAGATGTACATCCACAAAAAACAACAGCAAAGAGGGAACCATGATTTCCCGAAAGCAAGGAACCTAACAACATAGTGATAATGTGAGCTCTCTGACCAACAATTTAAAATAGCCTCTTGAAGAAAGCTCAATGATCTCCAAGTTAACACAGAAAAGGAGCTCAGAAATTTATCAGATAAATTAAACACAGAGATTAGAATAATTTTTAAAAAATAAAACAGAAATATTGAAACTGAAATATATTTGCTGAATGTCAAAATTCATTAGAGGCTGTCAACAGCAGAATGGATCAAGCAGGGGAAAGAATCTGTAATCTTGAAGACAGGCTGTGGGATAATGCAGTCAGAAGAATAAAAAAAAAGAATGAAAAGCATGAAGAACACTTACAAGATATAGAATATTACCTGAAAAAGTAAAATCTAAGAATTATTGGTGTTCAAGAGTGAATGGAGCAAGAGCAAGAAGTAGAAAGCTTATTTAAAGAAATAATAACAGATAACTTCACAAAACTTCAAAAGAAACATTCGGGTATAGGAAGGTCAGAGAACACCAAACAGATCTGACCCAAATAACACTACCCCAAGGAATATAATAATCAGATTCTCAAAGGTCAAGGACAAAGTGAGAATTCTAAAAGCAGCAAGAGAAAAGAAGTAAATAACTTATAAAGGATCCCCAATTCCTTTGGCAACAGATTTTTTTTTTCAATGGAAATCACACAGGAAAGGAAAGAGTGCACCAACATTTTCAGAGTGTTGAAAGAAAAAAACTGCCATTCAAGAACACTTTAATTAGCAAAGTTATCTTTCAAATATGAAGGAGAGATAAAGTCTTCCCCGAACAAGAGCTGAGAGAATTGACCACCACCAGACCCATTTTTAAAGAAATGCTAAAGGGAGTTCTATAATCTGAAAGGAAAACAACAACAAAAAAATTGAAGATATAAAACCTACCAGTAAAATGAAGCACATAGACAAACCCAGATTACTGTAATACTGCATGGTGTGCAATTCACTGATTCCTCTAACACAAAACCCAAAAGAAAAATCTATCAAAAGCAGTAATAGCTACAGCAACTTGTTAAGAGAGAGAGATAATATAAAAATATGCAAATTGAGACGATTAAAAGTCAAAAAGTGGGGGAATAGGGTTAAAGCGTAGATTTTTTTTTTATTTCTTTCTATCCTATTCTTTTTGATATAAGTAAGGTAAGTTGTCTTCTCTTTAAAATAACTTCCATCTATGTTTTTTGCAAGTCTCATGATAACCACAATGCAAAAACCAATAATTCACTAAATATGAAAATCAATGAATTAAAGCATTCTACCAGAGAAAAATTACTTAACCACAAAGGAAGAAGGGAAGAAGGGAGGAAAGGAAGAAGGAGTTATGAAACAACCAGAAAACAAGCAACAAAATGTCAGTAGCCTTTACTTATTAACAGCATTCAATGTAAATGGACTCAATTCTCTAATTAAAAGGCATACAGTGGCTGAATAAACAGCCAAGACCCAACTATGTGCTGCCTACAGAAAAAAACACTTCACCTATAAATATACTGCCTGAAAGTGAAGAGATGGAAAACGATATTACATGCAATGGGAAACCAAAGAAAAAGCAGGAGTGGCTACACTTATATGAGATAAAATAGCCTACGTATCAAAGACTGTAAAAGGAGACAAAAGGTCACTATATAATGATAAAGGAGTCAAGTCAGCAAGAAAATATAACAATTATAAATATCTGTGCACCAAACACTGGAACATCCAAGTATATTCAGCAAACATTAATAGATCTTAAGGGAGAGATAGATTGTAATACAATAATAGTAGGGGACTTTATCACCCCACTCTTAAAAATGAAGAGATCATTAAGAGAGAAAATCAAAAAGGAAATAATGGAGATAAACTACATACTGAAAGGCCTAACTAACATTTACAGAACATTTCATCCAACTGCTACAGAATAACATTGTTTCTTTTCATTAATACATAGAACATTCACCAGAATAAACAATATCTTAAGTCACAAAACAGGTTCCAACCAATTCAAATTGTAGAAAACAACCAAGCGTGATAGCTTGTGCCTGTAGTCCTAGTTACTTAGGAGGCCAAAGCAGAAGAAGAGAATTGGTTGAGCCCAGGAATTCAAGGTAACAGTGAACTACAATTGCATGATTGTATTCCAGCCTGGGTGGCAGAGTGAGACCTTGTCTCCAAAATAAATAAATAAATAAAATAAAACAAAATGTAGAAATTCTATGAAGTATCTTTTCTGACCACAGTAGAATAAAAGTAGAAATCAATTAGAGAACCTCAGAAGCTTCATGAAATTACACAGCATGGAAATTAAACAGCATGCTCCAGAACAAACAATGGGTAAATGTAGAAATTAAGAAGAAAATTAGAAAATTTATTGAAATAAATGAAAATGGAAATATAACATACCAAAATCTAAGCAGCTCTAAGAGGGAAATTTACCACAATAAATGTCTACATCAGAAAAGTAGAGAGACTTCAAATAAACAAACTAATGATGCACCACAAGAAACAAGGAAAGCAAGAACAAATCAAACCCAAAATTAGTTGACAAAAAGAAATAGTAAGGACCAGAGCAGGAAAAAATACAATTCAGACTATAAAAACAATAAAGAAGATCAACAAAATGAAAAGTTTTTTTTTAAAAGATAAAAATCCAATAAACCTTTAGCTAGACTAGAAAAAAAAGAGAAAAACCTAAATAAATAAAATAAAAAATGAAAAATGGAACATAACAACTGAAACCACAGAAATACAAGGAATCATTACAGACTGTCATGAAGAACTATACACCAACCTTTTGGAAAATTTAAAAGAAATAGATAAATTCCTGGACACATACAACCTAGTAAGATTAAACTATGAAGAAATACAAAACTTCAACAAACCAGTATCGAGTAATGAGATAAAAGCCATAATGAAACGTCTCTCATCAAAGAAAAACCTAGGGCCTGATGGCTTCACTGCTGAATGCTACCAAACATTTAAAGAAAATGTAATACCAATTTTACTCAAACTCTTCAAAAAAAAATTGAGGAAGAGGGAATACTGTGGAACTCATTCTACAAGGCCAGCATTATACTGCTACCAAAAGCAAGAAGGATACAACAAAAAAAGAAAAACATAGGATAATATCACTGATGAACATAGAGGCAAACATCCTCAGCAGTATAGTAGTAAACTGAATTTAACCACACATTAAAAGGACCATTCACCATAATCAACTGGGATTTGCCCCAGGGATCCAAGTATGATTCAACATATGCAAACACGATACATCCCATTAACTCGATCAAGAACAAAATCCATGTGATCACTTCAATAGATGCAAAAAAAGGCATTGGACTAAAAATAGAAAAAATTAGCCGGGCGTGGTGGTGGGCACCTGTAATCCTAGCTACTCAGGAGGCTGAGACAGGAGAATCACTTGAACCTGGGAGGCCGAGGTTGCAGTGAGCCAAGATCGTGCCACTGCACTCCAGCCTGGGCGACAGAGTGAGACTCTGCCTCAGAAAAAAAAAAAAAAAAAAAAAAATCGACATCTCTTCATGATAAAAACCCTCAACAAATTGGGTATGGAAGGAACATTCCTCAAAATCATAAAGGCCATATATGACAAATCCACGGCTAACACTGTTCTGAAAAGGGAAAAATTGAAGGCCTTTCCTCTAAGATTTAAAATAAGACACGGATGCCTACTTTTTTTGTGGGGGACAGAGTCTCGCTCTGTCGCCCAGGCTGGAATGCAGTGGTGCTATCTCAGCTCACTCCAAGCTCCACCTCCCGGGTTCACGCCATTCTCCTACCTCAGCCTCCCAAGTAGCTGGGACTACAGGCGCCCGCTACCACGCCTGGCTAATTTTTTGTATTTTTAGTAGAGGCGGGGTTTCACCGTGTTAGCCAGGATGGTCTCGATCTCCTGACCTCATGATCCACCCACCTCAGCCTTCCAAAGTGCTGGGATTACAGGCGTGAACCACCGCGCCCAGCCGGATGCCTACTTTCACCACTTTAACATAATACTGGAACTCCTGGCTAGAGCAATTAGGCAAGATAAAGAAATAAAGGGCATCCATATTTAAAAGGAAGAGTCAAATTAGCCCTGAACACAGATGATATGATCTTAAATTTAGAAAATCCTGGACTCCATCAAAAAAACTGTTAGAACTGACAAATGAATTCAGTAAAGTTGCAAGACACAAAATCAATACACAAAAATCAGTAGCATTTATACATGCCAACAGCAAACAATATGAAAAGGAAATCAAGAAGCAATCACATTTACAATAGCTAAAAAAACATAAAATACCTAGAAGTCAATTTAACCAAAGATGTGAAAGATCTTCATAAGGAAAATGGTAAAACGCTGATGAACGAAACTGGAGAGGACACACAAATAAATGGAAGGATATTGCATGCTCATAGATTGGAAGAATAATATTGTTAAAATGGCAATCCTATTCAAAGCAATTTACAGATTCAATGCAATCCTTATCAAAATAAGAATAAAATTCTTCATAGAAATTGAAAAAAATAATCTTAAAACTTATCTGGAACCACAAAAGACCCCTAATAGACAAAACAATCCTGAACAAAAAGAACAAAGCTAGAGGCATCACATTATCTCACTTCAAAATTTATGACAAAGCTATAGTACCAAAACAGCATTGTGTGGGCATAGACCATACAATGTGTACAGGAAAGACACATAGACCAACGGACCAGAACAAAGAACCCAGATGTAAAGCCATGCCTTTACAGTCAACCTATTTTTGACAAAGGCTCCAAGAACACCATGGGGAAAGGATAGTCTCTTCAATAAAGGGTGCTGGGAAAACTGTGTAACCGAATGTAGAAGAATGAAACTAGGCCCCAAATTCCCACCATATACAAAAATCAAATCAAAATAAAGACTTTAAGACCTGAAACTTTGAAACTACTAGAAGAAAACATTGAGGAAATGCTCCAGGACATTGATACAGGAAAAAATTGTATGTGTCAGACCTCAACAGCATAGGCAATCAAAGCAAAAACAGATAAATGGGATTACATCAAGCTAAATATCCTCTGGACAGCAAAGGAAACAATCATCACAGTGAAGAGATAACCCATAGAATAGGAGAAAATATTTATAAGCTCTCCATCTGAGAAGAGATTAAAAACCAGAATACATAAGGAGCTCAAACCACTCAATAGGAAAAAAATATCTGATTTAAAAATGAACATAAGCTCTCAACACACTTTTCTCAAAAGAAGACATACACATGCCTAACAGGGATAGGAAAATTGCTCATCAATAATAATCAGAGAAATGAAAATCAAAACTATAATGAGATATCATCTCACACCAGTTAAAATGGCTTTTGATCAACAAGACAGTCAATAACGGATGCTGGTGAGGATGTGGAGACAGGGGAACCCTCATACACTGTTGGTGGAAATATAAATTAGTACAGCCATTATGGATAACAGGATGGAGCTTCCTCAAGAAACTAAAAATAGAACTACCATATGATCCACCAATTCCACGGAGTATATATTCAAGAGAAAGAAAATCAGTATACTGAAAAAGATCTGCACTTCCATGTTTATTGCAACACTATTCACAAGAGCCAAAATATGGAATCAACCTAACTGCCCATCAGTGAATGAATGGATAAAGAAAATTTAGTATATATACACAATGTGATATTGTTCAGCCACAACAATGAAGTCTTGTCATTTACAGCAACACGGATGGATTTGGACGTCAGTATATTAAAGTGAAATAAGCCAAGCACAGAAAGACAAATATTGTGTGTTCTCACTGACATGTCGGAGCTAAAAAAATCAATCTCATGAAAATAGGGAGTAGACTGGTAGTTGCCAGAGGACAGAAGGGTATGGAAGTAGCAGAAAGAAGAGAAATTGATTAATGTGTATAAACATATAGTTGACAAAAGAAATAAGACCTAGTGTGAGACAGATCAGTAGGGTAAGTTTACAATATTCTTTTGTGCTTTTCAAAATAGTTAGAATAATTTGAATGTTTCTAGCACAAAGGACATATAATTAAAGTGATGAGATCCCAACCACACTGATTAGATCTTTATAAAGTATGAATCTATATTATCACATGTAACTGAAATAATAAATATCTATTATGCATCAATAAAATACATTTTTTTCTTAGACAGAGTCTCACTCTGTTGCCCAGGCTAAAGTGCAGTGGTGTGATTTCAGCTCACTGCAACCTCCACCTCCCAGGTTCAAGTGATTCTCCTGCCTCAGCCTCTGGAGCAGCTGGGATTACATGCACCTGCCACCACGCCCAGCAAATTTTGTATTTTTAGTAGAGATGGGGTTTCATCATGTTGGCCAGGCTGTTCTCGAACTCCTGACCTCAAGTGATCTGCCCACCTCACCCTCCCAAAGTGCTGAGATTACAGGCATGAGTCACTGTGTCCAGCCTAAAGTAATTTCTTTTAAAAAAGTTAATGACTTACCCAAAGTTGTGAAGTTATTGAGGGACAGAACTCTAACAACTCAGCAATTCTGATTTCAGTTAACCTAACTGTTCCATGATGTTGCCTCTGAGACTGAATTATGTGCTAGTTAGTTTGGATTTCATACATTTTTAACTTCTATATATAATTTCAATTTTATAGTAATAATGTTAAAAGAACACTTTGAGACAAATTTAGCAGAGTTTATTTGAGCAAAAAAATGATTCATGAATTGGGCAGCACTTGGAACCAGTCAAGGTTCAGAGAGGTCTACCCAGCAACTTCTTTAGGTAGTATCTACAGACAGAAAAAGGAAGGCACATACAGAAACAGCCTGATTGGTTATAGTTTGGTATTTGCCTTATTAGAACATGTCTGAGCAGTTTGCGACTTGTTATTGGCTGATATGATTGGCCAAAACTTGGCTGTTTAAAAAACATACTCTTAGTTACATTTCAGTCTGTTTACATATAGCTTATGGTGCAGTATGTATGAAGGTTTCTTTAGGCCAAATTTAATTTAATTTAACAAGCCTTAAAAAGAAAGAAAAGGCAAACACTCTTCTTATTCACAATTGTTGTGCAGGCTAGATTGGACGGTGGAAAACTATTGGTCTTAGCTTTGGGCTTCATCTTACTCTTCCATAAAATGAAACTGTTCAAGCTGCTAACATTATTTTCACCTCCCAAATTTAATGATGACATATACTTACCTCTGTTTTATTTTTAGTGTATTCACTTTTACTTTGTTTGTTACCAAAACTCCCTAGTTTTCCTAAGTGTTTTTCTTTAATTTGAATATATAAAATAATACAGCTACAAGTGGATCAGTATAAGAATTGGAGGAGGAGAAAATCAAACACAGATATGATTGAAAAAAACTATCAATGCTGTAAAACTTTCTAAATACTTATGTGATCAATACTGTACTCTGGAGTAGTTGGGAGTACAAGTGATTATAGGTAACAGTAATTCAGTACTTACCATACCCCTAATACTGCTCTGTACTTTAAATATTAACTTATTTAGTCTTCTTAACAATTTTCTGAGGTGTTAGTCTGATATTACAGCTGAAGTATACAGAGAAGTTAAATAACTTTTTCCAACTGAATAGCCAGTGAATAGTAGTATTAATGAGAGGTGACAACCTGCTAGCAGCACTCACTCGCTCTTGGCGTCTCCTCGGCCTCGGTGTCCACTCTGGCAGTGCTTGAGGAGCCCTTCAGCCCGCCGCTGCACTGTGGGAGCCTGTCTCTGGGCTGGCCAAGGCCGGAGCCGGCTCCCTCTGCTTGCGGGGAGGTGTGGAGGGAGAGGCGCGGGCGGGAACCGCGGCTGCGGTTGGCGCTGGCGGGCCCGCGCGAGTTCCAGGTGGGCGCGGGCTCCGCCCGCCCCGCACTTGGAGCGGCGGGTCGGCACCGCTGGCCCGAGGCAGTGAGGGGCTTAGCACCCGAGCCAGCAGCTGCGGAGAGTGCACCGGGTCCCCCAGCACTGCCAGCCTGCCCCTGCGGCGCTCGAATTCTCACGGGGCCTCAGCCGCCTCCCGCGCGGCAGGGCTCGGGACCTGCAGCCCGTCATGCCATGCGCGAGCCCTCCCCTCTCCCGGTGGACTCGTGCCCAGCCCGAGCCTCCTCGAAGGGCGCCGCCCCCTGCTCCACGGCGCCCGGTCCCATCCACTGCCCAAAGGCTGAGGAGTGCGGGCGCGTGGCGCGGGACTGGTGGGCAGCTCCGCTGCAGTCTCGGCGGGCCGGGAACCGCTAGGTGAAGCCAGCTGGGCTCCTGAGTCAGGTGGGGACTTGGAGAACTTTTATGTCTAGCTAAAGGTTTGTAAATGCACCAGTCAGCACTCTGTGTCTAGCTGAAGGTTTGTAAACGCACCAGTCAGCACCCTGTGTCTTGCTCAAGGTTTGTAAAGGTACCAATCAGTGCTCTGTGTCTAGCTAATCTGGTGGGGACTTGAAGAACTTTTGTGTCTAGCTAAAGGATTGTAAATTTACCAGTCAGCACTCTGTGTCTAGCTCAAGGTTTGTAAACACACCAATCAGCATCCTGTCAAAACGGACCAATCAGCTCTCTGTAAAACAGCCCAATTAGCTCTCTGTAAAGCAGACCAATCAGTAGGATGTGGGTGGGGCCGGATAAGGGAATAAATGCAGGCCACCTGAGCTAGCAGGGGCACTCTACTGGGGTCCTCTTCCACTCTGTGGAAGGTTTGTTCTTTTGCTGTTTGCAATAAATCTTGTTGCTGCTCACTCTTTGGGTCTGCGTGCGTTTATGAACTGTAACACTCACCGCGAGGGTCCGCGGCTTTATTCTTGAAGTCAGCAAGACCAAGAACCCACCAATTCCGGACACATTAAGGTCTGAACGAAAATGACGTATTTCTGGAGACGAAGATGTTAACTGCTACATTATATTATCTAGCTTTATAGTGCTCATCATCTGGTAGAGAACATTAAACAAAAATGCACTATAACTAGTAATACAAGGACTATGCAAGTGTAATAAGTCTTATAGAGCAGGGGTCCCCAATCTGAGGACTGCAAATCAGTGCTACACAGCAGGATGGGGTATACAGCAGGACGGGGTACACAGCAGGAGGTGAGCTGCGGGGCAGGAAAGGGAGCGTTACCCCAAGCTCCACCTCCTTGTCAGATCAGCGAGGCATTAGATTCTCATACGAATGCAAACCCCATTATAAACTGTGCATGTGAAGGATCTAGGCTGTATGCTCCTTAGATAAGAATCTGATGATCTGAGATGGAATAGTTTCAACCCGAAACCATCTCCCCTACCCCTGTCCATGGAAAATTTATCTTCTGTGAATTGTCTTCCACCAAACTGGTCCCTGGTGCCAAAATGATTGGGGACCACTGCTATAGAGCACTACGTGTTTAATGGAAACTATTGGTTATACAATGCCTATTATGTGTCAGGAAGTTTTAATATGTCTGTAAGGCATTTAGTTTCTTTAGTAAATAAGGAAAATGAGGCTTAGGGAAATTACTTCCCCAAGTCACAAAAGTAGCTAGCGTAATAGGAGCTCCACCTCAGATGCAGAAGAGGGTATTCTTGCCACTACACTGTGATATTTTTATACCCATCCAGTTATGGTGATCCTTAAAGACTTCATGAAATTTGAAATGAACTCAGAAGAAGGAGATTTTCTCAGGTGAAGAAAGAGCTCAAAACAAAGTAGGGGAAAGCATTACCAGAAGAAGGAATATTTGTCCCACTGAGCGGAATAAAGGCTCCTTGAAGGGGAGGTAGAAGATAAGGCTTGAAAAGACGATGAGGTGAAGGGTCATGGATATCAGACTCAAAAGTTTGTAGCTAGTAAAAGTGAGCCGATAAAAATGTTACTGCTAAGGAACACATCGATTTTTCAGGAAAGACAAGAGTTTTTCCTGGCCTGAGATCCAAAATAAATTTCTTACATGAGATCTAGTAAGGGCACAGGGCACACCAAGTCACCGTGAGTGTCAAAGCAAATCTCAGAGTACTTTTAATCCAACAAACATTTATGAAACATCAGGCTTGGTGTTTTGTGCTAAATAATTCAACCTTAGAACAGAATTCAGTGAAGAGAATACGAGGCTAAATTAATATGACTTTCAAGATCTCCAAAAGGTAGGTTGATCATCTGTTCTGTTAACCATGATCCTGAGATATTTCCTTACAGATGAACTTTTCTCTTATAACCAAAGGTTTACAGTTCAAGATTATACACTTCATTGAGCACCCTGGTCCTGTGGTATTCTTTGCTGTATACCAAGTGCGGATTAATCCGCAGCTTTGAAAATCAAAGAGATATCACCAGTTGTTCATCACCACAGACATTTAGCTGGACTATAAATATTGGAAAGAAAAAAAAGTTGCTCGTGAAAATACGTGGTGAATTCCTTTAAAGAGAAACCGGTGAGAAATATTGCTTCACCTTAAAGCCTAGGATGGTAGCTACCGTTTTTCTCAAGACTGTCCTTACATAACCTATTGGCATGGGGAAAAAGTCAATGTTTATAAACTCCTTAAGAAACTTAAAATCTGGAAAAGGCAACTACGTATCATGTCAACTAAAGTAAGATAATTAACACTAGGATCAAAATTTGGAATCCACGTGAAAGATTCTGCAAAGATCACTTAAATCTCAGACCTTATGCACTATTTTAAATATTTATTTAAGCAGAAATAGAAAATCTTAGTCTATTATATTTCCATTTAATTTCCTGGACTTAAGAAATCTATGTGTGACTGATTGAGTTGCCTAATGGGGTGCAAACATAAAAATTTGCATTGGGATTCATTTTATTCTCAGTTTAAAATCAGTAGTATCATTGAAAACAAGACACTAATTTTCTGGAAGTTTAATTTATTTGTCCCTCTTATTATCGGGGCTGGTAAAAAAGGGCTAATTGAACACACATTCTAACAAAGATTGCAGCAACGCCTGCAAAGACGGGCCCAAGCGCACCGTATTTCTGTTAAGAACGTGTGATTTTTTTTTTCTGCGCCACCTTGTGGCCGTAAAACAACTTGCCCACGTGAAAGTTGACCGCTTTTTCCCGCGCCGGCAGAGCCTTGCTGAGAGCCGCACTGCGGGAATCCGCCTCCAGACAAACGTGCAGAAAATGGTGTCTTCCTTTACAACCAGTGACAGGAAACAGACTTCCCCTTCTTCATACTCCGTTTCCTTTATTCCTGAATTCCATTTCCTCGGCCCGCCCACCCACTGTCCTCAGACAGCCGTTTCCCAGTGTGACCTCCTTTTCCAGCTGCACTCTCCGGCGGAGGCCCTTTTCCCAGCCCGGACCCTCCCGGGCGGCCCTCGCAGCCCTCACCTCCGGGTCCCCGCCGCCCCTGCTCCATTACAGCACGATCCCCGCCACACAGGCCCGCCTCTCCCTCCGACAGCCAATCGCGGCGCGACCCCGCCCCTCCCGCTGGGGCCCGGGGCGCTAGAGCGCTCCGGGAGGCTAGGGGAGCTGAATTCTGCGTCTTCCTTTAGGCTGCGGCGAGACAATCCCCAGAGCCCCGCGGCCCGGCCTCGGGGCAGCCATGGACTCGCAGGAATTGAAGGTGAGCGGGTGAGCGGGTGAGCGGGTGAGCGGGCGGGCGGGCGGAGTTCCTTTGCGGCCTTTTGGCCCGGGGGCGCGGAGGGAGCTCGGGTGGCTTCGCTAGGCCGCTGTTTCCCTGCGGTGCCCCGGCTGCTCGGGTTGCGGGGTGGGCCTGCAGCCTCTGCTCACGGCCGGTCTCCGCGGGCCCTGCTGGGGAAGCCCAGGTCTGGGCAGCCCGCCCGCTCGGTGTTTCTGAATTGCTGGTCCCCATGCTGTTGGTTGTGTTTACTTTTGTATCATGTTTACTAGGAAAGCTTGGGTTACCTATGACACTGCGCCTCCGGGTGCGATTTTTAAGGACTTAAGGCAAACTAGTGTCAGCTCCCACACTGGACAGTAAAAAGAGCGCAGAAAGATTATATGAAACCCATTAAAGACGTAAGACTTAAAAGTGGAGGGGTCGTTATTTTAGGGTGATGGTCTTCTCTGTTTATCACTGACTCATTCATTCAGCAAATATTAATGACGGTCAACTTAAGAAAGGCTGATATAAAACAGTTAAAGACATGAGGCTTGAAAATAAAATAACTTTTCGGATGTTGGTCTTCTCTATTCATTTGTTCACTGAATCACTCGTTCAGCAAATATTTATGAAGGGTTACTGTATGTCCATTAGAAGCTGGAGATAGCAGTGAGCAAAACTGAACAGTTTCTGCCTTCTCAGATTTTACAGGCTAATTAATGCTGGGGAAAAACCCTAATTCAGTTGACTCAACAAATATTTACTGAATGCCTCCTATGTGTCTAGCACTGTTCTAAGCACTGAAATAATAAAACCAAGAAAAACTCTTCCAATCTTGGAGCTTACATTTGAGTAGGAGGAGTCAGACAACAAGTAGGTAAATGAAATGTGTATCCTGTGAGATGGTGATAAGTGGATGGAGGACAATTTGGCGATGTAGGAGGTTAGGGAATGCTGAAATGTCTTGTTTTTCTGCCTGAAGTTTTACATTATCCTCTGTTCTAGCTATCCCCCTATATCCTTACATTTTTTTATTCCCTTAAATGTATTATTTGCACTGCCACCCAAATGAACATTTTAATAAAAACACTTTAATGTAAAATGTAAAAATGGGCCTCCTCATTACTTAGACTTGAGGTTCAAGTCCAAGTACTTAATATGAGGCTTTTCACCCCACCTTCGTCTCCAACCTCATCATCCAATACTCTCTGTCTCACTTAAGCCTCCAGAGCAGAGAATAGCAAACTTTCTCAACAAAGGGCCAGATAGTACACATTTTAGACTTTATGGACCGTATGGTCTATCACATCTAATTGGCTTGTTCAAAACAGCCATAGACAATACTTAAATGAGCATGGCTGTGTTTCAATAAAACTTTATTTATGAACACTGAAATTTGACTTTCATGTAATTTTCATGTTATGAAATATTTCTTTTTTTTCCTTGACAGCTGGAAAATATAAAAACCATTCTTAGTTCACTGGCTGTACAGCCAGCCAGCCAGATATGGCCCACAGAGTGTGGTTTGCCAAACCCTGCTCTAGAGTATGGAGTGGCTTTTAGTCATCTTCATCACCACTGCCATCCCAATGTACCATTGATGACTTGTTATCTGTGTTGTTGCAGTTCCTCTTCCTAACTCCTGTACCTTCCTCAAGAATCATGAAAAGGAAATAGGAAGAGCGTGTACGTGTGTGGAGGGAGAATGAGGGGTTTGCAATTCAAGAGTCAGCTCTGAAATCCTCCCCAATAATCTTTCCCTTGATTTTAGTCATCCATCCTCCCCTCACACCACATTCAGTTTTCAATGCTGTCAAAATGTTGCTATCCCACATTCCCAAAGGAGTTTATAAGCTCTTTTCTTACATTTACTACATTATATTTCAGTTAGTCTTCAGATTACAGTCTCATCTGAAAAATGTAGGTTTTCCGGGGGGACAGGAACCATGTCTTACTCATTTTTCTATTCATAGTAGCTAGCCCAGTGCCTGGGTACTAGTAGGCAGTCAGTAAATGTTTTGGATTGAATAACCTAACCTGAACCAAGGCAGTAGCATTAGGTATGTTTAGTGGGAGGTAGACTGGAGAAATAGAAGAACCTACTAAGTGGTTAGACTTAGAGAGACTGGGCAAATAGGAAGGGAGGATTCATGAGTAGCAGGGTAGCAGGTGGAAAATGGAAATATGAATCTGGAACATAGACAAGAGGTCTTGGCGCAGGACACATTTTTTTTTTATTCCATTAACATATGGGATGCAGAGGAACTTATTTTTTTCAGAATAGAACTCTTATACTATGATATCTTAATTAATTCTCACAGTGACCTGTACATTTGCATTACTAACAGCATTTTATAAATGAGCAGACTGAGGCGTTGTAAGAAGGACCAGAGATTCTTTTTGCCTTTAAATTCGCGTCCTTTTTATGGTGCTATGCCACTGCCTTTCAGGAGGATTATAGATGCTTAGTGATAGTGTGCAGAAGTCAAGTAAGGTATTAAACGTGTCCTTAGTTGTGGCAAAGTAAGAAGTCATTCTGCAACTTTAGGGAATGGAGCATTGGAGGAAAACTGTGTTTCACTGAAATGTGTTGTGGGGGTCTGGAGATGGGGTATGGAGCACACTTTTAAGAAACATGGCTAAAAAGGAGGTTAGGGAGCAGTGATCACAAGGAGGGAGGCAGAGTAAAATTACAGAGAACAGTCGCCTAACTGATCTAGAGAAGTACATGGACTATAGCCCTCCAGAAGCAAGAGACTATATAAAACAGAGCTGTCGGACGGGCGTGGTGGCTCACGCCTGTAATCTCAGCACTTTGGGAGGCCCAGGCGGGTGGATCACTTGAAGTCAAGAGTTCAAGACCAGCCTGGCCAACATGGGGAGCCCCATCTCTACTTAAAAATACAAAAATTAGCCAGGTGCGGTGGGGTGTGCCTATAGTCCCAGATCAGGAGGCTGAGGCAGGAGAATCGCTTAAACCTAGGGGGCAGAGATTGCAGTGAGCAGAGATTGCGCCACTGCACTCCAGCCTGAGTGACAGAATCTCCAAAACAAAACAAAACAAACAAACCAGAGCTGTCTAGATACCCTTAGATTTCAATCCTGTCACTTAGTCACCTGTATTTCTCACTGCTACTGAACAAGCTGTAGAGTCCAGGTAGGTAGGTATGGGGTGGCCCAAACTGCTTTCTGGTGAATCAGGTGTATCCTAGTGATGGTGGGAAAGTGTGGTTTCTGTCTTTGATGAGGTTAGCAACCAAGCCTTAGACATAATCGTAGGAAAAATGGTAGACAGCACAGGCCCATTTTTATTCAGAAGTTAGTAGGTCCTGATAGTAGTTTTGTCTTGTATATGGAAATAATATAACTTTGGAAAAAGCTTAAAGACAACGATTTTCATTGAAAAATAGTTTATTTATTCTTAACTGACAATTTATTTGTCGCAGAACTCAAAGCCGAGTAAGATAACATTTGATGATATGTTGAAGAATTAAATTTGTCATTACTTTGTAATGCTGTAATAAAATACTGGATATTTTAAAAAGAAGATTTTTTTTTTTAAAGAAACCTATGGTCTGGCAATGGAAGCCTCTTGTCTTTTTTTTTTTTTTTTTAGTTCCTGTTTATTGTCTGCCTTTCTGTTTTCTAAAACGTTCAAGAAAATGTGGGCAAAGGAAAAAAGGTGAAAGCAGCCTCATTTCGGTGCTGTTAACAAAAACTTAGGAAAAATAATTTAAATTATTAGAAAACATTGAATTATTTCAGTAATTTTATGATCATTCAGTTCTGCAATCCTTAGCATTGAGTTCTAGCCATTAATAGTATTTTAAGAAACTTGGAAGAAAAAAGTCACATTGCCTGAATTTTACATTATTCTAGATGTTAGATTATTATCTGCTTCTTAGAGTATTTCAGAGCACCAGAATTCCTTTATAACATTTTTTCATTATTTCCATTTAGACTTTGATTAATTACTATTGTCAAGAGAGATATTTCCATCATGTATTACTGGTTGCCAGTGAAGGAATTAAGAGGTATGGAAGTGATCCAGTCTTCAGGTTTTATCATGCCTATGGCACATTAATGGAAGGTACGTGTTAATCATTAAACATGTTCCATCAGTTTTAAATTCTTGCTTTGCACTAAGAACAGTTTTTCATATCATAATCTTGATTTTCAGGTAAAACTCAAGAAGCTCTTCGAGAATTTGAGGCTATTAAAAATAAACAAGATGTATCACTTTGTTCTCTACTTGCACTGATATATGCCCATAAAATGAGTCCTAATCCAGGTATGATATTTAAATGCAATGCTTAGGACATTTTTTCCTATTCAGTTTATTTTTATTTTTCTCAGTTACCAAGTCATTCAGTCTGATCACACTATATTATGTATTTTCTGTAGGTACAATTTATACATATGTTTATCTTCCTGACAAGGGTGTAAATTCATCAGGCACAAGAAATGTGTCTTATACTATTTTCGTGTTCCTTATATCCTCTGGCAGAGGTTTCATTAGTACATAGGGATTTTTTTAGATAAAAGGGAATGTATATTAGTAATTGTTACACAAAAAAAGGACAGCCAAAGAAACAGGTACCGTATGTACATAAATTGCTCTGCAGCAGCCAAGTTTACAACTTTTGTGCAAATATACAGCCAATGCAGTTTATTTCTGTATATTAAGCTTATTGAGAGCCTTAAAACCCTTTATGAGGGCTAGCTCTTGGGAGATATTCAGCAAATTTTTATGCAGTAGTAGGTTGACTAGATTCTGACTAGATTATAGAAGGAAATTTATACATAAACCAGCAATTAAAGTTGTGTAAACTGCCAGGCACAGTGGCTCAAGCCAGTAATCCCTGCAACTTGAGAGACTGAGGTGAAGGATTACTTGAGCCCAGGAGTTCGAGGCCAGCCTGGGCAACATAGTTAGACCTCCATCTCTAAAAAAAAACAGAAAATAAAAAATAAAGTTATGTGAACTGTCTTAATGTATAGTTAATGGCGAAGGCAGAAGAGTATCCAAATTGTATGTAATAAAGAAGAAGTAGTGTTATATTCTTCCATAAATATATATCCAGTAACAGCTAATAGGATTGTAAATATAGATTGTGTTTCAAAAAATTACATAATAAACAAAGGTCACAGACTGGTTCCTTGAATATTAGACGAGACTTTTTTCTAAAGCCAAGTATGACATACCTCCTTCATACATATGCAAATCAATACAAAGTTATTTAAAACATGTAAATATGTGCTTAATTTCTTCAAGAAACTGTGCCTAATACAGTTACAAGCTACAAAAGAATTCTAATAAGTGGTTCATGTCATCAAGTTGGTAATCTAGTGGAGAAAACAAAATGTAAAAAACACAAAGATTAAATTCCAATGTTTCTATTAAATAATACAAAATGAAACATGAGTTTATAATTAATTGAAGTTGGTATGCACTATTCAGCTGTAAGAGTAGGCTGAGAAGGCTTTTGAAATTTTGGAACTTAATCTGATCTTTGAAGGACTGGTAGAATTTGAATATGAAGAGTATTGGCCAGAGAGGAGAAATGGATGGGCAAATACATGGAAGTGGTTCAGGATTAGGCTCTTCTGTGGATCCCCTTTCTCCGTACTCCAGTGGGAGTGTGTTTAGCTAGAGCAGAAAATTTTCATGGGAGAGCTGTAGTTAGTATAGATTGAAGAAATTAGTACAAAATAATTTATTATTAGAATCAAGTTTTTATTTAATTGGTTATTCTTACCAGTGTTGATTCTGTTGGACACTGTGATTTGCAGGACACTGAAATGACAGAATCAGAAATACTGTTCAGAGGAACCTGAGTGCTAACTCTGCTTTGCACCAAGGATGATGCTGAATGGACTTGAGCTCTAGTAGGGGCCCAGATGTCTGTAAATACTGCCTAGGAAAGTCCTAGATTGTTAGTATACATTCCTTCCAGGATGCTGATGTAAATAAACCCTGCTTATAAAAAGGCTGCGATCTTTCAACAACTTTGTGCAGACGGTGTTAGAGCTGATTGATACCTCATTAGGGACGTGATGGAAATCTGAGTAGGAAAGATTTCCTGTACAATGCCTGCTTCTGCCTGGTGGTTGTTTTTTTTGTTTGTTTGTTTTCTTATTTCTGTTTCTGTATCATGGCTGTTTAATGAACACTTCTGAAGGGGTTGTAGGGGTGGGGAGTGGGGAGAGGAGAAAAGGGTCTTCTTGCTAAGCAATCTGTAGACTTACAGAAACAGTTTTGTTTCCTTCACTCATTAGATTGTACCTTGTTAATTTCACATTTAAATTTGTATCATTAGAGTTGAAAGGAAGAGTCACATACCTTTCTCTTGGTAGCCATTCCAGAAAGAGAACTGTTGGAATCACAGGCCGCAACTTACATTTCTTCTTCCTCATTGCATGGCTGATTCTGATTCTGATTCCATCCAGGGTTTGGGTGTAATTGACTTCTGTGTCCTAAGCAGATACTAATATATATATATATATATATATATGGGGGAGGGGAGAGAGAGAGAGAGAGTGTATAGACTTAATGTAAGTGAATAGAGTTATCTATTTAAGGGAGCAGTCAGTATTAAACTATAACAGCAATTATGCCATCTTTTTACTGACCCATAACAGTAGCTGGCATGTTTATATATTTTAGAATTGTATTTAAGAATTATTAATACGTTGAGTACCAGTACTGGACCTGTTCCTAATAATTGTGGTTAGAACCATTATACATTTTTATAAGTCTTATTATTAAAAAATATTAGTATATACAGCCTTTCTATTTTGGGAATGATGTAAACTCTATAGCTATATTGTGCATTACAGTGATCCTTAACCATATACCTCCTCTGTTGCCCAGGCTGGAGTGCAGTGGTGCAATCTAGGCTCACTGCAACCTCTGCCTCCTGGGTTCAAGCAATTCTCCCTGCCTCAGCCTCCCAAGTAGTTGGGATTACAGGCACCCACCACCACGCCCATCTATTTTTGTTTTTTATTTTTAGATGGAGTTTCGCCATGTTGGCCAGGCTGGTCTCGAACTCTTGACCTCAGGTGATCCACCCACCTCGGCCTCCCAAAGTGCTGGGATCACAGGTGTAAGCCACCATGTCTGGCCATATACAGCTTTTTTACCAAGTTTGAGGAACTGAATTTGAAATTTTATTTAATTCTAATTAATTTACTTTTTAAACTTAAAAATGATACTTGATTCAGTTATTAGAAAACTTATTTAGGAGTAACTTGAGTCTAAAAATCTGCTTTTCAGCCATAAGTTTTATGAAAACTACAAATCAAGTATTTTTAAATAAAATTTAACTTTTTTTTTTATTTTTGAGTCGGGGTCTTGCTCTATCACCCAGGCTGGAGTGCAGTGGCGCGATCTCTGCTCACTGCAAGCTCCGCCTCTCGAGTTCACGCCATTCTCCTGCCTCAGCCTCCCCAGCAGCTGGGACTACAGGTGCACGCTATCACGCCCGGCTAATTTTTTTTTTTTTTTTTTTTGTATCTTTAGTAGAGACAGGGTTTCACCGTGCTAGCCAGGATGGTCTCGATCTCCTGACCTCGTGATCCGCCCGCCTTGGCCTCCCAAAGTGCTGCGATTGCAGGCGTGAGCCACTGCGCCCAGCCAAAATTTAGCATCTTAATTGTGATGTGCTGTTATTATGAAATACCAGATTTCACAGTTAGTAAGGAAAGAGCATGCAAAATATCTCATTAATTTTTATGTCAATGATGCATTGAAATTATATCTTAGATATATTGGGCTAAATAAAACATTAAGATTAATTTTAATTGTTTCTTTCTATTTCTTTGATAGTGCTACTAGAAAATTTTAAGTTACATATATGGCTTGCATTTTATTTCTATTAGACAGTACCACTATAGAGAGAAGTAAATTTTTTGCCTTGTTAATTATCTGACCTATTATAAATACCTGATCCAGAATTTAATTTTTATTTAATATCATTTTCCCCTACCAGATAGAGAAGCTATTCTGGAATCAGATGCCAGAGTGAAGGAACAACGTAAAGGAGCTGGAGAGAAAGCCTTATACCATGCAGGCTTATTTTTATGGCACATTGGTCGCCATGATAAAGCAAGGGAATATATTGACAGAATGATCAAAATATCAGATGGTAGTAAACAGGTAGCTATTTTTCTGAGTTTAAAATAATAACATTAAAAAATGCTTATGTTATTGATATATCCAGTAGTATCTGTGATTTAGCTCTTTATTATTGTTCACTCTATTGCCAGTTTGTAAATAACAGCTTTATTTTAACCCATTTATGGTTATCAATATGGTTAATAGTGTATTGTAGAATAGGAATTCTCTAAGGTTAGTTTTATGCTACTGAGTCTTCAAAGATCCCTGCCTGGTTCCTTCTCTCTGTTTTTCTCTTTCTTTTTCTCTACCTTTTTTTCCTTCCCTCCATATTTTGTCCTTTCCTTTCTCCCTCTCTCCTTATTGAACAGCTCTAGATACAAGGTACCATTATTTGTACTGTTAATAATGCAAAGGAAAATAATACATAAACTTTGCTTTCATGAATGAATAACCCAGTAGTGCATAGAGCACATCCCCAGCTAATATTGTGAGAAAAATGATAGATGATATGAGAGATATGTGATTAAAGTATGCAAGAAAATAATAGCTAACATTTATTGCTTGCTTACTTTGTGCTAGGCACTGTTTTAAATTAAGGAGAGATCACACGCTTAAGTGTTAAGAGAATGTGAAAGAATTTTTTTGAAGGAACTAGCATTTGAGCTAAAACCTGAAAGATGGATACAATTTCAACAGGCAAAGATTATGGGAAAGGGAAGTAGGTACTCCCAAGGTGAGAAATAATAGATGGAAATGAGACATGTTACTTGAGGGTACACTAAGATACTCATATTTGATGGAATACAGGATACGTTGATAACGAGAAGGGAAGAAAAGCTTGGAGAGGTAACTTGAGACAAATTGAAGGATCTTGACTGCTAGTTAAAAATATTTGTATCTGATTGACATGCATTGAGAGGCTATTGAAGACTTTTAACTATGGTAGTGATTTTATTAGAGTGCAAATCCAGAAGATTAATTAGACAATGGTTTCTTGGATGAAGTGGCTTGAGAATAAACTGAAATGCAGTGAAAAGAAAAAGATAGTACTTCCTTGTGGAAGGTTTTGAGGCACTACACTAAAATATTGTACAGTGAGTACAAAGTTCAAAATTTTTAAATACCCACAGGACCTGTGAACTGATAATAGTTTAGAAAGATAACAAGTTGTCACGTATTAGGATGTCTTTGAGGCCTTAAGCCTAAAAAAATTAGAGACCAGTTAGCATAAATAGAAAATACATTGGCATAAGAAACTAATCTTAAAGGGAAGTGATCTATTTGTCTTAAGACATGCTGTATTTCTGGTGCTGGCAGAACAGTAAGATGGAGATAGCAGATGAATTTCTGGAAAAAGAAAAATTTAGAAGAGGTTTTCGGCTAGAAATATAGGTTGGGAATCATCCACACAGAGACAATAGTTAAAACCATTCAATGATGGCACTGATTTAGCACATAGCATTGGTTAAGATCCTTATTTGTATTTTCGGGTGAAATACAGGGAGGTAAATATAGTCTTAGTTAAAGGTTTATAAATTTGTCAGTTAACCTAGATTTTTTTAATAGAAAAAGCACATTTCACAGTTTTTTATTTGACCTTAAAGAGAAAAATAACCAGTTTTTATCTTGTTTTCAATCCCATATGTCTTACAACCCATCGGCCCACTAACATGTGTAAAGATAAATATCCATGAGTTCTTCAGTTTATAATTTCTCAGGCTATCCACCTGTCATTTGAAATTCAATGGACTAATCAAAGAGGTTAAGAAGATTGTTGCCAGATTATCTGAATCTTTAAGATATGTGAAGCAAGGCTTCTTCTGTTATTTCATCTTAGTTCATTTAGACGGTTTGTCCAAAAAGAAACAACAAATTCTCATCTATATATTGAATTTCATGTTTAAGTGTTATTAATTGTCAATTACTAGCAAAGTCTCAGAGAAAATAATGGTTTTAACACTAATGGAATATTTGATAAGCTTCTTAATTTTAATATTGAGCTTAATAGTAATGTTAAAGGCTGAAATTTGTAGTATAGTTCCCAAGACACTAGGCTGGCAAGGGTTCAAAAGTGATTTCACTAACAGAATTTTATTGTTCATAACATATTTGATAGAGTCCTTTTTGTTATTAATTGCCAGAAAAATGACATTAGGCTCTTTCATTAACATTTATTTCTCTCATTTCTAAAAAAGTAAAAATAGAATTATTCATTTTACAGGGACACGTTTTGAAAGCATGGCTTGATATTACAAGAGGAAAAGAGCCTTACACTAAAAAAGCACTGAAGTATTTTGAAGAGGGACTCCAAGATGGGAATGATACTTTTGCTCTGCTGGGTAAGGTGAGTTGGAGTTAGGGTAAATAAATCATGTTTCAAAATATATTCATAATATATTTGAAACCTGACAAAACCAAGTAGCTCAAAAAAGTTGATAATTTTCATGATACTGTTGTCAGCTCACAGCTGTAAGGTAGACTGGCATTTGTGTAGGACAATGAGCAATACACTAGAGAAATGTATTCCCTGCCAGAGTTCCTGAATCCTGGATCAGCTGTAACTGTTAATTGTTGTTGTTGTTTTGGTTCACACATTCTTTCCTCAGCATTTATTATGTGTCTTATGTATGTGAGGCATCCCTCTAGATATTAGAAACCCTGAGCAAGAGAAAACCTCTTGTTTTTATGGAGCTTATATCCTACTGATGGAGGCAGACAATAAACAAAATAAGTAAGTTATATGGTATATTAGAAGGTGATAAGTATAATGGAAAATACAGCTGGAAAAGCTAGGGCATGAACTTCCAGTTTTACATGAAGTGGTCGGAGAAAGTGACATTTGAGCAAACACATTTATGGAGGTGAGGGTTAAAGCCCTGCAGGCATCTGGGGAAAGTATTTCAAATAGAGGAGATGATGAGTTCAGGTACCCTAAGGTGTATTCAGGGCTAGCAAGGAGGCCAAAGTGGGTTGAGTAAAGAGAACAGAAGTGAAGGCCTGAGGAAGAAAGGTGGGATGGGGGTGAGGAGGAGTGGTGGGCCTGGCCTGTTCTGTAAGGCCTTTGGCTTCTACCTTCTATTAGAGAGACAGGCAGCCAATACAAAGTTTTGAACAGAGAAATAACATGATCGGACATACATTTTGAGGGATGAGCAATTGAAGGAGTCATTAGAACTTACTGATGGATGGAAATATTTAAGTAGGACCCTTTCTTCAATCCCCATTGATGCTATCTAAATGCCTTAATTTTTTTTTGACTCAGCAAAAAGAAATTATATGTTGGGAACAAGTCTGCTAGATAAGCAGTAATTTGGAGGGATAAAAAAGAAGGGGAGAGGATTCATGTCTTGACTTTTGTTAATGTCTCCACATCACTTTTCCTGTCACTTTGTGTGGACAGTAAGCCTGTTGAACATCTTGTGTTCAGGCCCACTACCCTCAAGTTTTACCTAATAGCACTGCTGAAGAAATTGGCCATATACTTTTCTTGATCATTTTCCTTCTCTTAAAGAAAAGCTAGTTGATAAAAATTTGCCTCATCATCTCTTTTTAATGTACTAACTATATTTATAGCTTTATTTTTTCTGACTATGAGATACATGAACATAGTAAAACTTTTTTTCAGAAAATACAATAACATCTGAATGAGAAAATGAGCATCACCATTGGAAATAACCAGTTAAACTATTATATATAATATCTCTTCATGTCAGTAAATCTACGTCTACAAATTTATATCATCATTTTTAATGATTACTTAACATTTTATTAAATTAGATATACTATAATTTTCTCCTCTAGGTACATTTGGGATTATTTTATACATAAACAATTCTGCCATAAATATCATCTATATACTTCCTTGTGGTCTTGTCCAATTATTTCCTTCAGATAATTCATAGAAGTGAAAAATGTTGAAGTAGAGGGATTTGTTTGAACTGTATTTTGCTTGTTCTTTAAAATCATATATTCTTTAACCTGAAAATAATTTCTTAAAAAAGATGCAAAATTTCTAAAATTTCTTAAAATTTTAGATGCTACTTGAAAATTTCCTGGAAACATTTTAATCTAAAAAGATAATTTTGTTTTAAATGGAAACATTATTTTATGGTATTTCCGAGAACATTTTAAAAAATTTTATCCTTTAATCATGTTTTTCAGCCATTTAAAAGTAAATTTTAAAACACAATAGCTTATATAATGTATTTGTATTATTCTGTGATGTTTTAAAATTTTGTTTTGACAAAAACTTAAAAAGTGATAACTGCTCCTCACAGAAAAGTAAGTATTAAACGCTCATACTCTGCCTGCTCTGCGTTATGAGAACTTTGATATGAAAGATCACAGTTTGGATATCACTTTTTTTCCCTTCCATTAGGCACAATGCCTTGAGATGCGCCAGAATTATTCAGGTGCCCTGGAGACTGTGAACCAGATAATCGTGAATTTTCCGAGCTTCCTTCCTGCTTTTGTTAAGAAAATGAAATTACAACTAGCCTTGCAGGATTGGGACCAGACAGTTGAGACAGCACAAAGGTTAAGTAATAAAAGATGACACAAGTCTCTTTGGATTTGGTTATAATTTTGAGAAAAAGCGACATCTGTGAATTTTTTTCATAAGGGTTTTTAAATTTGATTTTTTTCAAACAGTGTGGAACCGAGGAAATACTTAAAATCATACTGCTTTTAAACATTGAATTTATTGATTTACATAAATATTTGATTCCTGGTTTAAGACAGACACTCTTTTTAGGCAAACAGGCCAATATCCCTGTGGTCATGAAGCTTATATTTAAGTGAAAGGAACCATATACTAAGCACACCAAATAAGTATATTGTGTAGTATGTTAGAAAGTATAAGTGCTATGGGGAAAAGATAAACCAAGAAAGAGATGGGGAGTGTTGAGGGGTTCAATCTTATGGGATGGTCATGGAAGGCTGAGACCTTTGAGCCATCTTCTAAAGAAGGTAAGGGAGTAAGCCATGCAGATATTTGAGAGAAGACTTTGCAGAAAGAAGGAAAAGCAAATGCAGAGTCCCCGAGGTGGGAGCACATGTCATATGTTTGAGGAGTGGGAAGGAGTAAGAGAGGTGAGTAAGGTGTGAGGTCTGAGACAAAGGGTGGGAGTGAGCCCGTGCTAGATGGTGAAGGGTCTTGTTACCCATGTAAGGATTTGGGGTTTTCTTCTGAAGCATGAGGTTACTGGAGGGTTTTGAGCAGAGGAGTGCCATCATCTAAATTCTGTTTTAAAAGAATCACTCTGCCATGTGCAAAACAGACTGTGGGCGAGCAGGCAAAGGCAGAAGCAGGGAGAACCTTTTGAAAGCTGTTGCCATCATTGAGAAATGGTCGGGGCAGGCCCAGTATAGTTGTGGTGGAAGTGCTTTGAGAAGTGATTGGAATCTGGACCTGTAGCATTTTGTTTAGGTGTAAGAGAAAGAATAGTTTAAGGTGATTCCAAGGTTTTTGGCCTGAACTACCAGAATAACAACAACAATGATGATAATGAACTGTTGTGAAGTGTTCAGAATGCCTGGCTCATAGGAAGTGCTATTTATTCCTAGGGTAACCCTAAGAGGAAGGTACTATTAGTATTTCTGTTTTACAGCTGAGTGGACTAAGGTACAAAGAGGTTAAGAAGTTTCTCCAGAGCCACACAATTACTTAGTGGTGGAGTCAGGATTCAAATCCAGAGCACTCTAGTCCCAGAGTCTGTGCTCTTACCCACTACTTGCACTAGAGGATAGAGTTTGCTTCAGCTGGACAGGGTGATTATGGAAAAAGAAGGTTTCAGGGCAGGTAAGGAGTTTAGCTTTCAACATTGTAAGTTTGAAATGCCTATGAGAAGTCAAAGTAGAGATGGATGTATGGGCAGGCAGCTGGATGTCTGAATCTGGAGTTCTTGTGAGAGGTCTAGGCTATAGCTAGTATTTTGGAGTCACTGACACATAGATATGATTTATGTGTCAGTGACTTTAAAGCCATGAGATCAAGAATAAATATATTTGAGTCACAAATCAATACTTTCTAACAGATGAATTCATGTCACTTAATACTGAAATTACAGAAAAGTAAATTTCATAGGTAATACAAATATACCTTTAAAATCAGAATGTCTTAATAGAACTTTTCATGCAAACAATAGGCAGGATACTTTCAAGATACAAATGAAGTATAAATTGCATAGAAAGTCACCTTTACTTCAGTTTGGATTAAGGTTTATAGTCTTAGAATCTTGAGAATAAGTGACTTGCAAGCATGTCTAACTTTTATTCATATCTGACAAAATATTAATGGCTATCTCAGGGCCGAACATCTTGGTAACATCTTTGCTAAGATCGTCTATCATTTATTATGGAGAATTTCAGATTTATGTAAAAGCAGACAGAAGAACATCATGAGGTACTCTTTATCTGTTTCCTGCCCCTAGCTACCGTCACCACATGACTAAACTCCCATTTGGTTCTTGGCTTTAATTTTCGTTTTGAAGCAAATTCAAAACTCTGCATCATTTCATTTGTAAATATCACAAGATGTGTTGAAAAAATAGGATAATTCTTTTCCCTCTACAACATAATGACAATATCATTATCACATATAAAAAATTAAAAATAGCTTTTTAATATCAATTATCCAGTGTTCAAATTACCAATAGTCTCAAATATTGTGTTTTTTAAATAAATTATTTTTTAATCAGGATCCAAATAAGTCCACATATGGTGATTGGTTTATATCTTTAAAGTCTCGAGGCTGTCTCCCTGTCTCTGTGAGTTCTTTCTCACTCTTTCTTTCCCTCTCCCTTCCTTTCTCCTTCCCCTCTTCCCTCTCCCTCCCTCCTTCTTCCTGCCTTTTCTGTTTCCCTGTTTCCCTTCTCTTTTTCTTCTTGCCATTTTTTTAAGTGAAGAAACCAGTGTTTTGTCCTGTAGCATTTTCCATGATCTAGATTTTGTTGTTTGTCTGCCATGGTGTAGTACAACTTGTTGCTTTATCCTCTGTATTTCCTGTAAGTTGGTAGTTGGATCTAGAGGTTTGGTTAAATTCACATTCAATTTTGTTGTTTTGGCAATTACTTCATGAGTGGTACTGTTGTCTTTCATCACAGTGACAGAATGTCTGCTTGTCTCTCTCTTTTCGTGATATCAGCAGTTATTCATGCTCAATAACTAGGTGCTTGATTCATAGGGATTATAGTAGGGTTGCATTTGAATTCTGTCATTCTTTCTTTGTTTCTTAGCTAGAATACCTATAAAGAAAAACTTCTCTTCTCCTGGTTAGTTACTGAGTGGTATGGTTCATATAAGAAAAGTAGGATAAGATGCTGAAGTCTTTTCCGTTATTTCCAGGTTTAAAAAAAAAAATGCCAAGAATTCCTTAGCATCCTTCATTGGTAATTGATTAGTGGCTCAGGTTTGTTTGTTTTACATACCATGGATTTAGATGAGTGCTTCTGGACATTTTAGTCATTATAATTGCACAGTCTTTTCTCTGACTATTAGGAGCTTCTTCAAGTTGTTCTTAAGTCCTTTTGACATGATCCTAGTAGTCTTTGATAGTTACTTTGCTATTTGGTACGACAAGCTGTCCAGGCTCATTTTGTGTATTACTTCCCCAAGTAGGTATCAGTCATTTGTCCAGGGCAATCTAATCTCTTTTAGTGTGAAATGATATTTGAAGGCCACAATTAGGGTACTAGTAATTTTTTGATGTATATATCTTTCAAGATTTTTTTTCTAGGCACTGTGTGTGTGTGTGTGTGTGTGTGTGTGTGTGTGTGTGTGTGTGTGTGTGTGGTTTCTATATATTTTAAAAATATGTATATATTTGAGGGTGTTTTAAAAATAATAAATAGACTCATAATGTACTTTTAAACTTGTTTTTCTCTTTAAGAGGGTATTTCATAGATATCATTTTATACCTATTCACATAGATACACCAAACTGTTTTTTAATAGACAGTATTTTTAGGGTAGTTTTAGGTTCACAGCAAAATTAAACAGAAGGTACAGAGATTTCCCATATATTCCTTGCCTCCACACATAGATAGGCTGCCTAATTATCAACATCTCCCACCAGAGTGGTACATTTGTTACAGTGGATGAACTTACACTATAGGCGCCCAAAGTCCGTCATTTATATTACAGTTCACTTTTGGTGTTGTACATTCTAGTGGTTTGGACAAATGTGTAATCACATGTATCCACCATTATAGTATCATACAGAATATTTCTACTGCCCTAAAAATTATCTTTATTGTGTATCCGCTATATATCCCTCCATCTCCCCAACTCCTTGCAACCACTGCTCTTTTTACTGCCTTTATAGTTTTACCTCTTCCAGAATGTCCTGTAATATGGAATAATACAATATGTAGCCTTTTCAGCTTGGCTTCTTTCATTTAGTATTATGCATTTAACTTTCTTCCATGTCTTTTCATGACTTGATAGTTCATTTATTTTTAGTACTAAATAATATTTCATTGTTTCGATGTACCACAGTTTTATCCATTGAAGGACATCTTGATTGCTTCCAAATTGTGGCATTTATGAATAAAGCTACTATAACCTTGTGCAGGTTTTTGTATGGACATCAGTTTTCAACTCCTTTGGATCAAATGCCAAGGAACATAATTCCTGAATCATATGGTAGGAGTATATTTAGTTTTCTAAGAAACTGCCAAACTGTCTTCCAAAAATGTTATACCATGTTATGTTCCCACCAGCAATGAATGAGAGTTTCTCTTGCTTTAAAACATCTTCATCAGCATTTGATGTTGCCAGTGTTCTGGATTTTGGCCATTCTAATAGGTTTGTAGTGGTATCTCATTGTTATTTTAATTTTAATTTGCGTTTCCCTGATGACATGATGTGGAGCATTTTTAAATATGCTTATTTGCAGTCTGTGTATCTTGCTTGTTATGTGTTTGTTAAGGTCTTTGGCCCATCTTTTAATTGATTGATTGTTTTCTTATTGTTGGGTTTGAAGAGCTCTCTGTATATTTTGTAAAACAGTCCTTTATCAGATATATCTATATCTGATAAATATTTTCTCCCAGTCTGTGGCTTGTCGTTCACAGAGCAGAAATTTTTAATTTTAATGAAGTCCAGCTTATCAACTCTTTCTTTCATGAATTATGCCTTTTGTGTATTATCTAAAATGTCATCATCAAACCATAGGCCGTCAGATTTTCTCCTGTATTATCTTCTAGGAATTTTATAGTTTTATGTTTTACATTTAGCTCTGTGATCTATTTCAGATTAATTTTTGTGAAGAAGGTGAGGTCTGTATCTATATTCATTTTTTCCATGTGGATGTCCAGTTTTTCCAGTGCCATTTATTGAAAAGAGTGTCTTTTCTCCACTGCATTGTCCTTGCTCTTTTGTCAAAGATCAGTTTACTATCTATGTGGGTCTATTTCTGTGATTTCCACCCTGTTCCATTGACCTGTTTGTTCTTTCACCAATACCACACTACTCTCTTGATTACTGAAGCTTTATAGTAAGTCTTGAGGTCAACTAATGTCAGACCTCTAACTTTGCTCTTTTCCTTCCATAGTATGTTGCTATTCTGTGTTTTTTTGCTAATCTGTATAAACTTTAGGATGAGTTTGTCAATATCCTCAAAATAACTTGCTGGGATTTTGATTGGGATTGCATTGAGTTAGTTTACAGATCAAATTGGGAAGAACTAACATCTTGTATTGTCTTTGCATCCATGACATGGAATATCTCTCCGTTTATTTGGTTTTTCCTTGATTTCTTTTGTCAGAATTTAAAAATTTTCCTCATAGAAATCTTGCACATATTTTGTTAGATTTATATGTACCTAAGTATTTTACTTTAAGGAGTGCTAATGTAAATGTTATTGTGTTTTTAATTTCAAATACCACTTGTTCATTGCTAGTGCATAGGAAAGCAATTGATATTATATATTAACCTCATATCCTACAATCTTGCTATAATCGCTTGTTGATTCCAGGAGTTTTTTTTAATTGATTCTTTTAGATTTTCTACATAGATGTTCATGTCATCTGTAAACATCTATGTATTTCTTCCTTTCCCTAATCATTTTAAAACTGAGTAGCATTCTATGAATTGAAAATGCAAATAATTTATTTAATCTCTCCGCATTGGTATGCACCTAAGCAGTTTCCTATTTTTCACTGTTCAGTATAGTGCACTGTACACACATGCATACACACATACCTCTTTGAACACATGTAGGACTATATCTGCAGAGAAGTTTCCCAAAGGAGAGATTGTTGAATCCAAGATACTGTATTTGTTAGGGTAGGCTAAGCTGCTACAAAAACAGATCTAAACATATAATGATTCAGTGTAATAGAAGAATGTTTCCCCATATGTAACTGTTTTGGGTAAATGTTAGAAGTGATCAGGCAGCTTTGCTCCACACTGTTTTTAACGGACCTAGACGCTTTCCATCTTGCAGTCCTGCCATCTCCTAAGACCTCATAACACTTGGCAGAAAGGGAAAGATAATGTAGAGAAGTCATTCCACTTTTCATAAAAGCCCAGGCCCAGAAATGGCATATATTACTTTATTTCACGTTGACCACCTCTGAATGCAAAGATATCTAGGAAGTGTTGGCTAGCCACATGCCCAAGCAAATAAGGAGAGAATGAATTTGAGGAGACAAATTGTAGTCTCTCCCTCAAGTATATAAATTTAAAATTTTGATAGGCACTGCCAAATTGCTCTCCTAGGAAATTGTACTAATTTACACTCCTACTAGTAGTCTATTGAATGATCCCTTACCTTATCCTCACCAATTCTGGCCATTTTCAGTGCGTGTATTTTTTTTTTCAAGCAATCTGAAAGAGAGGTATCTCATTTTTATTTTCATTTCTTTTATTGTGTTGAGATTGAGCAATTTTTCATATGCTAAAAGCTCTTGTTTTTCTTTGGTATATAACTGGTTCTAAATATGCTTTTTTTTTTTTTAAGTGAGCCTATTCTCTCCTCAGTTTTCAATGGACTCTGATAATTTTTATCACAAGTTCTCCATCATGTTTCGTTTCTTTTCTTTTTTTTTTTTTTTTTTTTTGAGACAGAGTCTCGCTTGTTGCCCAGACTGGAGTGCAATGGCGCGATCTTGGCTCCCTGCAACCTCCGCCTCCCGGGTTCAAGTGATTCTCATGCCTCAGCCTCCTGAGTAGCTTGGATTACTGGCACCCACCACCACGCCCTGCTAATTTTTTGTATTTTTAGTAGAGACGGAGTTCTCCGTGTTTCTCTTATAACAGTTTTGTTGGCTCTTTTTTTCGCTCTTGACTGTCATAATCAATTTACAAAATAATAAAAAAGAAGCCATAGAAGATTTTGGTTTGAATTGCATTAAATTTGTAGTCATATGTGGGGAAAAAAAATTTTCTTTCCCAAAAATGACCATTATTATATCAGGCAGCTATTGGTGTATAGCAAACAACCACAAATGTCAGGACATATAATAATAAGTATTCTTTACTCACATTTTTGTGGGTCATCGAGGGTCTGCTGATCTCAGGCAAGGCTTGGCTGGGGCCCTGCTTCAGTTCAGATGCAGCTGGGTGAATGTGGCACATCATTGCAGTTTGGACTCTTGTCACCTCCAATAGTGTTTCCCCCAGACTCACAACAAGTAGCAGCCACTACCCAGAGGAAATTCTTCTTGTACTGATAGCAAGTGCCAGAGAACAAGCAGAAGTATGCAGTGCCTCTAAAATTTAGGTTGATACACTGCTATTCCTGCCCACATTCCATTGGCCAATATAAGAAAAATGTCCAAGTCCCTAGTCAAGAAGCAGTAGGGTACACTCCAACTTTTGTAGTTAGTTACATGGCAGAAGACACGTACTCAGGGAGGGTTGAAAAACTGGAACCAGTAATTGTGATATGTACCACATCATCCATGATAAGAGAAGTCTGGGGCGTTACCTTTTTGGTTCAGTTCTTTTTAAAAATGTCCCTGAGTACAGTTTCATAGGAATTTTATAGCTTTTGCACATTTCTTAAGTTTATGCCTGTTATGTTTTTCTTTTTGGTTTTTGTTCCATTTATTAATAAGATTTTTTAATGTAATATTTTCTCATTTGTTTTTATCACGTAGGAATCTGTTGTTGTGAATAACATTAGTAGGTATTGTAATGTTTGACCCTGGTTTGCATTCCCGGAATTCCTGTAATAAGTCAGCCTGGTTAAGGTGAATTATTCTTTTACTATACTGTTGTATATAGTTAGCTAATATTTTATTTAGGATTGCCACAAGATTTAATGAGACTAGTATAATCTATTCATATCTTTTAAAAACATATTAAAAATTAAACTCCAGAGACTTTTACTTGTTTAAATAATAAAGTTGATAATTTTCACAAAGCAGATGACATTTTACTAGTGAAAATTACTTATTTGAACAGTGGAATAGTGAGGCAAGCAAACCAACTTTTCATGCCCTCGAATAAAAGAAAATATATAAATTTATTTTGACATTAACTAAATTGTTTTCCTGCAGGTTGCTGCTCCAAGATAGCCAAAATGTGGAAGCACTGAGAATGCAGGCACTCTACTATGTGTGTAGAGAGGGGGATATAGAGAAGGTAAGTGGCATTGTATTATTTAAGTTTCCTATATTAAAAAATATATTTCATTACACATACACACCCATGTGTGCATGTGCATATACATTAAAGCCTTGAAGTTCTCTTTTAAAATATACATCATGGTAGTTTTTAGTTGATTACTAGAGTATACCTTAACAAAGAGGTCAGCTTCTGAAATCTATTGGTAAAGCAAAAATACTATACAGTTAATATTACCCTTGAAAATCCCTTAAATCATTAATTATAGTATATATGGCTTTCTGTATGAAACTCCTGTGTAGTAATATATATGATTAATGTAACTAGATACGTAATGTAACTAGTGATACTAGATATGAGAAAGTATGTATGCAAAATGTAATTTATAGTATATTTACAATTTAACTGAATTTGCAAAAATTAAATGGGCTTGGGATAAAATCCCATTATACCTCATAATAAAGCACATCTGTTTCTGTAGTAGTGAACACATTGACTGTAGATTGGATCATGGAGTGCCAAACTCTAATCTGAAGGAAGTAATATTAGTATAACATGTAGTAGATTTGCATTTTGTTTAGTGTGGTTAAATTGGTTAATGTGACAGTGCCTGATAGATACTTCAGTAAATGCTAGGAGTATCTTAGTAGGGGTAAATCTTCAGTAAATTTTCCAGGCATTGAAATTACTTATACTAAGTACTGTAATGATTTTTCTAGTCTAGAATATATTTTGAATATAAACCAGTCTGTATAGGCAATTGAAGGGCTGACCTCATATACTTGTAAATACATTATCATTCGTATCTCATTTGTGTCATGAATTAACTATTGAAGGCGGAGCTGGGCATGTACAGTTAATGGAATATTATGGGTGTCTTCGCCTATCCAAAGGTTTCCATTCAATAACAAGTATTAAAGAAACACATTCTAAAACACATTTATAATTATTGAGTTTGTTAGAATCTTAAATATGTTTTATAACATATAATCATCCATTGAAGGAGGAGGAATTTATAAAAGCAAAGGTCTTTTAAAATACTAGTAGGGTAATGCTTTGTTAGTGTGTATGTGCATGTATTATGTTGTTTTTACTTAGTATATTTTAAGTTAATACCAGTTCCTTTTGTTTTAGGCTTCCACCAAGCTGGAAAACTTGGGAAATACATTGGATGCCATGGAACCACAGAATGCTCAACTTTTCTATAACATTACACTCGCCTTCAGCAGAACTGTGAGAGTGCCTACCATGTACCAGAGCTCTGTTATCTATAGTAGAGGACATAAAATAAGTGGAAAAGGTGGAAGCAGGGAAGAGCATATGGCCTAGAGTGCAAATATGTATTTAAATATATGATATACTCCTAGGAAAGGCAGTTTAGAGGAGGTGTGGTTTCCAACTGTAAGAACCTGATGGAGGCTTCATGGAGGAAATGCCACTTACTGATCTTTTAAGCATAGCGAAGTGCCTTCCAGACAAAGGAAATAGAAGGTGGTTTATTTTCATCAGAGCATAAGATTTATGACCAGGATTGCTCTTAGCTTTTGTTTTTTAAAACTATTTTTAAAAAGTTTTAAAGTGTATAAAAGACCATTTTGGTGGAGGGAATGGTTGGTATCTTATTTTTTAAAAAACAACAGGAAAGAAATGTTTTTATTATAAGCTCCCAGTAAAAGAAAGGTAATCAAGAATGAAATAGAAAAATACAGTAGAATCTCAAAATCAATACAAGGAATGAGAATATTGAAAAGTTCATTAAACTAAGAAGGTTAAAATAATTAGCAAGCATAAAGTTGAAAGAAAAAAGGATTATTAATTGTTAAATGACATGAATATACTGAATTTTCTTATTTAAAAACAAAGATATCAGATTGTGTAAACTTTAGAGGAAGAAAACTCCATGCTATAACGAAAGTTTGAATTAAGGAGGTATTTACCTTTTTTGCTTACCGTAGTGCTAGACACATTATTTCAATTAGTTTTTTACTAAGCTTATAAAATATAAGTTCAAACATTTGAATAAATATTTTACTCTTAAAGTTTGTTGTCTTGAAAAATTATGTACTTATTCTAACAACACTGCTATTTCTTGAAATTTTTTTCAAGAAGATTCTAAGGCATGAGCTTTTAAAATATTCTCACTGATGGCATAGCTAGTGTTTAGGGGGAAAACAGATCCTAGTCCTAGTTTTTTATTCAATAAGAAAAAGCATACATATATTATACACACACACACACACACACACACACACACACACCCCCATACCCACGTAACCATAAAATAATGGTTTTCCTGTTTAATCTGTAAAACAGTCATGAGACAGCTTGGAAAAGGAGTTCAAAAAATATGTTTTTGCAGTGACATCATTAGAAGTGTACTTTTCATACTAGTTATTTTGTAAAAGCATTATATTCATTAGGATATTAAGTTCTGATAGAATATAAACTCTTTCTTGATGCATTGTCTAGATAATAGGAAAGTTTTATTTTTCCTTAATTATTAATTTTTTTCTTTTTCATCACTCCTTTGAAGTACAAATAATATATATATTTAGAAAAAATAATCCTTTAGTCTCAGTAGAAATGTTAGACTTTGAAATCTTACATCATTTTTTTTTCTTTTTAGTGTGGACGTAGTCAACTTATTCTTCAAAAAATTCAAACGTTACTTGAGAGAGCTTTTAGTTTAAACCCTCAGCAATCAGAATTTGCTACAGAACTTGGATACCAAATGATTTTACAAGGAAGAGTTAAAGAGGCACTGAAGTGGTATAAGACCGCCATGACACTTGATGAGACTAGTGTGTCTGCCCTAGTTGGTATGACAACTGTTTTCATAAATATTTATAATATAGATACAAGTAGCAATTGCTTTTAACTTGCCATTAGAGAAGAACACATGGATTTTGTGGTTTTCTAAACTTAAATTGTTCTCTACTGCCCACACTCGAAAAAGTCATGTCTTTAAAATTTTTAATTCACAAATAATATCTTGAGAGAATAGATTTTTATAACGTGGTTCCTATAAATTATGAATTCTTCAGTAAATGATTTTATAAGGTCCAAGGCTACCCATTTTATTTTCTTTCACTCTTCATTTTCTTTCTTTCTGTTGTTTTTAATCTAAAACGTTAAGTATTGTGATGGGGGAAAGGGTGTTTTATTAATGTTGTTATGTTAGCTTGAAGAGTGCATCCCTGAATTGGTGTGGACTTTGACTGTCTTTCTGCTGTTTGATTTTAGGATTTATCCAATGTCAGTTGATAGAAGGGCAATTACAGGATGCAGATCAGCAGCTAGAATTTTTAAATGAAATCCAGCAATCCATTGGAAAATCTGCGGTACAGTATTTTATTTTATCAGCTGGTAGATGCTAGCTGTTTATAAAATATGAAATTATTAATCAGTCTTATTGTTTTGTAATGGCTGTAAAGCACTAGTGTACACTAATTTTAATATGTAATTGCATTTATTTACCTCCATTCAAAACTAAACTTTATTCTTCTGAATGATTCTAAAAGTCTATTCAAGCTAATACTTGAGTTTGAACAAATAATTGCATATCAGTAGCACATTATATGCATTTGAAATCTAAGTGGAAATAAATGGCTTTATAACTAAATGGAATAATTTATGAAAACTACTTATTTTCTAGGAATTAATCTATTTACATGCAGTTCTTGCCATGAAGAAAAATAAACGACAAGAAGAAGTTATTAATTTGTTAAATGATGTCCTGGACACTCACTTTTCACAATTAGAAGGTTTGCCTCTTGGCATACAGTATTTTGAAAAGCTAAATCCTGATTTCTTGTTAGAAATTGTTATGGAGTATCTGAGCTTCTGTCCAATGCAGGTAAGTAATTATGGGACTTACTTTCAAGGATGCGTTTACTTGATGTTTTATGAAAGAACTTAAAAGTTTTCTTTGATGCATTAGACTATATCGGCATCTTAAAATGGTAGTATTTGTACCTATGTTAGTTGAAATCGCTTTTAATCAGACTGTTTTTAGTAATGACTGCTGTCAACTACTGAAAGTATTGGTTTGCAAATATTCATTTGTATTTCATAAAATCTTAAAATCTTCAGTTTAAAGAAATATTAAAAGGCATCTAATTCAGACACCTACCTTATATTTGCTACCAGTCTGTAACATCACTGTCAATGTCTATCCCATGTCTGGACACACTAAAATGAAGTTCTTGTCATATAACTATGATTGTTAGCCTGTGTTTCCTGTGTTAAGTCAAACTCTGCTTTTGGTTAAAAAAAAAAAAAAGAAAGGACCATTTACTGGTCCTCCTTCTGCTCCCTAGATTGACATAGGGCAAGTCCAGTTGCTTAGAGCAAGGATCATTCCTCATTCATTAAACAGACCTTCAGATATTGGCAATTAGTTTTCACATTCCACTAAACAACTCCAGGTTTCCAGCCATTTATGTTTTATATGAAATAGTTTTGAGAATTCTGTGTGTGAATCTGATGATATTCTTTATTTTGTCTGTGCCTCTCATTAAGTTTACTATTCCAAACGTGGATTTGACCTGCAAGAACTAGAGTAGACCTTTTCCTCCCTTATTCTGGAAGTCCATCCAACTTTCTTTTTATAAATCACATTACATTAATGACCTCTGTTGAATTAACAGTTAATTAAAGACTTTCAGTCTCTTACTTGTTGTACTTTTGGACTCAAATGTAGGACTCTACATTTATTCCTGTGAAATTTTATCTTTTCAGATTCATCTCATAATTCCATGTTATCATATTCCTTGTGGATCATGATTGTCACCTATTTTAGATGGATCTTTATTGTCATCTGTCATCTGCTTTATCTAGCTCTGAGATAACTATTACTATAATGTTCTTTTCCAAGCATTAACAGTTTTGAGTATAATTGAAGATGAAACCCTATGTTGTACTACCAGAGATTTCTTTCCAAATTGATGTGGATTTATTAGTCAGCACTCTTATTACAGATAGTAAGCAGATACAGACATCCTAACTTTATTATATTCAGCTCACATTCAGCACAGGGATATCAGAGCAGGCACTATCAAGCGTTCCATTGCTGAAAGCAAACTTCTTAGCATTGTCCCTGATCTATAGCTTCAGTAACTGTGTTAACATGGGAAATAAGGAAAATGACCTTCCCTTAGGGAACCCATACAGACTTTTTGATTATCATGTCCTTTTTTAGGCTTTCATTACTATTTATTTTTTAAACTTAAACCCTCATAGAATTGTACCAGGGGTTGACCTCAGACTCCCCAGTCATAATCCATTTTCCCTTGCTTGGAAGTTGGAATACATTTTTTTCAGTATTAATCTAGTATTCAGGATTCATTCTACAAATGTACAAATGTTTATAGAGTACCTAGCACTCTACTTAGAGCTGGGGAAATACCCATGTAAAACAAACTACATTCCTTTCCCCTGAAGCATGTATTCCAACAGGAGGAGACAGATAATATCATTAAGTCAATTGTATAATATGTTTAGAAAATGACAGGAGAAAATAATAGAGCATGGTTGGGTGATGGCGATTTTAGATACAGTGGTCAGGATAGGCCTCATGAAGAGGGTAAGATCTGAACAAAGACTTGAAAATAGGATATATATATATATATATAAAATATATTATATATATATTATATATTATATATATATTATATAATATATAATATATATATATAACTACTAGGATATATATATATATAACTACTAGGATATATATATATATAACTACTAGGATATATATATATATATAACTACTAGGATATATATATATATAACTACTAGGATATATATATATATAACTGTTAGGATATATATATATATATAACTACTAGGATATATATATATATATATCTACTAGGATATATATATATATATATCTACTAGGATATATATATATATATATCTACTAGGATATATATATATACACATATATATATATATAACTACTAGGAGATATATATATATATATATATATATATGGGAGTTTATATATATACTCCATATATACATATGGGAGTTTATTAAAGAATATTAACTCACACGATCACAGTGTCCCACAATAGGCTGTCTGTAAGCCGAGGAGCAAAGAAGCCAGTCCGAGTCCCAAAGCTGAAGAACTTGGAGTCCAATGTTCAAGGGCAGGAAGCATCCAGCATGGGAGAAAGATGTAGACTGGGAGGCTAAGCCTGTCTAGTCTTTTCACATTTTTCTCCCTGCTTTATATTCCAGCCATGCTGGCAGCTGATTAGACAGTGCCCACCCAAATTAAGGGTGGGTCTGCCTTTCTCAGCCTCTTGACTCAAACGTTAATCTCCTTTGGCAACATCCTCACAGACACACCCAGGATCAAGACTTTGCATCCTTCAGTACAATCAAGTTGACAGTATTAACCATCACAGAACATGTGAAAATATGGTAGAGTGTTTCAGACAATGGGAGCAGCTGGTGCAGAAGCCCAAAGGGACACGAGGAGACAAATGTGGCTGGGGCAGGGTGAGGAGGAGGAGAGTAGTCAGAGATGAGGTCATCCCACAGGAGACCAGCCCAGGTAGGGCCATAGCAGTTCTTATAACTCCTTTGGCCTTAATTCTGAGTACAATGGGGTACAATGGGGAGTCACCAAAAGGCTTCCAGCATGATCCAAGTCAACATTTTAACTCAATGTTTTAATGGATTTCTCTATCAGATGTGCTGAGAATAAACTGTAGATAGAACAAGAAATCATGCATTAAGTGGTAGTTGGGCCTCTAGTTCAAATGGACATCCTATTTTCCTTTACCAGGAAATTCTGTTTTCCTTTACCAGCATGATAGAAAGTAATCAGCATATGTGATACTGTTTTCATAGGGAAATATCAGAAAGGCAGAATTGTCTCTTTAGCTCTGTTCCTACTTCTTTGACCGTTTTATAGACATAATTTTGTTTAGAATTTTAATTGAACAAACGATATCTTAAAGATTGTCTGCATAACTATTTTTTCTATGATTGTACATTGAAATTGTTTGCAGTGAAAATGATGGTTGTTCTCAATAACTCATTCTTAGCAGGTGACAAAGAACATTATCATAACCTCACCATCACTTACACTTTCACTATTTTTACTTAGGCTGAAAAAAACAGATATTTTTAAACTGTTTGCTCTGTATCTATTACCGTGCAAAGAAGCATAAAAATCTTATCTTCAAGACACATAAAAACCCGTAGGCCTATAAAAGAAGGAAAACTAAATATGAAACTACCAGTAGAACTGTATGGGTATTATACAGTGCCAAATTTTATTATATAGATTATATATGATAAAGAAGTTGAAGTATTCTAGGCAATAATAGTCATATTCTGATTATCTTTTTGAGCGTATATATTGTGTGTGTCAACATAAGTAAGTTGTAGCACTTTCTTGTTGGTAATAATGGCTCATTATAGGAGTAATTTTCCATAAGAAGGCACAGTCCAATTGAAGAGCTTTATGTGTCAGGGGGCTTGGGGTGGAGAGGATCATCCTTACATAAAGAAACAGCCTTAGTAAGGCAAAGCAGGAGGAATGAACATTTTATATTTAAATTCTGATATCACATTACTAAATTGTGATTGGATGACCATTGGATAAAAGTTGGTTGGGTAGACAGCCATTATAAGAAGAAGAAACAGTGAAAAGAATAAAGTAGTGTTCTAGTATCACTTTAATTATCATACTCATTATTAATTGAAAGGAAAACTTTGAGGGTCTAAAACATGCCGGGATGAAGAGTGGGGAATGTAAAGGTATGAGACATTTAGTTTAGCATAGTGAGTGTTCTACCTTCTGTTTACCACTGGGGGAAATCTGAATTCTTTAAAAAACTGGTTTACAATACTCTAGGGGATAATGAAAGTAATTGAATTGAGCAAATCACAAGGCAAATCTAGAATTCGAACACTTACTGCCTTGACTCTGTCAGTTCTAGCAAGAAACTGTACCTCTCAGTTATCTTTCCTTTAACAGATATATTTCTCTGATAAAACTTTTGAATAGATAATACCCACTTGATATGTTATCCATTTAGAATTGTATAATAGTTTCATAATTATTTTGCTGAACAAGAGCCATTATTTGCATTGTCTGTTCATAGATCCCAGGGAAATAAATTAGTATTAGTTAAGTCATAATAAAGGTATTACAAAATAAGTTAAATCAAAGAAATTTTAGAAAAATGTATATAGCTTGGTTAGTTATACTAAAATTAATATATGTTTATTTTAGGTAAATATTATTTTTACACTTATAAAATGATCTGCTGATTTGTTTTGTTTAGCCTGCAAGTCCTGGGCAACCTCTTTGTCCACTTCTCAGGCGTTGCATCTCAGTCCTGGAGACTGTAGTAAGAACTGTTCCAGGTCTTCTGCAAACAGTCTTCCTAATAGCAAAAGTGAAATATTTGTCAGGTAGAGTATACCTTAAAAACTTTTAACCTTTTTATTCTGATGTTGATAAAAACAAGCGTAAATAAATTAAGCACTGTGTATATATAGAGAATAGTCACATAAAATGTACATTTTATATATGCATAGATAAGTAATTTTAATCCAAAATAGAATTGCATAACTTACTCTTTAATCCTTTAAAAATTACTATAAACTTGTGTGGCTTAAGCGAATTGCTGGGAAAATGCAGTTATACCACTTTAAAAAAAAGTCTGTCAGAAATTACTGGAGACTAGCAATAAGAATTTACAGTCATTAATCCATGGTTGTGTTCTTACTGGTATAACCAAATGCAACATTTGCCAGATTTCAGGCCCTAATGAAAAGTACTGAGTAATTCTTGTTTAGTTTCTGTGAATTGTTATGGATAGCTTAAAATAAAAACAATCCGTTTATAACCTTAGTTTTCTAAGGCACAGACAAATGCCTGACTTTACACATAAAAATAGACCATCATGGCTGGGTGCGGTGGCTCACACCTGTAATCCCAACACATTGGGAGGCCAAAGCGAGCAGATTACTTGAGCCTGGGAGTTCAAGACCAGCCTGGGCAACATGGAGAAACCTCATCTCTACAAAAAAATACAAAAATTAGCTGGGCTTGGTGGCATGTGCCTGTAGCCCCAGTTACTCAGGAGACTGAAGTGGGAGGATCACCTGAGCCCAGGGAGGTTGAGGCTGCATTGAGCCAGGATCACGCCACTGCACTCCAGCGTCAGTGATGGGAGTGAGACCCTGTCTCATTAAAAAAAAAAAAAAAAAAAAACCAGCTGGGCGTGGTGGCTCATGCCTGTAATCCCAGCACTTTGGGAGGCCCAGACAGGTGGATCACGAGGTCAGGAGATCAAGACCATCCTGGCTAACATGGTGAAATCCTGTCTCTACTAAAAACAAGAAATTAGCCAGGCATGGTGGCAGGCGCCTATAGTCCCAGCTACTCGGGAGGCTGAGGCAGGAGAATGGCGTGAACCCGGGAGGTGGAGCTTGCAGTCAGCAGATCGTGCCACTGCACTCCAGCCTGGGTGACAGAGTGAGACTCTGTCTTGGAAAAAAAAAAAAAAAAAAAAGACCATCATATTATGCTTGTCTGTATGTACCTTTGCCAACTGAATGCTATAAAAGTAAATAACGTTTGTAAAACTGTTAAGAGCAGAAACCAACTTAAAGGTATTTTCATGAATAGTTATTTCCTGTAATATAATGGAGTGATGAGATTGTCTTTACTGCTTCCTTGGACCTCTGTTTTCTTTATTTTTTTATTTTTTATTTCAATTTTTTATTTGTATTGGGTACAAATAGTTTTTGGATACATGGATGAATTGTATAGTGCTGAAGTCTGGAATTTTAGTGTATCCATCACATGAGTAGTGTGCATTGTACCCAATATGAAGCTTTCTATCCCACACCCTCTTCCCATCCTCCCTCTTCTAAGTCTCCAAAGTCCACTATATCACTCTGTTTGCCTTTATACTCATAGCTTAGCTACTACTTACAAGTGAGAACATACAGTATTTGGTTTTCCATTCCTCAATTACTTCATTTATATTAATGGCCTCCAGTTCCATCCAGGTTGCTATAAAACACGTTATTTCATTACTTTTTTACAGCTGAGTAGTGTTCTGTGGTGTATATATAGACCACATTTTATTTGTCCACTCATCGGTTGATGGACGCTTATGTTGGTTCCATGTCTTTGCAATTATGAATTGTACTGCAAGAAACATACACATGCAGGTGACTTTTTGATATAATGATTTCTTTTCCTTTGGGTAGATATCTAGTAGTGGGATTTCTGGATTGAATGGTAAATCTACTTTTAGTTCTTTGAGAAATCTTCATACTATTTTCCAAAGAGGTTGTACTAATTTACATTCTCACTAGCAATGTATAAGTGTTCCCTTTGACCACATCCATGCCAACGTCTTTTTTTTTTTTTTTTTTTTGACTTTTTAATAGTGGCTATTCCGGCTGTGGTAAGGTGGTACCTAACTATAGTTTTAATTTACATTTCCCTGATGATCAGTGACGTTGAGCATTTTTTAAAAATGTTTATGGGCCATTTGTATATCTTCTTTAGATAAATGTCTAGTCATGTCATTTGCCCACTTTTTAATGGGATTTTTTTTTCTTGATGATTTGTTTGGATTCCCTATAGATTGTGGAAATTATGGACTTCTGTTTTAACTGTTAAAAAAAATTTAGATGATGTCAGAGGGTTGTTTTACCTCTAAAATATTTCAATTGTAAGAAGTGACACTAATACTTTCTGATTGAATTGTACTATTAAGCCACATGATATTTCAGCTTTTCTCCTAATTGGAAGGGGTATCGCCTACTAAATAATTAGACTGGGACTTTGATTCCTATAATTTATTAAGTATTTATATTGTGAAAATTTATATGTCAATCTAGTAATACTTAATTGTTAAAGTCTCTAGTCTTGAAAATTTCTTATATTAATCCCATTTTTAAGAATAACAGCCTACGTAAGAATGATACAATGGACTTTGGGGACTCAGGGGAAAGGGTGGGAGGAGAGTGAGGGAGGGATAAAAGACTATGTACATTGGGTACAGTGCTTGGGTGATGAGTGCACCAGAATTTCAGAAATCACCACTAAATAACTTATTCATGTAACCAAACACCGCCTGTTCCCCAAAAACCTATTGAAATAAAAAAAAAGATTAAGAAAATTTCTAGTAACCAAAAAAAAAAAAAAAAGGAAGAGCAGCCTTAACTCATGTGAAATACTGCTAGCATGTGTCTAAGTAGTAGTGTTTTTGCTAAATTGCCAACTGCAATGACTTCTGACACCAACTAGTTGGAGTTGGGCCAAACATCAAAGGTTAAGGGCACAGTCCCCCATAAAACTGCCCTGACTTCAGACACCAGCCACAGATTTGGGCACTCCTAGAGCCTCCTGTGCTTTTGACTAGCTGCAAATTTGGAGGTCCCTCAGTTTCATTAATTTACTAGAATGAATCACAGAATTCAAGAAAGCACTAGACTTGAAATTACAGTTTTATTATAGCAACAGGATACTAACCCAAATCAGCAACAGGGAGAGATGCACAGGGTGAGGTCTGATAGGGTCCCAGATGTAAAGCTTCCATTGCCCTCTCCCCATGGAGTCAGGAGACATCACCTTCCTGACATGTCAATGTGTGACAATCAGAGTATTAGCAACCAGGGAAGCTCACCAAGGTTTGGTGTCCCTAGCTTTTATTGGGATTTCATTAAATAGGCATGGATTAAATCATTGGCCATATGATTGAATTCAATCTCCAGTCCCCCACCAACTGATAATGTGGCTCTAAGCACCAACCCTCTAATCACAGGGTTGGTCTTTCTGGCACAGCTAGCCCCCATTCCAAGTCATATCTTTAGCATAAACTATCCAGGGGCACACCATGATTCTCTTAATTAGGATAAACTATCAGGGTCCATAATGAATAACACAGAAATCCCTAACATGAGGGAAATTTGAAGAGTTAGAGTCTCCTTCCAGGAACCCAAGACAAACGTCAGCCAAATGCTTTATTACCCAGAATTCTGACAAAGACAGACAGACAGGACTGAAATGTCTTTCAGTTTCACTCAAGGGAAGTTGGACTGCTCTTAGAAAGAATGTGATGTTGGTGTTGATCTCTGGTGACAGGGTCTATTTTCCTCAAAAGTAATGACCCACTTCTCATTTTTAAATATTTAGTATCCTTCAAAATATTTTAAATATTTAAAATATTTCAAAATATTTTAAATATTTAGTATCCTACCCTACATATCCATCTCCTCACCCTTAAAAGAAACAAAGATTCTCATTTCTGTTACTCATACGGCACTCATTTTCTTCATTCTCTTAGTTGCAAACCCTAATTCTCTATGCACTTTCTCCTGTTAGTACAACCTGTTTCTTCAAATTATCGCCTTAGTCCTTCTCCTTGCTAAAAGAATTTTCACACAAATTTATTATGCCTAACTCTTCCTTTTTGTACCTGTGCAGTTTTGAGTGTTGGATTGTATCACAATAAGTTAAGAATCTAACCTTGTTAATTATGCTTGACGGTTGATTGCTAAACTTTGATGCCATGTTTAGTAAGTCATTATGCTATCTCAGCCAGTTAGTTTTCTATTAATCTTCTGTCTCTGAGAAGAACATTTTCAGTCTCAGTGCATGTCTGTTACCAGTAAGTTAAGCCTTATTTTGTTGACTGAGGCATCAGGTGAGTTTGAGGGGCATAAATGAACAGAAAATCATTTAGGCTCTCTTCTTCCCACATTCTCCTAGCAAGGTTGAATGGGGAGTTAGCCTACTTACATCTTCTTAAGGCCCATTTATGAGGTGACTTAAGTGCAGATCAGTGCGGGTTACATCATGAGAAACTTCTAAGACTTAGAATCAATGCAGTGTTTTCCTCTGAAGAGCCTCTTCTTACCGCATCTATCAGCCCGAGGTCAATTCCTCAATTCCTGTCACTTTAATCTTGATTATTTCCTTCTATTTTAAGACTCCCAGATATATAACTGGCATTATTTCCATTGGTATTTAAAGGTATTTTAAATCTATAACTCATATTTCTGAATCTCTGAAGTATATCCTTAGGCCTTTTTTGTTATTTTATGTATAGTAGTAATAGAATTTTTGACCAAGAATGATTACTAGACTGATATCCTCTTTGTTAACATAAGTGACACAACAAAATTCTAGCTATTCAAATGTTTTTGTTCTACATAATTTATTTTAATGAAATTATAAATAAAACCTTTTTTTGACAAGGAAAATAAAGGTCCGTTTATTGGCCTCTCAGTAACACCAGTGCTTGGCTCTCATCCTTTCCTGCTTTCCCTGGCTTGTTCGTTAGGATCAAGAACTTGCCTGACTTGCAGGTGTATTCATTCATGTAGACTAGAAGGAAGCTAACTAGTGCAGATGGAATTAAACCATGGCCTATGAACAGCAAACTTTAAGTTTACAAACACTAGGGCTATCCGTAAACTAAACACTCTTCTTCCTCTTCCCTCTCAGATCTCCATTTCTTAATCATTTGAATTATAACAATGCATTGTTTTTCTTATTAGGTGATATTGAAGCAGCTTTCAATAACCTTCAGCACTGCTTAGAACACAATCCCTCTTATGCTGATGCTCATCTGCTGCTAGCTCAGGTTTACTTGTCTCAAGAAAAAGTCAAATTGTGTTCTCAGTCTCTTGAACTTTGTCTGAGCTATGATTTTAAGGTAAGTATTCCAGACTGAAGTGGATAAGACATATCACCCTCCTTGAAAGCTTACATATTCAAGTATTTTGTGTTTTAGCCTGTAGTATTTTGCTAACAGTTGCATTTTTAATGGAAAAAAAAATGGAACTCACAAGCAGTAGGAGGAAAAATTGAGGCAATTCAGGTATGGGTAAAAAACTATGTGGACTTGGTGACAAAAATCCTGAGGTTAATGTCTGGTCTTTCACTTCTCTCTGAGCCTCAGTTTTCTTTTCTGTAAAACTCATTTACTAATACTCTGCTGTTACAATGAGAATTAAATGCAATAATGAAGGTATATAAAAATGATGATCCTTATGTCAAATATTTTTATGTATAAAGATAATAATTGTCTGTTTATTTCTTGGACCTTAGTTTTTAATAACTTCTTTTTAGATTCATTGTGAAAGAACATCTTGTCATTTTGAAAGTAATTTTGTGGTTTGAGGATATAAAAACACAGTACTTTTCTATCCAAGATATTATGTGTTATATCCAGTATCCCCTCAACGTTAGGGAAAATCCTAGGTTCAGTTGCTTCCTGAACTACCTCAAGTCATGGAGGAGCTCTGAAAACTTCTGCTTTGCTTCACAGGGTCATGGACCCTGTTAAGAGAGAACCCTTCAGTGAATTAGAGAATCCTAATTAAGATTTGCAGAAGGCCGGGCGTGGTGGCTCACGCCTGTAATCCCAGCACTTTGGGAGGCCGAGGTGGGCAGATCACAAGGTCAGGAGATCGAGACCATCCTGGCTAACACAGTGAAAACCCGTCGCTACTAAAAATACAAAAAAAGTAGCCAGGCGTGGTGGCGGGTGCCTGTAGTCCCAGCTACTCGGGAGACTGAGGCAGGAGAATGGCGTGAACCTGGGAGGCAGCGCTTGCAGTGAGCTGAGATCACGCCACTGCACTCCAGCCTGGGCAACAGAGCGAGACTCCATCTCAAAAAAAAAATTGCAGAAAATATCACCTGCTTCTTATGATAGTGGTTTTCAAGACTAGTGGTATGTCAGAGCCTCAGTGCTGGTGCCCCACCTTTACTGAGTCAAAATCTCTGAGGAAGGAGCACAAGCGTGAGTCTCACACGAAGCTCTGTAAGCAAATGTGCAGGCTGCCTAAGGTTGAGAACCTCAGCATCAGGAGGATTATAGACTTCCTAATCGCTAGGTGGCTGCCACGTCACCTCGTTCTGAGTCCTCTCCTTCCCTTTGACTTCTTTTTCCCACCTCATTTTTATCATTTTCTTATGTTTTCTGTATATACTGTTGATAGCCAACGTAAAGATGGAAGCTTCAGAACTACATATTTAGGAGTAGTGTCAAAGGGGAAGGTCAATGTTTGATTAAAATGTCCTGAAACTTTTAATCTTCAAATTAAAAAAATAAAGGGGAGAAACAGTGTTTCTAGAAATCTAATAACTTCATATCAGTTGTAGAAGTGCCAGATAAAGAAATTCTTTTCCTGAAAATTCAAGTAATCTCTTAGAATGTATTTGCTAGCCTTATAAAGCTTGTTTGCACTTTCTCTTCTGTCACAGTAGAAATATGTAATCAACCTCTTTGTCATCTCAAAGGATGCAGGGAGAAGCAATTTTCCTGAATCCGATTTAATGTGATACATAATCAGAGGGTTAATAAGAGGGCAGAGATAGACCTCATGCATACAATCAAAGATGGACTGTTCTCAGTGATCTCATTATTTTAATGTTTGATGGATTGTAAATTATGTGTTGATGTTGTAAGCACTCCAAGGAAATATTAAATATTATTCTTCAGGTGAGAGACTATCCTTTATACCATTTGATAAAAGCTCAGTCACAAAAGAAAATGGGAGAAATAGCAGACGCAATTAAAACACTGCATATGGCAATGAGTTTACCAGGAATGAAAAGAATTGGAGCTTCCACAAAATCAAAAGACAGAAAAACTGAAGTTGATACAAGCCATCGTTTATCGATCTTTCTTGAATTGATAGACGTTCACCGCTTAAATGGAGAGCAGGTAGGTCAAGTTTTAATTTAAGGGCTCGGATGTGAACTTTCTTATTCTAACATATATATTAGTAGAAAATGAAAAGCTGCCCAGGCATGGTGGCTCACACCTGTAATCCCAGCACTTTGGGAGGCCGAGGCAGATGGATCATCTGAGGTCAGGAGTTCGAGACCAGCCTGGCCAATATGGTGAAACCCTGTCTCTACTAAAAATACAAAAAAATGAGCTGGATGTGGTAGTGCGCACCTGTAGTTCCAGCTGCTCGGGAGGCTGAGGCAGGAGAATCGCTTGAACCTAGGAGGCGGAGGTTGCAGTGAGCCGAGATGATGCCACTGCACTCCAGCCTGGGTGACAGAATGAGACTCCATCTCAGAGAAAAAAAATGAAAAGCTAAATGTATTCCCTTGACCAGGTGGTAAACTTTAGAAAAATTTAATTTTCATTACCTTGCACTAAAAATAAACTTCCTGTAAGCCCCTGAAAGTTAAGCATAATTTGCTCCTGGTTGACCTTAAGTATCAGTGTGCTCATGTTGGCTACAATGGAACATAATAACATGATGTACAACTCTCTTGGTTACCATGAATGTAATAATATAATGCAGTTATAATCCTATGAATCTCTAAAAAGATTTATACACATAAACACAAACACACATTTATGCACACTCCAGAACTACTGAAATAAAAAGGAAGTACCAACCTGAAATTCTAGTAGATGAGGAGACAAAATACTTGATGAATACAGCTTTGGTAAACTCATAGGAATATTATAAAGTCAGATATTTTTAAAAATAATAATATATACGATAAGATAGAAAGTAATTCTGGGAGAATTACAACTTTGTAGAAAATGAGGAACTCAAAGTCATTTGTATCCGTTGTTTTAGGTTGCAGCACTTGCTAATCACTTATTTTTCATATTTTAATGAAAATTAAGAAGGCTGTATTTCTAAATATTTGCCAAATCACAAAGAATTTCCATTTATTTACTGTATTTTTTAGTGATAAGGTCTCACTCTGTCTCCTCAGCTGGCATCCAGTGATACAATCATAGCTCACTGCAACCTCAAACTCCTGGGTCCAAGAGATTTTACCATCTCAGTCTCTCAAGTAGCTGGGCCATGCCCAGCTAGTTTTTAAAATATTTTGTAGAGGGTCTCCCTATGTTATGCAGGATGGTCTCAAACTACTGGGCTTAAGTGATCCACCCAGCTCGGCCTCCCAAAGTGCTGGGATTACAGGTGTGAGAGAATTTCTGTTTTACTAGTTAACTTAAAGTACATTTAACAAGTAAGGCCAATTATACCCTATAAAGTTGATTCTGAGGTACACTTAAATTACATTTTAACATTTCTGGAATTCTTATAATCTCTGAAGTTGAGATGACTCTTAAATGACATTTTAGATTCATCAAGGTACACATTTGGAAATGAGGTAGAATATTCACCCAAAGTGTAACAACAGTGTTCTGGTGGAGGGAATAATCTGCCACTTAATGAAGAGCCAGTGTGTACAGCTCTTCATTATTCAATGCTGGGTGCTTAGTAAGTGCTCATTAATATAGTAGCAGTGACCCTCTGTAGCAGCTGCTGTTGTCCTAGTTGTGAAAACATTTATCTAGCTAACAATATTTACAGGCTCATCTGATTTTGGTCATGGGTTTAGTTTTAAATTTTTGAGGTTTCAGAAAATTCTATCAATTTATTTCGTAAATATTATAAATGTACTAGCATTTATTCATTCTGCGTTATGAGAAAATCTCCCTTTCTAGTGTTATTTGTTCACTATTTTGGAAGAATGATTATTTTAATTTCATCTTTACAGCATGAGGCAACCAAAGTTTTACAAGATGCCATCCATGAATTTTCTGGAACATCTGAAGAAGTGCGGGTTACCATTGCTAATGCAGACCTTGCTCTAGCCCAAGGAGATATTGAACGGGCTTTAAGCATCCTTCAGAATGTTACAGCCGAACAGCCTTATTTTATAGAGGCCAGAGAAAAAATGGCAGATATTTATCTGAAGCACAGAAAAGATAAAATGTTATATATCACTTGTTTTAGGTAAGTAATTGTCTTAACCCATTATATTTTGATACATTTAGCCACTAGTATTAATTCCCAATTTTTTTTTAACTTTCTTTCAACTGCTTCACAAATACTTTACAGATCGTTTTCTGAATGTGGTCCTGATTCCTTCTACCACCAACTGCAATCACTCTAACCAAGTTATTTGCTCTCCCTAAAACATAATTATGATTCCTTCAAACTGGCTTGCTGTAGTTTCTCAGCTCTCCTTATCAAATATTATTTTTAGACCCTAGATCTTCCTGTTTGAGAAGGGAAATTGTACCCTGTGTTCTAATAACTTAAGAGCATCATGTAATATAACAATAATCTACGGGATAGGCAGGTGTATTTATTAGTCGATATAGTAGTTGTAGGAAAAAAAAAGTTATTTTAGTATGTACCATGCTAACGTGTGGATTACAGATATTTCTTGGTGAAAGAGCATGACCTTAAAAGTATGTCACACTGATGCCCTTATGAGTTATTGGGATACACAACACACACACACACACACACACACACACACACACACACACAGATTGCTCTTCCTCTTCTCCCCAAACAGAAGGGTAAACATAGAAGCATACACTCTATGTAAGAGAAAATTAACGTTTTTAGCTCTTGAGATCATAGTAAACTGTTGATGAAGTAATTCAGTATTGGCTCATCTATATTATATCAAACTCAAAAAGCTGCTCAGATTCTTTTAAGCACTGAGTGATTCAGAGAAACTGAGCAGCACCGCATGTTTAGACAGATGGACTGGAGTTCCTAGATTGTGTTTTCTAAGGTATTTCCAGAAGATTATCACTGTCATCTCTAATGATATGAAAATAATTCAAAATAGGGTTGATTTATTTTTGATGTACTATAATGTAATAGTTAAAAGTATAGGTTTTGTTTCAGGAAGATCTGACACATCAGCTGCAACTCTTAACATCATCTGTAAAACTGGGATAATAATTCTCAAGAGTTTTTGGACCAGTTAGATGAAATACTGTATGTTAAAGACTTAACACCACATTATTATTTCAATAACTTTGGTAATTTGACCTTTAGTAGTCTACATTTTCAGGTCAAATGTAAGCAACAAATACTGAAATAGAAGATTTTGTATTTTTTTAAGGTAATTTATTTCAGCATATAATTTATGCCATGAGTATCAGAGCTCAAGATGCATAGGAGGACAGTAAAATTTTATTCTCCCATCATTTTTTTGGTACCTTCACTCCCACATCATTTCAGAAGTAAACATAGCAAAATGTGTAGGTCCAAATAAGGAGAACCTAGATATTTACTATCTATCTGAACTCAGTTACCTGCATTTCAGAAAATGGAAAGATTCAGTGACAGAAATAGCTGATCTAGCATAAACAATTTGGGTGTGGGTATGCATGAGGTTTTTATAATATTACACTGTTGGGTATATAGAGATACTCTGAAGGCTACTGGCTAACTAAAATAAGGGAGCTTATTTTTTATTTTATTTTATTTTTGGAAGAAGATATCTGTGTTCAATATGCTAAGTAATGTTGGTCTGATTTCCAGAGAAATTGCTGAAAGAATGGCTAACCCTCGGTCTTTTCTTCTCCTTGGTGATGCATACATGAATATTCTAGAGGTAAAATTTCTGATGTTACTGAACTGCATTTTTAAAAAATTATTTGTGATGAGTACAACTTCCTATTAAAAGGAATGTTTTTTAAAATAATGTTTAATATTTGAAGATCCAGCCATCACAGTAAAAGGGAGATATCCATTTTAAAGGATAAATAAAATAAAAGGGAGATATCAATTTTTAAAAATGGATTCTATTTTTAAAGTTGAGATCCAGTAATTCAGCACTATTGTTATTTGAAATAGAGATGAGGCCAGGCACGGTGGTTCATGCCTGTAATCCCAGCACTTTGGGAGGCCAAGGCTGGTGGATCACTTGAGATCAAGAGTTCAAGACCAGCCTGGCCAACATGGTGAAACCCCGTCTCTACAAAAAATACAAAAAATTAGCCCTGCCTGTAGTCCCAGCTATTGGGAAGGCTGAGGCAGGAGAATTACTTGAACCTGGGAGGTGGAGTTTGCAGTGAGCCAAGATTGCGCCACTGCACTCCAGCCTGGGTGACAGAGCAAAACTCCATCTCAAAAAAAAAAAATGTAGAGTTGATACCAGAGGTATGTTAGGAGTCTTCTTCTTTATACAGAAGGATAAAGGGAGCTACAGACTAAGGTGGTGTTTTCTTCAAAGGGAACCAATCCTTCAGCCCTCTATAACTGGCAGTTTAATGACTTCTGGAAATGAAAAGTCAAGATGGTGTCTCTTAGTCCACATATTGTTATTTATATAGACAAGAGCACAGTTAATATGGGTAGAATTATCCTAATAAATTATACCTATCCATACCTGCTTTTCTCATTTATCACCTTTTTGAAATTGTTAAAGTTCCTGTGCTTTAATATATGCCAAGTCTTATGTAATATTACAAATGTAGAGATTAATTATAGAACTGTTGCCCTTTAATGGGACCCAGTTATGCTATTTTTTATTGCTTATTTTTTGTGTCTGGCAATATTAGCCTGAAGAAGCCATAGTAGCATATGAGCAAGCATTAAATCAGAACCCGAAAGATGGAACATTGGCAAGCAAAATGGGCAAAGCACTTATCAAAACTCATAACTACTCAATGGTAAGTACTTTATTGTTTGAAATATGTCTGTTGCATCAAATTTATCATACCCTGTCCTCGAGAAGCTTCAGCGAGCACCATTTGCATCTTTAATGGTTGTAAACTCCAAATCTGTATTTATGAACTGGGATTTGTGTTAAAGGCCTTCTTAGATTTATCAGATTCTTCATTGCTTCATTTCGTGGTGATTATTTGGACCCTAGACCTTGCTTCATCTTGCAGCTAGAATCCTTGCTACCAAATCAATTACCATAAAGTTGCTATTCTTACACCTCTTTCATTGTGTAACAAAACATGATAAATGTTCTTTCTGTTGCACCAATTTTTGCAAGCTATGTGTTTTGAGTTCATTTTTTTTTCCAGTAAGGGAAACAGATTTTTCTTGAACTGTTATATTCTTGCCCTATTCCTGGTAATTGTTGACCATATGTACAACAGCTAGCAAAATGTATGCCTTTGATAAGGTTCACTGGCCTCATAAAACCTGTAAAAAATATTCTTTGCCAAGTACCGTTCTTTATCTACTTATCATAAGAAATGTTAGTTGTTGGCCAGGTGTGGTGGCTCACGCCTGTAATCCTAACACTTTGGGAGGCCAAGACGGGTGGATCAATTGAGTTCAGGAGTTTGAAACCAGCCTGGCCAACATGGTGAAACCCCATCTCTACGAAAAAATACAAAAAATTAGCTGGGCATGGTGGTGGGCTCCTGTAATCCCAGCTACTTGGGAGGCTGAGGCAGGAGAATTGCTTGAACTTGGAAGGCAGAGGTTGCAGTGAGCTGAGATTGCATCACTGCACTCCAGCCTGGGTGATGGAGTGAGACTGTGACTCAAAAAAAAAAAATATATATATATATTAGTTGTTTCATGTGATGATCTATTCTCTGAGAAGTATGACATACTTAATTGACAGGCAGGTGTATGCCTACAATTCTTCCTGGTTATTTCTAGTTATACCAATGCTTTAAGTCTGTAATGTATTAAATAGCTCTGCTTGAATGCCATTCTCATTGCCTTGTTCCCTTAAATGGAATGAATTTTGTTTAGGCAATCACTTACTATGAAGCTGCTCTGAAAACTGGACAAAAGAATTATCTTTGCTATGACCTGGCTGAGCTCTTATTAAAATTGAAATGGTATGACAAAGCAGAAAAAGTTCTTCAGCATGCTCTGGCTCATGAACCTGGTATGAAAGTCTTTCTGGTTTGAAAAAAGTCTGATAACTCTGATCCATTTTATTTTTATATTGCATAAATATGTATTTGTATTCTCAATATTTTATTTGTGGTTGGTTATATAAATACATGCGTATTTTTTCTTTTATCAGAATGCCACTCTACTAAAATGTGATATTTTGAAATCTAGTAGCAGATTTATGAAACAGTTAATTGTGTTATAGAAATATAGCTTACTTTCCAAAATAATATAGTTATCTTTAAATTACAGCTATCTCATATTTAAACACATTAGCATTTTTGTAATCTTTTTTAAAAAGTAGCATGCTTCTTTTTTAAAATTCAAGCTCTATAAAAGAATATAATGCATAAGTCATCTGTTTCTCCTATGAATTCCATTTGCCTTGTTCTCAAATTACCTCCCTAGTAGCTTGTAATTTAATATATATTCTATATATGTGTGTGTATATATAAGTGTAATGTGATTTTCCTGTGCGAAACTGTTACTCTTCCTTTTCTGCAATTTTTTCCACATACGTGTCCCAGATAGTTTGATGTCAGTACATCATGCATTTAATTTGCATTTCTTTGATGAGTGATAAAGTTAGGTATTATTTTGTTTATATATCTTATTTTCTTCTAGGAAATTTTATTCATATTATTCTATCTACAGGCATCATAATGTTCCATAACACCAATAAATTACTTAATTTTCTTGAAATTATTGGATGTTTAGTTTGCTTTCCATTATTTTGATATTATAATCCATGTTCCAATGAATATCACTGTATCATTCCTTAGTGTACATTTGCATATATTTCTTAGAGTAGGGTGCTGAGCTGGAGATTTTGTGCATGTAAAATTTGTTTGGGTACTATCAAATTACCTTCTTTCAAGTTTGTAAAAATTTACTTTTTTAAGATCTTTTTTTTTTTGAGACAGAGTCTCACTCTGTTGCCCAGGCTGGAGTGCAATGGCACGATCTCAGCTCACTGCAAGCTCTGCTGCCCGGGCTCACACCATTCTCCTGCCTCAGCCTCCCTAGTAGCTGGGACTACAGGCCCCTGCCACCACGCCCGGCTAATTTTTTGTATTTTTAGTAGAGACGAGTTTTCACCATGTTAGCCAGGACAGTCTCGATCTCCTGACCTTGTGATCTGCCTGCCTCGGCCTCCCAAAGTGCTGGGATTACAGGCGTGAGCCACCGCGCCTGGCCTAAGATCTTTATTTTTAAATAAAATCTAGTGGTTGCCCATTGCCAGAATTTAAAGATTACAGAAGTGAATAAAAGTTGTGTCCTCTCCCGCTCTCCAGAGAAAACCATATTTAACAACTTGTATATCATGATATTCAGTCTCCCTGCCCCCATCTTTGCCTCTCATATATACACAATTATTATACCTACCACTTTTTACTATCTAAATGGATTATAGTACACCTATAATTCTGCAGTATGCATTTTTCATTTAATAACTTCTTTCCTTGTTAGAAATATAGCTCTTCTTTATTTTTTAGCATATGTAGAGTATTCCACTGTATCTTAATATCATAATTGATTTGATGAGTCTCATATTGGAATAGACATTTAGCTTGGGAAATAGTTGGAAGCAGTACTGAGATAAAGTCCTTGTTTATATACATATACCTCTCTGTACTTCCTAGAATTGAATCTTGCCCCATTGTTCTTTCTTAAGGCTAAAAACTTCCTGACATTATGTCGTGTTAGTCATGAAAAATAAACATTTTAATTTACATTTCTTTGATGAGTGATAAGGTTAGGTATTATTTTGTTTATATATCTTATTTTCTTCTAGGAATTTTTAATTTATATTCTTTGTCTTTAATCCTTTACCTAATGTTCATGTTGTAGATATTTTCTCCCGGGCTGTCTTTTCTTCATCAGATTTGTTTATTGTATCTTTGATCAAGTAGAATATTTAATGATCATATATCTGCTTTTCATGTCTTTTTTTGGCTTCTGAATTTCTTGTCACTCTCTAAAAGACCTTCCCTAATCCTAACGTTATGAAACTATTTCCATATATTTTTGTCATTTATATTGTTTTCATTTTTATATTGAGAACTTTAATCCATGTACTTTATTCCACATACAAGTTTTACTATATAGTTTCCAAAATGGATAGCCAATTTTATTTTCATGCCATTTATGGAACTGGCTCCTTTATTTTATAATAAACTCCTTCATATACATTGCTCTGATTATAGGAATCTTTGTTTTATTCCATTGTGTATGTTTCTTTTCTTTTGCCAACAACATGTTTAGTGTAGCTTTAAAATACATTTGAACACATGATGAGAGAAGCCCATTGTAAGTTTTCTGATATTTTCAAAATGATCTTTTGGTTTAGCTTTAATGACATTGGTGCTTAAATTCTTCTAATTATAAATGTATTTATTGTATGAAGTGTTAGTAGTTCCATAAAAATATATGCATGGATTTGTCAGATCTTCTTTTGAAACACTTGAAAGGCCTAAATGTGGATATACATTTTGAAAAGTTTGTAGGGGGAGAGAGATTCAAGTATCATATGTTTTAGTTACAATGGGTATATTATATTTATGTAACATAAATGCTTTCATTTAATATTTGCTGAGCATACCCATGACATACTTAGATGCCTTCATATACGTTTCATACATTATCTCATCAGGACTCATATTAATCTTTGAGGCAAATATAATCATACCCATTTTAAATTTAGCAATCTGAAACTCAGTTTTATTGATGTGTCCAGGACTACCTAGTTGGTAAAGTGGCATGGCGTGTCATGAACTGTGCACTTGACAAATGGTGGAGGAAACATTTTTGTTAATTATCTAGGGTTCTTTTATTGTTCTTAGACACAAAACATTTGGCATTAACCAAATATTTATATAGAACTTACCACGTACCAGAGTTTGTTTTCACTACTTTGCATATTTTAACTTATTTAGTAACTTATTAGCTATTAAAATCTTGCATCCACCCTGTGAGGTAGTTACTATCATTTTTCCTATTTTACAGATGAGAGGGAACTGCAGAATGGTTAAGTACCTTGCTCAAAATTAGAGGGCTAGTAAGTGGTAAAGCCTAGATTTGAAACCAGACCATTCAACATCAAAGTCAGTGCTCTTAACAACTGTACTTTATTGCTTATCAAATATCTATGATTTTTAAAAGAGCAGTTATCTTCTTAATTGCATATAGCAACTACTCTATCTTCTAATGACTTCAGTAAACAAATTTTTATACACTTAAGAATAAAAATGGAAATTATTGTGGTGTTAAATTGTTATCTCCTAATATATGTCTAAGAAAAGCCTCTAGTTGTTAACCCGTTCTTTAACTTTTCATCCAGCCAGTTTTTATCCTAAATCTTTTCTTTTTTTTTTTAATTTGGCCATTCTTCAGGCAACTGATTGAGAAAATTTTAACCGTATTCACTATTTTTCAAAATCATTTTTTCTAGAGACCAGTTTTAAAAATTCTGGAAAAATATAAACATTTATTTAAGATGAATAATTTTTTGCATTACATTCCATTCTTTCATAGTAAATGAACTGTCAGCTCTCATGGAGGATGGACGTTGTCAAGTTCTTCTAGCAAAAGTTTATAGTAAAATGGAAAAACTTGGTGATGCGATCACTGCATTACAACAGGTAAACACATTTGTCTGTGAGTGTGGTCATGAGGTAGGAGATGGATGCAGAAGGAAATATGCCATGTATAAGAGGAAAGCAATCTCTTTTGGCCAAACAGCTACAGAAAATATGTCAAAATCAAAATACTTATTGAATGCTTATGAATTATACATTTTAAATATACTATTACTACTATTATAACAATTTGGGAAGGTTGGAATTTTTTAATCCCATTTTATAGCTGAGGAGACTTGATTAACTTGTGTGAAGTCATATGAATAGTGTCATCAGGATTTGAACTTAGTGCTTTCTTCCTCCATTTATTTAGATCTTCTTTTTTCTCTTAATATTTTGTGGTTCTCAGTGTAGAGGTTTTACACAGATTTCCTTAGGTATGTTCCCAAGTGGTTGATGTTTTTTTAATGATGATTCAGTTTCTGATTTGCTAACAACTTCTTTATAAGTGACTTGAATTATTATCAAATATACTATCTGCATCTATCAAGATGATCATATGTCTTTCCTCCTGTTTTCCTTTTCAAATGTGGTATATTAAATTGACTTATTTTCAAATGTTAAAACACCTTATATCTCTGAAATAAATGTCACTTTGATATAATTTTTAAAAAGATATTGCTGGAATTTAAAGATGTTTTATAATATTTTGTTCAGGATTTCTGCATCTGTGTTCAACAAATTGATGCTAATTCTTTTTTTCTTTTTTTTTTTTTTTTTTTTTTGAGACGGAGTTTTGCTCTTGTTGCCCAGGCTGGAGTGTAATGGCATGATCTCAGCTCACTGCAACCTCTGCCTCCCAGGTTGAAGCGATTCTGTTGTCTCAGCCTCCTGAGTTGCTGGGATTACAGATGCTCACCACCATGCCCAGCTAATTTTTGTATTTTTAGTATTTTTAGCAGAGACAGGGTTTCACCATGTTGGTCAGGCTGGTCTCAAACTCCTGACCTCAGGTGATTCCCCCTGCCACGGCCTTCCAACGTGCTGGGATTACAGGCGTGAGCCACCGCACCCGGCTGCTAATTCTTTGATGTTTGGAATAATTCATTGTTGCAGGCCTTGAGACCTCTTTGAAGGAAAGTTTTTAATAGATTTCAGACTGATCATTTTCAAATTGTTTCTTATATCAATTTGGAATTTTTTAAGTACTCAGTTTATTGTTAAATTTATTAACATAAACTTGTTTATTATATCTTTTCTTTTGAATGTCTACAAATGCAGTGAAAAAGGTCCCTTTTACAAACCTGATATTAGTAATTTTTTCTTCTTTAATAATCAGTTATGCTAGGGGTTATCTTATTAATATTTTCAAAGGGTCAACTTTTGCCTTTTCTGGCTTCATTAAATGTTTTAACCTCATAATTAATTTCTTCTACACTCTTTGGGTTTGGTTTACTAATTTTTTTTTTTTTTTTTTTTTTTTTTTAGCCTCTTGAAATAGTATGTTAGGTAATGGATTTCGAGCTTTTGTTATTTTCCTATTCATTTGAAGCAGTAAATTTCTCTCTCAACACTGGTTTATCAGCATTCCACAAGTTTATTATTATTTAGTGTAAAACATTTCCTCATTTTCACTTTGATTGCTTCTTGGACCGGTGGGTTATTTAAAAGTGTAACATTGAATTTTTATGGAGTTCTGATTTGCTTGTTATCTTTTTGATACTGACTTCTAGTACACTTCTGCTGTGCCAAGACATACTTTGAATGATTCAATCCTTTGCAATTTGTTGAAGCTTGCTTTACATCCTACATTATAATCAGTTTTGGTAAAGGTTCCATGTGGACTTGAAATAATGTGTTTCTAACATTACTGTAACCACAATTACTTTTGCACCAACCTAATAAATACTTAGTTCAACCGTATGTCAATTAGGTCAGGTTTGTTGACTGATTTCTGTACATCTTCCCTGTTCTTAGTGTTTGGTCGTTATTTGTTTGCTTGGTTTTGGTCTATTTGTATGAGAGGGGTGTTAAAGTCTTTCAGTGTAATTGTGGATTTCTTTTTTTTCCATTTAGTTCTATGTATTTTTGCTTCATTTATTTAGAAGATACATTATTGAATGATCCAGATTTAGAATTACAATATCTTCCTGGTGAATTAAGTTATTTAAAATAATAAAATGGCCTTCTTCATTTCTAGTAATGCTTCTTGCTTTAAAATCTCCTTTGTCTTGTGTTATTATAGCTAACTCCAGTTTCCTTTTAGTACTTGCATGGTATATCTCCTGCATTCTTTTACTTTCAATTTTACGTGTCCTTATGTTTAAGATCTGTCAGCATACAATTTTTTTCTTGACAATCTAAATCTATTATAGTTTTTTTAACATTTAATATAGTTATGAATTATATTTGCATTTGGATTTGCCATCTTACAATCTGTTTTTTTCTAAATTTTCTTGACTTTTATCTGAGTTAAATTATTCTTATTCCACTTTCCCCTCTATTGTGTTATTTATACCTCCTTTTATTATTTTTCGGTGTTAGCTACAACACACATTTCTTCTTATCCAAATTCTATTATTCTATCTTTGCCTTTTCTATTATTGTTGTCATGCATTTTAAATTAGTTGTTTGAAACTTTGTTTATAGGGAACACAATGTGATATATTTTATTTCAGTATCAGACACTGGAAGATTTTTAGAGAAATCTTCTAGGTTCTCCCTCTCATTTAAGCGATTTTGCCTATCTGCCCTATCTATTATGTGTTGATTTTGCAGCTTACTTCTGAGAGGGATGATCTTACTTCCCAAGTTCCCTGGAGGCACTTTACTGTTCCCCAGATAGGATCCATAATATTGGTTTGTTTTGCAGTTGTCTAGTTTCTGGATATAAAAGTGAAATCATCACTTACCTTCTTAATACTTTATATTTTTTAAAAAGGACCCCCATTATTTTTATCTCATTCTGTTTATTCTGTGTCTGTAAGCCCCTGTGATATGTTGGAAGCAACAGGTCTGTGAGGTAAGCAAACAGTTTATGTATTACTGTGCTTATTTTCCCACAGAGAGTGTTTGTCCAAGATTATACAGCTGGTTACTAGAAGAGTTTGAAGTGGAATGCAGATGCCTCAGTCCTAACCCTTTGTGCTTTCCAGGATACTATACTAGTCACCTTTTGACTAGATTCCTGTGTACCCAGAAGAGTTCTGCATTCTGCAATTAATTTGTAGTGTTTTGGTTTTGAGATTTAACTGACAGGGGTGTGTGTATGTGTGTGTGCACGTGTGTGTGCATGCATGTGCGTGCATACCCAAGTTTCAGTAGACAGTCCCAAAATTTTTTTGTTCTAATTGTGAATGAATTGAGCTTGGATTATTAGATTTCTGTGATATCTATCTAAGTTTATGATATCATTAAAATATGTAATCTTAAACAATATTAATATCTTATCCTTAATTATTGGTACATTTTAGCTCTTATTTTCTGAATCACATGATAGAGAATTGCACCCAGCCATAGGTTAGTTACCAGAAGCTACAAGGAAAGTGTAATCTTTGGTAAAGGTGACTTTTAAAACATTTTAGAAATAAATTTAGCTTAGTTCACTCCTTTATGAATATCATTAGTCCCAGTCACCATGGTCCCATGAGCCTCTGTGTTATAAAAGCAGACATATGAAGCAACATCAAAAAACAGCATGCCATGGCTAGACAATGCCAGCACCCCAAACTATAATCAATTTTGAGTTTATATGTTAGATCCCAGGGATTATTCATCTTTAATAAGGTTTGAAGAATTATAACATTCTTCCCACTAATGACATGCTGTATATTCTGAATGACAAAGAGACAAATCTTAAGATGCAATTCAAACAGAAACCTATAAGTGGAGTCAAAGTTTTTGATATTTTCTGTTCATTTATTCAGCAACCATTTATTGAGCTTAATTCTCCACATTATGTAACTTAGGGGTTCTGTCATAGTGTTTTTGCAAAGTTGCTAAACATTTTTGGCAATGACGGAAATGGTAAATTTAGGGAAATCTCAAGTCTTAGGAATTTTGCTTTCTAAACATTTCAGACTTTTCCAATAACTCCGCATTTCCGTAGCCCTCTCTGTCATCTTTTAGCTGACTCCATCGTTATTTCTTGCTTACGGTCCTGAAGTAGCCTCCTGATTGATCCCAGTCTCATTTCCCTCTAGTCAGTTCTTCACAGTGACACCAGGGTGATGGTTCCCAAAGGCAACCTGATCCTGTCATGCCAATGCCTATAAACATGGCATAGTAGCTTCCCATGGGCTCTAGGATAAAATGTAGATTATTTAACAGGCTTACCTGTTGTATATTCTCTATATCTTTCCAGCCATTTTTTCTTCTAATTATTTGATCAGGCAGTGTATCCCTCATTCTCTTTCCTTCACATGTGATTCCTAATGCCTATGAGCCATTCCATCTCTTCATCCCATCTGTTTTTCCCCAACTCACCAGGGTGTAACTACTAACCATTCTTTAATTCTTACCTGACTTCCAAGACTGAGTTAGATTTTCTATTATGTACTCCCATGGCAACAGCATTTTCCACTTAACTTGTTGGAAAAGGGACAACTGTCCTCTGGGGGCTCTGTTGCCAATATTTGTTCCACTTTCTCTTTCATTTTCACTTTCTTCCTTACACTTGCAATCCAGAGTCCAGATGTAAAACAGTGTAGGGCCATAAGTGATGGGACATCTCTAACAAAATTCTTGGAGGCTGCTGCCTGGAAACTTGTGTCCTTGGGATGGTACCCTTACCCCTGAGGTGCTAGGGATGGGCCCCAGGGTCTTTCCCTGCTTTCTACTTTCCTAATGGCTAAGTGATGTCAGAGGACAACATCTTGATGTGTAGAGGTACAAGAATTCAGGGATGCAAGGATGCCTTCCTGCAAGACAGAGATCATTCTATCTAAACCAATTGTTTTCAGGTTTTTTACTAGGAGCACATGCATGAATGTGTATATATGTGTATAGCTATGCAAAAACATGAACAGATGTATGCATGTGTATAATCTAAAACACATAAAGGTACATATACTGACATACTGAAACACATATTAATATAACCAAAATAAAAATTTCATGAGACAGTATTAATGTTAACCACATGCTATATACTTATATTTTTCTTTCATTTGCAAAAGAATGCTGTTATGACTGTCTAAACCTCTGGCTTGAGAAAAAAAAAAGAAAACCTGTTTCAAAGCAATTGTTAGCTAACATTTTGACAAGACTCCCCAGAAGGGTGCCTTGTGTGTAGCATAATATATTGCATGTGGTAGGCATTTACTATTTGTTAAATGAATGCATTCACTAGTGAATCATTATGTGTAGCTAAAACATAAATTTTATTTTTGAAGACCTAAAACGTGTGAGTTCTTACCATTTATTAAAGGAAGATCTCAATGTTCCAGAAACCAGATGGATGGGTGGAAAGGCTGATATTCTTCCAATATAACAATCTACTCTACATTCTTACTCTGAGGAAGGCCCCACCTCTTTGTATTTGTTTCACGGTTGTATTTCCTCCTTAGTGAACTTCCTATACACATGTTGTAACAGTGGGAAAAGACTCAGTAATTCCATAAGTGTTTTGTTGGAAAGATATATGTGTGCTGGCTCATTTGCAAATAAGTGCATGCTTGAGATCTCAATAAGACATTTTCTTTGGATCAGACTTTGTTAGATCAAGGGTTCATAATGTTTAAATAAATCTGTAAAATTATGCTGTGTGTGAGTTACGGAGAATTTAATTTCCTTTTTTTTTTTTATTCCCTTTTATACTGATTTTTTCTAGGCTCGAGAATTACAAGCTCGGGTACTAAAACGTGTTCAGATGGAACAGCCAGATGCAGTTCCTGCACAGAAACATTTAGCAGCTGAAATTTGTGCAGAGATTGCAAAACATTCTGTTGCTCAGCGAGACTATGAAAAAGCAATTAAGTTTTATAGAGAGGCTCTGGTTCACTGCGAAACAGATAATAAGGTCAGTACCTTTATAAAATTTTAAATACCTTTTATTCCAGATGTCTTCTAATTTCCTCAGATGTAAAATTTTTACCAGCTTATTTTAAAAGAAGATGTAGGCAGGGTGCAGTGGCTGATGCCTATAATCCCAGCCCTTTGGGAGGCCAAGGCATGTGGATCATCTGAGGTCAGGAGTTTGAGACCAGCCTGACCAACATGGGGAAACCTTGTCTTTACTGAAAATACAAAAATTAGCCAGCGTGGTGGGGGGCGCCTCCTGTAATCCCAGCTACTTGGGAGGCTAAGGCAGGAGAATCGCTTGAACCTGGGAGGCGGAGAGGTTGCAGTGACCCAAGATCGCGCCACTGCACTCCAGCCTGGGCAACAGAGCGGGACTCCATCTCAAAAAATAAAATAAAAAAATAGAAACAAGATTTTAAAAGAAATGTAACAAAAATACAAGTTAAAAGATTAATATTATTCCTCAAAAACTTTCAAAATCTTACATGATGCCTTACATTAAGAATATTAGAGTTTAAGGCTGGATGCAATGGCTCATGCCTGTAATCCCAGCACTTTGAGAGGCCAAGGCAGGCAGATCACTTGAGTCCAGAAGTTCAAGACCAGCCTAGGCAGCATGGGTAAACCCCAGTCTACTAAAAAATACTAAAATTAGCCAGGCATGGTGGCATATACCTGTAGTCCCAGCTCCTTGGGGTGCTGAGGCAGGAGGATCACCTGAGCCCAGAAGGTCAAGGCTGCAGTTAACCATGATGATGCCACTGTACTACAGCCTGGGTAACAAAGCAATACCCTGTCTCAAAAAAAAAAAAAAAGAAAAGAAAAAAGAACATTACAATTATTTAAAAACTATAATGGAACACGTAATATAAAGCAACCTGCAAATTGTTTTAATATTTATGTTTTTAATTATCAAAATAATTTAAATAATTTTCAAATTTATTGTATCAATTTAGTTTATCAAAAATTAATTTTAAAATAATTTAAAATAATTTCTCAATCACAAATACCTGGATTTAGATAATTCAGTTCCTTTTACTAAACAGCTGTTGTACACTCTGTATTTCAATTGGTGTTTAGTACTAAGGATGCAAAAATGGCTAGGCTCAATCTATGACCTCATATAGCACAGTGGGAGAATAAATGTAAAGATAATTTTGGTGTAGCACATTTACATACATGACTGATTATATAAAAAGTTTTTACTCTGTCAAGATCTGAGAGGATTTGGAGAGATTATTAATTTCTGAAAATAATTAATGGCTAAACACTTAAGTAAGTGATCATGTACAAAAGACAACTATCCTCTAGAATTTAATAACTAGTTTGAACATTTTTATTAATATAATTTTTTCAGATAAACGGCAAAAACAACCTTTAGCAAGGCATAACCAAACAGATACCTTTTTCAGTGGTGGCTAAAGGAGTTGGAATCCTACTTTTAAATCTGAGGCATACCTTAGAGATTATCTGCTTGAAGCTTTTTATTTTACAAATGAGAAAGCAGGTTAAGGGAGGTAGAAGGGACCTGACTTGGCCCCGTTATGGGACTATAATCCAGTCTCATGGTTTTAAGACCAGTGTTCTTTTCACAATGCATTATGTCTCTCTACTTTTGAAGTGAGTTACTACCTGTTTCTCTGTTTTTTTTTTTTCTAGTGTAAGAGAAAATAGAGATGGGTATACATACTGTTGTTTTTTTTTTTTTTTTGTCTATTATACTTGGCATTTTATTGCAATGACTTTTGGTCAACTAAAGTTTAATCTGTACCCACGTATTTTCCTCATTGACTTTTTATTCTATACAGTGTCTGATGAATCTAGCCCTTTGCTCTACAGATTATGTTGGAACTGGCACGATTATACCTGGCACAAGATGACCCTGATTCCTGCCTGCGGCAGTGTGCTCTACTGCTTCAGAGTGACCAGGATAACGAAGCTGCTACCATGGTCAGTCCAAGGAACTTCAGTACAATAAAAGCACTTGTGTTTTATAAGTTTTAAATTTTACCCCATGGAACTACTACTAGATGATGAGGCATGGCTCACGTTGGCTTTTGGAAGAAATAACATTTTTCTAACATTACTACATTTTACCAATAAAGACCCAGAATCATTAGGATTTTATTTATAAGAAAGATAAACCTAGGTCAGGCTTTTACATGCCCTTTTGGGTCTAGTTATTTTTTATTTATGCCTAAGGGGATGCTTGGTCAGGTGGAGTTCATGTGGTAACACTATAATTTGCTAAGAACTAACTTTTAAGTACTTAGGAATGCTGGACAAATTTAAGAGTTTGGGTGGAATTTTTGGAGTTACAGGGGAAAAAAAACAACTTCATATTATCAGTCTAAGACAGTCTGTTTTGAATAGAGTTTTTTATTTTTTCTTATTTTTACGTGGGCTAAAATATTTGTTAGCTTTGCAGACAGCTACACAGATGACATTTTGTGAGGTTTATTTAAGGTTATTGTGGTTAAAAAGAAATATATGAAATCTGCATTTTTAAACACATAATAAGAAAAATGTCAGTAGGTCTTGCTCATTTTTAATTTTTCAAAATAGTTATGATTTAAATTTTGTTTCATTTTTGAATCGTCTCATTATTATTTTAGTCAGGTCCAGTGAGTATCTTTTCTACAACAGCACATAGAGTGTGCAATTCCTTTCAAATTTCTGTTTTTAAAACAATTGCTAGAAACATATTTTTTGCTAAAAATACAATTTTGCAAGCAGAGCAATCTGTTTCACATCCTTGATTATCTTCTGTTACACTGATCTGCAAGTTATTCTGCACAAGGTGGGCTTGAATCTTAAATGCCTCCTTTTTATAAAATGCTGCCCCCTCCTCATGTTTATCATCTATATTTTTCTAGTGCTAAATCTTGATTGGAAGAACATGTTGTGTAAAATACATGGCAATATTTTTAGAACCAACTTTTATCTTTATAGATGATGGCTGATCTCATGTTCAGAAAACAAGACTATGAACAAGCAGTGTTTCATTTACAGCAGCTTTTAGAACGTAAGCCAGGTAAATACCTACTTATTGTATTTTTTGAGTGCAGTCACCCCTCCCTTTCTCCTTTTTTCTTCTGTTTAGTGGTTATGCCCTCGGGCAAACTCCGTCCCTAGTTGAATCAGACTGTCTGTTTATTCCACACATGGGCTTGAGTAGCTGAAATGGCTATAAGGAAATTGCAACACTGTTGACTGGTCTCACTTTAAATTATGAGCACAAACCTGGTAATCCTACTGTATTCCAAAAATGAATTCATTGATTCGAACTACTTTTCCCACTTTCTCCTGTCTCCTCAAACCTCCATCACCCTTGCCCCATTTCTTGCCCACAGTTAAAAGCCTTGCCACCTACTTCACTAAGAGAATATTTGTACCTGGAAGAGAACTTCTCCATTCTTTGTCACCAAATTTACCCACCCCTCAGCCTTTGTCCTCCCCAGGCCTGTGATCCCGCCTGTGGCCAGCTTCTCACCTAAAAAAGGGCTTCACTCTTACAGTTCTCTCTCTTGAATTATCATTTTTTTTCTAATCAGCATGGAACTGTGCTGTGACATCTTCCTGCTGTAAATAAATCAGTCAATAAAAATCAACTCTTAACTCTCATCCCCTCCCAATTACTATGCCCTTCCTCAGTTCTTCTCGACAACAAATTTTCTGTGAAGGATTTTCAAACATGCTGTGTTCACTTTGTCTCATCCACTGCTGCACCCTAGGGAAGTCACTTCTGCAATGTGGTCGGTGACCCCCATACTGCCAGGTCAGATTCAGTTCTCAGTTCTCTGCCGACTTGACCTGTCATCATATTTGGCACAGTTTATTCCCTTCCACAATGAAAGACTTTCTTCATTTGTCTCTGAGATCCTAAACTCACTCAGTTCTTCTTTTGCCCCATTGCCTGCTGTTTGAGTTTCCTTTTTTGGAGTTCTCTTCTCTGTATGACGTTTAAATATTAGAACACTCGTAGCTTCAGTTCCTGAACTCCCTTTCTTTTTATATATTCACCCCCTAGGTGACTTTGTCCAGGTGCGTGGCTTTATATCCCATGTATGTGCAGATGTGTCCTAAACATTTATCTGCAGCCCTTACTCATGTACACCTCTGCCTCTTTGCATTCCCACTCAGATGTCTAGGAGTAACTCAAGCTTAACATGTCCAAAATAGAACACCTGAACTTTCCCTCGCCTCTAAGTTTGCTCCACCCCCACCTCTCACCTCAGTGACTGGCATCACTGCTCACTGTTGTGCCGGCCCAGACCTCACAGTTAACCTTTGTCTCATCTTTCTCTCATATATCACCTCCAGTCTATCAGCAAATCCTTGTTAGTGCTACATTCAAAGTATACCTAGAATGCCATCACTTTTTACCACCTCTGTTAGTGCCACCCTGGTCTAAGGCATTGCCATCTTCCACATAGATTATTGCAGCGTCGTCATAACTCATCTGTGTTTCCATCCCTAGCCTATGAAGAATTTAGAAATACTTTCATTGAAAATGGCAGAGATACCCCTGAAAATTCTAGGCTAAAAATCACGGTTTTTAGTTTTCTCTCTGTAAAAGAAATGAAAAGTACACTGTGTAGGGACTGGTGTGGCGGTTCCACAGTATCATCAGGAAACCAGAGCCTTCTCTCTTTTTGTTCTACGTTGTTACCCTGACTTGCCTGAGCATCACCTCATGGTTCAAGATGACCACCGCAGTGCTGGGCATTGATGTTCCAGGGCCCAGGTGGGGAAGGTGGGTGCAGAGCTGGGCAAAAGGGCTTCCCAACCAGCAAATCATCGTTTTATTAAAAACAAAACAAACAAACAAACAAAAAAACCCTTAGTAGTATCACCTCCGTGGCTGCAAAAGAAGGTGGGAAATGTTATCTTTTAGCTGAATCTAATACCCTGTAGAATAAAATCAGAATTCTGATAGTAAAGAAGAAAGGGACAACAGAAACTAGGTAGGCAAAAGCCCAAGCCAATTACAGCCTTGAGCCTTTTTGTTTGCTGTTTCTACTTCCCGGAATATGCTGCTCCCACAGGTCTATCTGGCTGCTGCCTCATTTTCTTTTGTGCCTTTGCTCTGGTGCTGCTTCTTCCTTAGAATGCCCCTCCCTCACTGGCCTACATCAAGTAGCACCACTTCTTGCTCTCTGTCCCTTTATCCTGTTTTCTGTTCAGTTGAGTTTTTGGGGTTTGGCTTTAGGATTTTTGGGTTTTGTGTAGCCCTTGTGAAACAAAAGCAAAAAACTACAAATCATAGAATGGAAGCATCAAGTGACCAGAAACGTTGTCCTTCACTGCTGTGTTTCCAGAATTTAGAAGAATATCTGGCCTAGTTAGTACTCAACAAATACTAGATGGAAAGAAGAGTGAGGGAGAAAAGGAAGAAAGGGAAGCAGGGATGGAGGGAGGAGAGGAAAGAGAAAAAGAAAGAGGTGGGAACTGTTTGACTAATACATGACTGTATGTTACTACCTGTGTTACTAAAAAGAGTTTGAAATGGCAGAGGAAGTCCTAGAGCTGTGTTTCAGTTCTTCTAAACCCCACCACCTTCATCTCAGGCTGATGCCCTAGGCATCTGTGCTCAGAGCCTCAGAGACACAGAGGTGGCAATCCTTCAAGCAGGGCAACTCAAAGAACTAGATATGCTCTGCAGGCTACCTCTAGTAACGCTTTTAATAAAAAGATGTTTGAATTTAGAGAACATCAGTTTGTATTTAAAAATAAAATATCCCCAGCGAGCACAAAAATTGAAAGGAGAAAATATGGTCTGTTTTTTACAGTAATATCAACACTTTCTCTTTATTATTTTTACTCTTTGAGTTTTTTAATTAAATAAATTAAATTTATTTAATATGGGGACTACCACAGGCAATTTCATTTGTTTTTTGCCCTGTCTATTCCAGAGTATACTCAGATGTTATTTAAAAGAATGCTGTGAACTACTTGACCATCTCACCTCTTCCACTCACTCTGGGTCCAAAATATGGGCTCATCTTGCCACCCACATTGCCCAAACCTACTTTTATTTTCTTCAGGCCTGTATCGTTTTTTTCCCTGCCATTTCTACCTTGTGTTCCACACTGTTTTCTCTTATTCCTCTTCTCTAAACTACCATTTAAAAGTAATATACATAATATATTCATTCTATCTCAAGCTGTTCCCATTTCACAGTCTTTCCCTTTGAGACAATGATCTAACTTTATTTCTTTAAAAAACAGACTTCTTCCACTGTGAATATTTTAAGTCATTAAAAGTATTATAGTTTTCTAAGATTTGAAGAATCTCACACATTATAGTTTTCTAAGATTTGAAGAAGTCTTCATGTGTCTTGTGGGTTTTGTTTCACGTAAGTTTCTGTTGCTTGGCAGCAGCCTTTTTCCCAAAAAAATTGGCTTAGTAGACTGGCTGCTTTGGACTGTTTGTAAACAAATATAAAAGCAATTTTTTATAAATGCAATATAAGGATCTTGTACTCCAGCAACACCAAATGACATACAACCATGCTTCCAAGTCTTTGCTTGGGTTTTTTCCTTTTGCCTAAAATGAACTTTAGCTTCCTTATCCCTTTTCTCTTTCCAAACACATAATCTAAAATATATCCCTCTTGGGGGAAAATAAAAAAGTAAATCTGCATCCCACTACCACCACCTACATTAAAAAATGTCTTATGTGGTGCTGGGTAGCATGACCAACCATCCTAGATTTGCCTCGGAGCAAAGGGTTTTCCTGGATGCAGGACTTCCCATGCTAACAGAAAGTCACAGGCAAACTGGGATGAGTTGGTAACCCTAATCCTCGGTTACTTTGTCCATACGTCTTTATTACTTATAGTATTTTACTAAAAATATTTATGTGCATATTTGTGTTCTTTATTACACTGTAGACTCCTCGAGTTCAGGGATCACACCATATTCCCAATATCAGACAAAATGCCACACACATGGATGTGGCAACATAGATGTTTATTGGTTGAATGGATCAGTGAATGACTGTAAAACACCAAGTCAATTAAAAACACAGCAGGAGAATCGCTTGAACCTGGGAGGTGGAGGTTGCCGTGAGCCAAGATCACACCACTGCACTCCAGCCTCGGTGACAGAGTGAGACTTGGTCTCAAAAACAACCACAAAATTTTAAGTAAATTTTTATTGTCTATGTGATATTTTTAATCTTAAGAGTTTTTAATCTTGTGTTGTATGCTTTATTCTTACTAGTACCTTACATACTTATCCACAGATCTATTTTGTTGGAATTACTCTAAAACATGCATCTCCGTTCATTTTATGTGTACATTATTGGTTATCCTCAGTAACTCATCTTGTACTTTAGATTAAGGCTCTATTTTAGCTTATTTCAGAAATGTACCATACAAATTTGACCTAATTTAAGTAGTTGAAAAATTCCTCTTCTAGATCTAATTACTGCTCTCACGACAGATTGCCCCTTTTCTCTCTCAGAATCTCCAGATCGCCTTGAGCTTTCCCCTTCCTTCATACTAATTGGTTAACATGTCTCCTCAGCTCTGTTTGCTTGATAGCTAGCTAACACATCCAGTCTGTCGTATCCTAACCCACTGCTCTAATGAAGACCCTTATCACCTCTCATCTGAACTAGTGCAGATTCCCAACTCATCTTCCAGCTTCTAGGTTCTGGCTGCTCCAGGTCATCATAGGACTAGCATATCAGTTCTAAAAATCAAAACCTACCCTTTGCTTAAAATTTAAGTTAGTGCTTCAGGATAAAGTCTAAAATCATAGCATTATTTTAATAATAATATGGCCGCAAATTATTTGGCCATTTATATTTCTTATCCTTCTTCCTCCGCTTTAATAATATCAAAGTTACCAACACTCCCCACACTGTTCTCTGCTTCCCTCTTGGCGCATGCCTTCTGCTACTTGGAATGCCTTTGTCCGTCTAGTAAGATCTTCCTCCTATCCTTGAGGCTGCTCAAAGGTCAACTCCTATGTGAAATTTCCCAACTCCTCCAGGCAAAGTTAAGAATCCTGTGCTTTGTAATACCATACCATAGCACTGCATGCTTGCCACATCTCATCACCCTATAACTATTTTGATATCTTCCTACTATTCATCAATAAAGATGGACCAGCTAAGTTTTTTAGAAGGTAATATACATTTTAGTTTTTAATACATTTCTTAAGTGCAGAAATTTGCCTTCTGTCAAATGTCATGGTTAACCAAAGACAAGTGAATGTAATTTAATCTGTCACTGGTAATTATAACTTGAACTAATAATGAATACATTTCAATAGTATATAAGAAATATTCAAGAAATTGCCTTCCCAATGTTGATAATACTAGCAGTATCATGCAAAAAAAATTTAATCCGAAATTTTAACCTTTAGTTCTTGCTTAATCCAATATAGCTTCCAGATGCTGTGGCTTTATTATGGGGTAGTTACTCTATTTCTTGTCAACATTTTTGGAAGTATAAATATTATTAATAACATTTGTAATTTATAAATATTTTTCATGCCTTTATTTCTGTAGCACTCCTACAGTCAATATTATAATCCTATTTTAAGAAAATAAGTATATTGGACTCAAAGAATTTGAGTAATTTGATTGAATTCACATAGCTAAAGGACAAGACCAATATTTGAATTGTCTTTTTCTGAAACCATATTCTTATTGTGCCCTTTTTAGTGATGCTAAAAGGTGTGGTGAACAAAATCTCTGGACCCAAGATTGTGTGTCAAGGGGACAAATGATACTATCAGCCTGTATTAGTTTGACATCCTGTAATTAAGTAGATACAGTATTTCCAAAAGTCTTTTTTAAAGAATATTTTGTATTGTGGTGAAACATATATAACACAAAATTCATCATCTTAACCATTTTTAAGTGTACTGTTCAGTGGCATTAAATGCATTCGCATTGTTGTGTAAGTCATCACCGTTATCCATCAACGTTTTGCGTTTTTGCCATTCCAAACTGAAGTCTGTACACCAGTTCCTCGTTCCTCATTCCTCTTCCCGGAGCCCCTGGCAACCATCATTCTACTTTCTATGTTGATGAATTTATTCTAGGCACCTCTGTAAGCTGTATCACACAGCATTTTTCCTTTTGTGTCTGGCATATTTCACTTGGTATAATGTCTTCACAGTTCATCCATGTTGTAGTGTATGTCAAAATTTTCTTTTTTTATGGCAGACATACAATATACAATATTCCTTTATATGTACATACTACATTTTGATTATCTATTCAAACACAATGGACATGTGGGCTCTTTCCACTTTTTCTGTGTATTGTGAAGGTTGCTGCTATGAATGTTGGTGTACGAATACCTGTTTGAGTCTCTGCTTTTAATCTTTTGGGTATATACTCAGGAAAGTTGCTGAATTACATGGTGTCATCTCTTTTCAAATAGCAAAATAGAGTCAAGGATAAATAGCTTTAAAACAAGCTTTTTTGTTTGTGTGTTTTAATTGTAGAAATTCAACCTAAGAACATGTTCAGAATAGCTTATTTAAGGGTTTTTACAAGTCCCCTACAAATCCCTAGTCCTGTACTAACTGAAACTTGAGCACACAAACATCTAAAAGACACCACTATAAAGAAATAAATAATGTGAATCATCAGTAAGTAGGCCCTTATGCAACCATTAAAAATCACGTTTTAGAAGATTGTTTAATGACAGTTGGGAAATGTTAACTGTTTAATGTTCATCAAAATCAACATTAAAACCAATCAAAACCGATCAAAATCAAAACCCCAATGTGACTCCAGTTTTGTATATATTTAAATAAACATCTATTTTGTATGAATGTAAACAAAGAAATATCTTTGCTTACATTTATATATAGGTTGGTTTTCAAATATATGAAAGAAAGCACACCAAAATGTGCTAATCTTTAGCTGGAAATATGGTGATTTTTTTTTTCTTCATACTTTTTATATATATTTTCCTTATTTTCTGTAGTGTCTATACATTATTTTTGCAATCCTAAAAAAGATTTATTAAATTATTCTCAAAGCTTAGTTTGTTACTGATAAGAGAGAACTAGATAGAATTGGAAGAAGGCTTTCTAGGAACCTGCCAGGAAATTATACCTGAGATCAAAGGAATGAATGAATGAATGAATGAATGAATGAATGAATGAATGAATTTTTTTTAGAAGAAGGTGAAACAGGATTAAAATATGGGGACTAATATGCTAAGGTTCTAGTATGGTAAGCTAGCATATGGTATGTTAGCTACATGTACATATCAAAGAGAGACTGGAGAAAAATTTCTTATTGTCCATCCCATACATTATTTGTCAATTGTACTGTTCCCACACCCTTCCTAGCAACAGTATGTAGGAGAGGGGTTCTCAGAGACCGACAGTGAACTTGTCCTGTGCAATTAAATCGGTATTCCTGAACTTCACAGTTGAAAGTCTAGATTACCTAGGTAGGGGCTGTTTCTCTAAGGTTTTGGTCCCCCAAACAATAGAAAAGCTACAAGAAATATGCATTTTTCTAGATTTGCCTATGTAGACACTGTGACCAGCCTAGCCCAAACTGTATTATTTAGTAGATCATCTAGTTGGCCATACAGCCTCTATAGGGAATTATACCCTGAGGCATTTTTTATTTATATTTAAAATGTACTTTATATGAAGTAAATTATACTCTAATGAAGTAGAATTATAACCAACAAAAGAAACAGTATAAAATGGTGCCCATATCTGAAGTATTATTTGTTTCTAGATAATTATATGACATTATCTCGTTTGATTGATCTCCTAAGAAGATGTGGAAAACTCGAGGATGTCCCAAGATTTTTCTCAATGGCTGAGAAACGTAACTCCAGAGCAAAATTGGAACCAGGATTTCAGTATTGTAAAGGACTGTATCTTTGGTAAATCTATTTACAAATAAATGCTACATGATTTTTTTTTCTCATTGTAAATCAAGTAGAATAAGCTTTTCTTTGTAGTAAAAAAAAATGTACATTTCAAAATAATTCAACAGTTTTATTTACCAGACAGATTATAAACTAATATAAATTTTGTAGTCAGTGATTGAAATAAATAATTCTTTTAAACATCTAACAAGGTACACTGGAGAACCAAATGATGCCCTTCGACATTTTAATAAAGCTCGGAAAGATCGTGACTGGGGCCAAAATGCCCTTTATAATATGATAGAGATCTGTTTGAATCCAGATAATGAAACTGTTGGAGGTGAAGTATTTGAAAACCTGGATGGAGACCTGGGGTGAGTTATTTGACATATTATCCTTTTTTAAAAAACACTTGTTGGAGATAATAAACAGGGATACTATACAAAAGAACTAAATTTAGGATAGCAATAATGAAAGGTCAGATGAATAAATTAAATAAATAGGCATTTCATTGCCTGTTTCAGAGAATAGTTATTTTAGCAAATTGAATAGTTATTCAATAGAATAGTTATTGCTAATGTAACTATTCTGTGAAACAGGCATGAAATGCTTTTAGGTTTCCTAAATAATAATAGACATGCTATGAAGACACTCCCCTAATTGTAGAATTTGACAACTGTAGCAAAAATTATCCACACAATAATAGTAACTACTTAACAAATGGTAGTTATTTTCCAGACCCTGTCCTCTATACTTTCTACACACTATCTCATTTGTTTTCTATAACAGTATTGCAGAATAAGCTGAGTCAACTTGTTTAATGTGATAGTAATGATGGAGGCAAGATTTAGACTGAGTCCTGACTGCTGTTAGTGTGGTATACTGCTAGTCAATGGTTATTTATCAACCTGCATTAGTAGCTTGTCCTCTCTTCTGACTCAGGCAAGGCTTGTGGGGAATGTATTAGGACATAAAGGGAATATAAGAGGTAGTTTCTGTCTTCAGGAGTGTTTAATTAAGAGGCAAGACAATACCTGAAACCTTTCAATCTGCAACTAAATATAAATGGATTTAAATAGATATTAAGTATTGTCAGAGTTTATTAGGAATCATAGCAGTGCATAGTATTCAGGAGAAGATGCATGGAGGAGCTGGAGAAAATTAGTGGTAGATTGCCAAGAGATTTCAACAACAGATTTTAACGCTTGGATTACCGAGACCAGTTAGAGCAGGGAAGTGGCATGTTTATGGTTGTTTTAGGAAGGTTGAGGTAACATTACTGTTATGGAACTATAAGCTATTCAAGTGGAAATCTTCTTCAGGCAATTCAAAATACAAAACTAAAACTCAGAAAGAGAGGTCACAGCTAGGGATAGAGATTTGGGAGACATCTGCAGAGTGCATAGTTGGAACTCCATGAATGGTCTCTTTGTGAGTGGTAGAATGAAGTAACAAAAATCTGAGAACTAAATGTTAAGCTTGCTAACATTTAAGGGGTCTGGAGGAGGAAGGAAGGTCAGAAAAGGGCAATCAGCATGGTGAAAAGAGAACTAAAGCTGTGTAGTGTTACAGAAGCCAAGGGAGAAGAACTTTGAAGTGGTAGTCAACAGCGTGACATGTTTAGGCAAGATAAGCCTAAGGCCTGAGAAGAAGACCAGTGGCTTTAGTGATTGGACTTTGAGTGTTTAATTTCCTTTTATTAATTGATTTATGTATATTTATGTGCATGGGTTTGTGTGTATAAAATAAGAAAATTGCTATTAAATATTCAAATTGCACTTGAAATTACTGTTTGACACATATATAATTTCTGAGAGTCTGATAGGCAATGTGGTGAAGAGAACAGAGTAGATTTTATATGTCTGATAAGCTTAGATTCAGGTCCTAGGTTTACCACTTACTAGCTGTGTGACCTTTAGAAAATTACTTTACCTGTTCAAGCCTCAGTTTTCCTGTGTGTAAAATGGATTAAACATAGAATGAAATAATACAGTATTTGTCACTTTTTTCCTTTCCTTTCACTTTTTGAATAGATATATGTTAATTTTCTGATTCTACTTATAGTTTTATATTTGCTGGAATGCACACATTTACAACATGTAGATATTATCCAACTTTTGTCTTCATTCTAGAGGAAATTAATGCTTAATGGTGTTTTATTGAGTCCATATTAATTTTGTTTAAAATGCATTGTAACTGTGCTTCACTTTGTATTAGAAGAGAATGAGTGACATTCTTTACAAAAGATTACTTTTAAATGAGTGACAAAAAGAGTATAAAAGAGTGCCCAGAGCTTTTGTGTACAAAAGCTGATTCTAATCTCAATGAATTGTATCATGAGTAAGAGACAGAAGTGATTTATTTTTAATTATATACAGTAATTCAACTGAGAAGCAAGAATCTGTGCAACTGGCAGTAAGAACAGCAGAAAAACTTCTTAAGGAACTAAAACCTCAGACTGTTCAGGGTCACGTACAGCTTCGCATAATGGAAAACTATTGCTTAATGGCTACCAAACAGAAATCTAATGTTGAACAAGCATTAAATACCTTCACTGAAATAGCAGCATCTGAGGTTAGTGGATTTCCTTTTTCAGCTTCATGTGGTATCTTTATTTGGTAGTATAGAAACATATATTTTGATTAGTTGTTTATTTTCTGAAGATTGACTTAATTACTTAACTTTTATTAAAAATTAGGTATATAGTTGGGCATACACAATGTCCCCTTCTTGGCGGAAGAGACGATGTTACTGTTTTGTTGTGTTGTTGATATATTTCTCTCTACTGGAATGTTAAATTCTACAGAAACTGAATTCTTCAAAAGTATATAAGTTAATTCTCAAGGGAGCCACTTTATCCCCTGGAGAATTTCTGTGTTGTAGATGTAGCCAAGATTAACTTACTAAGTGGAAATAAACACCTGGCTGCCCTGATATCTTACTTCTTCACTTACATGAACTTGGAATTTTTCCAGCTATATAGCTACATGAGATCAATACTGATAGCTTATAATTTAGTCATACAAATAATGATATTCTTTAGCAACACTGAAATAACCTCCTGCAATCTTTTCATATTTGTTATTTTCATAGTATTATTTTATAAAATCAGAGGCTTTCTTCTCTTTTCACTGTGCTCGAATCCACCTTTTTTCCTTTTTTTTTGAGTCGGAGTTTTGCTCTTGTCGCCCAGGCTGGAGTGCAATGGCGCGATCTCAGCTCACTGCAACCTCCGCCTCCCAGGTTCGGGCAATTCTCCTGCCTCAGCCTCCCAAGTATGTGGGATTATAAGCGCCTGCCACCATGCCTGGCTATTTTTTGTATTTTTAGTAGAGAAGGGGTTTTGCCATGTCGCCAGGCTGGTCTCAAACTCCTGACTCAGGTGATCCGCCTATCTCGGCCTCCTCCACCTTTTTTCTTACTCTCTAGATACTGTTTTCCTTCCCTCACACAGCACTTTATTTCTTCAATTGCTTGATATTAAGAAAGGAATTCTAGATACCCTCCCATCAGCAGTTGGTAATAGTTACTTCTAAGCATACTCATTGAATTTCATGTTTGTTCTTCCATTCAATGATGCTGTAGGCCACTGGAAACTCATTTTATGTGTCTCAGAGAACATACAGAATTTTGCTGTGATTTCTTGTGATTCAGTAGTCACAGTGGCAGCAATAAACTACCCAAAGCCCTGGACAGTGATCTCTTTCCCCTCACCTTTTAGGGCCCTGGAGGAGATTGAGATGTCAGGGGTTTGGGAGACCTGCAACTCTTGTTGTGGCTTGGGTACAAGTATCCTAGATGGCAGCTTTATTATTGCGCTTGGAATAAAACAGCAGGACAGCATGGCAGCAGCAACCCTCCAAAGCAAGGCCCTTCTGCAGACATTGAAGTAATGTGCTCAGGGGTCATGCTCTGTTGAATTGGCTTTGTGGAGCAGATGGATGACAGCTGCTGAATGAAGGCAGAGCAGAAGTAGGGCAATCATGTACATCTAAGAGAATCTCTAGGAACATGAGGAAGCGCTTCTCATGTCAGGTGCCATAGCTACTGAATGCTGTGATGTGCTATTCTATCTCATAACAATGAGAAAGTTTATTTTGACTAAATCCGTTATCCCTACTGTGAAGTTTAAGAGAGAAAAAAAGCCAAAAGCAGTGAATGATATTACAGCTATTTCCTAGAAGGACTATGCCTGCTTTCTGTTGATAAGACTGTGTTATTTTTTTTAATCATCCTTACATATGTGGTTAGTAAAATACTATCTTCAGATCTGTTTACTAACCATATTATTCAAAAGACAATGATATATGAGCTGAAGTTTCATAAGCATCAAATTTTCTCACTTTTTTTTCTTTTAACTCCTAGGCTGCATGTATTCAATATAATGAATATTCATTAAGCAGCCAGCGAGTGCTAAGCATAGTGGGAAACACAAAGATAAATAATGTATGGTCCCGTTTTTCAAGTTTCTCATAGCCTATGGAAGACAAGACAAGCATACTGACTATGATGACTTAATACAAAGCAAAATGTGTTACATTCCATACTAGAATTGCAAATAAAAATGCTGTAGGAGACAGTATAAGGAGAGTTGGGAGACCCTTTTGTAAAGAAGGTATGATTTAAGAAAAAATAGGATTTAAGAAACAGGTATGATTGAAGAACCAAGATAAATTGCATTTTAACAGGCAGAAATGAAGACAATGTGTTTCAGAGGAAGAGGAAAATGTGAACAAAGTCAGGGAGGCAGAAAAACATAGGGTATGTTCACAATCCTATTTGTCATTCAGAGGGACCAAAAAAGAGGTATGTGACAAGAAATCATGGAAGAAATGCTGGAAGATACATTAAGCCCAAGCTGAAGTGTTTCCACTTGCTTTCATTGCATCACCTTGAACCATAAAGATGAGATGTTTATAATAACAGCTGTATTGTCCACATCCAAGTCTTGTCCTTTGCAATCTAAAGTTACTGCAATTTAGAGTTATTGAGAGACAGAGAAGTTGGCTGTAGGTCTTAGGATGTCTGCACCAGAAAAAAAGACCTAATGCAGGGATTAGAACTCAGGTTTGCTTTTAGAAACTGTTCTTCAGTTCACTCAGGAGTAATCAAGTTGTGAAGAACCGATACGTTCTAATCAAACTCAAAGTGTAAGAGAGGTTATTTTTAATTGTGTAGTGTAGAGGGAATGTGGGACCTTTTCATAGGACCCTCCTCCTCTTAGGCTGTGCTAGGACCTGGCTGACAAATACATAGCAGGCCTCTATCTTCTCTCCTCTCCTGGCCCACCTGAGGTGGGCTGAGGTGGGGAGAGGGTGAGGCTCAGTAATTGGTAACATCCCACACTTCTTCATAACCTACAACCAGTTGGTTGGATTTGACACTCAAACCATTTTGCCACCCCTTACCTAGAGGAACAGATTATATCTTGGAAGCTTATTGATAGATACAGAATTTGAGGCAAGGAAGTTTTTATATTTCTAAAAGCTGTTTTTATAAAACCCTGATGTATTGCCCTTCTCTATTCCAGAGTTATTTCTTACTTCCAAAGATCAGTTGGACATTGAACATTTTACCACTCTCCTTTTGCAGTATTCCTTATGAGTTACCCAAATTTGCTATCTTATAGTATACTTTTATTATAGTAATGGTATCACCGTTCCTCAGTCACAATTTCTTACCCTTTGTTTTTGTTTTTATTTTGAGACAGTGTCTCATTCTGTCTTCCATGCTGGAGTGCAGTGGCACGATCATAACTCACTGTGGCCTTGAACCCCCAGGCTCAAGAGATCCTCCCACTTCAGCCTCCTGAGTAGCTGGGACTACAGGGGCTGGCCACCACACTCAGCTAGTTTTTCTTTTGTATTTTCAGTTGAGGCGAGGTCTCGCTATGCACTAGCCTCAGCCTCCCGAAGTGCTTTGATTACAGACATGAGCTGCCCTCCTGGCCCCTTTATTTGTATGTTAAGCTGAGGCTTCTTTCTTTATAAATGCATCATAATCCCTCTGCTGAAATTTAGGAAGCATCCTACCTTAATCAGGAACATACACATTATTGCTTATGAAAGTTAGTTGTCTGGATAGATCACTAATGGCCTCCATTTTATGAGTTCTCATTAACCTATTGGTTTCACAGAGTGACATTCTCTGACTTCAAACTCTATCCAAAAGAATATCATATAGATTGTTTTAGGAAGCTGCAGACTCCAAATCTAAAAGCATATTTTAAGGCATGAGTTTATTTCATATACTTTCCAAGTGGTGAATTAATTATATGCCTTATTTTTAACATTTCGTTATTCAAACTTTATTGGGAGAAGAGGTTTTTGGATAAAAGGAGAAGGGAGGGGGAAAAAAAGCAATAGAAGTCATAATGGGTAAGGACCATCATCTGCAGGTAAATTATTGTTACTCGTCTTTGACAGGTGAAAGAACTAAGGAGCCTAAATGTTAAATCTGAAATACAAACTGCTCAATAAGGATTTTACTGAAATAGAGTTTTATTTTTTCTGTTTCTATACAAAACTAAAACATGACTGTTTGAATCCCATTAAAGATAAAGTCTCACTAATTCTTGGAATTGTGTGCATATGGCATCTGAATAGTTGTCATTATCTTCAATTATCTTGACCACACAGTGCTTGACCAAGTTTTCTTCATAGTAGCTTGAGGGTACTTGATGTGTTAAATAATGACCTGTAATCACAGTTATCTGTAATGGAGCTAGAAATAGAATCCACAAACTAGTTCTTATGTAGCATTTTCTGCTTTCTGTATGTTTTTGGGGCATTTATGTTTATGCATCTTATGGTCTAAAATTTTGTTTTCTTATAGAAGGAGCATATCCCAGCGCTCTTGGGAATGGCAACGGCTTATATGATCTTGAAACAGACTCCACGAGCCAGAAACCAGCTGAAGCGTATTGCGAAAATGAATTGGAATGCTATTGATGCTGAAGAGTTTGAGAAGAGTTGGCTGCTACTTGCTGATATTTACATTCAATCAGCAAAATATGACATGGCAGAAGACCTGTTAAAACGGTGCCTGCGTCATAATAGAGTAGGTGATTGAAGAGTAAAAAATAATTATTGACCTTTGTTGCATAAGCTTTCCATATAGATATTGTTGAGTGTTAGTCCATTTCCAAGGATTCCTGTGTGATTTTTGAAAATTAAATGTTTATTCTTACCACAATCAGGAAACAAGCATTAATAATAAGAAAAAAGCCATTTGTCCTTTAAAGTTTAAAAAAAAGAAAGATTTATGCAATTTCAAGTTTCAGCTGTAGTGATGCCCTACTTAACGGAAAGTGTTTTTGGAATGTCAAACGATTGCCTGTGATTATCCATCTCATCCCAGAACTAATGAAAATTGCAGAAGAACATTAATTGCGGACGTCTGTCCCTCCCATTAAGAAATACTCTTGATGAATTTACTGCAGCTGCATGTCATTTTCTCATTATTAGAATCTATTATGCATAATATATTTTGTGGGAGAAAATCTTTTCAGCTTTTAATTTCATTTGTTTAATAAAAATTCCTTATATTTAGGTATAAAATTGAATATTATAAAGTCCTTAGAATTTAAGGCTTTTTACTAACATTTTGATGTTTAATTACAAAAGATGTCATTATAACAGTTCTTTAAAGTTAAGATTTATTTTTTTGTTGAGAAATAATTGCACACAACTTAGAAATGATATTTATCTTCATATATTCATATCAATTACTTCAAAATCTTAATCACAGTAAATCTGTTTTATTCTCATTGAGCGAATTAGATTACAAATGGACCGTTTATTTTTTAAAGAGGAATTGTGATTATCTAGTACTATTAAGATACTTTCCTAGGAACTTAAGAACCTGAAAGATCCAAGCATTTGTCAATTTATGCACTATTCTAGACGATTAGCTACATAAATTTTATGTTAAATTGGCTTTGAAAAGCCGAATGCTCATTAATAGGCTTTGAAAATCTAAACTGCTGAATAGTTTACCCTTCTATATCTAGTCTAGGATTAACCAAGATTGCATGAGAATTTCAGTGCACATACAATTTCAGTTTGCCAGAACGCTGATAACAATACATTGCATGGTTGAACATGATGGCTGCTTTAGAAGCTTCATTCAGCCCTGCTGGTTGAATATGTTGATATTGAAAGCATGATATTTAAGAACTAAAGCTTAGGAAACTTGAATTACATAATTTAAAAAATGGAAGTCATCCATATCTGGGGCAGGAAATGTACAAGACGACACTAGACTGTCTTGCCATACCAGATGATGAAGGAAGCTATCCATGATGATTAGAGTTTGTGTGAAAGATCTAGGGGCCAACTTAAAGACACCTCTAGTAGCCGAAGTTGGGATGCTTTAAGTATTGATAAGAATGATAACTGCAATATATTGAAATACATAAAATCTGTTTAAATCCATGACTTCTCGAAGATCCAAAATAGAAAAAACAAAACAAACAAAAAACCTAATTGGTAACCACTGCAGTATGCTAGTGAACTGACTGCTATTTCTAAAGCTTGCAAATAAATATCCTGCCTTTTCTGTACAGAATTGGTTAACCAAATAGTCAATGAGACGTTTCTCATCATAGACATTTTCCAGCTAATTAATGAAGAAAGACTGATAGGCTATCCCCATTTTTCAACCCTGATAAATTTATATATGGATGTAACATCACAAAAAGAGGGAGAATCAGACATTCTGTGCCTCCCAACAGAAGAACAGACATCTATGGCAGGGCTAGGGTTGGGATGAGACAAGTGAAACACTTAGTAATCAAGATAAATAATAATTTAATGCAGCTGTGCTGAGCTTTATTGGAGCCTGAATCAAAAGGGAATATGTGCATTCCTATATTCATATTTTTATGTTTTTTAAAAAATGGGTAATTGGTAATGGTTTTAATGAAAATATTACTGGTGAGATTTCTTCCATTAAAGTGAGAAAAGTAAAATGATAAGAAATTAAGTTTAGGTATAAATAAAATGTTCAGTCTTAAATGTAGTGATTTTTAATATATACTTTCAGATTTTTCAATATTTTTAAACTCATATTCTGGAAAAAAATTACAATTAAGAAATATACAAAAACATGCATCCATGTTTTTATGCCTCAGTGTGGCTTATCATAGCACTGATGTTTGAAGTAGATTCACCTCTCTCCTCCAGAATCAAAATTGAATCCAAACCTCTACATCTAATTACAACTTCCAGAAAACGTCAGTGACATAGGAATATATTATATAAACACCACAAGGATGCAGTCAATTAACCTGCGTTGTGAGAAACTCGGGGATAAATATTCTTGTTTCTATTACATTTAATTTCAAGAAAAGAGACACAGAGAGACAGACAGACATACCAGAAGGGAAACCTCTGGATCAAGAGACTAGATCAAAACATTGACCAGTTACAATGTTTGGTCCTTATTTCAGTCCTCAATCTAACAAAAACAAATTATATTGAGACAATTAAAATTTAGACAGTACTGGATATTTGGTGCTATTAAGGAGTCATTAACATTTTAGGTGTGATAAAATTGTGGTTCTGTTTAAATAACGTCTTTTTCTTTTACAGATGCACACTAACACATTTAGACTTAGTTGATACAATATCTGAGGATTTTTTCTGGTAATACAGAAGGGTAGGTTTGTGAGATAGAGGTGAAACAGTATTAGTCAAAAAATAATTATTGAAGATAAGGGTTCATGGAGTTCATTATGCTCTTATCTCTGTATTTGTATGTGTTTAAATCACTCATAATAGTGTACCTGTGCTTGTGTAAAACACAAGTGCCCTATTGTGTATTTCTGATTCTGTAAAGAAAATCCTGATTCTGCAGATATGTGATGGAGACTTGCCATCAGAATCATTTATTAAGTTCAGTAAAAAATTTGATTGCCTAGCCAAGGTTGAAAACCATTGTTTGATTTGTCATTTAAATGGGTTGATATGATTGACCTCTATAGTCACAAACATCCCATAAAATCTTAGTGATATCAAGTTTAATCTATTGATGTCTCCCATTTTTCTTCAGTCTTGCTGCAAAGCTTATGAATATATGGGATACATTATGGAAAAAGAGCAAGCATATACAGATGCTGCCTTGAACTATGAGATGGCATGGAAATATAGCAATCGGACAAATCCGGCAGTAGGTGAGTTTGGCAATCACCTAGATTTTTCACAGAAAAATTATGTTGTATTTATTAATTTTCATTTAAATGCATTTGATTTTTTTCAAAACAAAATAAACATTGAGTCAATTTTCATTGTCAACCTTTCTGAAAGGAGAATAAATTTTATATTCATAATATATTATTAGCTACTAATAGTTCAGTTTCCTGAGTTCCAAACTTGTCCTCAGTCACTTAGTGTACATCTAGTCTAATTCTGCCCCCTTCTCTTCCTTCTAAAAGAAGGTGCTATTTTGAAATTGGGAATGCCATGGAAAAAGATGTTTCCATTGCCAAGTAAGTTAGGAAAATATTGCATTAAATTGAATTACACAGGTTTCTTTACTTCTCAAAGCCTTTAAACACTAACGTATATTGCGATGGATATCACAGAGGGGCCATGTTTCCCACAATTATTTGACCATGGGACATTTTTTTTTTCTCCTGAGCATCTAGAAACATCATCCAGTCCCAGGCTGGATGTTGCAGGCTGTTAGTTTGGGTAATGCTAGTCTACAGTGTCCCTAACAGAGGTGGCATCAGAATATATGTCATGACCAACCTCTCTCCTCATACGAGGGAGCTCATCCTCATGTTTGTGTACTCTTTCTTTGTATTGGGTTGAAATATGCCTCCTTGAAACTGCCCAAGTCTGTTTTCCGGAGCAACTTACAGAATGCCTCCCTCTTACAGATCATGACCCTTTAAATTGCAATCTTCAGTCCTGTGTCCTAGGACTTGTCTTCAAGCCATCTGCAGTTACTTGTCCATTCTTCCTAAGATTGGATTCCGAGTCTCTCATCTTCCTTGTTGCTGTCTCCTGGAAGCTCTAAAATAGTGTTTCCCAAACTGTGCTTTGGAACAGTTGGGGAGATTTTAATAATTATTTTTTTTTTAATTAAAAAGAATGAAGTGTGAAGGTGGTAGATGCCATGGCCATGTAAGTTTGGAAAGTGCTGTTTTATTTTTCCATGCCCCTCTGACCTGTTGTACCATAAATGAACAACCTCTCAAATATGATTTGGCTTCTTATAAGTATAATTAAGCTATTTTTTTCTTTTGATTAGGCAATTTGTAGTTGTTAATTCAGCCTAAGATGGCATCAGTCTTTTCAGCAGCCATGTCACCGTGTGAATTCGATTTTGATTTGCAGTCAAATGAGTCAACCTCATACTAACTGCTGTTAGCTCAGGTCTTCCCTCATCTGTTAGTTTCCTGGAGTCTGTTCTCATACTATACTAGACTTGTGCAAAGCACAAAAACTAATGATTTTTATAGTATTTTTTATTCTAAGGTGTGATATATCTTTCAGAATAAAGTCATCTGGTAAAATGAAAAGTCCTTAAATATCCTTAAAATATTAATTTTGACACTTTATTCCATAGAAGGAATGCACATAGAAGTTAAATTATTTATATATTCCATTCCTTGGAAGACCTCAGCAAATAAAGAGATTCCAAATGACTAGTTCTTTCATTGTGTCATCATTGTATTTTATAGATTATTTTATCAGTTCCTCTAGCTTTGCTTTGGTAATCATTTCTTTCTAAGGCTCTCCATTAATTCCTCAATTTCATCCTTAAGATTGTCATTGCATCTAACACCCTCAATGTGCCTGGCCAAATAAACAATGTATTTCACTTTTTCAGTTGTCAGAAAACCCTTAAAATCATGCTCATGGCCAGGCGCAGTGGCTCACACCTGTAATCCCAACACTTTGGGAGGCCGAGGTGGGCAAATCACCTGAGGTCAGGAGTTCGAAACTAGCCTGGCCAACATGGTGAAACTCCGTCTCTACTAAAAATACAAAAATTAGCCGGGCATGGTGGCGGGCGCCTGTAATCCCAGCAACTCAGGAGGCTGAGGCAGGAGAATTGCTTGAACCCGAGAGGTGGAGGTTGCAGTGAGCCGAGATCACACCACTGCACTGCAGCCTGGTTGACGGAGTGAGACTCTGTCTCAAAAAAAAAAAAAAAAAAATCGTGCTCATGCTCTTTCCATAGAATTCAGGGTTGAATATTGTCACTATAAGAGGCACCAGGATGAATGATGAATGGATAATTTGCTTGACTGCAGTAATCATTTATAAATAAATATATATACACACACACACATATATCTACACACCCACATCTACACACCGACATCATTTTGTATATCTTAAATATATACGAGGAAAAAAAGAAACACACTAGGAACAACTGAGATCCAATGAGAGAAGAAACTACTCATGTTTCACCCTTCATACCTATTCTCAGGTTATAGGACAGTCATTAGACTGTGTAGAATGTTTGCATTCTCTCGCTGTCTCTCCTGATTGCATATAGTTGAGTTCTAATAAGTTTGGCAGGTGTAGTGCAGCTGCAGTGCACATTTTCTTTCCCCTTCTTAGGTCTTTATTTCCTCTGAAATTTTTGTACCAGGTCATGTATCAAGTTTCTTCCAGTGTTAAAATTCTGTGATTATAATATAGTGAATGCTTACATTAAAAAATGCTAATATTTTGTGGTATTCTAAGGTTTTAAAAACCATTTCACAAGTATTTTATATGATTTTTAAAATTATACTAAGAGTTAGAGGGAGGAGTTGTTATTCCTGTTTTAGCGATGAGGAAACCTGAAAATGACAGCTCAAGCCACTTGCGTAAGATCCCAAAGCTAGTCAAGAAACCACAAACCAAAACTGAAATCTTGACTAGTTCCCATGTAAGTATGTTTGGCATGACATCTTAAAAATTGCTTTACTTTTTGAATGTCACAAACCCTTTTAGTTCATTTTAGAATTTGTTGGTAATGACATTAAGTTTACCTCTCTGAAACTTCTTATTTTTGTCTAAAATCTGAGATGTGAGATTCTGCCATAGGCCCTGCCCATGTGTGCCTGTGTGCATGTGTGTGTGTGTAGAGATATATATATACACACCTATATAGACATACATATATATACACACACATATATAAACATACACACATATATATATGCAGTCATGTGTCGCTTAACAATGGAAATCTTCTGAGATATGCATCATTAGACAATTTCATCATTGTGTGAACATCTTAGAGTATACTTACACAAACCTAGGTGGTAGATCCTACTACACACCTGGGCTATCTGGTATAGCCTATTGCTCCTAGGCTACATACCTGTACAGCATGTTACTGTCATGAATGCTATAAGCAATGTGTGTATGTAAACATAGAAAAGGTACAGCAAAAATACAGTATAAAAATCTTTGGGACCACCATCATGTATGTGGTCTGTTGTTAATGAAACATCATCATGCAGTGCCTGACTATATATAAAATAGTGTGAATTTTAGATCATTTCTATTTCTTTCTTTTTACTACCATCTGATAATGTTAGCCAGTAATTCTTTTCAAACATTTAAAATTTTAAACATTTGTTTTGGTACTTTTATTAGAGCTGAAGAGCACTATTTACACTTCTTATTTCATATTTTTAAGAGGTAGAGTGAGATATTTTTTATTACACATTATTTTACATTGCATTATATCTTGTTTACTGCGTGCACAGCTGCTGTTACTTTTCTTGTCTTCTTAGTTTTCTCATTTTTATAGCATGTTACAAGAGAACAACATCCATTAAGAGGAATGTGTTAAATATTCTTCTAATTGTTGATAGTAGAAGTGTGGCATTTCACTATCAGTAATTGTGATAATTCTTACCAGTCATTGATGACTAATCTGCCTTCCTCTGTGTCGCTCTCCTATGTGCTCTGTCTTCTCACCATACTCCAAGTTCATTAACTCCCTGTGTGTCCTACCACTGGCCTTAATCCATGCAGTTTCCTCTGTCTGAGAGTGTCCTTGATTCCCACCCTAGCCTAGTTTATGCCTCATTCTTCAGATTTCAGACATCTCTTGATACCCTTCAGGTTCTTTATGGTAACTCACTTGGCCTGGATCTTTCTTTCATAACATTTATCTCAGTTTTGAAATTATTTACTCATGCAATTATTTTAAAATGTACTTTTTCTCCTAATAGAATGCAAACCTCATAACTGTAGGCATCAGTTTGCCTGTGTAAGTGCTAAATAAATCTGTACTGTATAAATGAATGGCTGTGTTGTCATTTACTGCCCTATGATGAGTTTTTACTATAACCTGAAATAAATGAGACTTTTCTAGTAAGTTATAGAAACCACACTTGTGGGATGGCAGCTTTCTAACCTATCAATGTATTCACTGTGGTCCTTTTTTCCAACTCCACTTTCTTTTCTTCTTACACTTCTTTTGTGTCACTCTGTCTTCTATTATCACACAACTTCTCTGTATAGCGTAGTTTGGTTGTTCATTCACCAGCCTCCCTTACCATTCTCTAGTGAGTAAGCAAAGAGAGGAGGAGGCAAGGAAAAGTAATAGTAGCAGTGTACTCCATCATTCTGTTTTATGGTTTTTGTCTTAACAGGATACAAACTGGCATTTAATTACTTAAAAGCAAAAAGATATGTGGATTCAATTGACATATGTCACCAGGTAAACACTTAAATTTAGATTTCTTAAAATTTTTCAGATGCACAATTTCCTACTTTTTTAAATCTCCAGATGTATGTGAATAGAAATAGAGGATACATTATTTTAGTTAAATGATTTATCAGTATGTTTAGGGAGATTATCAGTGTTCGAAATTTAGAAAATGATGTTCACCTAAATAAAAAACATGTTTTTACTTTGAGATCAAATAATAAAATGTTTATGTCAATTTAAAGACAAAGACCACTGAAGAGTACATATTAAACAATAAACCATAAAATATTTACATGTATGGAAAGGAGTAGGATTAAAGAGGTGGAGTAAAAGAGACTTTTACTTTAAAAAAAAAAAAAGACAAAGACCAGTGGGAGAAACATGTTAAATAAAATGTAGTCTTTAAGTTAGAAGATATTTGAAGACAGTATAGATTCTCCAGATCATTATTCTGATTAGAAGTTCTTGTGAATGTGTCTGAATCTGGTTATTAGAGAATTCAGACTGATCAATTAGAGATAAAAAGGAATTCTATTAGAAGTCATTCAATTGCATTCTGTAATTCATCCCCTAGTAAATGATCACCTACTAAAATGACAAATATTTAAATTACAGTTTTAGAATTTGTAGAGTCTCTTTATATATACATTGTCCCATTGATATTCCATATAAGACATTCTATTAAACATTGTAAGGACCTCCAAGAAAAGTTCATTAGAAAAGAATTTTGTAATGCCCCTTATCCCACACAGCAATCTGTTAGCATCATTACAGTAAATACTTGGCCTTAGTAATTGCTGTTGATTACTGAGTCTCTGTAAAGCAGTATTTCAGTCAGGTTAGGGTTGTGTGTTAATGTAAGGCTATATATTAGGATCATTTTTGGAGTTAAAAAAAAAAACTAGCATCTCCCCACTCTTAGACTCAGTAGAACTAGAAATACGTATGTCTCAAGATCATTTCAGGTAAAGCTAATGTGTGCTGCTGTATAAAAGTCACTCTCTAAGGGTTTATCAGATATTATGAATGAAAAGCTAAATTACAAAAATATTTTAAATCATTGATACATAATTGTTTTATACAATTCATCTATTAGGTAAGCAGTTGTTTGTTATATTTTCTGCATTTGATATTTACATTCTATTGTTCTCATCTAACTACCATTAATATAAAGGAGTCATCATGTTACATTTAAAATGCCACCATTAAAAAGTGTTATAGCTGTTGTAGTATTAGTACAAGGAAATCTTAACTGTAATGCTCATTTCTTATAAGTTTTGTAACTCCGTAGTTTTTGATTATTAGTTACAAGTTTTTATGGGTTCTTTATTTGTTTTGCAGGTTCTTGAAGCACATCCAACTTATCCAAAAATCAGAAAGGATATACTTGATAAGGCCCGTGCGTCTTTAAGACCTTGAAAATAATTTTAACTTAGGTGTTGGTTTAACAGGAAATGAAAGAAATCTAACTTTCAGTTCTTCCTGTTCAAAACAGGTTTGAGCTCAGTGCTTTGTTATTAGAAGTATACCCTTTTTTCTCCAGCAGAGGTTGCTGCTGTACATCAAGAGAAGTACTATGTGAAATTGGTGTTTCCTAATGGAGTTGAATGAGAGCTGGTCTATTTGACTCTGTTTTGATTGGGTACAGATTTGGTGACTCTGTGGTAAAGACTATAATTATTTCTATAAAGAATATTTTGTTAAAATCTAGGTAATTAAATACCCTGTATCTTTTCTAAGGAATATTATTTCAGGAAATATATTTAAAATGCATTGTTCTCTTTTAAAGTGTTTTTGTTATATTCTTTTATTTATTTATTTATTTTTAAAGACAGAGCCTTGATCTGCCGCCCAGGCTGGAGTGCAGTGGCACGATCTTGGCTCACTGCAACCTCCGCCTCCTGGGTTTACGCGATTCTCCTGCTTCAGCCTCCCGAGTAGCTGGGACTAAAGGCATGTGCCATCACACCCGGCTAATTTTTTGTATTTTTAGTAGAGATGGGATTTCACCGTGTTAGCCAGGAGGGGCTTGATCTCTTGACCTTGTGATCCACCTGCCTCGGCCTCCCAAAGTGCTGGGATTACAGGCATGAGCCACCGCACCCAGCCTGTTTTTGTTGTATTCTGTGTTGTTTCAAAAATTGGAATAAATCTCCCTGTAAATAACTCATGAAAAAGACAATATATATATTTTAAATATATATTTTAATAAAGGTTTTATAAATAGATGATTTATATTCCTCTTGGAACTCAAAAGATGTGGTAAGTTTTGCAAATCAGGGTAAGCTCCCCCTGCATTCTGTAATGTTAATGGGTGGTGGTATAGTACAGAAAATGTAACTTTCATTGAAAAATCTTTTTTAGAAAAGGGTAGAGTGTGTGTTTCCCTTTCCTTTCTTGAGCTCATTCTTCCTGCTTTCAAGGCCATTGTGGTCTTAAGAAATAATCAGGTCCTGAAACCTCAATTTAAATAGGTCCCTTATTAGGGATATTTAACCTTAGCCTAGAAGACTTGGTCTGCAGGTATAATTTCAGACACTGTAACATTTGATGGTAAAGGGTGACCAAATACTTTTGGTCAGCAGGGAGTCACAAAGCACACCATGTGAAGGCAACGGTTTACCCAGCTCTGTTTAACAGCACCCTGGCATAGAAGCTTTCACTCTCTTACACTAAATTTAACCTAATCTAAACTTAATCCTTAGCATTATTTTTAATTTCTCATCTACATCTTTTTCAATTTTCCTTAAAATTGTAGTAAACACAGTCCTCAATTTTATTTGCATTTACAATAAACAGTATTTATAAGTCATTTGCTGCTTTTTATTAAATGTCCTGTGTTTGTTTTGAACTCCATTCTCTTGTTTCTGATCATTTCTCCCATTTTTCAAAATCCCTTTAATTTCAATTACGTTATAAAATTCCAATTATTCTTCTTTTCACTTAGCAAAACAGTTTTTTGTGGGGTTTTTTGTTGTTGTTGTTCTTTGAGACAGAGTCTTACTCTGTAGCCCAGGCTGGAGTGCAGTGGTGCGATCTTGGCCCACTGCAACCTCTACCTCCTGGGTTCAAGCAATTCTCCTGCGTCAGCTTCTTGAGTAGCTGGGACTAAAGGCACACGCCACCACGCCTGGCTAATTTTTGTATCTGCAGTAGAGATGGGGTTTCGCCATGTTGGCTAGGCTGGTCTCGAACTTCTGGCCTCAAGTAATCTGGCCGCCTTGTCACCTAGCTTTTATTTATGGCATTTCATAGAATGTTTAATAATAGAATTTATAAGTCACTTCATATATGTTAAAATACTTTCATATTCCTTACATTTGATCTTCACAAACCTAAAATGCCGGCATTATTATCCCTGTTTTACAAATCTGGAATCGTGAAACATTACCTCTTTTTCTTTAATTCAGGTGGAGAAATATCTTTCAGCCTGAGTGGACATTTTTAAGGACAATGCTATGGACTGAATGTTTGTGTACCCCAAACTTCGTATGTTGACATCCTAGTCTTTAATGTGATAGTATTGGGAAGTGAAGCTTTAGGAAATAATTAGGTCATAAGGCTGAAGCCCTTGCGAGTGCGATTAGTGCCCTTAAAAAGAGGATCCCAGAGAGTTCTCTAGCTATCTTTCTACCATGTGAGGACAAAATAAGAAGTCAACTATTTGCAACCCAAAAGAGGGTCCTCACCAGAACCTGGTGGTGCTGGAACCGTGATCTCAGACTTCCAGCCTCCAGAACTGTGAGAAACAGATTTCTTTTGTTGATAAGCCCACCAGTTTATGATATTTTATTATTGCAGCCGGAGCTGACTCAGGCAGAAATCACATTAACAGAATGCCTTTAGTAGTTCCAGTGAACTTGTGTCATGGGATGCTGGAATCATGGAAATTGGATAGAGAAATAGAGCATCTGTTCTCTCAGCAAGACATTTCCAAATCAGTTTTCCTATCTGTAAGAGGAGAGGAAGGTTTTGTTTTTGTTTCTTAAGCAGCCATTTATTTTGCACCTGCCATTTGTTAGATGCTATTTTAGGGACTTTCCTTACTTTATGTCTTTTAATTTTCAGTCAGCTATTAAGAGAAATAATATTCCCACTTTTCAGATAAGAAAGGTGAGACCTGGACTAAATGATTTGCCCAGGGTCACAGAGAAAAGTGTCAGAACCTGAATTCCATACTGGCCCAGTCAACTTCAAAGCCTCTGCCTTATTTATTATATTAAGATGCCTTCTATAACTAAGAGATAATGTTTCTGTAAGAAGAAGTGATCTTTTCTACATCTGGCTAGCAGAAGAAACTGGTGTATCACAGAGATAGCTAAATAATGAAGAACAAGATGGACTGAGTGGAATGAACAGCTGTTACAAATGTAGAAACTATTAAAGAGCAGTCTAATTGAGGAGCACTATAGTGTAGCAGTCAAGAGCATGGATCTGAAATCAGACCAGCCTGGATTTAAGTTTTGGCTCTACCATTACCTAGATGTTTCATCTTTCTCCAAGTTACACACTCTCAGCCTCAGTTTTCTCACCCATAAACAAGCATATAAGGATAATAACCTGCCTCAGGTTGTAAGGATTAAAGGGAACTTATATAAAACCTATAATGAATCTGACTCACTAGGCTCTTAATAGTAGCTCCTCTTATAAGCAGAACAGGGCAAAGTAGTAATTGCAACTGAGAAGAGAAAATGCAGTTCAAAGCAAGATTAAAAGGATGAGTAAAGTCCCCTAGAGAGCTCAGCCCTACAGGATTTGAGATTCTCATTCATTCACACCTTCCCTCCTTCCTTCCCTTCTAATTTTTGTTCAACTACTTCCCTCTTTTCCTCTCTCTCTACCCACCAACCATTATGCTAGACTCCACATGCAGCATCTCATTTTATCCACCTGGAGCTTGCTTTTGCCCTACTCTCCTCAGTGGAGAATTCTCTTCCTCCTGTCCCTCCCTTCACCCCCGCTTCCTGTCTCTGAGCTTCCTTCTCCAGGTTTGCTCCTTTCCATCAGGTATCACTTTATCACCACCTCCTCAAAGAGGCCGTGTTCATGTCCAGGCCCACAATCTCAAGTAGCCATCCTGTGATTCTGTATCATATTATCCTTTTTAAACTCTATGCAGCATTTACTACCTCTGATGTTTTTTCTTCTTTAAGGATTTGATTGCCTTATGTGACAAGCCCAAGATCTGTGACAGTTGGAGCTCAAACTAGGCAGTCTTGATTCCAGACTGCTCTGAACTAGTATTTGAAGGAACTAATGAACATGACATGTTAAATGAAAGTTTGGGGACGTACACTCAGGATGGAAGCAGGGGGACACAACAGAAATGAAAGAATTTTCTGTAGATCTGGGATCTGGACACCTGCCCCCCGTCATGGTAAGGACACAGTTGTAAGTTTAATGTACTTTTGACCTTAATTCAGCTAGTATGGTGAACTGGGTCCAAGAGGAAATATCTTTCTTCCCCAGAAGTCAAGAACCTAGAGCAAATCTGGAAGGCTTTTATGCATGGACAGCTGAGGAAGCAAGTTGAACTTTGCACTAGAGTAGAAGTAGATAATGGAATCACTATGGAAACCAAAAGACCAATTAAGAATCTGACAGGAGCTATCCTAGTTTGCGACTGGAGATGACAAGTGAATAGCTTTAAAATAGGATCATACAACAGCGTTCATGCTGACAGATTTTTTTAGAAGCAAGGTTGGCAAAGGTGCAAGGAAACCACCGCATTCAGACCGCTGCTCATCGAAGTGTAGCACAGCCTTCCTGAAGGGAATAACTTATAAACAGCAAAAAGCAAGTTCGAGAAGGCTGTTCTCTAAAAACAGCACAAAATAAGAGTCTCTCGTTTAACCAAGTGATCCCACGTAGAGAAATTTATCACAGGAAATATTCCGAAATTTCTCAAAGGTTTCCAATTTTAAAAATTGTAACTGAATTTTTTGCTGCTTTTGGTTATCAAAACATCCAACATGAGGTTGTCACATATGTAAGATTTGACCAATAATATAGTAGTAGGTAGTAATTGAAAACTATTTCAAGGATTTATTTATGTATTTAATTTTTTTGGCTCATGCCTATAATCCCAACACTTTGGGAGGCCGAGGCAGGCAGATTGCCTGAGCTCAGGAGTTCGCAACCAGCCTGGGCAACACGGGGATCCTCGTCTCTACTAAAATACAAAAAATTAGCTGGACATGGTGGTGTGCACCTGTAGTGCCAGCTACTCGGGAGGCTGAGGCAGGAGAATTGCTTGAACCTGGCAGGTGGAGGTTGCAGTGAACCGAGATCACGCCACTGCACTCCAGCCTGGGCAACAGTGAGATTCCGTCTAAAAAAAAAAAAAAAAAAGAAAAAAAAAATTTTTGAAAGATTTTAACTGCTAAAATGCTCACAAAATAAGTGAATAAAGAGGAAAATGTAACTGTTCAAATAATAATATATCCATTTGCCAAAACTATAGATGCATATAAGAATACACAAAACTAGATGAAACCCAGTTGTTAACATAGTTATATCTGAGTGATGAAATATTTATTTACCATTGTAAAAGTTAACTGGAATTAACATATATTCTACAATAAAAAAAGTTTTTTGTTGTTTTTTAGAGAATAGCCTTCTCAAACTTGCTTTTTGCTGTTTAAAGTTATTTTTCTGAACACAGACGAAGAGAAGAAGCTAAACAAAAGCTGACATTTCAACTCTCAATACCACACTTTACTATTAATTGTTAATGCAAAATGCAATCTATATTACTTCGATGGCCAGCGATAGAGATTCAGGAAGTGAAAGATGGAAATAAAAGCCAGAAAGTAGTAGTAGGAGTGGTAACAGAAGTGGTACTAGAACGTAAGAGTTCCAGAGGGGATGTGTAAGAGCATAGTCCTGCAATTACATAAAGGATTGAGAGCAAACCCAGTCCTCTGTAATTTTAGTCCATTATTCCATTAACAGAGTTTTAATGATGATTCTACCAAATATAATAAATTAAAAACCAGTGGAAATATCTGAAATCCTGCAGAGCCTCCACGTGTGGTCGTGCAGTGTGTGCACTGCACAGAGTGACCCAGCCAAGGGCACAGGAGATGGAGGCAGAAATCCTCCAAGTCTTACCACTCTGCAACTGCATCTCCATGCAGGAGGACTCCCTTTTCTAATTTGAATACAACTTTCTCATAGGCTATTGGAAGCCCTGCGAATGGAAGGAGAGGAACTAGAGTCAGTATAGAAAAGTTTTTAGAAATAAGGCTGAGGGTGAAGAGTGATGTGTCCATAAGGGTGTGAGAAGTCTGTCTTTTAAGGTAAGAGCTACTTGGGCATCTATGGAGAAAAAAAAAAGCCAGTAAATATTGAAGGTACAAGAAAGAGAGGAGGGGAAAACCTGAGTAGAAAAATGGTGGCATCCAGGGGGTGCACAATTTTTGCAAGGGGAGTGAAGGAACGAATGAACTGCAGAAAGACTCACTTGATATAAAGGCGGCTTCAGGAGCCCTTATGCTAATTGGCTCCAGTAGTTTTATAATGAATAAAATAGTCTTTGAGCTAAGGGCAATACCACTCCTTCATATGCACAGGATCTTGGACCTCTGTTTTCTTTGGACTCTGAGGTATTTTTCACTTATTTCCAGGTTCCTGGTTGTGGTTGTTGGAATTCTGCCTGCCAGATTAGAGGGGAGTTACTGTAACATGATAAATCCCAGTTATGATCAAAAATGTGCTACCCTCCTTCTAATGCTCCTCTTAAGAACCAGATGTTTTCTAGAAAAACGTTTCACTCTGCAATCTGCCTTAAGTGCACATCAATGAATCTGGCACAATGCCCATAAAAGCAATCTGATCCCATAAATGAGGGATGCGGAGTAATGAGCAGGTTCTAAATGTCTTACTTCCGAGTGGTATAACATGAGACTCGATGGCAACCCTTAAACCAGGCTGCTTTCAAATAGTATGTATGTTACATTTATCTTCCTTCAAACAAATTCTTTTGGCAATGTAAAAGAAATCCTGTTTTTTTTTTAAGGGGGTATTTTAAGAAGGTAATTACTATTTCCATTTTCACCAAAAGCAGCCTAGTTTTATTTTTAATGGGTAAATGATGTAAGAACCTTAAAAAACCACATGAAACACAGAGGACAAAGCTGCAAAATGTTCAGTAGTATCCTCACTTATTTCGGGTCAGGGCAATAGGTCCTTTTTCACAGTTACAGATTAAACTTTCTTTGAAAAACACAGTAAGCTTAAGAACTTTGAGGAAAAAGAATGCACTAAAACGCTAAGCAGTTACAAAAATGCTCTTTTCATACAGTTTAAGTTTAATATGTGAAGTTGCTCTAGTAAATACATAAAAACTCCTCCCTTACATAGTTTCCTGAAGAATTTTTTTGTCCAATTTTTCACATTGACTTAAGTTACAAATTGCAGAGGATAGATTGAGGGGGACTCTGGGTGGGTGCAAGTGCAGGATATTGAGAAATCGCAAGGGCAAAGTTAAAATGATTGAATACGTACCATGTGAAGAGTCAAGGTGAGGAAACGGGACAAACGACATGTCTAGATCCTGATGTCACTTACTTGTGTTAAACACATGAATCTACTGCCTTTTATAAAATGTATGTGCTGGGTGGTTGTTTTTGTAGATTTTTTAAAATGCCCAATATTCATTATTCAAGTTTCAATAAGAATGATTTTGTTTCTACAAAAAGGAAACAACTTTTTAATTTTTTATTTGGAAAAAAATTAAATGTACAGAAAGTTGCATAAATAATATTGCAAATACCATATATATTAAGGTAAACATTAAAATATTCCTAATATTTTAAACCATTTGCTTTATCATTTGTGCTTTCTGTGTGAGTATACGAATTTTATGTATACATTTACACTGACACGTATGTATACACACATATATACATATGATTTTTTTTCTGAAGATTCTGAAAGTCACAAGCATCGTACACATCCCTGTACCCCTAAGTACTTCAGTGGTCTGTATTTCCTAAGAACATGGATACACTCCTATATAATCAAACTGTAGTTATCAACTTCAGTAAATTTAACATGGATTCCATACTTTAATCCACATCATTTACCATCAATTGATCCAATGAAGTCCTTTTTTTCCTCCAGTCAGGATCCACTCTGGAATCAGATATCGTATTTACTTGTCTTGTCTCTTTATTGTTGCTTAATCTGGAGCATATCCACAGCCTTTCTCTCTTTTACAATATAGACATTTTTTGAAGAAAATGTCCCTCACCCTCTTTTTTTTGTAGTAGAATGTTCTTCATTTAGGGTTTGTCTGATATTTCATCATGATTCAATTTGAGCTAAACATCCCTGGCCATAATGCTATATAAGTAGTATGTCCTCAGGGTATCAAATATGGAAGCACACATATTTATCTGCCCTCACTTGTGAATTAATTTTGATTACTCCTTCAAATTTCTCCACTACATAGTTATATTTTTTCTTGCAACTAATAAGCAATCTGTGAGGAGACACTCGTAGATCAAATATCGTGCTCCTCTTCAAAACTTTCCACTGGATTGATCATGATTCTTGCCTAGTCCCATCTTTACTGTGAGGGTAATAAAGGCTCCACATGTACCCAGCAGTTAGTACTTAGCGTTTTACCATAAGCAGGAGCCCCGCCTTTGCTTATTTATTGTTTTTGCTTTTCATTTTTATCCATTATTTAATATAGGAGAGTAGGGGACTCTGGAGCTTAAACAAACTATCACATAGTGAGGACTGAGAGTTGAGCTTTATTTTTTTTCCTCCTGGATAAAATAATTTTATCCATTGTTTAATATAGAAGGAGAGTAGGGGACTCTGGAGCTTAAACAAACTAGCACATGGCGAGGATTCAGATTTGAGCTTTTTGTTGTTAAAAATATTTAACATCATACAGTCTTGTGAAATTCTATTTTTCAATATTTCATCATTCATTAATGTCTTTAATTATTTTGGTGCTCAAATTATTTCAGATTTGTCCAGCAGAAGCCTCTTCAGGCTGGTTCCTGTGTCCTTGTGACATGCTCTCATTGTTCATTTTTCTTTTTTTTGAGCACTTTCTTACTTTCTATCATAACAAGGTGTCTGAGGCTCAACTTCTCATTTCCCTGCTTCAACCTTGGAATCACACATTTCTCTGAGGAGCCCTGGTTCCTTTTATTGGGAATGGTGTTAGAGATGAGGATCCAAGTGCTAAGTCTGCTCGTTGCTACTAGGGTGTAATTGCTTCTAGATCCTTTCAGAAGATGGAAAACATATGCATGCCTACATACATATGCATATACAGACATATACTCATAGACACACATATAGACATACAGGTGTTTGCACGAATACTGTACATACACACAGTCTCACATACACTGACATCTAGTTCTTATTTGTATGACCCTTTTCCAGAGTGTGGTCCTGGATCCTAACAACTTCAACCTATTTGTCCATTTCTTCAACCTTATAATCTACCTAAAATGGTTTCAGAATTGCTTCACCCAAACGTTTATAACAAAAACAAGTCTACAAAATCTACAAAAACCAGTTCAGAATTTGTTTTCAGTCTCCCACCTCCCACAATGCCACCAACTTTGGTCGATTTTTAATTTATTGTTGATAAATTCAACAAACTATCCTAAAATGTTACCAGAACCATTTTCCAGTAGTATGACGTATTTTAAAAATCAAACTAGGCCAGGCACAATGGTTCACACCTGTAATCCCAGCACTTTGGGAGGCCGAGGCAGGTGGATCATCTGAGGTCAGGAGTTTGAGAGCAGACTGGCCAACATGGCAAAACCCCATCTCTACTAAAAATACAAAAATTAGCTTGGTGTGATGGTGGGCACCTGTAATCCCAGCTACTCAGGAGGCTGAGGCAGGAGAATCATTGCTTGAATCCGGGAGGTGGAGGTTGCAATGAGCCAAGATCGCGCCATTGCTCTCCAGCCTGGGCGACAAGAGCAAAACTTGTCTTAAAAAAAAAAAAAAAAAAAAAAAAAACACCTAAATTATTTATTGCTGATAAGAGTGTGTGCTCTGTTTCATGGATCAGCTTTGCAATTTCCTTCCAAATATTCATCTACTTGCAGAATAAATGCCATCCCTTCCCACGCCAACCATATCGATGATATAGTGGCAGGAAGGAGAGTAAGGGACTCTGGAGCTTAAACAGACCATCACATGGTAAGGATTGAGAGTTGAGCTTTTTGTTAAAAGTATGTTGTAGATCTACATTATTATAAACTGATTTTTCTGTTTGACCTCAAGTATTTTCAGCACTTTTACTGTGATAGGTTAACTGTCAGCCATAAACATTTCTAAAGAAATAGGAAAATTTTCTTCCTATATTATTCAAAATACAAGTTTCTGGTTTATAGCAACTAATACTGTTTTTTCCCCTCAACCCGCCGTTTCCAACTGCTACCCTTTCTCATTGAATCTTCACTTGAAAAAGTTAGATTTATATCCTCTATTCTTTATTTTTGTATTTATATTTTATTTCTATTTTCTTGAGTCCTACAGTCTCATAAAATCGTTTTGAATAGCAGAGCTGCAGAGCTGATGGGGAGGTCAGCTATGTTAATTCCACAGCGCCCCTGTCTTCGGTGTGAGGTTGCCTAGCAACCCATCTCTCAGGCCTCCTTTGTGGATGAGAGAAGAGAAAGCAATTCTTCTATACACTCTCAAGCCGAGATGATTTTTATAAAGTGAAAAACCTTTCGCAAAGGGTCTAACACAACCCCTGCTTCTCCTCCTCTGCCCACTGTACACTTCACATATGATGAGAGAAATATCCCATCCTTTTAAGCTTTAGATCTGATACAGATATAAAGCGGAGCTAGATGCTGTATGGTCAAACAGTGGAAGTGACCTGTATCTTCATGTTAAATTGAGACACATTAATTAAACCACTCATCTTCCCTTTTCTCTTCTATGAAAGCATAGTTTCCCCTCAAGTTCTAAAAGCCAGTTTTGTTAAATGAAACTGCAACTGCCTGCTGAGCATCAGTTGCCATAGCGACGAGAGCCAGGAGTGGTGTTTTTCTCCTTAGGCACAGGATGACTGAAATGTGTTCAACCAGGGGATTCAAGCAGCCTGCTGACTAGAAACAGGCATCTGGGAAGAGCCTGCTCGGTTGCTTTTTCTCCACACTCATTTGAAAAAAATAACTAACCCCTCTGCTATTCCCTTTAAGCTGTTACCTTTTTAGAACCAAACTTCAGTGGGTGGCAGAAGTGCCCTACCTTAGGCATACAGGAGAAGGGGGAGCAATGATGCATGCCAGTGAAACCCACACGAACAGCTAAGAGAGCATGCGAACAGTGCAGAGAAGATGCACTGCCCTTTCAGATGTCTCTGAAAATACAGAGTACCACATGTATTTTCCACATTGTGAAAATACTTAGGTACATTTTTTTGAAAGATTTATAATCCTATTACCTTATTTTCCAGGCAGATGATGTTATTCACAAGAATATTGTGGTTCCAATGGATAATAGTTTATGGAGGGTTGTTGTAAGTTAAAATACATATAAGGAAAAATGCTTTGTGCTATTCTCATTTGCCTCTAATTATGGCTGAGAAGAGAGAGGTAGGATAGCACATGGGCTTTGGAGTCAAACAACCTGGGTTGACCTCCTGTGCCATTTAACAGTGTGATTTGGGGCAAGTTCCATAAGGTGTCTAGGTCTCACTTTCCTAATTTTTACAAAGAAACTAAAAAGAGTATTGTTAACTGTGTGAAGTAAGAAAATATACATAAAGCACCTGATTCAAACACTGATGACTGTTATAATCAGTTTGGCTTAACTGACCACTCAGTACTAATTGAACACCTGGTACATGCCCATGCTTGATGTGAGAAGAGTACTGAGGTCCCAGCCAAAAAGAGGGCAGCCAAGTTTGGGGACTGCAACTGCAGGTTATCTACCTTTCTGATGCTTCAGAAAGGTTTGGTATGTCATCCTCACCAATGTTCTATCCATAGTGACAGTGAATGATACTCCTTGTGGGTCTGTCTTCATGGCCAGTTCACAGTGAAAACTCTTACTGCTGTTTCTTAACTAAATTTTGCTTTTCTGTCTGAACTGTCATTACCAGCACCCTCAGTCATCACAGTCATTAGACTGGACATCTGCCTCCATGGAGAATATGTGAATACCTGTGAATGTACTTCCTGGAGGCGCTGCCAAACTATTTCCAGCAATGACAAAACATAGCATGTACGTGAATTCCCAAAGTGCCTTCCCTGGGCATTCTTTTCTAGCAACAGTATACCTTCTGGTGACTTTCTAACAAAGCAATTACATAATTCCTGGAAAGCGTGTACTTTTAAAATTTTAGATCATTGAATCTCATCCTTTCATTTTAGAGGTAAAAAGGGAGCTCAGGAACATTGATTAAATTGCCCAATTCATTTTTATATATGCATTTTTATATACATATGTATATATCCAAAAATAATATCATATAATTATATACATGTACCTACACACACATTCATATATAAATACACACATGTAAAGAGGAAGGAATCAGTTACACAAATACATAATTTTTTTTCAGGTTGTCTAAAAGTATACTCCAAGTTCCCCCAAGCTAGAGACCATTATTATCAGTGATTGCTCTACAATTTGCAAGTAGCAGAAACCAACTTAGGATGGCCTGAGTTATATGTAACTCTTCAAGTTGGCACTGGAGCTGAAAGGTGGGAAGGAACTGGAACCAGGGACTGGAATGTGGGCAGGACTCTATGCCTTTCCTCTGATACTTTCTGCATGTTGCTGTTCACTCAACTATCCATCCAGATATTCACTGAAGACCTATTCTATGCCAGGCACTGTGCCAGGCAGAGGGAAAGCCCTCATATCGGGCAGACCTGGTCTTCTCCAGTAGATCTTGTGAAACTTATTGGCTCTCATTCTCTCTTGCCACTGCCATGTAAGTAGTAGCTTTTGCTTCCACCATGATTATGAGGCCTCCCCAGCCATGTGGAACTATGAGTTTGTTAAACCTCTTGTATTAGTCTATTTTCATGCTGATGATAAAAGACATATACCTGAGACTGGACAATTTACAGAAAAAAAAGAAGTTTAGTGGGACTTACAGTTCTACTTGCCTGGGGAGGCCTCACAATCATGGTGGAAGCCAAGGAGGAGCAAGTCAAATCCTACATGGATGACAGCAGACAAAAAGAGAGAGCTTGTGCAGGAAATTCCTCCTTATAATACCATCAGATATTATGATACTTATTTGCTATCACAAGAACAGCACTCAGATATTATGAGACTTATTTGCTATCAGAAAAATAGCACATGCCCCCATGATTCAATTACCTCCCACTGAGTTCCTCCTACAACACGTGGGAATTCAAGATGAGATTTGGGTGGGGACATACCCAAACCATATCACCTCTTTTTCTTCCCAGTCTCAGGTATGTCTTTAGCAGCAGCAGGAATACAGACTAATACAGTAAATTGGAACCAATAGAGTGGGATGCTGCTGAAAAGATACCCGAAAACAGGGAAGCAACTTTGGAACTGGGTAACAGACAGAGGTTGGAACAGTTTGGAGGGCTCAAAAGAAGCCAGAACAATGTGGGAAAGTTTGGAATGCCCTAGAGACTTGTTGAATGGCTTTGCCCAAAATGCAGATAGCAATATGGACAATAAAGTCCAGGCTAAGGTGGTCTCAAATGGAGATGAGGAACTTGTTGGGAACTGTAGCAAAGGTGACTCTTGTTATGTTTTAGCAAAGTGGCTGGCAGCATTTTGCCCCACCCTAGAGATTTGTGGAACTTTGAACTTGAGAGAGATGATTTAGGGAATCTGGTGGAAGAAATTTCTAAGCAGCAAAGCATTCAAGAGGTGACTTGGGTGCTGTTAAAGGCATTCAGTTTTATAAAGAAATCAGAGCATAAAAGTTCAGAAATTTGCAGCCTGACAAGGTGATAGGGAAGAAAATTCCATTTTCTGAGGAGAAATTTAAGCTGGCTGCAGAAGTTTGCATAAGTAACGAGGAGCTGAATGTGAATCATTGCCAAGACAATGGGGAAAATGTCTCCAGCGAATGTCAGTAGTCTTCAAGGTAGCCCCTCCCATCACAGGCCTGGAAGCCTAGGAGGGAAAAATGGTTTCATTGGCTGGGCCCAGTGTCCCTCTGCTGTGTGCAGTCTAAGGACTTAGCGCCCTGTGTCCCAGCCACTCCAGCCATGACTACAAGGGGCCAAGCTAGAGCTCAGGTTGTGGCTTCAGAGGGTGCAAGCTCCAAGCCTTGGCAGCTTTCACGTGGTGTTGAGCCTGTGAGGGCACAGAAGTCAAGAATTGGGATTTGGGAACCTCCACCTAGATTTCAGAGGATGTATGGAAATGCCTGGATGTCCAGGAAGAAGTTTTGCTTCAGGGACAAACCTCACGGAGAACCTCTGCTAGGGTAGTGTGGAAGGCAAATGTGAGGTAGAAGCCCCCACACAGAGTCCCCACTAGGGTGCTGCCTAGTGGAGCTGTGAGAAAAGGGTCTCTATCTTCCAGACCCCAGAATGGAAGATCCACTGACAGCTTGCACTGTGCACCTGAAAAAGTCACAGGCACTCGTTGCCAGCCCATGAAAGCAGCCAGAAAGGAGGCTGTACCCTGCAAAGCCACACTGGCAGAGCTGCCCAAGACCATGGGAACCCATTTCTTGCATCAGCATAACCTGGATGTGAGATAAGGAGTCAAAGCAGATTATTTTGGAGCTTTAAGATTTAACTGCCCTGCTGGATTTTGGACTTGCATGGGGCCTGTAGCTCCTTCGTTTTACCCAATTTCTCCCATTTGGAATGGCTGTATTTACCCAATGCCTGTATCTCCATTGTATCTAGCAAGCAAGTAACTTGCTCTCAATTTTACAGGCTCATAGGCAGAAGGGACTTGCCTTGTCTCAGGTGAGACTTTGGACTGTAGACTTTTAAAAGAGTTAGTGCTGAAATGAGTTAAGACTTTGGGGGACTGTTGGGAAGGCATGATTGGTTTTGACATGTAAGGACATGAGATTTAGGAGGGGCAAGGGGCAGAGTGATATGGTTTGGCTGTGTCCCCACCCAAATATCATCTTGAATTCCCACGTGTTGTGGGAGGGACCCCATGGGAGGTAATTGAATCATGGGGGCAGGTGTTTTCCATGCTGTTCTCATGATAGTGAATACCTCTTACAAGATCTGATGGTTTTATAAGGGGGAGTTTCCCTGTGCAAGCTCTGTTTGCCTGCTGCCATCCATGTAAGACATGACTTGCTCCTCCTTAGCTTCCACCATGATTTTGAGGCCTCCCCAGCCATGTGGAACTGTGAGTCCATGAAACCTCTTTTTCTTTATAAATTATCCAATCTTGGGTATCTTTATTAGCAGCATGAAAATGGGCTAATACACTAGTTCTCACTTCTCACAGACGTTTCACTACTCCCATGTTGTAAGTTTGGCCACATGCAGAGAATGATGTGTAGTTTCTTAGTCCCCAACTCCCACCACCAATATGGCCAGGAAGGAGGCCACCAGGTGACACAGGTTACCCAGGCCCACATCTATGGATAAAAAGGTTGCTGGGCAGACAGCCTGAAGGCTCCACTACAACATGTTATCTGATCCTTTTGCACTTCTCCCTCCACAGTATTTAGTCCAATTTTTTTTTTAATTCACTCAAGTGCTAGCTTAGTTGAACACCTACATTTAAAAACCCACAACTTTTAGTTAAACAATGTAGAAAATTACTGGACTTTCACTGATAAAGAAATTTGCAACATGGTAAATTATTTGTTCAAAATCATAATTCTCCCATCTGTTTTATTTCTCCAAATGTCCAAGCAACCCAAACCAGGACAGTACCAAGGGCTGTACCACCCTAGTGGTACAACCACTAGATATCACCATGACTAAACTAAGAGTTCAGTCGGAACTGTGCTGCTGAGAGTATCAATGAGTTGACAGCTGCCCAGGCTTGCACTTTTCCAAATCACGGAAGAAGGAGCCATAAAGAGCCAGGCTCATCAAAATTGAGTATAAGCAATTCTCAAAGACCATGTTGATAAACAACAAGACCCTTGACCTTTATATTCCTTCTTTATGTGCTAGGTGGCCCTTATATTTACACATTTTTAAATTATTATATAAAAAGAGCCATTAACCATGGTCCCAGCTCATGTAAAAGATGGAGAGATGCTGGGAAGGTATCAAATCAGTTTGGCTCCAGTTAGCCCCAAGGATTTTTCATTAGGCCACGCTACTAAGTCTCTCTGACTTTAATCCCATTTTCTTGGGCTCACATATATCCTGGGGCATTGTGAGGTAAGAATAAGTCAGTCAGGAATCAAACAAAATTCAAAGAAATGGATAGGCATCATGATATGGTTTGGCTCTGTGTCCCCACCCAAATCTCATCTCAAATTATAATCCCCACATATCAAGGGAGGGACCTGTTGGGAGGTGATTGAATCATGGGGTGGTTTCTCCCAGGCTGTTCTTGTGATAGTGAGGGAGTTCTCACAATATCTGGTTGTTTGATAAGTGTCTGGCATTTCCCCTGCTTTCTTGCTGTCTCTCCTGCTGCCTTGTGAAGGAGGTAGCTTGCTTACCCTTTGCCTTCCACCATTATTGTAAATTTTGAAGGCCCCCTGGCCATGTAGAACTTTCAGTGAATTAAACCTCTTTTCACTATAAATTACCCAGTCTTTGGTATCTTTATAGCGATGTTATAACAGACTAATATTAATACATATCACTTCTTTAGGGAAGGCAGTAAACAAGATGCTAACTGATGGAGTGAAATCCCCAGGAGATGCAGAAGGCAAGTGCAGCTAACTGAGGCCTCAGGGGCAGGAGATGCCCATCAGGATGAGAGCTATGTCTTTCTCCAGTGATGACTCTGCTTCTATGAGGTCACCAGCAGTAGAACCATATCTTGCTGGCATACACTTGGGGTAAGAATATCATTGGCAAAGTTGCTTAAGATCCGATCTGCTTAACTATAACTACCTCCCCCTTCCCTGTTTCCTTCATCTTCCTACTCATATACACATGATACTTTCCTCTCCCTTTTTCTAGTTCATCCCCCTGGGAGAACCACTTTCTTGCCTAGAGTGAAACTCTACTCTCTTGTTTATGTTCAACATATTTTGTTGATGCTCCAAATTCTCTTGTTCTGGCTTCTCTCCAAGGCATTTTGTCCTTTTCCTTACAACTAATGTAAAAAAGAAGAAATATCCTTGAACTTCAAACTTTTTTATAATAAACCTTAGTGATCCATCAGACCCAAATGTCTAATCAACAAAAAGAATTTAAAAACATTAACTTTTGCTCAAATACAAGAAGAGCTTAAACTCCAGACTCTTCTAGCACAGCAAGGAAAGAGAAACAACAGTACAGCTAGTTCCATATTAAAAAAATAGGAATGTTCATCTCCTTCCATAATTCAAAAAATACTACCGGAGAATCAGAAAAGTAAAAATTGTGCTTGTATAAAGAGTTCCTGGATTGTACTGGCTTCCTATATCAATCATTTCTCTCCTGCTTTCCTGTAGATGGCCCCGCCTCCTGGACTTCCATCTGTCATCAGGAGAACATAACCATCTGGAGTCAGTACAGATCATCAATCCTTCCACATATACAAGTTCATTTTAAATTTTTAAAAATATAATACAACTGAGAAGTCTTCATTAAATTGTTCTGGTGGTCCTACCTGTTTTCTGTTAGGGATCCAATACATCTCAGAGCCACATGGGTGATGCCATAATGCCAGGGCTGAAACACTGCTTTAGGGGTCTTTTACTTTCCTATTGCTGCTATAAAAAATTACCACAAACCTTGAGGCTTCAAACATCACAAATTTATTTTCTTACACTTCTGGAGGTCAGATGTTCAAAATGGGTCTTAGAGCTAAGACCAAGGGGCAACAGAGCTCCCTTCCTTCTGCAAGCTGTAGGGAAGGCTCTGTTCCTTGACTTTTCTGGCTTCTAAGGCCTGCCTGCATTCTTTGTCTCATGATCACATCACTGTGACCTCTACTTCTGTCATCATGTTTCCTTCTCTAACTTTCCTGCCTCCCTCTCTCCCTAATAAGGACCCTTGTGATTATATTTGGGCCTACATGGATAATGCAGCATATGCTCAAGATCCCTAACTTAATCACATCTGCAAAGTTCCTTTTGCCATGTAAGTTAACACATTCACAGGTTTTAGGGATTAGGATGTGGACATCTTCAGTGGGGATGCGGGCATTATTCTGCTGACTACAGGGTCTGATATAATCGGAGGCCCACTTCCTAGAAATCAGAGAACCTGATTTCTAGTCTGCAATTAGGAAATTCAATTAGGAGAGTGCATAGGGATTGCTGGTATCTCTGTTTTACCTTTGACTTATTAGACTGTAGCCACAAATTCTGGCCCCAGCCTATAGAATGTTATAATGAGAAGCACTGGCTTTAAAGTCATACTAACTTGACTGGGATTTGTTTTTTGTTTGTTTGTTTGTTTGTTTTAGACAGGGTCTTGCTCTGTCACCCAGGGTGGGGTGCAGTGGCGTGATCATGGCTCACTGCAGCCTCGACCTCCCAGGCTCAAGTGATCCCCATACCTCAGCCCCACAAGTAGCTGGGACTACAGGCGTGCACCCACCACACCCAGCTAATTTTTTTATTGCTTGAAGAGATAGAGTCTCACTATGTTGCCCAGGCTGATCTTGAACTCCTGGGCTCCAACAGTCCTCCCATCTCAGCCTCCCAGTTCTCGGATTACCCTCATGAGCCACTGTGCCTGGTCTCACCTGGGTTTTCATCTCATAGGAGCTCTGAGAGCTTGGGCAAGTTCCTCACCTTCTGTGAACTTCAGTTTTCACCTCTCTTCTCTGGGGAGGTCTTAGAGGAAAGAGACTCAGAGACTCACCTGCAGGATACTCTTAGGAATAATGCTGGTAAGGGAGGGAGAAAAGCAGGATTGGACTGCAATGAAGTCACAAGGAAGGCTTCAGCTGATCCCCAAGGGACTGTGTTGATGGGATGGCCTCCCATGGCCTCCCTTTAAGGCAAAGGAGACAGACATTGGTTTCCCCTGAGTCAATCTGCCAGGATTGGGACTACATAAGAAGAGTGAGATGCTTGCCTTGAGGACAAAATTTAGAGGGCGTCAAAAAGCTCAGTAGCCAAGATAAATAATATTTTAATGTATTATTATTTTTTAAACCTAAATTAATGCAAAAGTCAGCCTTTATTTAAAAATTTCAGTATTTTGTTCAGGGTGAACTTTTGCATTGGTTAGTATTTTTTAAATAATGCTTTAAAATAGAGAGTGTTTTGGGGAGCCATATTGGAGCCTCAAGCAAAGAGAAAAATCAGTCATATTGATTATATCTTTATTTAAAATTGTGATATTTTGATAATTACAGAACCTTTGCATTTTTTATTTTTAAAATATTACATTAAAATATTGTTTGATTACTGAGTTTTTGGCTCCTGCTTAAATTTAGCACTCAAGGCCAGTTTTTCACCCTAGTCCTGGTCCTGCATTGTACACAGGCTGCCCCACTCTCTCTTCAGGAGGAAATATAGTCTTAATCCAAGGCCAGTGCTTGGAGAGGGGTTTAGCTATGAGCCATTAGCAGCCAATACTCCTGGCATCTGGGGAAATGAGTGCCTTGATTTTGAATAGGGGCATGGTGCCTACCATAGTATCCACTGTGATACTGTGATGTCGACATATAATAAGATTGTTTTGTCATATAGTCATTCACTCATTGGGATAGTAAGATTGTCATGAAGGACATAAAGACTTATGTGAGAGGAACTTCAAGAAGCCTGACTGGAGGCATCTGACACTTACCTCCTCCACAGACAAGAACCAAAATAGCAAGTGCATAATCAAACTTCGAATAGAGCATCTAAGAGAGAATATTGGAATTCAACAGAGAAGGAACAGGAAGCACCTGAGGCATGGAAGGAGCAGGAAGGGAGGCAGTCAGCTCAGCTGGGATCAGCTGGGAGCTCATAAAGACTCCCTAGTTCAGGAAAAGGGTAAGCAGTAGATACCCACCTTTCCATATTCCCACCATGGACTCCTGATACCCTAGCCATGGGAGACCCCATCACAGGCTCTCAGAATAGCATAGGGACCTGCCTGGAGATGACACAAAGGCATTGCTCTAGAGTGGGAGTTCATAATGGTCCAACGCACCCACCAAGTCCTAAGCAGATTCACCATAGGGCCATTTTGAGAGCTTAGGACCCACTGGAGGTTGCATCCCGCCTTGGGGCCCAAGAGCCCCTGCACCTTCACGTCCCTGGAGCCCCACTGACACCATTCTGTGTCCACCCAGAGAGCCGTAGCAGCAATAACACCAGTCAGACTCAGCAGAATGGCAGGGTCCCCAGCACTCCAGCACACACAGTGCCCTGTATGCCAGGTAAACGGTGGTGCAGCACCCTAGGGAGGCTCTCCCAGGACAAAGAAAGCCAAAGCACATACTCTCTATGGCCAGAGAACCACCTACCTGGGACAGCTACCACATATAATGACCCTGCCCCCAGCAGCAGGGCTACTGCAATCACACTCTGAGGACAGACCCTCTCATCACCAGCCACAGCCACTATTGCTGCCACCAGAAGCCAAAACACATGTAGCTGGTCACGACTCCATCTACCAAGCAGCAGGGCTCCCATCACGCATTTGCACATTTCCTGAGAACTAGTTTTCCCTGCTGCTACTACAGCTGATATACCACTGCCACTGCCACTGGGGATTAAAGCATCCCTCCTCCCACACAGCCTAAGAACTGCCTGCCTGTGGCTATAGTTACTGTCAGAAACTCTGCCTCTACTCCAACAGCAGGACTGCAGCATACTTGGACATACCCTAATGGCAGGCTTTCCCTGCCTACCACCCCTGTTGTAGCAGACTCCCAAGCTCTCTACTGGGAGCCTGAGTGTCACTCCTCTCTGCCCACCATAGCCAGGGCCTGATTACATTCCTGGGGTCCCTGGAAACAGGCCTACCTGGCCTGGCACTCCCCCCACTCCAGTGCCCTAGAACACTGTCTAAGGGCTTGTCTCACCCTGTCCACCACCACTGGCATCTGTGCAGTCCTCCTAGGGCTGCTACCACCACAGCAGCACCCACTGCACATACTGCCTAGGGAATGAGGGACTGACATACCCAGCTCCTTGTAGATATCACTAACACCAATGTGTGTCACTTCAGAGCCCAAGGATTGTCTTGCCATTACTACTGCCATCACCCACATCACACATGCTATCCAGGGACCAAGGACCCACTCGACTGACTGACCCACCACTACCACTGCAGCACTTCAGCCATCTGTAGACCTAAGTATTGGCCTGTTTCAACCCACTAACACTGGTGACTTCATACGCCAACTGGGAACCCGAGGCCAGGCATGCTTGGTCTACTGCTGCCGCGACTGGAATCTGATGACTGGCCTACCTGTAATCCTCATCCTCAACAAAACCTCACCATAGCCTCCACTAACAACAACAACCTAAGCCACTTAGGAAATCACAGACACAGCTGATGCTGTTTACAGCTGAATAAATCATATGGAGACTACACTACTGCATGCACCCAGAATCAAAGCTAGTGTCCTACCCAACCAACAGCATAGATGTATCTTCAGGAAAAATCCCTTCCCTTGTAAAAGTCAATTCAAAAAAAAATTGGAAGAAGTGACTGTTACACCGGAGGTACAGTTATCAACGTAAAAACACAAGAAACCAATCCAGGCAACATAGCAAACCTTGTCTGTGCTAAAAATAAAAATAAAATGTTAGCCAGGAATGGCAGCACACTGCAGGCTATAGTCCTAAATACTTAGCAGGTTGAGGCAGGCTTGAGAGTAGGAACTTGAGTTCATAGTGAGCTATGATTGATAACACTGAAAATAATTGAAAGAAATCAGAAAAACAATTCAGGATGTGAGTGAGAAATTCACCAGAGATAGATATAATAAAAAAGAACAAACCAGAAGTCCTGGAAAGAAAGAATTCAATGAATGAAATTTTAAAAATTCATACAAGAGCTTCAACAATAGATCAAACAAAAGCAAAAATCTCAGAACCTGAAGACAAGTCTTTTGAAATTGCCCAGTCAGATTTTTTGAAAAGAAGAAAAGAGAATAAAAAAGAATGAACAAATCCTGTGACATAAGAACACAACACAACTAAATACATGAATTTTGGGTGTTCCAGAAGGTGAAGAGACCAAATCCATAGAAAACCTATTTAACAAAATAATAGCTGAAAACTTCCCAAGTCTAGCAAGAGATTTAGACATATAGATATGGGACGTTTATAATCCCTAAATAGATATAAGTCAAAAAAGTTATTCTCCAAGGCATATTAAGGTAAAAGTCAAAACCAAAGAGCATTATAAAAACAGCAAGAGAAAAGTGTTTAGTCACATATTAGGGAACCTCTATCAGACTAACTGGGGATTTTTAAAAATACATATAGCAAAAATATTACAGGTCAGGAGACAATAGAATGATATATTCAAAGTGATTAAAAAAAAAACTGTCAACCCAGAATACAATACCCAGCAAAGTTGTCCTTCATAAATGAAAGAAAAATAAAATCTTTCCCAAACAAGCAGAAACTGAGGGAATTCATCACTGCTAGACCAGACCTACAAGAAATGATCAAGGGCATTCTATACCTGGAAACAAAAGAATGATATCTACCATCATGAAAACACATGAAAGTATAAAACTCACTGGTAAAGCAAACCCACAAATAAGGAAGAGAAAGAACCCAAATGTTATCACTACAGAGAAACACCAAACCACAATGATAAACAACAAAAGAGAAAGAAAGAAAGGAAAAAAGAAAGGAAAAAGATAGAAAACAACCAGAAGATAATTAACAAAATGACAAGGATAAGTCCACACTTACCAATAATAACCTTGAATGTGAACAAATTAAATTTTCCACTTAAAATGTATAGACTAGCTAAATATAATAGATTTTTTTAAAACATGACTCAACTATATGCTACCTATAAGAAACTCATTTTACCTGTAAAGACATATATAGACTAAAAGTAAAGGGATGGAAAAAGACATTCCATACAAATGGAAAACAAAAAAACAAGCAGAAGTAGCTATACTTATATCAATATCATATAAAACAGAATTTAAGTCAAAAAACAGTAAAAATAGATAGAAAAAGGTCATTAAAACACAATAAAGGGATCAATTCAGCAAGAAGATTTAAAAATTCTAAATATATATCACCCAACATTGGTATATATAAATTAAATATTATTAGACCTAAAGGCAGAGATAGACTCCAATATAATAATAGTTTTAGACTTCAACACCCCATTATCAGCATTAGACAAATGATCTAGACAGGAATCAATAAAGAAACATTGGATTTAAATTGCAACTTAGACCAAATGGACCTATTCAACATCAACAGAACATTTTATTCAACAACAGTAGATACACGTTCTTCTCATCAGCACATGAGACATTCTCCAAAAAAGACCATAAGTTAGGCTACAAAACAAGTCCCAATAAATTCTTAAAAATTGAAATCATACTCAGCATCTTCTTAGACCATGGTGGAATAAAACTAGAAATCAGTAACAAGAGGAACTTTGGAAACTGTACAAATATATGAAAATTAATATGCTCTCAGCAACCATTGGGTGAATGAAAAAATTAAGAAGGAAATTAAAAAAGAAATTTTTGAAACAAAAAATGGAAACACAACATACCAAAACCTGTGGGATATAGCAAAAGCAGTGCTAAGAGGGAAGTTTATAGCAATAAATGCCTATATCAATAAAGTAAAAAAATAACAAATTAACAAACCAATAATATACTTAGGGGAACTAGAAAAGCGAGAACAAACCAAACTCGAAATCAGCAGAAGAAAAGAAATAATAAAGATAGGGGCAAAACTAAATGAAATAAAGACAAAAGAAGTAAGACAAAGGATCAACAAAATGATAAGCTGATTTTTCTAAAAGATAAATAAAATGAATAAACTGCTAACCAACCCAGCCAAGAAAAGAATTCGCAAATAAACACAATCAGAAATGAAAAAGGCAACATTACAGCTGATACCACAAGAACACAGAATACCATCAGATACTATTATGAACACCTATACAACAGACTGAAAAACATAGAGGAAATGGATGAATTCCTGGACATATATAACCTACCAACAATGAATCAGGAATAAATAGAAAACCTGAGAAGACTAATAACAAATAACAAGATTGAATCAGTAACAAAAAGTCTCTTAACAAAAAAAAGTCCAGAACCAGATGGCTTCACTGCCAAATTCTACCAAACTTACACAGAAGAATTAACACTAATTGTTATCAAAATATTCCAAGAAATTGAAGAGGAGGGAATTCTTCCCAACTCATTTTACAAGGCCAGCATTACTCTGATACACAAACCAGACAAGGGCACAACAAAAAAAGAAAACTACACATCACTATACATGGTGAATATAAATGCAAAAATCTTCAACAAAATACTAGCAAACCAAATCCAGTAGCACTTCAAAAATATAATACAAGTGGGATTTATCCCAGAGATGCAATGGTGGTTCAATGTATGCAAATCAATAAATGTGACACAGCACACCACCAGAATGAAGGACAAAAACCATGTGATAACCTCAATAAATGCAGAAAAAACATTTGATAAAGTCCAACGATCCTTCATAATAAAAACTCTCAACAAACTAGGCATACCGGAAGCATATCTGAACATAATAAAGTCTATAAATAACAAACCCTCAATTAACATCATAATAAATGGGGAAAGACTGCAAGCATTTCCTCAAAGAACTGGAACAAAACAAGGATGCCCACTTTCATCACTCATATTCAGCATAGTACTGGAAGTCTTAGCCAGAGCAATCAGGCAAAGAAAAGAAAGAAAAGGCTTCCAAATTGGAAAGGAGGAAATCAAATTGATCCTCTTTGCTGATAACATAAAACTGTTAGATATGATAAGTAAATTTAGTAAAGTTGCAAGATACAAAGTCAACATAAAAAAAATCAGTAGCATCTTTACATATCAGTAATGATACAGCCGAAAAAGAAATCAAGCAGGCAATCCCAGTTACAATAAATCCCATTTACAATAAACTAAATCCAGGAATAAATTTAATCAAAGATGTGAAAGATCTCTATAAGAAAAACTACAAAATACTGGTGAAAGAAATTAGAGAGGACACAAAACAAATGGAAAGTCACCTCATGCTCATGGATTGGAAGAATTAATATTGTTAAAATGACCATGCAACCCAAATCAATTTACAGATTCAATGCAATCCCTATTAAGATATCAATGTTATTTTTCACTAGAATAGAAAAAAACAACTCTAAAATTGTTACAGATCAAAAAAACAGCTCTAATGGCCAAAGCAATACTGAGAAAAAAAAGCAAAGCTGGACGTATCACACTACCTGACTTCAAAATATATTACAAGGCTATAGTAATCAAAACAGCATGGTATTGGTACAAAAACAGACACAGGCCAATGGAACAAATAGAGAACCCAAGGTTAGGCATGGTAGCTCACACCTGTAATCCCAGCATTTTGGGAGGCCAAGGTGGGAGGATTGCTTGAGGCCAGGAGCTCAAAAACAGTCTGGGCAACATGGCAAGACCCCAGGTCTAAAAAAAAAAAAAAAAAATAGCCAGGCATGTAGTCTGCTTCTGTAATCTCAGCTACTTGGGAGGTTGGGGCAGGAGGATTGCTTGGGCCCAGGAGGTTGAGGCTGCAGTGAAACGTGATTGTGCGACAGAGCAAAACTTTGTCTCAAAAACAAAAACAAACAAAAAAACAAAAAATAGAGAACCCAGAAATAAACCCACATTTTTATAGCCAACTGATTTTCAACAAAGGCTCCAAGAACACACATTGGGGAAAGGATATCCACTCCAATACGTGGTGCTGGTAAAACTGGATCTTCATATGCAGAAGAATAAAACTAGACAGCTATCTCTCATCATATAAAAATATCAATTCAAAATGGATTAAAGTCCTAAACATAAGACCCAAAACTATAAAACTGCTAGGAGAAAACATAGAGGAAACACCACAGGATATTGGCCTAGGCATAGATTTTATGGCTAAGATCTCAAAAGTGCAGGCAACAAATACAAGAATGGAGATGGGACTATGTTAAACTAAAAATCTTCTGCACAGCAAAGGAGATCATCAATAGAGTGAAGAGACAACCTGTTGAATAGGATAAAATATTTGCAAATTATTCATCTGATAGAAACTAATATCCAGAATATGCAAGGAACTCAAACAGTTCAACAGCCAAAAAAAACTTAATAATCCTACTAAAATATGGGCAAAGTACATAAATAGACATTTCTCTAAAGAAGACATACAAATGGCCAACAGTTATATTTTTAAAATGCTCAGTATTTCTAATCATCAGCGAAATGCAAATCAAAACCACAATGAGATATCATCTTACCCCAGTTAGATGGACTATTAATAAGAATTAAAAAAAAACAGATGTTGGTGAGGATGCAGAGAAAAAGGAGCTCTTATACACTGTTGATGGGAATGTAAATTAGTATAGCCACTATGAAAAATAACATGGAGATTTCTCAAAAATCATACTATCCAGCAATCCCATTGCTGTGTATTTATCCATAAGAAAGGAAATCATATCAAAGGGATACCTGCACTCACATGTTTATTGCAGCACTATTCACAAAAGCAAAGATATAGAATCAACCTGAGTGTCCACTATTGGATGATTGGATAAAGAAAATTTGTATATACACACAATGTAATACTATTCACCTTTCATTAAGAAAGAATGAAATCTGGTCATTTGCAGCAACATGGATGGAACTGGAGGTCACCATATTAAGTGAAATAAGCCAAGCACAGAAAACAAATATTGCATGTTCTCACTTGTATGTCGGAGCTAAAAAAGTGGATCTCATAGAAGTACAGAGTGAAATATTAGGTTGGTACAAAAGTAATTGCAGTTTTTGCCATTTAAAAGTAATGTTAAAAGTAATAGTTACCAATTGGCAAGAATGTGTGTGTGTGGGTGGGTAGAGGAATGGATGGGCATAAATTGGTACAAACATACAGTTAAGTAGAAGGAATAAGTTCTAATGTTTGATAGCAGAGTAGGATGTCTATAGTTAGCAGCAGTGTATTGTATATATATCAAAATAACTAGAAGAGAGGGCTAGAAATGTTCTCAACACATAAAAATGACAAATACTCAAGGTGCTGGACACCCTAAATACTCTGACTTGATCATCACACATTCTATGCATGTAACAAAATACCACATGTACTGCATAAAAGTGTACAAATAGTATATATTAATTACAAAAAAAAATCGTGTGGCTACCAAAACTCATTATTTCAGGTGCTAGCAAATGTAGTCACAACCAAGACTAGGCTTGAACTCTTCCTTTCAGCTTCCTGACAGCCAAGTAACGGAGTGAAAGGTCAGATAATTTACTTAGACCTGAGACTGCCATTAATATTGTCAACAAATTGCTTTGATCTACAGCTCATTAGCTTTGGTTGGAATTGCTAAGCAAATAAGCCAAAGTGAAATTTTGTTCTATCCAATGGCCTATCTAGTACCTTAACCCCAGACAACCTTCTTACATGGTGATCACAACTAAGCTGGTGAATGGGCATAAATCTTTTATTGCTACCAGAAAAAAAAAAAATCAAAGTGCAAGCTCTATCAAATGTAAGTGAATGCCCATGATGTGTCTAGCATCTATACACTGTGTTCTAGAAGTATGTTAATTTGGCTTAAAGAAAAACTATAAATTCTTTGTCTTCATTCAGAAATCAGTAATTCTCAAAAGGGAAGGTAGTTTATAACCCCTAGGAAGATCAGTGATTCTCAAAAGGTGGTACGGTTTATAACCTCTAGGGGTCACATCCGAATCTCCTGAGGAAAATGCTGAACTATGCAATCCCTTCTCAACTTTCCCCTAGAGACAGATTCTAACAACATTGTCTCCTATGAAAGATTTCATGATTACTGTCATGAATCACTATTATTGATGGGAGAAAAAGTTTATATCAGGTATATTGAGATGCAAAAGGAAAAGAATCACTGTTATAAGCTGAAATTGTTGATGGAAGTGCACAGGAAACAAAACAGCAGCAAGATATTACACAATTAGCTGACATGTATAGTGACATTTTTGCCAGATTACACACAAAAAAATATAACTGTAGTTTTTTCATGAGCCAAATTTCAATAACAGCTATTAAATGGTATTTAAAATGCATCATTTATAGAAATGACCTTTTTCAGAAGAACTGGAAAATTTTAACTCATATATACTAGCTGAAGGAAAAAAAGGTTCTTGCTTATATTTCAATAAGCCCTCTCTGCATTGAGAAAAGAACATTGTTGACTACCTTTTGTTTCTTGGCTTGATACTAGTTCTCTAGCTTTCTTCTTTTTTTGTTTTCTTTTTTTTAAATACACAATTTTTACTAATGCAAACCTCACATTGACTCAGATGAAAGAGGCAACAGAATTTCTGGATACCGTGTACCCTTTAGATAATGTACCTCAACAACGATTCAGTTTCTTTTTCTAATTTTGCAGATCATTTAACAAAGTGTACAGCTGAAAATGGTTTGTGTAAGTGGTTTTTCATCTGTAAGCTTATTATATTTCCTTTGAAAATTGTTCTTTGTGATTTCAACATCTTCTGGGGGTAGGGTGGTGACATTTTATATATATAATATATATTTTTTTTCCTCTCTCTCTCTCTCTGTATGCCTTTTAAATCCAACAGTCACTTCTCTTTCCTCGTGATAATCACTTCTTTTATGGACTGAAAGCACTTTGTGCTTTTTCCTCTGTAATCCTAGTTGATTATACAGTATCTTCATTGTTGCTCGGTGTATAAGTCTTCGAGGTTTCGGCTGCACTGTCCAAATCATGATGAGCTTCAACCATGGCCACTGACGAAACCTCAGGCATTTCGGCTGGTATTTTGAACAAATTTATTTACTGCCTTTATTATAATGTTGTCGGACAGTTGTGCATCTAGATGATCTGGTGGAGTTTACACTTCAGAGGCACTGGGAATGCCAAAGATTTATTTGCCTCTCATTCATTAAGAAGAAAAAAGAAAGAAAATGTAACTAATTGAAGAGTCTGGATGACAATTATCTGTTTGTGAGTATTTTCTCCTTGATCTCCTCCTAATTTAAACCAATATAATGCTTAACCAATGCCCATTCACATTTCACAGGTATTTGTTTTGTTTTTTTTAAAACAACTAACTCCTCCTATACATAAAGGGGAAGAAAATAGAAATATTTTTAAAACCCTGGAAGAACTTTTAAGTCCTAGAATATTAAAGGAAAGTTGCAGATAAGTTAACCTCACACGTGTGCTACTAAATTGAGATAAATTACAAAAGGAATTATTATAACATGGATTCACTTCTGACCTTTAAGGTGGAAAGTATAAGAATGATATTAAGTTTCATGAATTGTACATGTTTTAATTATTGTTGCATTATGCTTTAAAAGTATCTTTCCACTGGACATTCTTAAATCAAGGTAAAAACTACATTAAAATTGTAGTTGCCATTATATTTCTTCTCATTTATATGTATATCAGAAAAAAAATATATGTATGTTTATATTTCTTTTTACATTTGCCATCACTGAAAAGTTTTTATAATATCACAGAATACATCAAGAGTAGATTATTTTATTTCTTCCACTGGTAAACTTGATTATTTTCAATAGTTTTCTTCATTGAAAATTGCCACCTATCACTTGTTGGTGATCTTTATCTGAATGTTACTATTCAGAAATACAACTAAAACTTTGTCACTTTTTAAGGAATGAAATTCTTTTTGGGGAAACTATCTATTACATGTAAATTTGTGATATAATGTTATTTGTGGCTTGAGAGTATAATGAAGATGTTAGATTTACACAGAAATATTTTCTCAGTATGACATCAGGGTTGACAGTATATTATTACTTAATAATATTAAAGAAATAAAGGCACAAATTAGAAGATAATTTTCTCATTTTTAAAATTCTTTTCATGAAAATAACCTGTGAACCCTTGAAAAAAATATTTGTTTTAATACTGATTTAAGACATTATTGGATTATGTGTGATTATAGGAGCCCAGCATATTGCAATTCATGCTTTTTTGAGCTTTTAAGTGTTGCTATCCTTGTGTGCCCTCTGTGCTTACATGTTGAAAATTATTCATGTGACATTCAGGCTGTTCTGAGGGTCATTTGATGAAATTGTTGGTGCATCCCATGGTGCAGGGCCCAAACCACCCAATCTTTCTTTAACAATTGCACTTTTGCAAAGAGGCATGATGGTCGATGCTGGGAGGCTCTTAAATTGAGAGAATATAGACCAATTCAGAAATAGTTTTGCCACTGAGTTTGTGTAACCAGCTTGGATAGCCAGATACATCTTCTTTTTTTTATTATTATTCTTAAAAATCAGATAACAGTATTTACTAGTTAAGGCTATTCTAAGGATTAAGGGAAGGGAAATGATGATCTGCTATTTATAGAGTATCGACCATGAATAGGGCATTGTATTTGGTGTTTGAAAAGCTCTGTTTGCAGGTCACACTTTAGGTACTGTTGGTTATGTTAATAGCTCAACTTCAGAGAACTTCTAACAAAAAGGTGGTTACTGTAATTTTATTACAATTCCACTGCTAAGTGTGGAGACATAGCCCCATTCACGAGGTTTACTCTTTGCAACTGGAGAGTAGCATTCTAATGACAAAAGAGGCTGAGAAGTTATTCATACCTCTTCAGATGAAGAAATGTTTGTGCATTCCAATGCTAAATTTTGCTGTTGCTATAACAAGAACTAAATAAGATTCAGATTTTGTCAGCCTCTGAATATTTTGGAGTTAGCCAAAGGGAAAAAAAAACACCTTTTTTTTAACTCATTGGTAAAATTCAGGAGCTGCAAAATAAAACAGGTACTACTAAAATTCTATCTGTTGCTTTTGGTTGATCACCTTATAGAAAGAAATGAACTATCAACCCCAGATGGAACACATATATCTATTAGTAGGCAGATAAATCCAAATAAAAACCGTGACAATGTATTTAAAATAATTTTGAACAGAAAGGATTCCCTACTCTGGGTACCACAAAGTTTTTAGAACTTCCCCTGGATAATTGAGGTTGGTACACATACCCTAAAGTAAACAGCAAGTAACTTCTCTACATGGTTGTCACAAAACCCATGGACTTTTATATATGGATATATACATATATAGATAGATATATGCATTCATATTATATATATATATAAAAGCATACATTTTACATATATATAGATAGATATATGCACACACACACACACACACACACACACACACACACACACACACAGGAAAAGATATGACCATGGTAGGCATGAGGATGGCCAAGGGAGGGTGTAACATCTAAAAAAAATCATGGTAAAAAGAAGTAAAAGAAAACAGAGAGAAAATGTACCAAGAAGAGGCAAATAGAATTTGTAAACATGTGGAAGTTCAGGGCTATTTGCATCATGCCAAGTCCTCGCATTCCAGTGACCCTTGCAGACATTACTGTTATAGCACATTAATTGTTATGGATACTTGGATATTCTGTGCCAAAACTATATAGTTAGTTTCTAATCACTGCAAACAATAAATAATTCTACTGAAAACATTTAGGTTTTTTTAAAATGGGAAATTAACTAACAAAAAGTAGTCATCAGGTTAAGTGATGAATCACATAAGATAAACCGTAATTCTTAAAAAGTGTAGATAAATGAAGTTATTTCTTATTTAGCCTATTTTTTCTTTATCTTTCATCTATCTTATCAAAATGGATAAAATCACTTTCAGCCAAATTATAACATTTATTGTAGGACATATTACCTCAAATTTGTAGCCAAGGGTAAATATTGTATTTAAGGTAAAGACGTGTATCTTAGGTTTTCTGTTTTGTTTTGCTTGTTTTCATTTTTTGGTTTACTTATTTACTCATTTATTAATGTATCATTTCTAACTTCCTGAAACACTGGATTGAAAATGTGTTCTGGACCCTATGTCTAAAAATGTTAAAGTTGTGTGATTATTTGGAGGAGGATTATATTAGCTTTTCCTAGTATTTTCTTCCTTATGAAATCAGGTTGACCAGGACAAAAGAACAATCCTATTGATGCATTCTGCCTTGCAGAGCAAGGTGTTCACAGGAACCTGTGTGTGCAGGTCACAAAGCCCTTGATTGGTGAGTGAATGAGCGGGATTGACAGTGGAACTCAGGCTGAAGGACTCTTTTTGCTATTTATACATAGAGTAACAATCTACCACAAGACTGTTCTGCTCAAAGGCAAACAGATTCTCTTCCATTAAGATAAGACTAATGAACAAATTCTAACACTGGCCAAAATATTTGCCATCATGTTTTCTCCAAGTACAAATCTAAGAAATTAATTACTTTATCTTTAGAAAAAATTTTCCTCTGCTCCCTACAGAATTTCAGACCACATTTTCCTGGTGTGGCTTCCTTTCCCAATAAAATGTTGGGTACATACTTTTGTAAATTCAAATATCCAAGGTCAGCATAAGCTCTTTAGCCAGTAACAATAGAGCTTCATTCCACAACATTTTTAGTTGTCTTTGGGGATACCTCAAGTGCTGAGAGATGAGTTAGTCACATTCTGTAGTTAATAATGTTCAGTCATTAGCTGTCTGGTCAGGCCTCTCTCTTCTTTTCCTTCATAATGTTTTTTCAGTTCATTCTTGACCTCATTTCCATTTCGCATTACCCCACAAGCAGCCATTCTAATGAGCTTGATATATGTTATTGAATATATAAATATCTTTGAAAAATACATAAACTCATTACATGCATGCATGTTTTAATTTAGATAAATGATATTGTGCAATAGATTTCATTCTCTGCCATACTTTTTATTCACTTAACATGCTTTTTTTCTTTTTCTTTTCTGAGATGGAGTCTCACTCTGTCGCCCAGGTGGAGAGCAATGGCGTGATCTCGGCTCACTGCAACCTCTGCCTCCCAGGTTCAAGCCATTCTCCTACCTCAGCCTCCCGAGTAGCTGGGATTACAGGCGCCGCCACCAGACCAGGCTAATTTTTTGCATTTTTAGTAGAGACTGGGTTTCACTATATTGGCCAGGCTGGTCTCGAACTCCTGACCTCATGATCTGCCCGCCTTGGCCTCCCAAAGTGCTGGGATTATAGGCGTGAGCCACCTCACCTGGCTCAACATGCTATTTTTAAGATGATGCTATACGTGCTAATTCACTGCTACTGACCATTGCATGTTATTCCATAGTGTGCATTGAATACATTTTATTTATTTGTTCCCTAATAATAGAACTTGTTTGACACCAGCTCCTAGCTCCCACAAAATACGTGGGAGACCCTATCATTGGATCTAGGGTACACCCACCAATTTCTCCAAACATTGCTAACTGACTGCATCAGTCCCAGATTCCCACTAACCTTGTACAAAGGCTCCAAGTCTCACTGTCCCCCCAACACCTAGTATTATTGAAAATTATAATTTTTACAAACCTCATGGGTATAAAGGGATATCTCATTTAAATTTGTGTTTTTCTGGTTATTAGTGAGGGTGACCATTTTACCAAACATTGTTAGCCATTTGAAGTTCTCTTTTATTAATTGTGTTTTCAAATCTTTTCCAAATATTTAAATTTGTTTTACCTTATAGCCTATTCACATTTTTTTTAATGTAAAGTGATTGGAAAAAATTAGGATGGTTACCTATCTAGCATCTTTTGGCTTAGAAGATGGCCTAGAAGTTGGAAATTAGATTACTTGGGAAATTTTTCAGATCGTGAGGACTATTAAATATGGGTTTGAATCATAGTTTTACAACTTAATTGTTGGGTGAATTAGAGCAAGATACTTTTTCTTTGTGTGTCTCTGGCTGGCTGTGTGTGTGTGTGTGTGTGTGTGTGTGTGTAAAATGGGGGAAATAATTGGGACTTATTGTAAGGGCTTGCTATTTTCTATAAGATGACTTATATAAAGTTTGCAGTATAGCACATGGACAACTGCAGGTGTTCCATAAAAATTAGTTTCTTCCTATTCTGTATGATATGCATATATGAGGAACTCAGTAAATAAAAGCTCACAGTATTGATGTCACCATCATCATCATCATTGTTTGGAAGTATTTAGGAAAAGCCTTACCTGAAGATGAGTATAGACCATCTGTCTTCTTAAGATCTTGTCCAGTCCTATGTATTCATAGAATTCACTCACACAAATTTGCCTTAGTGGTGATGAGTTATCAGATTTCTTATATTCCCTTGAAGCCTTGGTAAATTGCTGATGTTTGTCATTTTCTTAAAATCTTGTAATTTCTTCAGATGTTTTCTGTACTGATTTGAAAATCACCAAATTAAACCTAAAAAAAAAATCCATACAATTTAACTAAGGCCATATTCCTTCCATCTTGTCTTTCTCCTTCCTTCTTTCTCTCTCTTCCTTTCTTCATTTCTTTTCTTTTCTTTCTCTTTCTTTCTCCTTTCTTTCTTTCTCCTTTCTTTTCTTTCTTTCTTTCCTTCCTTCCTTCCTTCCTTCTTTCTCTTTCTTTCTTTCTCCTTCCTTCCTTCCTTTCTTCCTTCCTTCCTTGCTTCCTTCCTTCCTTCTCTCTTTCTCTCAGCTAGTTTTATAGCTTATTTATAACCAAACACCTTGTATTACTTACCTTTGCTGTTTAATAAATTACCCCCAAACTTATTATCTTAAAACCAAACACTTTTATTATCTCACACTTTCTGTGAGTCAGGAGACTGGGCATGGCTTAGTTGAGTCCTTTACTTATTGTCTCACCAGTCTTTAAACCAGATGTCAACTGGGCTGAGTTCTCATCTGGAGGCTTAACTAAGGAGGAATCTGCTTCGAATAATAATCTCATTCAGATTATTGGCAGAATTCACTTCCTTGCAATTGTAGGACTGAGGGCTCTGGCTTCTTGCTGGGTGTTGACTGGAGGTTACCCTCAGCTCCTAGAGGCCACCCTCAGTGCCCAAAGGCCACCTGCAGTTACTCATCACACAGGCTTTCCTAACACAGCTGCTATTGTAACTTCATCAAGCCGGTAAGGAGTCTCTAGAGCAGTCTGCTAGCAAGACAGAATCTTATATAAATGTAACATAATCACAGAGTGACACCTGATGACCTTTGCCATATTTCATTGGTTAGAAGCAAGTCACAGGAGCTTCTGGCCACACTCAATGGGAAGGAATTACCCAAAGATGCGAACACCAGGAGGCAGAAATCTTGGAGCATTTCTGCCACATGACTCAAACACCACCATCTGCAAGTAGACAAACAAAGACAAAGACAGGAGACTCTGCTGAATAGTGTTATGCTCTGTCATACTTATTTAGAAATTTTAAAATTTGTGAATTAGGTAACTCTTCAATTCTTCACATTTAGTTCTGCTTCTATCTCTTATTCCTTATCATTCATTTGCTATTCCATTTTTCATATCAATTTCTATATGAGTCCCTCCCTCCATCTCTGCTTCCTTCCTTCTTCCTTTTTCTGCAAATGCTTATTTATCCCTGTTTATATTTGCAAACACTATTTTAAATACTGGGGATACAATGATGAAAAAAATGCCCAGTCAGTCTTAATCTTCACAGAGCTTATAATTAACTAGGGAATCAAAATTATATAGACAATCCCAAGATATTGTCACAAACAGGATCACAGAGCAAGCCCAAAGTGATGATAGGGCTACCCCACCTGGGAGGGAACCCAACCCATTCTAGAGGGGAAAAAAGACTTCTCAGCGGATATGACCTCAAAATTCTAGTTAAAAACGTAGTATAGTAATGAAGTAGTGGAATGTGGAAATCTGTATTGAGGACTAAACATTAATGATCTAAAGAGCAAGAAGAATTGCCTTTATTTTCACATGTTTGCTTGAAATTGTAGCTTAAACCTCAATCAATAAGTACATGTAGTTCTACTGATGCATTAGTAAAAAAAATCTATAAACAAACCCAGTGAAGATTATATTGTAATATCATTTAATAAAAATTATTATTAGCTATCTAAACTTGGGCAAACTCTTCACTTTTTGTATTAGGCCATTCTTGTGCTGCTATGAAGAAATATCCGAGACTGGATAATTTATAAAATAAGAAGTTTGGCTCACAGTTCTGCAAGCTGTGCAAGAAGAATAGCAGCCTCAGGAAGCTTCCAATCATGGCAGAAAGCAAAGCCAGGTGTGGTGATGGCTCATGCCTGTAATCCCAGCCCATCGAGAGGCCAAATGGGGGCAGATCGCTTGGCACAAAATTTAGAGACTAGCCTGGGAAACATGGCAAAACCCCATCTCTACAAAAAAATACAAAAATCATCTGAGTATGGTGGTGCATGGCACAAAATTTAGAGACCAGCCTGGGAAACAAGGCAAAACCCCATCTCTACAAAAATAATACAAAAATCACCTGGGCATGGTGGTGCATGCGTATGGTCTCATGTACTTGGGAGGCTAAGGTGAGAGAATTGCTTAAGCCTGGCAGCTCAAGGCTACAGTGGGCTATGATTGCACTATTGCATTCCAGCCTGAGTGACAGAGTGAGACCCTGTCTCAAAAAGAAGTCAAGGGAGAGTAGGCACATCATGAGGCAAAAACAGAAGCAAAAGAAAGAGAGTTGAGGTGTGAGGGAGGTGCCACACACTTTTAAACTATGTGATCTCAGTGTTAACTCAGAGCTCACTTATCACCAAGGGGATGGCCCAAGCCATTCATGAGGAATTTGCCCCCATGATCCAAACACCTCCCACCAGGCTCCACCTCTAACACTGGAGATTACAATTCAACATGAGATTTGGGTAGGGACAAATATTCAAACTATCTGACTTCTCTATGCTTCAGGTCCCTTATCAACAAAATGGGTGGGTATTGGTCATTTCTAAGGCATTTAACTAGTTCAAAACTCCATAAATCTATGAATCTGTAGGACATGAAAATGGCATGTTATGCTAACAAGAATGTTGCTCTTGGAAGATACTTTAGCCGAGATCCAAACGTAGGTCTCTCCTCCAGTCAAGGTAAGGCCTCCCTCTACTAGCAAGACCTTTGTGTGAATTATCAAAAGGCGCCGCCTCCTCACGGATGCATCACTGAAAGGCATCCCTTCTGCAAGACACAGGACTTTTCAAGAGCTGTGAGGGTTGGATTTTAGGCACCCCAGATGCTCACATGCAGAGCAGAAAAAAAGTACATGATGGTTCTGATATCAATGTTATTTCTGATCTAGTTGTGACATTTAAAGTTCCGGCTTCATGAGAAATGACAGATGTTCTGGCAGAGGTGTAGGCAATGATTTGTCCATGGTCACTACCAACCTTATATACATATAAATTCCTGAACACTGCAGCTTAGGAAAGGAGGTCCTCTTGGATTTTAACAATATTTTCCTTGGCACTTAACATTTTTGTAGGCAGAATTGTGTGTTTGCATTTTAAAAAATCTATTTTAGTTTTCTCTTTAGCCAGTCTTTTTTCAGGCTTTGGTATAATTATACTTAAGATGTTTTGGGCACAGCAAAATGATCAGATTTACAATGCACAGGCCACTGTCTATTGAGGTAGATTTACCATTCACCCCTTCTGGGTGAGGGCTGCTGTCACAGCCCCTCCTCTGCTGCGGAGCTGACAGACTGCATTTATTGCTCTTCCTGGGATCCCAGACACCCCTCTTCCCTTCTCCTAGGGACTTACTACCCACGGCTCAGCCTGTGACTCATCTCCCTAGAGTAGGTTGCACCACTGGCTGTCTGGTGGCTATTCAAGAGTCATTATTTATACCTGTTTAAATCCCCACTGGTCTCAAAGGCTCAGAGGAGGCGAGTCCCACCCCACAGATGTCTTTCTTTTAGATAGAATTAACTTAGGTTTTTAAATGTCCTAGAAGCTAAATACCTTCTTTGCTGCCTCACTAACTGACAGATGGATGGATTGTATTTTTTTTGTTCAATTTTGGCACTGTACTAGGTCGCCATGGGTTGGGCAGATCCTGAAGAGAACCAACTTGAGTCTGACAGTCCTTCCAGAACACGGCACCCACCTCCACCATATAACACAGCCAAGTACGTCCTTAAAATGAAAATATAAAATGGGAATATTATATATAAATGTACATATTGGGCAATTAAATAAAATAAACCACCTCTCTGACAACAGAAATTTATTGAGAGTGAGCTTAGAGAGATAGTCATCTTTAATCATCACTATCATCAATATCATAATGGCTAATATTTATTTATCAATCATTTACAATCTGCCAAACATTTGCTAAGCATTTTTCTGAATTGCCTAATTTAATCCTAGCTAAGTTGCTATTTTATTTTAAGGGCAGTCTCCTTTATTTTACAAACAATTTTCCAATAATTAATTAGTAAAAATGTTTAAATGACTCTGTATATGGTTTTTAAAATGGGATTGATGAATATGTATTTACATGGAAAGATGCCCAGGAGACATTTTAAATTGGGAAACGAACAAATCAAAAAAGCTGTTGCAAAAGATTTTCTTTTCAACAACTTTGAACTTTCTGCAAAAAAAAGATTTTGTTTTTCATTTGGAAATAGAAAATGTATATTATACATGTGTATATCCCATTATATAAAAATGATATTTACATACAAGGAATAATTGGTTACATTGTAATATGGTTAATTCTAAAGAATGGGATGGAAAAGAAGGAAGGGGGTGAACTCTCTTCTTTCACTTTACTCATGTCTCTATAATTTATTTTAACAACAAACACTATATTGATTTTTGTAATAGAGAACTTTTTAAGGTAAAAGTAAATGAATAAAAGATGTCATAGCCTCATCAAGTTCTAAGCTTTCTTTATACTACCCAAATGAGTGTTTCATCTAAGCTCTGAAGCAACAATGTAATGGCAAGCCTATAATCAATCATTCACAGTTGACTAAAGTTAAGTAAACCTAACAAAAGCAAAGAAGTCTGTATCTATCTATTTTTAATTGACCTAAATATAGATTGATCATAGTAGAGCATGCTGGCAGTTAGCCAGTTCCTTGTAATAATTTAATGGTGATGATGATAATTATGACCAACATTTATACAGTGATTCTCAGATTTACAGATTGAAAAGCAAGCTCACTTATAGGTTTCATCTGACCCTTATAGTGACCCTTTTAAGGAGATATTTTATGCTAGTAATAAAAACAGTCCTATATTAAGCACCTGCATTCCCAGGTGCCAAGCCCTGTACAAAGTGGACTACATATGCCATCCCATTTAATCCTCAAAAAGATGCTACGGATTAAGCATGTGTTAGGTTCAGCAGCAAGTTAGAGAAAATAAGTAACAACAATGGCTCAAAAAAATAGAAATGCATTTCTTTCTTTTCTAAAACCCTGGGCTTTGGTGGCGATTCCATGATCAGGAGAGACCCAGGGCTCTGCTCTTGTTCTACTGTTCTCAACACAGTTTACATTTCATGGTTCATGATGACTTCTCTAGCTCCACCCATCATGTCTGAATTCTAGCCATAAGGAAGAAAATAGCATTCTCCCTGCTTTTTAAAAGGATACTTCCTGGAAGTTACAGACACCGCTTTTATTTTGACCTCAGTGTCCAGTATTTAACCACATAAACACATCTAGCTGCAAGAAAGGGCTGAAAACATGGACTTTTTTCTGGGCATCTGTGTCTAGCTAACTTTTGGTGGTTATTTACTGATGAAGAAGGGGAGAATGGATATTGGGATAAAACTAGCAGTCTCAGACATAATATATTATTATTCTCATTCTACAAGTGAGAAGCTAATGAATATATCCACCATTACAAAGCTAGTAAGTGATAGGGTTAAGTTTGTTTGACTCTGAAGTTTATCTCTTTCCACCATAGTAGACTGTCTCTTACACTGTTAGTTGATTTATTTCCTAAGATAGTTAGAATTCAGCTAATCAGATATAAAACACTTTTTAAACAAAAGGCCAACTATCAAAATTTTGCTTTTGGCCTGGCTACCTATTTGCTACATCAGCTAGTGGGCTTACTAGAAATAAGCAGGTACCCCATACATGTGTAATTTTGGTTAATACATAGTTTAAAAATAGAAGTTTCTAGAATAAATTATAATCTTCCCATCTAATAGCTGTAAATGTGACATTCAGTAAAGAATAATAAGGAAATCTTTGGATAAAGAGGAATGACATCTCTATACCCATCAAGACTGGCCTATATCTCAATATAAGAAACTGTTTCATGTAAGATTGCATTAAAACAGATAGGGGGTTGGAATGACACTTGTTTAATGATTATTGCAATAACAGTGTAATACAGTTACATAATTAATTAGATGCTAAACGCTGTGTGTCTAAGAGTTTTATGCTGTAACAGAAGTAAAGGAGATTTGTGTGTGGCTACAACTGTGCTGTCTATTGAGCACTTGAAATGTGGCTGGTCCAAATTGCAGTGTGCTCTAAGTGTAAAATACACACAGGATTTTGAAGACTTAGTATAAAAAAATGTAAAATAACTCTATAGTTTTTATGTTAATTACACGTTGAAGTGATATTTTAGATATATTGGGTTAAATAAAACATAATAAATTTAACTTTATTTTCACCTATTTCTTTTTACTTTTTAAATGTAACTACTAGAAAAATTTAAATTACATATATGTAGTTTGCATGAGAAGCTCATGTGATGTACACTTTTTGAACAATGATGGTCTACACAAAGAGAAGCAAAGGAGAAGACAAGGACAGAGGGTCTTCACCATTGTTCAAGAAGAAAAAAAAAGTTCTCACTGTGGAGTGTCTTGAATCTCTCAGTCACTGGAGAGGGGACCTTGTTTCTGGGTCACAGTACTTCAACAGGATTTCTAAAAATGTATTTCAGGCTCTCTGAAAATTCATCCCATTCTCTTTTAAAGAACTCACCCTCAGGAGGGAAGGGAGGAGTTGAGGCAGAGAAATTTCCAATAACTAATTTGGTTTCCCAGATCTTCCAATAGAGGAAGGAGTGTCTAGGGGAAGCAACCAATGCCTTGTGGTTATTGGAAAGAATATGCCCCACTGGAAGCAAATGCATTGATTTTGAATCAATTATAGCACTTTTTCACTGCAAATAATAGAAAAACTGGCTTAAGCAATGAGGAAACATATTGTCTCAACACTAAGTCCAGAGATAAAGTAGGCTTCTGCTCCATTTTTCTGCAGTTTCTCAGGCTCTGCTTTTCTGGATATATTGGCTTTCTTTTCAAGTTATTTTTTATTTTTTTATTTTTATTTTTATTTGTTATTTTTAAAATTTCAAATTTTTTTAAATAACATGAATTCGTGGATTCATTTCTTCTTATTATTCTATTTAATTTTTACCACACTCTTTATCATTAAAACTTTCCAAAAAATAATCACACAAACTATTTTGCAGGCTTTTGTTGACCTTTATTTATTTATTCATGTAGTGAATATATTTCTTGAGCACCTACAATGTGCCAGACATAACACAATTCTTGTTCTTAAGGAGTTTGCCATCTCTCATTAGATAGAATAGACAAGTACACACAAATCATATTTCAAGTTTGTCAAAACGATAAGTTTCTTCCGTAGACTTAAAGTTACCGAAATTCAAGTCCAAAACTTTGTCTTTGAAATCCATTGGCCAAATTGGGTGGAAGAACCAGCCTGGTCAGTCCAAGCCATTCCTGAGAAGGGACTTGTATCAGCAGGTTTTTCTGTTCTTCAGTCCGTGCTTTGGATCCTTCAATGACTAATGCTTGTGGAATTGTATGATGAATCTTGCCAAATATCTTTGTCAAAGAAAGAGAGTAAGGCTTTAATTTTCTGTGAAATTCTGTTTTTCTTTTTGTCCAGGTGAAACACTAAGGAGGCTCTGTAAGGCATGACTCTGAAGAAGGCCACTATCTTTTACTGCCGTGACACCATTTCTCAGAACACATCACATGGCCCCTGAGTGGTCAGGAGTCCAGAGAAAAACAGTCAAGCCCTCCTTTAATAGTAAAATTTTTGTCTGACCCTCTCAAGTGGCTATGTAGATCTCTTGCAAATTGAACCAGAAGGTCTTTGGTTCAAGTTCCTGACTTAGCAATTTTGTATGTTATCTCACATACCATGATCAGGTTCTTTGTGGAAGTTCTCTCTTTAATTCTTCTTGAAATAGGTTTGTTTTGTTTTGTTTTTTTAATGCCTATTTGAAATCTGAGGAAACAAAAGCTCAGAAAGTGACTGGGTCCTTGACTTCCCAGCTCTTTACTACAGTCACTGGGGAACACAGTGACCCCATCCCTAATCGCTTCTTCAAGCGGTGCAAGTGACCCAGGAATTCCCCGGCCATTGCACAATGAACTTTCCATACCTTTATTGGGAATTCAGTTGTGGGGAGGAAATCAAGGCTTTCAAAAACATTATCAGTAGACAAAAATGAAGCCCCATCTGCATTTGAATTTTCTAGTTTCTCAGTGTCAGGCATTGAATTGTCATGGTTTGGCTCCCACTCGTTTTCTGCTTCAACGCTCAACAAGAAGACATGGAAGTGCAGCATCACCTAGAATTCACTTGGTAAATATTGTTGAAAGAAAGAATGAATGGATGCATGAATGAATGAATGAGCCCAGGTTTTCTCATCCTAGAGATTGCTATGAACTTCTGTCTTTAAAGATTGGTTTAATTTCAGGCCCATCTCAGAAAGAATAACCAGTTGGTGTGATGAAAAGTTTTTACGTATGGGGTTTCATTCTAGAGCTCTTATTACATTTCATTACCATTCTCCAGAGCAGACTTCTTTTTTTTTTTTTTTTTTTTTTGAGACAGAGTCTCACTCAGTCGTCCAAGAGTGGCGCGATCTCGGCTCACTGCAAGCTCTGCCTGCCGGGTTCACGCCATTCTCCTGCCTCAGCAGAGCAGACAATTTTAACTGAGGATTAGGAGAGCTCAAAATATCTTTAGCATGCCTCGATTTTCCCACACTTTTGACCAAGATACAGGAAAGAAAACAAAAAGTAGGGAGAATGACTAGCGAACTCTTAATTCTTCAGGTTGGAAAGAAATGCATTTCCTGTGAGTTGGAGAAGGTCCTTCCATTCTTTGCAGGTGAGTGGACAGCAGAAGCATTTTTCTTGGTATTCTAAGTAGAAGTGGCCCTGGAAGCCACTGAATTTTGGTTTTCACCAGTCAACTGACTTTGGTTGTCTTATGGGAAGTGGACCGCTAATCACGAGTGCCTCTCCTGGGGTATGCCATAAAATCCTCCCACTCCATTTCCTGGCACTATAAGCCCCTTGTTTTGACAGGTAGATCTTACCTCGTGATACAGATAATTGTTCCAATTTATGCATAATGTTTTTAGTGGTAAATTCATAACACACCATGTAGTGTTTAGAGCAGTGTATTGATAACACACACATACATATGTGTAGCTAAAGACTAATAACTTTCTATTTTGTCATTTACAACAATTTGCACTCATTAATGATTTTTTTCCCAATATTTATGATCCAGAGGTAGAGTCATTACAAATAAAGTGAGGGACCTATGGCAAGAGAGGGTTTGCTTTTCCCCAAACTACTCTCTATCATACCCCCTGACATCCTATCTCTATCTCCCTTCCCTAATCTAAAAAAAAGAAAACCACAAAATGTCTCCTAAAGATGTTTGTCAATGATTAAAATTCTACCATCAGTGGCATTTTTCCTTTGACAGACTGCATCTCTTAATGGTATATAAATTACTCTGGAGAAAGGTTAATGTTGTGATGCTATTTAGCCTTTCATGTTGATGGTGAAGAATGCATAGATCATGAATCTGCTAAATAAATCCTCACAGTGGTATTGGTGGTAGGTGAGACTGCACCAGGCAATTTTGAGTATCATGGGAAATTTTTGTCTACTGAACATTGTGGGCAGGGTTGGCACTCAGATTGTGCTTCTTGCTTTTTGCTCATGGCTATGGAAGAATAGAAAAGTGTTATATAATCATGAAAAGCACTTGGAACGACTCCTGGTACTATCAGCTTTGTTGAAATTTGTACTGACTTGAGTTATGTTAACTAAAGTCTAATTGTTAAAATATTTATTATCAGAATGTATTTCTGATAATGTTTATGCAATCAAGAAGTGGCAAAGTTGGCCTAAGAAGCCTAATGTATCTGATTCTAGATACAAACCTTATTGTTTTGGAATCATATACATTAGGCTTTTTAGGCCAACTTTGCCACTTCTTGATTGTATAAACTTCAACTCTCAGAGCCTCATTTTCAGTTAAAGTCTATTTAAGTCAAGAGTAGTCTCCCATTATCCACAGTTTCACAATCTGCAGTTTCAGTTAGCCCTGGTCAACCTGATAATATTAAATGGAAAATTCCAGAAATAAACAATTCTTAAGTTTTAAATTTTGTACCCTTCTGAGTAGCATGATGAAATCTCGTGCTGTCCTGCTCTGTCCTCCCTGAGACATGAATCCTCCCTTTGTCCAGAGCCTGCACGCTGTACACACTACTCACCTATTAGTCACTTAGTATCTGTCTTGGTTATCAGATTGACTGTCCTGGCAGCCCAGCGCTTGGACTCATGTAACCTTTATTTTACTTAATAATGGCTCCAAAGTGCAAGAGGAAGGATACTAGCAATTTGAATATGCCAAAAAGAAGCTGTCAGTTGCTTCCTTTAAGTGAAAGATAAAAGTTGTCAACTTTAGGAAGGAAAAGAATCATATGCTGAGATTGCTAAGATGTTCTATCTGTGAAATTGTGAAGAAGGAAAAGAAATTTCTGCCAGTTTGGTTGTCACATCGCAAATTGCAGAAATTACAGCCACAGTGCATGCTAAGTGCTTGGTTAAATGGAAAAGGCATTAAACTTGTGAATGGAAGACATGAACAGAAGTGTATTCCAATTGATGGCCATCAGGTGTGGTACTCTTCTAGGTTTCAGGTATCCACTGGGGTCTTGGAACTTATCCCCCATGGATAAGTGGGGGACTATTGTACCTATTTTATAATATTAGTATAGCATATTGTATAGTACTTTATAGTATTACATATTAAGTAAGATAATGTGTGGTGGTTATTTAACACAGTCTAGATTTACTTAAATAATAAAGGTAACAATGATGATAATGATGACTATAGATGGGACTTTAACAGATGCATGTCAAGGTTTTACTCTTTTCAGTTGCTGTATTAGTATTAAAAGAAAACCTCTTAGGTTCCTAAGTAAAGACATTTTTGATGACATGGTAATAAAATTTTTGAACATTAATGTCTTTTGACATGATAAGTCCAAATCTATACCTATTCCCAAGGCCCAACCTGGATCTATTATTACTAAAGATATTAATACATGCTTTGAGTTATTTGCAATATAAGTAAGTCAGATGCTACATATCGTCCTCTTTCCTTGACAGTCTGTGAGCTCCTTGAGTTCCATCCTGCATACTTTTTAGACTGTGCTTCCGTTTTGACTTCAATCATTTTCATAGAATTAACCTACAGTGATTCCTTACCCTGTATCCATCCATATACCCAACTACCTATGGTTGTCTCCATCTGAATGCCCCTCCCCAGCCCACCCTTACCTTCTCAGAGCCTTAAGAATTTGGTTTAGGTATCACCTCTTCTAGAAAACTTACCTTTCATATATAGTTCAAGAGTTCCTCTTCTGAGTACTTACACGTTACATTACATACTTCATGTAATGTGACTAGTTGGGAACACACATGCTTGATATATAATTAGTATATCATGAATAGTTAAAGTCACTTCGTCCTTTCAACCATTTCTATTTTCACACGCATATGCTCCACTTACCTTATTTATATTGAACACGTCTTACAGATTACTAATTTACTTATCTATGCTTAATGCATCTTCTGAGCTTCACCCATCCTGTTTGTTTTCTTGCCTTCTACAGCCGAATTAATTACTTGCAAATACACATTACAGATTATGTATTTTTATCATTCGATACCACCAATTTGAAATATTATCTCTCTTGAAATTTACCCTTGACAGTTTACCCTTTGAACCTAATCCAGGTATTAAAGATTTCTAATTTAAAGGAAAAACAATTTGTTCCTTTAAGTCTCAAGGTGATTTACAGAAGTCAAGTTAAATGGCACCTTGGTTAACTACTTAAACCTCTCTGAGCTTTAGTTTTCTCTATCATAAAAATAAGATTTTGTATCAGATACATGTGAATGCTGCCATTTCAGCCTCAGGGGCACGGGAGGATGTTCACATTTGGATGGTTTAGCAGATCATATGGAGTGAGTATCTCTCAGGTCTAAGGATGAGTGGAGAGGGTTGAATATCTAAATCAGTACAATGAAAAATACCCTATAAGGCTGGACATGGCAACTCATGCCTGTAATCCCAGCACTTTGGGAAGGTGAGGAAGGAGGGTCGCCTGAGTCCAGGAGTTTGAGATCACCCTGGAAACATAGTGAGACCCCAAAATTTAAAATTTTTTAAATTAAAAAATTAGCCAGACATGGTGGCAGGCACCTGTCATCCTAGCTACTTGGGAGGCTAAGGTGGGAGGCTCCTTTGAGCCCGGGAGTTCGAAGCTGCAGTGAGCTATAGTTGTATCACTGCACTCCAGCCTGGGTGACAGAGCAAGACCCTGTCTCCAAAAAAGTAAGATACCCTATAACACAGAAAGAAATGCTTGCTGCCATGTGGAGTTGCTTTCAAAGCTTTAGTGCAGTAGGCCTAGCCATGCCTTTTCCATAACCAGTTAGTAAGTAAGTGACCTGCTGCTGCATAAGGTGACCAACCATTCTGGTTTGCCCAGGAGTCTCCTGGTGTTAAGAGTGAAAATTCTGCAACCTGGGAAACCTCTCAGTCTCGGGCAAATCAGGATGGTTGCTGAACCTATTTCTTAGTCTCTTTAAGCATCAGTTTCCTCAAATATAGAGGGGGAGATATAGACATATCCATCACAGCAGTTACAAGGGCTAAAAGAGGTAATGAGAGTAGAGTGCTTAACAACAATGCTTTTACTATGAAGGCCATGAATATCATGTTTCTCAACCACCAATCTAGTTTGGGGTTTCATCATCTCTGAGTAAACTTGTGCTTATTTTTGTTTTATTTTACTTTATCTCATTTTTCAGGGAAACACATGTAAACTGTCAGAGAATGGCAAATGATTCCTCCTAAAACTGCTGGTTCTTAACAAACTTAAAGGATAGATTTTCCTCTTCTGCATATTATTACATGCAGCATTTGACTGCTAAGGGTTAAGGTTCCTCCTGTGTGTGGTGTTCATAGTTTCAAATCTTCAGTGCAGTAGGCTTAGCCATGCCTTTCCCATAACCAATTAGTAACTAAGTGACCTATGCAGATCATAGTTTCAGTCAGTATCTCCCAGGCAACTTATTAGCTTCCTGTAGTTCACTGTAAATCAGAATAGGCAAAATTTTCCCTGCTAACCAAATATAATGTTCAACCTAAACTTAGAGTTTCAAAACATTTCAAACAAATGCAGAGTGAAATGTTCGGTAAGTGTAGCCAGTTTTGACAATTACATTTTGAATGGCTGATTACATGTTTTACAGCTGTTTAAATTTAAGTGTTTCAATTTGGATGCTTAGTTACCTTCTCCCCTGTGAGATCACCTTGACTACTCTCTGTATTTACCCTTCCTTGTAGCAATGAGTTCTTTGGAAGAAGTCAAATCTCATTCTCGGTAGCAGAAATAAAGTGAGCAGTGAAATGTAAACAACGTCTCTTGACTTGACAAGATGTTCAAAATCCAAATCCCTCTTCACAGTGTAATAGCTGTTGACACAGTTTAAACATATATACTCTTAGCAATCATGTTGCTCCTCATTTAATGCTGAATTATTTGCCTCTATAAATCAAGCTGCAACATTTGTGGGCATCTATTTTCAAATGATTGTTTTAGCTTTGGAGAAGACTTCACTGAAACTTTCATCTCACTTTCTTTTCCCTAAATTTGAGATACTTTTGAATTTGCAAAGTAAACTGTTTTCTGAAATTCTATTCCTGGCATAGGAATGTATTTAGATGACAGAGGGAACTGATGAGATGTGAAGAGAAAAAGAGGGTTATTAATCCAAGTAACAGTTATATTGTGTTTGTCGTAGGTAATTTATCATTATGTGTTATCTCAACTCTTAGAAAACTGGCTTACTATGCCTTAGAGTGGCATCATCTCCAACACTCCGATTTACCTTCAGCTGTGTTTGGATGACCTGTCTTAAACTTCAAGGAAAGATTAACACTAAAATATCTATAGAGAATCAAACAAGGATATTGTCTAGTAGATTTTAGAGGAATAGAGATTGAGAGGCTGTTCCTAGATGGGAAGGGAAACTTTCAAGTCACAAGATCTGATACTAGGTGGGGCTCTTGCTCATTCTAGGGCCTATTCTTCTCTGCATCATTTGTCTATTGTTACATGACTTGGTGGAACAAATCAACAGCAATCACTTGTTGTTATTATGACTTCTCATGGTTTTGGGTGCTGACTGGACTCAGCGAGGCGGTTCTTATTGGGGTATCTGATATGGCTGCAGGCAGTGATTGCAACATCTGGTGCTCCTTGATCACCACTCTCTATCATGAGGTCTTTCCAGCACTGAAGCTGTGGGGTGTTATATTCCCACATGGCTCTTCAGGAGTTCAAAGGCACACAGAAGGTTTCCAATTTACTTCTTAGTTCCTCATTATTAAATATGAACACACAGCCAAGGATCATCAGGCATTTGAGAAAAATGTCTAACACAAATGATAAAGAGTAAAATAAAACAGGAAAAAAAGGAACTTGGAGGAAATGGATATAATAACATATCATATGGGCTTCCTCTTTTCCAGTTACTGTTCTGAGTGCCGAATACATTTTGCTCTCATTTGTACCTCACAATAATGCCATGCGTTACTGTATACTCTTATTGTTTCTATTTTACTGAGACAACTGATGAGCAGAGTTTAGATAACTTGCCCAAGGTCATAGGCACAGTCAATGGTGGTGTTGATTGACATTTAAGCTGGATGCAGAGTCTAAATTTCCAGCCAGTACACCATATACTGGAAACCATTCATGGAGTAACAGGAAAAGTTTCTGTAAGCAATATCCCCAGAAACAAAAGTAGATTTTGCACCCATGAAAAAGAACAGAATGCTATCTAAAAGAAATAAATTTTTTAAAAGCTCTTTAAATTAAAAAAAAATACAGTAGCACAAATAAAAACAGAAGAATTTAAACACAAAATTTGAGAAAATCAGAAACTGAAATAAAAATCAAAGAGATGAAAAACAGTATAGAAAAGACAAGAATCAGAGGTTTCACATCCAATTAACCCATTTATGCAGGAGGTTGCAAATTTTTTTGTGTGAAAAATCAGACCTTGGTGATGACCTTGGGCAGTAAGATATAAATAACTCTCACAAGCTTAGTGTTCCAATAATGGAACACTAGGCATAAATGGATTAATAGGAGTTTCACAAACAGGAAAGAGATATAACAGAGGGGATAGCATTATCAAGGAAATCATAGAATAAACATTTTTGGTACTGAAGGACACATTCTCAGATTGAAAAGTCTGATTAAGAACCTAACACAATGAATGAAGAAAGACCCACATGAAGCAAGGCTTATCATCAGGAAGCCAGAGATAAAGAAAAGACCTTAAAAGTCTCCCAGAGAGAAAAATCAGTTCTCATTACAAGGATTCAGAATCCGGATCAGATTCCACTGAACCTCTCAACAGCAGCATGGGCTCCATTCCAGTCGGAGCACTGCCTTCAACATTCTGAGGGAAAATGATTTCCAACCTTGAGTTTGGCACTGTGCCAAGCCACAATCAAGCATGAGAACAGAATAAAGATATTGTTGACATGCAATACCTCAATATATTTACCTCTCAAGTCCTCCTTCTCAAGAGGCTGTTGAACTATTTGCTTCTTCAAAATGAGAGGGTAAATAAAAAAGAGGAGGACATGAAATCTAAACTATACAGGGCTGATTAAAAATGAGAAGGAATGGGAATACTCAGAAAAAAGCAGATGAAATTTCTAGTACCACAGCAGTTCAGGCTACAAAATCATTTTTGGTAAAGACTTGCAAGGGGAATAAAATTAGCCATTTGAGAGTAGGATGAACTAAGGAATCTCTGGAAAAATTCTTCTAGAGAGACAGTCTTGGGACTCTGTGTCTGTTTTATAGGCAAAACACAGAAACATTTGCTCATTCCTGGTTATCCCTCACTCACACAAGAAACCTTATTTGAGACATAGGAAAAATAATCAAAATGAAAATAAAGTTATGTCTTCGAATCACATGTCAAGATTGCTCTTCACTAAATATTGAGCTTTATTGTCATTTGAATGAAGAGATACAGTTAGGAATAACAGATTATCTGCAATAGACCAGAGAAGCAAAAGGACAGACAGCCCCAGGAGTAATGTCTCCATGAAAGGAGAAGTACTACTGATAGTTCACCTAATGTGTCTGATTTTACTGAGAGTTTAGCAGCAGTATCAGAAAATTTGAGATTGCGTAAATGATAGGCACATAGGAAATGAAGAAAACAAAACAGTGCATGGCTATTTTAAAGTTTAGGAATAATGAAAATTAATATGAGAAAAGAAATGTAAATTACAAAACATGGCATCTTTCAGATGTGAGTGATAGACACAGTGACATCAATGGAAATATTAAATATTAATTTAACCCCAAAGTCTGTTACAGAATAAGAAGATGGAAGGAGGGACATGTATTTGTGGTGTGTGGTGAGAAGCGTGCATCAGACTGCTTAATCTTCATTTCTCTTACAGGGATATCATTCAATAATGATATCTAAAATTGAAAAGTCAATAAAGTGGGCAGGTAGTTTAGAAATTCAGAAGTACACATAAACAAATCAAGTGTGGAAGATCCTGCTTTTGAAGTGGGGCAATGCGGCAGGCAAGCTAATTTTATTAAAAGCTCTCTAAGTGCTATTTTACTTTATAAAAGCATGTATCTGTGCATTACTCTGATAAAATTAAAAATTAAATAGAATTGAAGCTCCAATGAAATAATATTTATCAAATATTTATCAGTATCTCCTACCTGTATCTATGATTGTGACTAGAAACTAAGAGCTGTTGCCCTGCTTGGTATGACTATGGATTGAACAGAAAACATCCTGTTGCAGGAAGCCTGAATTCCCTTTATGGAACAGATTTCTTTCCACTGAAGCACTGAAGGACACTTTTAAATTGCTCTTGTTACTTGGAGTAGTAACACACTGGTCTACCCTCAGTCACTAATTTTCAAAATAGTTCATCAGTTAAAAGAGCATCATTTAGGAGTGCCTTGAGGAAACAAGTCAAAGGCTAAAGCATTCAGAGGGTATAGAGTGAGGCAAATCTGGTCCTTGGGGACCCACCTAGAAGTTCTGTCTGCAGGGACAGAGCTGAACAAGAGGGGTAGAGGCTTCAGGCTGAGGTATAGCAGTGTCACCTGGAAAAACTGGGCACCAGAGAAAGCGTGGGGGAAGATTGGATAGTAGTATTCAAAATAATACATTTTTCTATTTCATGGGTTTGCCATGGGCTTGTTTTGCAAAATTAAAGACCTCTATGGTTTTATCCATTGAACAGACACATTTGGATTTAAATATCTATAGAAGTATAAGAATTATCTTTATTTGCTTTGGAAAAACTTCAAAACAATAATTTCTTTTTCTAAATGTAGTGTCTTCTAAAGATATTTAGTAACCTGATCTAAACAAGAAGGTCCTGATACAAACAAAGTGTGAGGGGGGAAAAGGACAATGCATTTTTTTTAACTGCAGTAGGAAAGGGAAGACTTGTTTTTATAGCCTACTGAAAAAATTATTAGCATTATATTTGAAAATAGATTTAAGCAATGTCTCTTGTTATCTTTCTAATCTCCTGAGTGAAACAGTAACCTTCCAGCTCATTCATACTAAAACTTCTGAGTTTCTCTCCTACAATTAACTTGTAGGTTCACAAGATTGTTCTCTCAGCAACTTCTTTGGATTGGTGCCTAACTTCATGTAACACATACCTTTTTTACTGTTATGATATTTCAGCATCTCTAAGCTGTACTCATTTTTCTATCTTCTCATAGACTTTTTTAAGAAATATATCCAGTATCATCCTCATCTCTTAATCCTCTATTCCTCCTAATCACTTCCTTTACCCCAAATCTCCTTCCAAATAACTTTTGTGTAAAGTAGAAACTACCTTTAAGGATATTAAAACCATTGGTTTTAACATTGTTGAAGGGGAAGTTAAGAATACATTTCAAACATTTTAAATATCCATAGTCAGTAACCTTTGGGAATAAAACCTAGAAAGATAATCAGAAAAACACACATTGGTATTTGCTATAGTGTTATTTAAAATTGAATTGAAATTACTTAAATGTTCATCAATAGTGGATTGGTAAAATATGAAAACAGAATCTAATATGATGCAGCACTTTAAGTGGTGAGTTGGAGATCTCTCTATCTAATCATCTACTTATATTTACATATTTTAAAGAATATATTGTTAATTTTAAAACAGTATGGTATTATAGAGGAAATAAAATGTGTCTTCTGCGTTCTTGTGGTCTCTGACTGGACCTAAAAGTCAAATTGACATAGATAGATGAACAGGAGAAAAGCACATATGTTTTATTAGAATGGCACATGTGCATGGGAATCCTCACAGGAAAATGAAACCATGAAGAAAGGACCAGAGCAGAAAGCATATGTACCTTTTGGACAAAGAAGTGATGAATTTGTGAAGAAATGACAAGACAAAGTGGTTTGGGCTAGGGGCAGTTAATTGCGGGGAAGTGATAAAACATTAAGTGGGGAAAACTGGTGGACAATAAGAGTTATTTTAGTAAATTTGTGTATATGGATTCATTTTAGTGTTGATTCCCAGTCTCTGCTGATAAGGATGTTCTTCACTTTTTGATACAAGGAAGGCAGCTTTTTCATAGGAAATTTTATGGACTGTTTTTAAATAGAAAAGGGGTGGTCAGAAAGCCCTTCTAATACCTATTGTCTTCTAAGTGTCTTTTTTTTTTTTTTTTTTGAGACAGGATCTCACTCTGTCACCCAGGCTGGAGTGCAGAGGTGTAATCTTAGTTCACTGGAGCCTCCACCTCCTGGGTTCAAGCAATTCTCCAGCCTCAGCCTCCCAAGTAGCTGGGACTACAGGTGAGTGCCACCACTCCTGGCCAATTTTTGTATTTTTTTGGTAGAGATGGGGTTTCACCATGTTAGTCAGGCTGATCTGAACTCCTGACCTCAAGTCATCGCCTATCTTGGCCTCCCAGAGTGCTGGGATTAAAGGTGTGAACCACCATGCCCAGCCCCAGGTGTCTTTAAATCAAAATAATCAATACGCCAAAGGGACATATTTTGGGGTGGAATGTCCTGAACTCCTTCAGTATTATCTCATTTGTTTTAAAAAATGTGTATGCCTAATGTCTATCCATATAAATGTCTGAAAGGATGTTCATGAACATTTTCATAGTGGTATTCTTGGTACCTAGAAATATAGGTGGGTTGCATTGGGTTTAAACAATTTTTTAATGAATTCCCCTATTTTGTTTTGCTACAAGTAGGCATTTTTTTAAATCAGAAAGAAAGAATAAGTTATTTTCATTTAAAAATACATATGGAAAATTAATTACTCTTTAAGTTCCCTACAAATCGTTTCAATAAAGAGTTTACCCTATTCTTGATATATCTGAATTAATTATTTGGTAAAAATAGCTAAACAGCTTTCAAATCATAAAGCAATAGTCTTGGAAGCAGCTCCAAGATATTGCCCTGATCTTTGAGCAAGATAATAATTAAGTGAAATACTTTTATATATTTTTCCATGGGGATATATTTAGGGGCAGTGTTGGGAGTATAATTAAAAGGCCAACCATAAATCTTAAATGGAAACAGCAATGCCTTTTGGGCAGAGGCAGTAACTGCTTTCATACACTGAGTGAATATCACTAATGAGAACATTTTATTACATGTGCACAATGGAAGTCAAAATCTCACTGTTCCATGAACACATTGTGAAATAAAGTATGCCGACTTGTCAGAAACCCTAGGAATACAAATGTGAGTTTTAAGTTTCTTAAGTAAGACAAAAGTGCAAAAGTTTTGACTGTACCATACACATACTTTCTGCTCATCAGCGGAAGTTAGCACAACTTGATTAGAAAAATTGACCAGAGAGAAACTGGAGTATCTAGAACCTAAAGAAAGGTTGTATTCACCTGCAAAGCTCAGACTCATTGAAATACAAATGAAGTGGATTTCTCAGAGCTTTCAGAGTCCCTCATGTTAGTTCCTAGTTTTATCCAATTTTCTTGCCCAGCAGTAAATATGGATTGCTTTTGTAAAAATTTTTGCTTTTATACTAATTGTTATTGCTCTTATTAGTGAGGACAAGTAGCTTGGATTAGGTCCAATTTAAGGTCTGTGGAAATTAGTTTGGTTTCCTTCCAGACCAAGCCAATGAAAATAACTGGTTCCATTCATTTATTAGTCCAGATAAACAGAGCCAGTTTTATTCTGGGCATAATGCTTATCTGTGTGACTGACCTGCACTGAAGCAGAGGGGAAGACAGAAACCATGAAAGGCAGAAACTGAAAAGTTGGCCTCTTTTCCCAAGAGCTAATTGTGTTCCAGAGCAAAGAGAAATATTACGCAGAAGAGCTGATGTTAAGAGCAACAGGCTGTCCGGTGTTTTGACCTTTGATAGGGAAAGGTCAAAGTAATTACTGATTAAAGTAATTTTACAGTGTATTCTGCAAGAACAGTTTTTCTTAGTTTGTACTCAGCTTAAAGATACACAGGAATGCAAATGAAATTACTCACTAAGGCACTGCTCCCTATTTGAAAACAATACTTCTCTCTTTCCCAAACTGTGTGAAACATATTTCCTTTCAAAATTAGATTACCACTTTCTTTTATTTTGAGATCTTTAAAATAATTCTACAAGTTCTTGAACTACTCAGAAATGAACTTGTAATAAAATCAAGATTGGGAAATACTGTTTTATTAATTTGAGCATTAATTTCATGATTGCATATTACTTAGCCTCTAACTAGCCACTATGGAATTGACCAAAAATGGCTTATCTCCAGTAGTTATTCTTTCTTTAATTAATTTTTAATAAAAATATATTAGCATGGTAAAAATCACATAATACAAAGGACAGGCAATGAAAAGTGTGCCTGCTGCGTAGTCCAGATTCCCATCCAGAAATAATCACTATTTGTACTTTCTTGCTGATCTTTTCAGAAATGTTCCATGCCTACATAGCATTCATGTGTACTAAATAAATATACAAAGCACAGATAAATATTTATGTCTCACAAATGGAAATCTTCCTTATACCTATTCTGTACTTTTCTTTCTCTCTTTCTTTTGTTTGTATTTGTGATTTAATTTAAAAACATGTCCTGGAGATCATTCCAAATAAGCTCACATAGATCTATATTATTCTTTTTAATGACTGAATAATATTAATTATATGGATATATCATAAATTAACTAGTTCTCTTTTGAAGGACAGTTGGGCTGTTACCTGCTTTTTCTCCCTATAAACAATGCTTCGAAAAAATAATAAACTTTCAGATATATATGTCTTTGCACATATGTATAAGTATGCATAAGTAGAATAAAATTCCAGAAGTGAAATTGCTCGGTCAAAGTCTCTCTGCTTCATTTTGAAAGCTCCCTGGGTAATAAATTTGACAAAATTTTGTCTTCATTGGAATAACTTCACAATGAAAATATTAAAAAGCCAAGAAGCTCACTGTATAAGATAGAAACAGTGATGGGCATTGATTTGAGGTCAATAATATACTCATTTTTGCATGTTCAGTGCATTTTAAAAAATCAGCATATCGATGCAGCTAAACCAAAGAGAAAGGTTCTCCACAAGCTTATGCCCCTTTAAAACACATGCAACTTTCAGTTCCTGAAAGAATTTGCCACCAAGTTGTGAAGAAGATAACCTTCTAGAGCATTTAAAATTAAATTCTCCAGTAATTCAGTTGAGATCTGCAAGTCTCTATTGCCTGCCCACTCTTTGCTAAGCCCACATAAACTGAAAAAAAAAAAAAGGATTCTCTACTATCCATGTACTTTAGGGACATGGGAGTGAGAGAAAGCAACTGAACAAAGAGTTTAATGAAAGAGCCCTATTTGGGGCCTAGTTTCGGTGTAACTTGGAAAATTATTTATCACATTTCTGATATAACATAACTTTGTTTCATATGAGGCGATTTCTATTATATCACTTATCATGGGACAAAACTCTGTTATATAACAGGTGATATAAGGAAAGTCATATTTCTCTAGCACATTGTAGGTATCAGTAAATGTATTTTGAAGGAAAAAAGGAAGGAGGAAGTTAAGGACAAAAGGACACAAAAAACAAAAACAGTCTCCAGCATGCATCATCCAAAAATATTTCCTTCATGTCTTATTCATCTTTGTGTCTCCATCGCTCATGTGATGTCCCCAAGTACACATCTTCCATCTCTCTTGACTGCTTTGCTTTTTCTGTAACATGCACACACACACACACTTTTTGCCCTTTCATGCTTCTATGCCTTTGCAACCATTGTTGGTTTCATCAGGGAAGGCATTCCCTGCACTAATCCACCCAGCAATAGTCTACCTAATCTTGCATTGCTGACTCAACAATCATTACCTCTCCTTCCAATCTGGAAGGTACACCCATGCCTTCCTCTAGGATTGCATGCTCCTAGGGGATATCTCTTCATTTTTTGAAGAGATGGGGTCTTGCTATCATGCCCAGGCCATGATGAGAAGGCCATGTCTCTATTATAGTTTTTTTTTCTTCCTGATCCCTTATTCTTCTGAACTATCAGTTGGACATATCTGATCTTTCTTGCAATATTTATTACATACCATCTTTATTATGATTACTTGTGAGTGTCACTTATGACTAGGCTATAATTTCTTTCATGTCTTCCCTAAAAATACAAGGAACATTTATATTTCTTACAATGTTTATCACAGTGCACTATAATAAAAAATAGCATCTACTAACCAGGTAATATGGTAATTTAATGGCTTATATTGTATCACTAAACACTTGGTAATAATAGCAAATGGTTATAGGGCTTACCATGTGTAGTCACTTATTAAAGTACTTTATATCATTAACCTGTCTGTTTAATTTACAACTACTGAGAGGTCAGTTTGCTATTATCATTTCTATTTTCAGATGTGGAAACTGAGGTACTGATAAATTCAATAATTTGCCCAAGTTTAATAGCTAAGTGTTAGCACCAGACTTCAAACTGAGGCAGTTTGGCTTCAGAGTCCATGCTCTAAGTCATTATACAAGACTGCATTGAGGCCTGAGGAGATGTATACCTCAACACTTTGGGCTAAACATCACAATTCCTATTTTAGAGTGGAGGCTTAGAGAAGCAAAATAACTTATTCACAGTCACCACAGCTCATTGGTGAAGATGGGTTCAAAATTATTTTTAACTCTCAAATCCATACATTTTCTACTGCCTATGCTTCAACTGGAATCAAAGTTCTACTTCTCCCTCAGGCATGGCTCAAGTCACAGTTTGTATTTTTCAGGAGAAGTTTTTGCCTGCCCAGCATCTGTTTCCCCCAAGCACACTGCTATTTCTTCAAGGATCTATCCCCTGTCACTCTCAGTCCACAGAGGCAGCATAAGATTTCTATTGCCCTTATGTTTACATATCTTCTAGCCAGCAGGATTTGAAGCTCCTGAGAACAGGGATTCCTCCCAACTTCCTCCTTGTCCTCCTTCCTTCCTTCTTCTCCTCCTTCTTCTCCTTCATTAGGGTGAATCTTATGCATGATACGTAGTAGGAGTTGAAAATATTCATTGAATGAATTGCTTGCACATGGTACTTGCTCACTCGATGTTTGTGGGATTGAACTGTTTGTCAAATTCCATAGCAAATAAAATGGGGCTCACCAAAATGTTAGAATGTCAGTAGGCAGAGAGAGAGATTAAGTATCATATATGCCCCAGGAATCCTCTACTTCCTTGTACCATTCAAGGACAAGAGTATTTGAGGCACTGGAGGTTTCTGAGGCAGTTTTTATGGGAGGGACCACGTAGAATACTTAAGCATAATCTAACCTGTTAGTCATAAGGGAGCAACCATACTGACAGATTCCTCATCTTAAAGGGGGGAAAAAACACAACATTCTCCGGATAGAGCAGTAAAGGGATTATGATACCTGTGTCGATGGCAAAAATCAAGTAATTCCTATGCAGTCCTGGACTGAATCAGATTAAGACATTTAGAGTTTCTAAATAGTAAAGAAGATTACAATGTCCATCCACCTTCTACCCTTCCAAAAATATAGTTAAACAAAGAAACCAAACAAAACAAACTCTAAGCCAAAAACAAATATAACAAAGTCCTGTGAAATTCCAATTTTTTCCACTGATAACTTTTTAAAAAAGCATCATATATCTATGTTCTTCCCAAAAAAATGTTTATAGGAGCCTTCCCTGCTGTGTCCTAAATATGTTCTTGATTGATTTTTCTTTTGCATAGTTTTGTGCTGCCTCTAAGATGAAAAGCAATGGTGGTGTATTTGCTGACACAGTCATGAAAAGGTAGCCTCTCAGATTATGTCCTCTGTTGCTGCACAGTGACCCTGACTTCAGACTTACTGGTCTACATAGATTGTCTATTTCTAGAACACTATTCTATTCAATACTATAACCGACATTCACTTTCCTTGTTCAAAAACCACCAGTTATTTCCCATTATCCACAACAATATTGCCCTGAGTATTTTCTGAAGAAAGCAGTCGTAATTTTCCTAATATTCCTAATTTTGCACTGCATCTGCAGTACAGAAAAAGTGCTTTGAGGTCGCTCCTGTATGGGCCACTCTATCTCATTCATTGGGGATATCATATTACACTTATTATCATATAAAGGCCCTAATGGGTAAAGAAGGTGAACACAATGATAATATTGGAGTCCCAAACATTTGGCTTTGAGATACCATATTTATCAGGGAATGAGATAGAAATGAAGAAGGCCAGTGTAAATGAGGAAGTTAGACAAGATGCAAATAATTATATTACCATTATTCTTAGTACTATACTCTAGTTCCTGCTTCTAATTAAAGAACCTCATATTTCAATCAGTTACTGTCCACACTGCTGAGCCTAGTTTAGGATGATTATATTTTTGACTCTGCATAACATAAAATTGTAGGAGTGGAGGTGAAAAAGTTCAAGGGAGAGGGGTATGAAAAAGGAAGTGTTTACCAAGAGAAAATTTAGCATAGGTCTGCATTACTTCCTTGTGCAGCCATTGATACTTCTTGTTCTGCTGGTTTTAGTCTAAGTTTTCCATTTTATATCTCTATTTGCTGAAAGACAACAAGAGAAAAGCTGGGCCTGGAAAAGAATTGGCCCACAAGATAGTTTTAATAATGGCTAATATTTTGAGTGCTTACAATTTGCAGTCACAGTGCTAAGACTTTGATCATCTGACTAAACCCAGTGCTCATGATGTAGGCACTATTGTTAACCTAAGTTTACAAATGAGGAAATGGAAGCTTAGATTGGTTAAGAAAAAAATAAAACTAACCAAGGCACACAGCTGTGCTTTAATCACTATTCTAAAATGACAAATGAATGATGTGAGTATAATAACCTGAGATGAGACAATGGCTGAGTAAGAAGGGTCTTGGCCTAGGAATAAAAGGGCTCCGTTTTTCATCTGCCTCGATTATGGGGTTATTGTGAAAAATCAGCTAATGTCTCTTTTAAGGCCTCTGTAAATGTACACGAACCAAAAACACAATGCATTACTCTAGTACACATAAGACAGAATGGTTTGAGAATTAGGAAAATCCCATCAGAAAACTAAAATTGAGGGAGTCCACACTTAATATTAGAGGGAGAAAGATGGCTATATGACTATTTGATTAGGTATTCTGATGTTTGGGGCAGACAGAGGAGGATGGGCCCAAGATGCTTTGTAGGAAAGCAAAAAAGCAAAAGAGGAAATACCAAATGAGGATGAGTAGGTGTTGGCTAGCATAGCATGGAGATGTTTAGACAAAAAAAAAAAAAAAAAAAAAAAAAAAAAAGGAGAAAGCAGCAGAAGGAGACAGAGACACCTAAAGCCCAATTCCAAACTAGAGAAACAAGGAAGTGGATTTTTCTCTGGCTGCTGGATTGTCTATGTTTGCCACTGTGGCTGCTGAAACAAATGCTAACCTACTTGGTCTTGTGCATATTTGTTTTGTGGATGCATGGGCCATCTGTGTTCCGTCTATAAGCTTCGCTTGCTTTGCTTTTCTTTCCTCTCTTTGTCTCTTTCTTCCTTTCTTTCTTTCCTCTCTTCTCCTTCCTCCCTCCTTCTCTCCTTCCCTTCCTTCCCTTCCTTCCCTTCCTTCCCTTCCTTCCCTTCCTTCCCTTCCCTCCCTTCCCTTCCTTCCCTCCCTTCCCTCCCTTCCCTTCCCTTCCCTTTCCTTTCATTTCCTTCCTTCCTTCCTTCCTTCCCTTCCCTTTCCTTTCGTTTCCTTCCTTCCTTCCTTCGTTCTTTCCCTCCCTCCCTCCTTGGAAGCTCATGAAGTTGAATTTGAGATTTTTGCCAAATATCTTAAACCAGTGGTCTTCAAATTTAGTAAGAATTGGAATCCCTGAGATTTGTTTGCCAGATTTAGCAATTAAAAGTACAGGATACTCCATTTAATTTGAATTTCAGATAAATAATAAATTTTTTTTTAGTATAAGTATGTTCCAAATATTGCATGGGACAGACATACTTATACTGAAAATTGTTCATTGTTTATCTGAAATTCAAATTTAACTGGATGTCCTATAATTTATCTGGCACCTCTAGCTGGGGGAAGCTTGTTAAAATACAGATTTACTAGTTTCATCTTCTAACTCTGTCAGTTAGTCTGAAATGGAGCCACGTGGGCCTCCAGGTGATTCCAGTGCAGCTTGTTCTTGGACAACACCTTGAGAGATACTGGTCAAGCTCGGATGATGCTGACTTGAGGCTGAAACATTTCAGGAGGAGAGAAGGACACCTGGGAGAGAGGAGGGAGCTATGCATAACCATGGTAAACCCAGGGATGCTAGAGGACCTGGTCCTTGAGTAAGACCAGAAATAGCTCTGAGTGCTAGGACCCCAGTATGGTAACAAAAGAAGACACTGATTGAGCCCCACTGTTGTCATTTAATCCTCTCAACAGCCACATGAGAAAGATAACTCTTATTGTCTGTATCTCATTAGATGAGGAAATAAGAGCTCAGGATTAATTAACTTGTCAAAGGTCGTATAGGTAGTACTGAGTGGAATCAGGGTTTGATCCAAGACTGGTTATTTCCAAAGTCCACATTCTGAGCCAGTCCTATGAAAAAATAGTAGGCTTGAGGAGTTTTGTCAATACAACCATGTATATATATTGCTAAGTTACCTAAAGTATAGTCAGGGATGTGACATTTGCCCTCTGGAAGTGCTCAAACATCTCTACATTCTAATATATAACAGGCAAAGTGTCTGGGCATTTGTGAAAAGCCTAAAGATTTAAGCTACTAAAATATTTGGAGACTGATTAGTTGAGATATTGTTTAAGGAAAGCTTTTTTTGTCTAGAAGGCTCAGCCACATCGCCAAACCCATCATCCTAAAGGAAAGTATGTCAAGGGACCACTTCCTTTGGAGAATAGACCAACAATTCTCTCACCAGTTGACTTGAGACAGCTGAAAAGGCTCAAGAGAATGTCAGATAAGACCACTAGATACAGGGAACAGGTCAGTGGAGGAATTGGAGCCAATTAGACTAGAAGAAAGACAGCTCGAAGAAAACATGGCTAAGGATTCCTAACATTTGTAGAGCTGGTAAAGAGAAAAGGCAATGGGGAAGGAGGGATATGACTTGGAAAAGGATTTGACTCAATAACTATGTGGTACATTGCACTGTTATTCCAGATATTTACGGCTGTTCTCTGGGTTGTCTTGCTCCTGGCCCTGTCCTTCTCTGTGGGATGACTCCATGTGATGCATGTTGGCTAATGACATGTGGAAGCTCTAATGGCCAGTATACGATCCTCCAGGACCTCTTTTCCTCTGCCATGAGATCAGAAATGTCCCAGAGAGGGGCTTCTCCCTCAGCCAGGATCCCAGATGGATATCAATATATACCAGAGCCAAGCTGATTTGATAGGCACATAATGTTAGCCAAAAAAAAAAAAAAAAAAAGAAAGCCTCTGTTGTATTAGAGCTGACACTTTAGGGCTGTTTGTTACTGCAGAACAGCTTAGCTATCCTGACTGGTGAAATAAGAAACCACACTCTAAAGTCGAAGTTGTCTAAGCATGGAAAGGACTACTTGAGGAAGTGTTAGGTTCCATGGACTGGAAGTACTCGATATAGCTATACTACCAGTTTGGAGGATGTTAAAGAAAAACAAAAACAAAAACAAAAAAATGTCCTGGAGAGAGGTGGATTGAAATTTTGGCTGAGTAATTGGATCTTAATCTGTTCTCCATACCTGAGAGTCTATGCTCTGTTAATGGAAGATACAAGTAGGTACAAACTGAACAAGACAAATTGTATGGATCCATGCTTTCAACTCACTTGAAGAAGAGGAACACAGTGACATTAGGGTAGATTAGTATCAATTTGTGGTTACTGAAACTTATACTTGTTTGAGAACAGGCTTCTGCAATGTAACTAAAAGGAGAGTTAAATATTTATATGGTTTGAGATTAACCATAAAAGACCTTCAGGGGAGGATTAGAACACAAGAATAGCTAGGGAAAGTGCAATTTGGTCACTACCATGAGCCTCTCCCCAGAATGCTGCTAACTGTTAGTTGTGCAGTGCCAAGCCACACACTTGGCCAGAGATCAGAGAAGACAGGGTTACAGGGTGGGATACCACCATTCCATCAGATCCACAGTGCCCAGAGAAATATCTGGGTAGTATTCATTCTCTTCTTCTCTCTCCTCTTTCCTGTTTATTCCCTTCATAATCCTGAGCTTTCACCCCTTCTTCCCTTTCATTCACCTCTCACTCTTAACTTCATCTCTCTTAATAATCTAATGTCTCATTATTTTCTCATCTGTCCATGATCTGACCTTGTTCCCATTGATTCATCCACATAAGTCACCAGTGAGAAAGCTAGGAATGAAAAAGCATAAAAACAAAGCAGAATTATAAGAGGGAAGATTTTATTCATAAAATGAATTAATCAGCATGTAGTGGTATGTGCATTATGTGCAAGCATGGCTTGGGGAGAAAAAGAAATCTTGTCCAAACTTCAGCTCCACTGCTTATGCCCTGGGTGGCCTTGAATGAATTTCTTAGCCTCTCAGTGTTCTCTGTTTTCTAACACTTAAGATGAGGCTAATAACTACCTAGCAGTGTTGTTGTGAAGATTAGATAAAGTACGTTATACCATTATCACATAATAGACACCAGATAAAAGGTTGCTATTATAGATTACATAACATTTTAGTTCAATTTGGATCTGTGTTCACCACTTCTTATTTCAGCTTAAATGCATTAAAAGCTGGACCATTTTCTGTTGGTATTTTTTCAGTGTCTACAATTTTGCTGGGCATAGGAAGGTTTAATAAGTATTCTAATACATGGAGCAAAAATTGACTTCTGGGAATATTCTATATTATTTTTAACATATAAATAAATAATGGTCTAAACGCTTATCTTCCCCCAAATTTATATGTTGAAGCCCTAACCTCTAGTGTGATGGTATTTGAATGTGGAACCTTTGGGGGGTGCTCAGGTTTAGATCAGGACGTGAGGGTGAAGTCCCCATGATGGAATTAGTGGCCTTATAAGAAGAGAAGAGAGGCCAGAGAACTGTCTCTCCACCATACAAGGACACAGCAAGGGCCCTAAGAGGAGATCATTTAAACCACCTAGTGCATCATATTTTGCTATAGTAGTCTAAACTGACCAAGAATATGTATATTTATAATCTCTTTCTAGTTTTGTGCTCAGTAGCACCCCCATATTAGAAAAATTGAATGAAATTTGGGGATACTGCCTTAGTGTATAGAATTTGTAGTGTCAAAGATTTTTCTTATGATCTGAGTCCTATACACAAAGAAGAGAACAGGCACAATCCCAGCCTTTAAGAATTTTACATTCAAATGAACTAGGGCATTTAGGCAGATCCTTTCTGTCCCGTACCAAATATTCATTCCTCTGTGTCCTTTGCTACTAGAATTTAAGATTTTGTTTGAATTGTCAATATGCCTTTCCTAGGCAATGTCTCACAATGGTGCCAAAAATGAGAATCTTGTTTTCTGCTTTTCCACTCTTTGAAATTTGTGGCCTTGAGATGTAAGGAGTCGCCGCTAGGAGAGCTTCCCGGAAAGCTTTTGCTTTTCTGACAAAAGGAGACAGATACAGCTAGCAGCCCCTCCCTCCATCCTGCCCTCGCTCGAGCATTCGAGTATTACTGGGCAATAGCAGCCATTTTGTGACCCTGATATGACACCCACCGGGAAGGAAACCCAACACATAGAAGATAGCGAACAGAAATATAAAAAGACAAGACAGTGATTGATTATAGTGTTGAATAACTGAAAGAAAGGCAGCAACCACCTACTTCTTGACTCGTTACATGAGAAAATAAACCTGACACTATGTTATATATTTCAAATCATAGCCAAATACATTTTCAATAAATACCAGATAAAAGGATAATGTATAGCAGAATTTCTGCTGCTTTGAAATTTCAGGACAAGTAAACAATAGGGTGAAGTATCATTTGCATGGAATCAATGAAAAAGGGGAACGTTTTTCTGAGATGCTTTTTCTTTTGTTGTTGTTGTTTGTTTTTTAGATGGAGTCTCACTGTGTCACCCAGTTTGGAGTGTAGTGGTCCCATCTTGGTTCGCTGCAGCCTCTGCCTCCCAAGTTCAAGCAATTTTCCTGCCTCAGCCTTCCAGGTAGCTGGGATTACAGGCATGCACCACCATGCCTGTCTAATTTTTGTATTTTTAGTGGAGACGGGGTTTCACCATGTAGGCCAGGCTGGTCTAGAACTCCTGAACTCAAGTGATCTGCTTGCGTCCGCCTCCCAAAGTGCTGGGATTACAGGAATAAGCCACCGCACCAGCCCTAAGAAGCTTTTTCTGTTATAAGGACACAATTTATGTGAGCAAATATAGTCTTCACCCTGCTAAGAAATGATAAGTAGAGAACAGCTGTCAGTGGTATTTTATTAAAAAATTTTTTATTTTCAATATTTAGAATATTCTTAAAGTAGATATATTAGGGAACATAAAACTTTATATTTTAATCCTAAAAGGAGAAGAAAAAATGTAATACATACATTTCAAAACATAAACAGGGAATGCTAGATGGATATGGCTATCTGATGATGAAAGAAAGTTATTTTAGGGACACTTTTTATAGTAAATATTAGTTATGTGATGTTGGCAATTAACATATACAGTTTTTACCAGCTGTCACCACATTTGTCAATATCATATGTTGCAATGCTTAAAGGAAACTAAGCATCAATATATTTAAATTTTTTTTTAATTTGGCTGTAGTCTGATTTCTTATTTCTCACTAGTCGTCCCTTTACCCTCATATCAGTTTATGTCCCCCTGCTAATTTGATTGTTTTGGAGTGCTTACCTTACTGCTAATTTCTACTGGGACATTATTTACCTCAGGATTAATTCAGTAATCTTCCATACTTTTTAGTTTCATAAATCTCTGAGTTTTATGTTTCTGTGAAAAACCTTTAATACAAGCAGGTCTTACCTACAATTTTTTTTTCATGCAAGTGTTTGATTATAGTTGGGCAGTTTGTATACCTTTCTCGTTGACTTCTTTTAAAATTGGCCTTTCTGTATTTGTAATACCTCTTTGGTCATTACAAAGTTTTCCAACTCAACACTTTGTAACTTGCTATGCTCAGAGGGATCAGAGCCAAGTACAGATGTACCAAAGACATTTCTTTAACATGTTTATCTACCTAGTTGCAGTAGCAGTTTAGATTGTGCAACTAACTGATGTTTAAATGTGTTAGTCTTTCTGAAATTTGTCCCACAGAGTTATGACATAGAAGGATACGCATTAAATGATCAAATAGCAACCTTAATAGTAATTGAAATAAATTTTCTAAATTACCTTTAAATGATATTAGACTCTAATAGTAATAGAATCTAAAATTATTCTAAAATAAAATATTTACTTTAAGAAAAGGTAGTAGAGGAAATGTAAACCAAACCATCAAAGTTTTTTCTACTCAGAGGCTTTGCTTCTGTTTCATGCAGGGCCATCACATTCTTAGTCATAGTGAAAATTAGCCTCTTTCTCCCCATCAACTTGTAGGATCTATGAGGGCAGGAAATGGACTGGTCTTGTTCACCTCAATATTCCCATCATCTGTCACAGTGCCAGGCACATACTGACACCCCACAAATAGTTTTTGAATGAATGATATCATTCCTTACTTCAAAACTTCAATAGTGGCCGGGCGCGGTGGCTCACGCCTGTAATCCCAGCACTTTGGGAGGCGGAGGCGGGTGGATCATGAGGTCAGGAGATCGAGACCATCCTGGCTAACAAGGTGAAACCCCGTCTCTACTAAAAATACAAAAAATTAGCCAGGCGCGGTGGCGGGCGCCTGTAGTCCCAGCTACTCGGGAGGCTGAGGCAGGAGAATGGCGTGAAGCCGGGAAGCGGAGCTTGCAGTGAGCCGAGATTGCGCCACTGCAGTCCGCAGTCCGGCCTGGGCGACAGAGCGAGACTCCGTCTCAAAAAAAAAAAAAAAAAAAAAAAAAAAAAAAAAAAAAAACTTCAATAGTTTCCCACTGTTTAATAATTTGGTACAAATTCATCAAAGAGTATAAAGAGTGCCCAGTCTCTAGGCAGTTTTTATACATGCCCTGTCCCAGCCCAGCCAGAATAAAACAAGTCATGCCTACAACGTACCTTAAGCTTTTTGGCATAAAGCATGCTTTGTGCAAAATCCTGATTTTCCACTTCACTGTTCCCCAAAAGATTCACCTTACCTTCTTTATAAAGACTCTTTTTGTCCCACTTAGCCAACAGGATTTCTTTCTTCCGTGCATTGCCAGAATATGTTTCTTATGGCTATTGACATATTTTGCTTGTGATTATACGTATCTTTGTTAACGTCTTATCCCCTCGATCTACATTGTAAGCTCCTTGAGGAAAGGGTGAATGAGTCCTTACTTTACTTCCCATGGCATAGTGTATACAGCAGGCATTTCATTCAGGCATGAGTGTATGTACCTGGTGCTTATATATGTTTGGACCATCAGAGTTCATACATATGAGAAGAAAGGTACTAATGAAAGACATATCTTATTAGAGTTGAATAGTATAGTAAGCACATAGCTTCTACATCAGCTGGCATGAACTGAATCCTCACTCTGCTGCTCACTAGCTTTGTTGCCTTGGGTAATTCACACAAATCTTCTAAAACTCAATCTCCTCATCTGCAACATGATAATAATATTACCTACCTGAAAAGCTTTTGTACAAATTAGAGTATGTAAAATTATTGGTACATATAATAAGCAATCATTAATATTCCATTGATATTTTTATTATTATTTGAGGTATGATTTTTGATTTTTTTAATGGTGGATGCTTCCTTTGTGATACTGGATTATAGATTAGAAAAGCATCTCTGTGCTGAGTATTTCTCCATCAACAAAGCAATAACAATAGCCAAATAATTTAGGGCCCAATATATTTTGCTTAGAAAACTCAGAAAATTTTTGCAATTCTCTATTTAATTTGTAATATAAACCTATGATATGTTTCTTATCATAGTACTTACTGCCCAGTAATTTCTCATTAGGCTAATATCAATGATTGCTCATACATACACTAGGTTACTTATTTAGTGTTGATAAAGCATATTAATGAGTGCACTGCACCATTAAAATGAACACGTAATGAAGTACCTAAACCACTTTATCTTAAATGCAAGATAGAGTCTTACAGATTTCTGGTTCTCATGGAAGACCATCAGGGGCCCACACATTAAAAACAGCAGAGTGCAAGAGCTGGGAGGGTACCACTCTAGGAACATTTTAAAATAATATTACCATTTGCTTGATTCTAATTTAAATAATTTGGAGTTCTTATAACATTGGTAAATTTTGAAAAGTAGGATATTTACACAAAGAGAGTATAAAAGAAATAATTTTTTGGAATTTTGCAATGCATTTCTTTTAAGGGACATCACATTCTTATAGGCCTTCACTGATTAAAGAAACTTTATTAGATAAAAATGAGAAGCATGTGCTTCTGGTAGTATTGTACCTAGAGGATTTTAGTTAAGTCAAGTCTGAACTTTTAGAGCATTTGAAATATACTTAGTTGGATAGTTAACGGATCCTCTTCAACTTAAAGTAGATGCTTGTTATAAGAGAAAAAATGTACAAAAAGAGTTACAGAGTAGACAAAAATATCTTAAATTCTTTTCCAGTGTTCCAATTCTGATGATTTTTAGGAGTTATAGCTGAAGAAGTATCGTTCATCCCTAAAATTGGTTTCTTGCATAACACATTATTTTGAATGTCACCAGTCAGCCCTTGGGCTTCTTTAAAAGACCAAAGACCAAGATTGAAAATAGAGTGAATGCATATTTTAGCCCTATAAATGAAGACATCAGAAGTGTAATAGAAGGCATATGAAAGATAAATACATTTGTTTTTCCATCTGTTAAGATAAAACTGGCCAGGCGCGGTGGCTCACGCCTGTAATCCCAGCACTTTGGGAGGCCAAGACGGGCGGATCACGAGGTCAGGAGATTGAGACCATCCTGGCTAACACGGTGAAACCCCGTCTGTACTAAAAATACAAAAAAATTAGCCGGGCGTGGTGGCAGGCGCCTGTAGTCCCAGCTACTCGGGAGGCTGAGGCAGGAGAATGGCGTGAACCCGGGAGGAGGAGCCTGCAGTGAGCCGATATCACGCCACTGCACTCCAGCCTGGGCTACAGAGCGAGACTCTGTCCCAAAAAAAAAAAAAAAAAAAAAAAAAAATACAACTAAAACATTCTTCCCATTTTTTCCTTAATATTTTGTTTCCTGGCAACAAATGACAAAAATTCCCAATCAACCACATCTTTCACAATTCTAGGTTTTCTGAAAAGCCAGCACTAATACTATTATTTAGATTTTTAGTATATAAAATCATTTTCAGAAAAGGAGTAATGTATATTAAAAGGATATATCTCTATATCGTGTATGTGTGTGTGCCTGTGTGTGTGTGAGAGAGAGATAAATTAGTAAAGAAGCATGCCATTAAAACCATAAGGGTGTGTTATATAAGCACTTCGGAAAATAATTGGCATTATCTGGTAAATTTGCTACTACCCAGCAATTTCACTGTTAGTTATTTTTCCAAGAGAAGATCTTTCACATGCTCTTTAACCAGGGTAGTATAAAAATGTTCTTAGCAGCACTATTTGTAATCTCTCTCACACATAAACATGCACCTGGAGATTTTTCAAATGTTCATCAAGAGCAGAATGGATTAACATAATACGGTGTGAAAGTTAATTGATTACAGCTACATGCAACAACATGTACGAATCTCATGTATCCAATTTTGGGCAAAAAAATCAAGTAGCAAAATAATATCGATACACTTCATTAATGTTCAAAGCTGTAAAAACCATGAAATTAACCAGTGTTTTGTTTAGGCATATGCAGTAAACCTCTAAAGAAAAACAAGGAAATGATTGAACACAAAATTCAAAATTAGGAGGGGACAGGATCTGAGAGGGTTCCATGACAGATACAAAAATATTATTTTTCTTTAAGTAAGTAGTAGGTACATAGTTGTTTATTGTATTATGATTCCTTATGTATTGCATGTATTTAGTAAGTGTTCCTTTGAAACTACTCAATATTTGGTAAAAGTATAAAACAAAGGGTGCTAATATTTATTGCCATTATTCTATCTAAGCAAAATATTTTAAAAGTAATATAATCCTTCAGTCTTTCATAACTCATCCACTTGTGTGTGGTCTGGAACATTATTTAATGATTTATATGATATTATGGCAGTGTTTAATTGCTGTTTAAATAAAAAGATAAGATGGCAAAACTGGTAATACCAGTTCATCGTGGTCTGTGAGGCTGCAAAAAGTCAAATTCCATAAAGCAAACTGACAGGCTGTCTCAGGTCTATTGTGTTTCACAAGATGCAGAAAGGAAAAGTTACTGTGAAATTACTTTTATAATCGAGATATTATAAAACATTTTTATTTATGAGGATCCTCTTCTTATTTTGATCGACCTTTTCATGAAATAATTTCATATACTTTTAGAATGACTCTTTAAATGCCTCTGAAATTCCACATATCTAGTGGTTTGTATGTATTTCAATACAATTAAATGATAAAACTTACAGTTCTTGTTTTGATGTTAAATTTATTGTATCTTCTCATTTCACACTTTTGCTTCTGTCAAGAAATTGCTTTAGTTAAGAATCATTGGTCCAAAAGTCTTTCACTCTCAACTAAAGTTTATGGAGAGACTTAAAGGAGAGACCCTTATTTTTACATCAATATATCAATTTGGAAGAATTTTATTTATTTTTTTCTAGTTATAATTTAATGGACCAAATTATACTATTAATATTATAAAGAATTACTTAGGATCATTTTAAAAATGATCCAAATCATTTTGGATATGTTTTAAAAATAACACCTACGGCTGAGTGTGATAGGCTCATGCATGTAATTCCAGCACTTTGGGAGGCCGAGGCCAGCAGATTGCTTGAGTCCAGGAGTTCGAGACTAGCCTGGGCAACATTTAGTAGAAACACTGTCTGTACTAAAAATACAAAAATTAGCTGGGCGTGGAGGCCACTTGGGAGGCAGGAGAATTGCTTGAACCCAGAAGGCAGAGGTTGCTGTGAGCCAAGATCACATCACTGCACTCCAGCCTGGGCAACAGAGTGAGACTCTGTCTCAAAATAAATAAATAAATAAATAGAAATAAAAATACCACATACCAAGTTATTATACAATTATACCAAAATTGTTACAATTTTTTAAAGAAACCTCATTATACTTAAAGTTATAAAGTACCCAAATGAACAAACAATGTTCCTATTCTTAAATGAAGCATTGTGTCAACCCGATTTTGTACTCCCTTTTTCCTCTGAGTTATCTAGAGTTTCCTGTGTTCCTCAATGTTTTGATTATAGAAATCAGTGTGTTTGCTTTTTGGTATGACACTGTTTCATAGCATCTTATATTTGAAGGAATCTCTACATGAAGTGAAATTAACAATTTTGGCTTTATTATATTTGAAAATATCGTAAAAATTTATACATGAAAACAAAGCCTTCTATTGCTTAATACTTCCACATGTTACTCCTATATGAATGGAACAAAAACTGGGACAGTAGAAATTGTTTATGAATGCCAAAGGGCAAGCTAACCATGACAAATTATTCACCCTTGGATTCAAGGTAAAATTATTTTACAACTTCTATGATGTAGTTTATAGAGCATGGGTTTTTGAGTCTGGCAGACCTGCTTTTACATTTCAGCTCTTTAGCTATGCATCTTTGAGCTTGTCACTGAGGTCTTCTCACCTGTTACGTAGGGTTTTCCGGAGACTAAATGAGATAATGTAGGAATAATTCCTGGCACAGAGTTAATACTCAGTAAATGTCCTCCCAGCTCCCACATCCCAGCTCAAAGTGGGGAGTAAGATTTTCTCAGTGTAAGAATGTCAGGCCATTGCAAAGGACAACAAGCTACTTCCTTATCATCCAAAGCACTTTCCAGTGTTTTACGTGCAATAAACCACAGACCTCTGGAACCCTGCCCTGTTGTCTCCTCCCACACACTTCATAGATATTTTCCTATGCATCTCTTGTATCCTTGGGGTTTAGGACAAGTGAGAGAAATAGTTGTCTCAGGGAATAGAAAAACTTACAGTGAAGGAAGGAGATGGAAATTAACAAGTGTCATCATCATCATCATCAGAAAAAGATTTTATAAAACATAAGTTGTGAATAACATGCTTCCTACATGAAATGTCAAAATAATAGAAAAATGCTATCATGCAGTTTTCTAAGGTAAAAGACCAAAGGAAAACCTACTGAGGCAGAACATTCAGCAGGTATTTCCTTTGTATCGATTTTGTGCGATAATTATCACTATGGAAGGCTTTATAGTGGGTGCCAGTTTCTGAAGACAGAACCAGGTGTATAAGAAACTTAATCTAACATTATTTTCCTATGTCTATACCTGAGGTTATTTTTTCTCTTAAATCCCTGTTACACCATGTGACAATAGCTAAATCTCAGTAAAATCAGGGACTTTTCCTGTTTCACTGGAGATGCAGCTAATTCCATGGATCCTATCTAGCATAAGGTATGGGATGGGAGTGGTAGGATGCATTTGTATGAGAAAATTAGGCCATTGTAGGTATCCAGGCTTTCATGTTCTGACACTACACCCTGGTCCCAATGTCAGCGGCTGAAGACAATGGGCCCTTTGATTATGGTCTACATGGTATATTTTTGTTTTGTATTATTACACAAGGCTTAAGTTTTACCAGTTCTTTGTGTTTCATCTAATATAAGGACTTTTTAAAAATAAAGGACCAGATAGTAAATGTTTTAGGCTTTGTGTACCATATGATCTCTGTCACAACTACCCAACTCTGCTATTGTAGTGTCAAAGCAGCCATAGACAACAGGTAAATGTATGGGTTTGCCTCTCTTCCAATAAAAACTAATTTACAAAAACATGTGGATCTAAACCATTCTCACCTGCACTGAAAAACCGCTTCTGGGCGCTCTGCATCTTTCTAGGGCACATGAGGGCTGTGGGACTGCTTAAGACCTGTCTGCCTCAGGACCCTCTTTAGAAATGTTTTCTGTTCTTACTTAACATTGGGCAAGGAATAACTCTGGGGTCTTACCAATCTCCAAGGTAGGGCCTATGACCCTAGCTTCACTTTTGTTGGTGAGTCCTCTCACCAGTCTGGTTTCAAAGGTCAAGACGCAGTACTAAACATCCTACTCTATGTAAATGGCGGTCCATGTAGTTGTGCCATATGGTATTCCAACATGGTGAGAGGCTACAGGGCTTTTACTCAGGTACATTGTCGATATCCACCTCCGACCCACGGTCTTACCCCTGACTCTCTTCTCCTTTCTCCAGTCTGCACCAATCAAGATTTGAGGTGGAAATAGAAAACTGGCTCAGACTGAGAACATATTCTTCAAAATATATGGTTTTTGGCATGGTTTTGTACAGAGTCCTTCAAGGCTTAAACTTCTAAAATTCCAATACATTTGAGCTTTTGCATTGCAAAAGCTTTCTCGGTATGAACAGGAAGAGTACAAAGGATGTACAAATGCAAAAAAGTGCTTATGTTCATGTTAAGAGACCAAACTTAGGTGAAACAGTTAAAACACTCTCTCAAAACTTACTGGCTTAAGACAACAACAAATTAGTATTTCTCATGATTCTGTGGGTTGACCAGGTGATTCTTCTGCTGGTATTTGCTTGGGTCCATCACCAGGTTGCATTGAGCTGGCAGGTGGCTGGGGGCTGTGCTCAGTGAGATCATCTGGGAAGCTGAGCCTCTCACTCCACATGGCCTTTCGCCCCAGACTTCTTCATGGTGTGGTGATCTCAGGGCAACATTCCAAGAGAGTGAAAGCAGAAAGTGAAAAATCTCTTTAAGACTTATATCTGGAAGTCACGCAACATCACTTCCACCATATTTGATTGGTCAAAGAAAGTTGCACAGCTACTCTAGGTTAAAAGGTGAAGAAGAGGACTTTACCTTTGATGAGAAGAGCAGCAAGACACATTCCAAAATGACACGCCTGTTGGAGAGGGAGAAATTTGTAGCCGTGTTTTACAATTCAATACCAACTTTCTGTGAATCAAATACACAATGGATCTTCATGAAGGCTATGATTTTTACTAGAAAGTTTAGATAGTTATGCCAAACCTGTACAGAGTTTGCAGTGAGAAGAGAAGGAGAGACAAAGAAATTGGATGTTGCTCCTGGTTTAGCTTCTCCGCTCCCTGTACATTCTCAGGAGTGAAGCCACTTCTTTAAATCTTGGGGGGAATGTATCCCCAAAGATTCTCCTTGGGCGTTCAGAAGATGTCCCACATGGATGACATTTTTTTGCCTTCTACTCTTCCCCTGTCCACCTTTAAAAAAATCATTTTCTAAGCCCTTTAACCCCCTCCCTACTACAATATCCCCATCCTCACTCCGTTTTTATATGTTGTACACTAACTCTTCCAATAGAAACAAACTTCCTTCTCTTGCAATGACTTGACTTTTTGTATGCAACCCCAAATGTCAGCTGCCTGTCAGGGACTCCTGTCCCTGAAGCTTTGCAGAGGGGAGAAAGGGAATGTAATCTTAGGGTCTGTTGACTTACTTGGGAATAGAGAATTGGCATATTCTGATTTTGTGATTGGATGTAGGAAAGGAGTATGGTGATGGGATTCTACCTTGGGCAGCAAATGCCTTTTCTCCTGGTAAATAAAAAGTAAAATATATAAATATACAGAAAAAGTGTAATTTCCTTCAAAATTCCCCTTCTAACATGCATAAAAATTATTTCTCTTTTTACCTTAATAACCAAATGCTATTCCTTTTGGCCTGTTACCTCAAACCTAATATGCTAAAAGAGCATCCTCATCCTCTACGGCTTGAATTCCTTAACAAATTATTATAACTTATCTGGCAACAAATTATATCAAACCCAGGTACCATCTCTCCACAACTCTCCCTTATTGGAGTCAAGAGAGAGGTGAGGGCCAAGGGAGGAAGGAAATTTACTTTATGCCAATGCATTGGAATTAAGAAATATCAAGGTGATTTGAACTGATCCAGGAGGCTTGTATTAGTCTTGTTCTTATGCTGCTAATAAAGACATACCCAAGACTGGGTAACTTATAAAGGAAAAAGGTTTAATTGACTCACAGTTCCACATGGCTGGGGAGGCCTCACAATTATAGCAGAAGGCGAATGAGGAGCAAAGTCACGTCTTACATGGTGGCAGGTAAGAAGAACTTGTGTAGGGGAACTCCAATTTATAAAACCATCAGATCTCATGAGACGTATTCACTACCACAAGAGCAGTATGAGGAAAACCACCACCATGATTCAATTATCTCCACCTGGTCCAATCCTTGACATGTGGGGATTATTATAATTCAAGGTGAGATTTGGGTGGGGACACCGCCAAACCATATCAAGACTCCATGGGAGACTAGGGTCTTCAGTTGGGCTGGAGGGGATTTGGAGAGGGGGAAGAAAATCATATTAGAAGATACAAAGACTTTCACAGGTGGGAAACTGACTGTGGTATGATCAGAGGAAAATAAGAGATCTGAGTTTTTTTTTAAAATAAGTGACGTATTCTATTTCCATATTTCTAAAATTATAAGGTGTTCATTGAATAGAACGTTCTTTGTATGAAGGTCTGGTAGCTAGAATTAATATTCTTATTATTTTTCTTACCAATAGAAAATTGTAAATTGTTAATAGGTATTCTACCTCTTGTTTTTGTGATATGATGCCTCTAATGACATTGTCATAGTTTAGGATCTGGATAATTGACACAATGTGGCTTAATAAAAGTCAGGGCTGGGCATGGTGGTTCCTGCCTATAAGCCCAGCACTACAGTAGGCTGAAGAAGGAGGATTGCTTGAGTCTAGGAGTTCGAGAACAGCCTAGGCAACATAGTAAGACCTCATCTCTCCAAAAAATAAAATAAAATAAAATAAAAGCCAGACATGATGAAACATGCCTGTAGTCCGAGATATTCAGGAGGCTGAGGTGGAAGGATCACTTGAGCCTGGGAGGTTGAGGCTGCAGTGAGCCATGATTGCACCACTGTGATCCAGCCTGGACAACAGAACAAGACCCTGTCTCAAAAGACAAAAATATCCCTGGCCTGGTGGCTCATGCGTGTAATCCCAGCACTTTGGGAGGCCGAGACAGGAGGATTGCTTGAGTTCAGGAGTTCAATTGCAGCCTAGGCAACATAGTGAAACCCCCATCTCTATATAAAACAAAAACAAAATAAAAGTCAATTAGAAGAAAATCGTAATAAATGTTTCAACAGATGAAGAGTATGATCATTATAGCACTGGTTGCAATAGCAAAATTTGGGAGCAATCTTCATTGTCCAACAGTAATTGACAGATTAAATCCTTACAAAGGGATATCAGGCAGCCATTAAAATAATACTGTAAAATAAATTTATTGACATTTAATTATATGTCAAGTAGAAAACTCTGGCTACAAAACAAGTCCCCAGAATGATCTAGTTTTTATTTTACAAACCTGTCTCTGTATCCCTCTATGTTCCCCATTCCATGCCGTGCCTCCTGCCAACTTTTTCAATAAAAAAAATCTGCAAAGATACATGATAGAAAGGGTCTGATAGCACTGATTCATCTTGGTATAAGGAATTCTGAGTATTTCAAAGCTAGTTTCTTTGCAGTTATGTGTATTTTCTGATTTCTCTGTAATGAATATTAATTTCTTTTCAATTTAAAGAAACATGTTACAGAAAAAGAGAAATCAATTTAGGAAAAGAGTGAGTGAGGGATACTCGAGTACATCACTGAGGTCAACATCATGCAAGACTATCACCATAGTTTTCCACAAAATATTCTTTGGTGCCACTGTCAGAATTTAGAGCCAGTTAGATTGAATATTATTCTGACTCAGCATGACATTTCTTTTTGCTCTTATGCTAATGCTTAAAAGCTTGAAACAATGCACTCTATTCAATACATTTCATCAAATATTTATTGAGTGCCTACTATGTGCCAAGTACTAAGAATACAAGATTAGCAAGACATAGTTTTGTTGTAATCTAAGTCAACCCCTCATAGTATGTGAACCACTTTGAAAATCTGAGATGATTGTTCTGAGATTCTACAGGGGGAAGAATCATATAAAACAATGTCCAAAAAAGTTCATACTAAAATAACCTATTTATATTTTCCCTGTTTTAACTTGCTATATTTTAAACACAATGTAGAATTATGTTGGATCATTATTTAAAAAATACCCACGTGTTTGTGGCTCTTCACTGTGATACCACCTCTATTCTCTGCTTGAATCAATAGCATTTCAACACTTTTACTGCTTTGAGAAGAAATTATTCCAGTCTGTTCAGTCTTTGAGCCAAATCTCTCAGTCTGACTTTGAGATCCTCACTAAAAGCTCTAGTTCCCTCATGAGGCAAAACTGTTTCTAGAGTATGTTTCAAAGCAAAGTTGTGTAACCAACAATTAAACAATTAACAAACTAAAATAGTTTAAAGTTAGGCTTAGTAACTTTACACATTTACTTGTTACATTATATATTACAACTATTTTTTATGAATTAAAATTTCGATCTCAGCTAAATAATTTCAGTTTCTTCATCTTTGCTGTCCCATTAATTATTATTGCTATATCCAGAAGGTTTCATTTATTTATTTATTTATTTGCCCAATTCTCTTGGCATAGAGTTTATATGAATCAGAATGTAAAGAAGCCTGTAGATCATCTTGTACCACTATTTTGTTTTGTGGAAGAGAATATTTAAGCCAGATGTAAAGTAATTTGTAGGAGTGTAAGTTGTTTTGCGTAGTGTCTTTTGAAATGTAGGTATGTGAAAGCTGGTAGCTATTGTTCTTAGAACTTTGCAATTCAGATTACCAGTCTAGTGTTCTTATCTGCCTTGGATTATTTGTCATTACTGTTGGGTAAAACCATTCTTTAGACCTGTAAATTGCTCAAGACACTAGGCATTTTTTTTATGGTACTTGATGGGTCAATTTATTCATTTAACACATATTTATTAAGTACCTACTAAGTGCCAGGTGCTGGTCTTGGCATTAATTTAAATGTTAACAGAAAGTATTAAGGAGTGAGTATTGTTTCAAATCCATGCAAATGAGCATTTTGTGGCTAGTCGTGTGTGTGTGTGTGTGTGTGTGTGTGTGTGTGTAATAAGTACGTGTGTGTGTGTGAGAGAGAGAGAGAGAGAATGTTTGTTTCCTTCCTGTGTAAAATCTGCCCAGTTTTCTATCTTAACTGTCATTATATGTCAAACATATACTATTAAAATTAGCTTATTTCTGAAGCATGTCTACACTAAGGTTCCTGGATTTTATTTATGATGAAATGCTAATTTCTCTTTATGAAACAAATTCTTTATTTCATAATTTTGAATAGGATGGTACTTTCAAAAACCTGCATCTGATTAGATTTGGGGCATTAAATATTTCAATATGATAATATTTTTTTCTTGGGCCTGCAGCATTTTAATTTTATTGTCACATAGAAAATTTTTTATTAATATTAAGACTTTGCTTTCAGAATGCTTTGAAATAGTACAAGCAACGTTGTGTAAAATAGTACAGGTGGAGCATCCCTAATCCACAGATCCAAAATCTGAAATGTTCCAAAATTCAAAACTTTTTGAGCACCAACATGACACCACAAGTTGAAAATTCCACACATAAGTACTTTACACAAACTTTGTTTCATGCATAAAATTATTTACAATGTTTTATAAAATTACCTTAAGGCTATGTGTATAAGGTGTATATGAAACATAAATGAATTTTGTGTTTAGACAGGTCTCATCCCCAAGATATCTCTCTCTCTCTCTCTCTCACTCTCTCTCACTCTCTCTCTTTCTCTCTCTCTATATATATGACACTCAACGTGCACAAGTAATGCCACACTCAGAAAAACTGCTTCCTTCTTTAAATTGTCTGTCTCCATTGTAAAACTGACAGTCAAATTTTAGTAACTCCTGATCTTTTTTGTTTCTTCTGTTCTTTTTAGACTCCTCATCCAGCATTTTGGTCCTGTTTGCTGGCTCTCTCTTTTAATAGGTCTACCCTAGCTTCTCTTTTCAGTTGTTATTTGACGTTACTAGTCTTGCTGTCAATGCATCTCAGTCCTTGGATTCCAGATTGTTATTCTATATCCATCTGCTCTGTCCTGATTGTCAGTGAAAAGTGTTGCTCTTCGCCTGGTGGGACATCAAAACTCTGACAATCTTTGGCTCTTCATTCAGAGATGGGTGGTGCGTGCAAAAGGGTACAGGTTTCTTGGTTATACATTTAGGATACCTTACAAATTTTCCAAAGACTAACATTAACCTCTGGTTAGGGGTAAACGACAAAGTGGCACAACGAAGAAGAAGGAGAAGGAGAAGAGAATTTCAGTAGTTAGTATTTTCAGTTCTGGACCTGGACCTAAGGAAAAACACTGCCAAGTTAGTATATCAATACACACAAGTATCTCCTGAACTATTTTTTTGTTTGTTTGTTTTTGGAGGGAAAGGGAGCTTGGCAATTGCTTGTAGGTACTGATATTAAAATGTTGCAAATACATGGAGGTTCCTTGGTGCTCGCAAAATAACCATGACATGTAAAACAAGCAAAGAACTACCTAGTTTACTAAAGTCTTAAACCCTAACTCATAGATGTCCTAGTATAAAATAGCACTATGGATGCTAAAACCAATGTCTTAGAGTAGTCAAATACTAAAGATACACTTGTTGATACTATACTAAACTGTATTTTAAACCTTATTTTTAGGTCACGCATAGCACTAATAAAACAGTGAATAAGCACCATAAGAGCATGTCAAAATGTAGGAGGAAGGCCACAACTAAACTTCATAGTAAAACCTACCACCATGTGATTAAACACGACACCAAAAAGTTTTTAGCTAGTTTTCTATTTATATCCCTAGATATCTTTGGGATAGGGCCAAAGAAATGAGTTCATAGAAAGGTATAAAGGCCATTTTAAGTCCTGGTTTTGGGTGTGTCAATGTTTGTTGCAGCAGCAGAAGGAAGGCTGAAACAGAAAGTTGTGTCATAAATGGAACAAATACTGTTTAACAATTTTTTTTTGTCTTAAAAACAGCAAAACCCACCATCTTCCTGGAGTCTGCGTTGTTCTCTTCCAGAATAGATGTTGAGCTTTTAAACAAACCTGCAGTAGAAGCAAGCCCTCTCCAGGAAATCCCAATCTCTTTCCAAACAGGGACAGCAAAGGTTCTCTCTGTTGTGGCTGTTTTTCCCTCTCTTCTGGGAATTGGTTTGCCTTCTGAGAGCATCCCAGGAAGGGGAGGTGCGCCCCAAATTGGCGAGGCTCTGCCAAATACCAAAGGCTCTTCTTTGGAAGAAGACTCCTCCTTTGGACGTGAGGCGCCCCTACCAGAGCGCCCGCGTACAGAAACGGAAACCACTAGCTGCGCTGAAGTGAGTCAAGTGATGAAATCAAGACTACACGGGAAGGAAGCTCACGAAACCTAACTGGTGACAGAAGCTGCTGAACCCTGCCCGAAGAAACCACATGAGCCAGCAGTTGCTGCCCTCCCGAAGTGGTCCTCGGAGGCAGCGCACCCCTTCATTTTGGCGAACCGAGGAGGAAGGGAGGAACCGTGTGGGGGAAATCTAGAACTTCTGGTTCCCCAAGGACCCAGCAGACTGTGTTCTGGCTACAAGGTGATCACTGCCACCAGGTCAGTGCAGGATTCCTCCAATGTAGATGGGCCGGGAGCCACAACTTGCGCGGAGCAGCAGCCTCGCCGACCACTCAGAGAGAAGCCGCGCGACAGCCAGGCTTGGCCCGGACGGCGCCCCCACCCTGCGCGCGCGATCCAAGGTTCTCACCTGGAGCGCTCAGGTAGGGCTGGGGCGGGGCGGGAGGCTGGCGCGCAGGCGCGGAAGTGGGGCCTCGCCCCTGCCGACGTCGCAGGCTGGAGCTCACCTGGGAGACTCCAAGTGGAAGCCGAGCCTCGGTTCTGCCTCTCCAGGCAACGCGGGAGGCCCAGCGGGAAGGCAGGAGGCGGCGGCGGAGGAGGAGCTCTACTGAGCCGCAACTGTGGCGACAGCAACCGGAGTCGCAGCCGCCGCCACCTGCACCTGGCGCCTAGCCCACGTCCAGCGCCTGCCCGGCCGCCGCTTCCCGCCACCCTGCCCTGCCCACCCGCCAGGTAAGCCGGCGGCAGGCGGAGGGAGACGCGGTACCCCTGGGCTGCGTTAGAGCAGGCGGGAGGACGGCCGCAGGGGTTCACGTGTTGGGGACAGGGCTACGGTCCAGGTGGCCGGTTGGAGACGGTCTCGAGAGCAGTGTGTCGGTTGCCCCTGGAGAGATCCCGAAAGGGGCGCCCTGGGCCAAGGGGCAGGTGGCGCCTCGGGGGGGAGCCCGGTCACACCCTCTCGCCCACGGTGCCCCCGCCAGTCCCTATGGGGCGGCCCCTGAGGAGCTGGACGGAGACCAAAGACCTGGTGGCCCCGGACTTGCCCTTGGGAGGGTCGCAGCGTGGGGACCCTGAGAGGGAGGGCCCGGCGGGAGGCGGGCGCGCTTCCACTCCGGCTAGCAGGTTGCCTGTCTCCTCCAGCCTCTCTGCCCGAGAGGACATCCCGCGACAGCGAAAGACATGGCTTTGCCAGGCAACTTTCCTAGCCGGGGACCCCAAACAGTTCTAGGCTGCAAACCGCGGCCGCCGAGCCATTTAAATGGTTTCCGAGTGGTTTGGAAAGGGCTCTGTGGCCGGGACGCGGACACCCCTCTCTCTCTGTTTCGACTCTGCACTTTTCCGGGTGCGCTCTCCAGGCCAGAGTTGGGCCCACTTTCCTGATCAATGGAGAAGAGTTCTTTTCTTCCGTGGCGGGAAGAAATCCAACTGCCACGCACCAACCACTCACCATCTCGTTAGAGGACCTGTTGACTTAAGGACCTGCATATCGCGGCTATGGTTTGCCTGTGGCATATGACTCAAAGGTTCAAAAAAACATTGTTTCAGGATCCTGCCACGTCTAAGCTTGGGTGTGCCAGGCCCAGATTCCTTTCCCTGCCTAATTAGGCTTTTCTGAAGCCTAAGAATTGAGGGTGAAACTGGCGCTTACCTTAGACTTTTATTTCCTTCTCTTTCCAACTCATCAAAGAAACTATTTCTGTTTTAAGAACCCCATCGAGTTACCAATATTTCCGATTCTTGAAAACGTTAACATAACTTGCTATAGAAGTTACACTACATAATGAAGACATTTACAGTCAAATTCTATAGCTAAAAAATATTAAAGTGACAGCATTTTAATTAGAAAATCTCTGCTTGTGGGAAAATCTGTTGCTTCTTTTATTGTATATATTTTTCTTTGCGTTTGTGGCTAAAATCCATGAGGTTAAAGTCACACGCTGCCATTAGATTCTTTTTTTTAATTTAACTTTTAATATCTGAAATCTAGTGCACATGTTAAACTTTCCAAGCAATTTGTACCGAGAATCAATCTTTATATATTGCTTTAACCAACATTTTTACGTAGAAGTTTCTGATAATAATAACAATTCCATTGTTTTGTTCTATCTCCACACATTTTAAAAATATTTTTTAAATTGCACGTTTTACTTAAAATGCCTGATGCAACATGTAGTGGGGTTATTTTTCTTCTTCTTTTTAAGATTAGATGGAAATCTAAAAGCCAACCACAGCATAACATGATGTAATTATTAATTCAATCACCACTTTTCTACATTTCTTAAAAGGATCTCACCTGACCTCTTAATCTTGTCTCCATACAGAGAAACAAATGTGCTAAATACTGTTTAAATATGAGATATAGGAGTTGTTCCCTGAATTTTGAATATTAGTCTTCATTACTTACTAGGCAGATGTTACCAGACTGTCTTTCCTCTTAACCTCTAGTGAGAAATGTAACATGTTTTCATTAGCTAGAGTAACAGTGTAACTTAATCTATCTGTTAAATAGGAAAAATAATACTTTCCTAGATTAAGATAACAAAACCTTAAAAACAATCAGGAGTATCTTCCAGCCCTAGCATTCTCGAGATCCCTTTCTCACTTTGGAGATTCAATACTCAAACCATCCATTTATGAAAAATTGAAGCCAAGAGAGGTATTCTAACTTCATTTCACTCAGAGATGGCATGATCATTCCAGTGGCTTGACTCATGACTCCTGTATCTTACTTTTCACCACCCACATCCTCACTTACCATAAGATGTTTATCTTTTTTCTTTCATATAATTTGTAAGGCCTTTGTAATTACAGAATTGTCCATTGCTCTTTCTTCACTCTGATTTACCCTCATTTCTACTTGTCCAAATATTGCCTGACTTCGTGGAAACTACCCAGTGAAGGCATCATGCTCCTCTCATTGTGGAATAGCATGCATATTGATGATGCCATGTCAGTTGAGACTTTTAGTTCCTTCTTGGTATTTCCAAGCCACAGTTAATTTTTTAAGTCAATGTGGATAACATTATTTAGTCTTCTGATCTTTTTATTATATTGGCTTAAAATATATTTTATGAGGCAGCTACCCAGTGCCTTTCATCCATTTGCAACACTCCAGATTTTTTATTTCAAGCACACTTCCTTAACACTAAGTTTCTTTAAACTTTTTTTTCCTTTTACTGCAATCCTCAATAACTAATTTATTCTCTGCCTCAACTCTGTAAACTCCAATGTGAGTGTATATAAATGAAACAAGTTTTATTAATATAAAACAGTGCTTAACCTTACAACATGTATGTTCTTTATTATTTTATTTTTAAAAACGTTGGTCTAAACAATTAGACTGCTTTATGACCACGAAAGTGCTGGAGCCCTCAATGTGAAAATAGCACTATTCTGTTGAATTTTTGTTCTTTTAAAGGCTGATTTTTCTACCAGCTTTCTTTTTCTCTGTCTCATACATGCGTATACACACACACACACACACACACACAGGCACACACCCACTCACATGAAAGAAAATAAATTATTTCTTAAAAACTTTACTGTAATCCTAATTAAACATGTATTGTAGGGCTTGAGGCTCCAGGACCTTGGTGCTAGATTAAATCTTTCAAATATTAAGAACTACATGAAACCTTGTTCATTATACATATTTTGTGTTAAATGGGTTCTCATCATGCTGTAGTGTATTTGGGAACAGGAAAAACTAGAAATATTTTTTTCTGAGGGGATTTTGATGATAAGAATTCAGTGAAATTTTGAGGGAGAAACCTTCTGTCCAGCTCTATTCTGAACTCTTAAAGTTTTATGACTGAGTTAGAGTTCTGGGTGGAGTCTGAAAATTTATTAGAGAAAACATAGCCAGTTTATTATTTGGTTTATATTCTGTTAATATTTAATGCTTTTCTTTTTTACTATGAAACAAGTATGAGACAAATTGTAGGAATTACACTCCCCCTCTCCACAAAAAGACTACATTGAGAGATTAAAATAGATCCCTCAATGATTTGTAGGAATGTAGTCTTGGAAGCTCTGATTGGATAATTAAGCCTTCCGTAGACACTTTCAATTTTAACCTGCCTTTACATTCTTGGTGGGTGAAATATTTCTCCTAAGGAAAATATTATCATATTTAGGATTTTAGAAATGATCAGTGCCTGAATCATCTTCACATGTATTCAGTTCTTTAGTCCATCAAGTGCAAAAATACATTTGGAATGATAGATACTTTATAGATATAAAATCCTATTGAAAAGGAAGGTGTTTTCAGTTAGCTGTTCAATTATGCATTTAGTTAGTATCAAAATAATTCATACTATGTAATTTGGGTGAAATTTAACACAACTCATGTACACTAAGGGGGAAAACTGAATTCAAATCAATTCCAGCAGTGGCAAGAGACAAAAGTACATTCACTTATTGCAAAGCAAAGACAAGTAGGACTCTGAATTCTAGGTCATTAGAGACTACTGACAATTATATGACACTTCCTTGGGTCATTCTCAGAGTTGGGCTCTTATTTTTGGCACTAAAGAGAGAATATTCCCCCAAGTACACCTTTTCCCTATAATTGTTTCAGTTTCAAACTGTCCAAACTAATTTTCTTTTCTATATGATTGCCTATTGGACATCTTTAACATTTGTTCATCACTGGAGATTATATATGTTCAAACCAGAACCTTCATCTCATCAAAAAACAAATGAACAAACAACCTGCTCACTCTCTGTATTCTATTTATAGATAGTAGTACATTGTACCATTTCTTATCTATAATTCAAAAATCATCCTCTGAAAACAAAGCAAAACAAAATTTAACTCATTTGTTAGCAAAACTTGAACTCAGTTGGAGCAAAGCCTGAGTGAACTGTCAGGAGGCTATTGTGATTGTGTATTCAACTTAGTGGATTATGTCCAGCTGCAGAAATAGTGCTGTTTGATTACATAATACTGCCCAGGCCCTGCTGGGGTACACTTTTACATTGATTATGTAAACCATATCACCTTTCTAACATCCAAAAAAATCAGATTTTTTTTTTTTTTTATGAGACAAGGTCTCACTATGTTGCCCAGGCTGATCTTGAACTCCTGGACTCAAGTGATCCTTCCATGTCAGCCTTCCAAGTAGCTGAGACTACAGGCTGTCAAATCCTGAATTTTGAAATATATTTTGCTGCAGAGATTTGGGAGAGTGAATCATAAATGTGTACTACCATCCAGGTGCCATACCAGAAATCCAGAGGTAATTTTAAACTCTTTTTCTTAGCCTCTACAACTGCTATGGTCTGAATGTTTGTGTTTTTCCAAAATTCATATGTTGAAATCAAATCCAATGTATTGGTATTAGGAGTAGGGTCTTTGGGAGGTCATCAGGTCACGAGGGCCTTGGCCTCGTGTGTTTTTGTAAAAGATAATGTCCTTATAAAAGAGGACTGAGAAAGCTTGTTAGCCTTTTGCCCTTCCTCCATGTGAGGATACCTAGGAGGCCATCTATGAGGGATGTGCCCTCGCCAGACATTGAATCTGCCAGCAGCTTGATATTGGACTTCCCAGCTTTCTGGCTGTGAGTGGTATATTTGTGTTGTTTAAATTACCCAGTCTAAGGTATTTTGTTATAGCATGAACTAAGACAACAACCATTAGAACACTGAATCCACTTAACATTTTATACCTTTCTCCCAGCCATAAATTCTTTCACTTCTACTGATCTAGTTTAAGGTCTTAACATCTCTCAACCAAGGTATCATAGCTGCCTCCTACCTGGTATCTCAGCAGATAGTGTTGTCAACCTCAAGTCCACCATCTGGAGGATGAGGATGATCTTTTTAGAAATGCAAATTCTCTCTCTCACTTAAAATCCTTCAACAATTTTCTGTTGCTTACCGGATAGAACCCACAGCCCTTAAAATGGTCCCATGGGATCTGAGACTTGCTTAACTCTGGAGTGATACTCCATAAGCCGAAATTTTATTTCCCAGCAATAGACTTCTTATTGTTTTTTTTTTCTTGTGTGCTTTTCTTTTGCACTTCCCACTGCAGAGAGTGCCTTTCCTTCTATCTTTACATCTATCTATAGCTCTTAATGGCTCTTAAAACTCAAAGAAGGTCTTGCTTCATTTGGGAAACTGTGTCCCCTCACCCACACCTCCACATATACCTGAGCAGGGTGAGGTGTCCTGTGTATACTTCTATTATTTGCTTGATACGATATAAATATAGTCTGCTTTTGCTCTTGTCTGTATACACACACACACACACACACACACACACACACACACACACCCTTTTGGATTATTTGCAAAACATGCAAAATTTCTCTTTCCATTAAGCCTTTTGTGGAATAAAAATTTTGGGGTAGAAATGTCACAGAAAGGGGAGAGGCATCGGCAGGCAATATAAGTCAATCTGCCTTTTTTTTTTTTTTTTTTTTTTGAGGTGATGTCTTGCTCTATCGCCCAGGCTGGAGTGCAGTGGCGTGATCTTGGCTCACTGCAAGCTCTGCCTCCTAGGTTCATGCCATTCTCCTGCCTCAGCCTCCCAAGTAGCCGGGACTACAGGTGCCTGGCTAATTTTTTTGTATTTTTAATAGAGACGGGGTTTCACCGTGTTAGCCAGGTTGGTCTTGATCTCCTGACCTTGTGAATCTCCCGCCTCGGCCTCCCAAAGTGCTGGGATTATAGGTGTGAGCCACCGCGCCTGGCCCAATCTGCCTTTTTAATGGGAAGTAACCAAAGAAACTGGGGAGTAGCGAACTTGTTTCACTGACTTAATTAGTCTATTTAATTTGGATTGCTGTTACTTCTATCTTTTTACTTTGAATTCTATTTTATTTTGGGACCTTTTGGTTCTGTTCCAAGATCTTGGGGTTTTATCATTTAAAAGTGAAAAGTTAACTTTGTAATTGAAATGTCTTGCAGCTTTTGCTTATACATATTCCACAATTGAGTATATTATTATTGTTGAGGAGCTTAAAGGGAGCAGCCTTTACTTAAAAAATATAATTGAGTTAGACTAGACCAAACAAAGAAAAACAAAAATAAAATGAGGCAAAAGATTTCTTGGAATTAGCAGTCCTTTCATCTCTTTTTGGCTAGTCCTATGCCAAGTTCTGTAAGTTTTACCTTCTAAATATTCCTCAAATCCATCTACTTTTATTCATTCCTATCTCTATCATCATCTCTTGCCTGGACTTTTGCCATGGCCTCGCTGTTTGTCTATCTGAGCTCATTCTGGCTTCTTGCTTGTTAGTTCCTCACCCTGCACCCAGAGTGATCTTTTCAAAATATGTGGTTATGTTATACCCTGCATAAAGCCCTTCATGGCCCTTAAGATAAGGCAAACTCCTTAACATGCCCAAAGGCCTGGCATGATTTGGCTCCCATCAAACATATAGCACACTCATCATTGCTCCAGCTCCACCAATCTTTTTATATTGCTCTGTTCCTTCTGCCTCTAGGTCTTTGCAAGTGGGCTTCCTGGCCTGGAAGGCTCTTCCCTCCCATTTTGGCATAACTACTTAACATGCAGTCTTCAAATTCCAGTTTGAGCTCCCACTTTTTCATCACTAACTGTAACTTGGAATTTTTCAACAGTCTCACCACATCCTTCCCCCTAACTATGGGTTAGAGTGAAGGCTGTAGGCTAAAGAAATAAAGTCCTATTTAGTACCTGGGAGCATTAACTTATAAAAACAAAAGTTTCCCCACGAAGGAGGCAGACATTAATATATGGCCCATATTTTTAAAAATAGATTTTAGTTATTAATGCCTTTATATTTTTATCAAGTAATAATAGTTTATATTTATTCTCATAATAAGTACTGGTCCTTATTTACTATTGAACACTTACATGGCAGGCATATTTTAAGCAATTTACATGAGTTTACTTATTTAGTCTTCAAAGCAACCCTATGAGGTGCATACTATTTTCCTCCCTATTTTAAAGATAGGAAAATTGAGAGATTAAGTATTTTGCCTCTATTTACAAGGTTAGTGAAAGATTAGAGCCAAGACTCAAGTCGAAGCAGTACAATTCCAAATCCTGCACAGTTCGCCTTCTGTTTCCATGAGTTCTGTGTCCATAGATTCAAACAACCTTAGATTGAAAATATTCAGGAAAAAAGTAACACAACAATAAAAAATAATATAAAAAAGCACAGTATAACAACTATTTACACAATATTTACATTGAATTAGGCATTAAAAGTAATCTAGAGATGATTTAAAGTAATTGGGATGATGTGCATAGGTTAAATCCAAGTACTGCATCATTTTATAAAAGCGACATGAACATCTGCAGATGCTGGTGTCCACAGGGGTTGTGGAACCAATCTCCTGCAGATACCAGGACATGACTGTACATTTATCCTACTTACATGTAAATAAAGTAAAATAGGGTTATTAAAAGACTTCCAACAACAATAAAAATCCAGTCAACTCTGCCCCTCCTTTCTCGTCTCCCCAGTCCTGTTGCCTAAAAGCAACTACTTTCATTTATTTAAATGTTTCTTCTAGCCCTTACCTTTTCAAATAATATGCTTATACTGCTGTTTCTTAATGTATCAATATTTGGCAATATCTACTGACTTCCTATTATGGTAGATAAATATTTAGCTCTTTCATACACAGCCACCTCTACTCTCCCTCCTTGACCTCCCAACATAATTCTCACATTGTTTGTTTGCATTTTAGTATTTATTTACTGTGATTACATAGATATTGTTTACTACAGAGTCAAGCAAGCATATTACGAGTAGGATTCCTTACTTGTAGAATTTTTTTTTAATCCTAGAAGTAATAATGAACTCATTTAAGAAAACACTTGGCTTAGTGTTTCCATATATCTATTGGAGTACAATTTCTATGTACTCTAACATCTTTTCAGCTTGGTTTTCCATGTAGTCTAACATAACAGATTTATTTGTCCCTTACTGGAGCAATCTGTCCTCTTGCCCCTGTTCGGACTGTTGCTCTCTAGGCCTGTTCCGTGGTGGTTGTTCGGAATTTCTTTTTGCTGACATCTCTGATAGAGCCTCTGTTCCTTAGATACTATGACTTTTGTTTTTTATTCACCCCCTCATTTGGATGAAACACATATCCACCACTAGCTTGCTGGAAAATGGTGCATGGAATGAAGAAATGTGAGATATTGAATGTCTAAAACTCTTTATTCTACCTTCATACATTTTCCTTTCTGTTTTATTTAATTCTTAAAAATGTGTTAGTAGTTGCAGTTGTTTGTGAACTCCAGTTGTTTGAAGTTCACAATTTTCAAAAGTTAGGAGAGGTATATGATAAATCTTCCTTTCACTGTTGCCCTCTGACACCAGTTTTCTTCCCCAGAGGTAACCGATGCTATTTTTTAAAAATATAAAAACAATATGTATGTTTTTTCCCTCTTTTTAAAATACAAATAATTCTTGCTTTTTTTGTTCCCATTTAACTATATTGGGATCATTTCATATCAGCATATAAATTGGCCTTGTTTTTTACTTTGCATAATATTTAATCATATTACTCCATCATAATTTATCTCTTTCCCTATTGGTAGAGTTCTCGGTTGTTTCAACCCTTTGATATTAGAACAATGCTTTAATGTGCAAGTTACAGGTGTGCCATTTCACTAGTGCATTAGCGTATCTATGGGATTTCTAGAAGTCATCCCCACATCTGATTGATGCTTTTATAGAGACTACAGTAGTAAGCAGCCCTGCAAGTTTGATAATTCTGAGTCAAATGAGATAAGGAGAAAGGGGGAAAAACACCTGATAGTAAATACTTAATGGCAGAGGGGGCTCATTTCTAGAGGACAATTAATAAAGCAGACAGGGTTTCTCATAGAAATTATTGTTTTCTTTGAGCTTTTTGAACATGACCTTTGTTTTTTCAGATGTGACCCATCATTTTGAACTGGATAAAACTTGTTTCTGTTGTTACCTCAGTCTCCTTCTTGTACTCTACCCTCTATCATTGCCTCTGTTAGTTTCACTGGCCTCTTGTCTCATATTTTTGAGTTCTAGGTCTACCACTGAAGATAATGCAGAAGAGAGAGCATTCCATCTGCTAGCACCTTTCTTTTTCAGGATGGGGTCTTGATGTGTTTCCTAGGCTGGTCTTGAACTCCTGGGCTCAAGCAATCCTCTTGCCTCAGCCTCCCGAGTAGCTGGGATTACAAGCACCTAGCTAGCTAGCACCTTTCAACAAGTCCAGAACACATCCTTAACACCCGTCACAACTTAACAACCTCTGTAGCCTCCACATTGACTCATTTGCTGAGTTCAGCTAACTCTACTTCCAAAATCTGTTTCTAAGCTTCCATGCCCCTTATATTTATCTCTTGCCTGGACTACTTTTAAGGGTATCCTAATTGCCTTTAGCCTCCTATCAGGTTTTTCTACCTCCCCAAAAATTCCATATTCAGCACAACTTCAACGACAATCATTCTAAACTTCCGTTCTCATTAGGTCATCACCTTGCTGAAAACTCATCAGGGCCTCTCCCTTTGCCTAAAGAATTAAATATAAATCCCACTGAATTAAGCACCCCACCCTCCCCTATTTGGAGCTTGGCATCCAGTGTGTGTTTAGTAGGCCTCACTGTGTATGGTAATTGACTATGCATGGTTCTGGGTAAAATTACCCTACTTGAGGCCAGCTGTTGATAGAAGAATTAAAGTTTAGGCTGAGACCGGTTTATTTCCAACCCAAATTTTACATTAAAGGAGCTTTTCTTGTGCCTTAACCATGAAGAGTGGATAATGCAGGAATTTCAGATGGTAGTTGGAGAAGTGGAGGGATATTGTTCGCTTCAAATTAGGCACATATATAGCCTAATCTTAAAGGTAGACACAGATTTTATGTATAATAAAAAATGATGTTATGGAAGACTTGAAAAAAATTCTGTTTTATATCTGGGGAGGTGGCAGCTAATGGGGAAGGGGTAAATATGGGGAGACTTACAAATATTGAGATTGAAGTCTTTTAGAATTTCTAGAGCAGGGGTTAGTAAACTATAGTTCTTAGACCAAATTTGATCCACTACCTGTTTTTGAAAACAAAGTTTAATTGGAATGCAGCTATGATTATTCATTTACAAATTGTCTTTTTTGTACTACAACAGAATTGAATAGTTGCAGTAGAGACCATATGGCCAGCAAAGCAAAAAAAAATTTGTTATCTAGTCCTTTATAAAAAGTTTGTTGACACTTTTTCTAGAGGGTAATGGAAGCTGAGAGATGGAGGAGGAGTGTCTATCACATCAGCATTGGTAAACCTGTAGAAAGGTGAATGCAAAATGATAACAATTGAGCAAGCAATCTTCTTTATTCCTTCACCCCCTATTCCTTAATATTTTTGGGGCCTCAAAGGAAGAATGAATGGAGAGAAATTGCCTACTGCTTGTGTGTGTTTGGACTCCTTCAAAAAAGGAATGGTTGGTTGAATTAATTGAATGCAACCTGCCCATCCTCCAAATACATGCCATGAAAAGGCCCAGTAGACACTCCTTTCACTAAAGTATTAAGAAGTACATTAGTGAAGGGATTCCCTGCATCCATGAAAAAATCTGTGCCTGCTCTCCTTTGTAGACCATTGAAATTGGCTCTCTGATTTTACTGGAGATGATGAAATTCCATAGTAGCAAAAGCCAAGTGGCAGTAAGCCCTTATACACCAAATACAAAGTATATACATCTCCCACAATGAAAAGCTGGGCCATAGAGGTATCAGAAAACATTGGCTTGCAGATGTTTCTGACAGCTGAGATAATGTCTTTGGTATATGCCTAGTGGTAGCTAATGAATGAAATACGTAAGCAGTACTATAGCATCCCTTCATCTATATAATAGGAAAATCTCTAGCTCTGGTAGCAAAAAAGTTAACTTTAGTTGCTGCAATCAAGAGTCACAGCATCTCACTCAGTTTTCAGACCTAAGTCAATTCACACTCCCAGAGCTTTTCCCCAAAGGGACCTGTAGCCATTTACCAGAGACTATGCTTTGGGGAAAAGGAAATAATCAGACCTTTCATACTAATTCCTAGGGGGACCCAAAAATACTGTGGCCAACTGTTCAAAGTGGAGACTTAAAAGTGCTCAGGTAACAAATGGAGTCTTAGCTCCAGTTGTACTCATAGTGGGTCCAGGGGGTCAGCAGATCTAGCCTGTGCTTATTTCCCCAGTTCTTTAATGAATAATTGGAATAGACATACTGGGTAACTGGCAGAATCTCTATATTGACTCTCTAAACCAAGCTTGTTTAACCTGTGGCCCATGGGCCACATGCGACCCTGGATGGCTTTGAATGTGGCCCAACGCAAATTTGTAAACTGTCTTAAAACATTATGAGATTTTTTTTTTTTTTGTAATTCTTTTTTTTCCCCCAGCTCATCAGCTATCGTGTTAGTGTGTTTTATGTGTGGCCCAAGACAATCCTTCTTCTTCTAATGTGGCCCAGGGAAACCCAAAGATTGGACACCCCTGCTAACCCATAGAGAGAGGACCATGTGATAGGAGAGCTGAGTAGAAGGCTTTAGAATTTCCCCTTTCTTCAAAGATAGTAAATCAGAAGTAATAACATATCCCTGAGGAAACTCTCAAGATTGATGTCACTATCAAAGATTTGAAATAAGACTTGTGATATCTATCACATCCCCACTTAGCTCACTTATTTTGCCTCGGCAGAAGTTAAATGGATCTTAGAGAATGGCTGTAGACTCCCCTAAACTTAATTATTGGGTGACTCCAAATGTAGTTGCTGACCCAGATGTAATATCTTTATCAAACCACATGGCCCCTGGCATTTGGTATGTAGCTATTGACTTAGTTAATATCTTTTTCTGCCAATTTACAAGGACCACCAAAAACAATTTGTTTTTATCTAGCAGAGCCAACAATATGGCTTCACAGTCTTGCCTCAGGGCTAGATCAATTCTTAATCTTAATCATCGTAACATTTCACAAGTCATCACACTGATCCACTACATTGATGATAATATGCTGATTGTCTCTGATGAGAAGAAAGTAGCAAATACTTTAGATATCCTTGTAGAGCATATAAGAATTAGAAGGTGATAAATCAGCCCCACAAAAATTCAGCAAAACTTCTGGGCATTCAGTAGCCACTATGCTCGATAGGCTTTTTTTTTTTTTCTTTTTTGAGAGGGAGTATCATTCTGTTGCCCAGGATGGAACGCAGTGGTGGGATCTGGGGGTCACTGCAACCTCTGCCTCCTGGGCTCAAGCAATGTTCTTACCTCAGCCTCTTGAGTAACTGGGACCATAGGTGAGCTCCACCACACCCGGCTAATTTATGTATTTTTTTTGTGGAGATGGGGTTTTGCCATATTACCCAGGCTGGTCTTGCACTCCTGGGCTCAAGCAATTCGCCTACCTCAGTAGTGCTGTAATTACAGGCATGAGCCACTGCACCCAGCCTCAATAGTCATTTTTGAATTTGGGGGCAACATTTACAACATTTGAATATGCTACCTCAACCTGTTTACAGAGTAACTCATAAGGCTGCCAGTTTTTAATGATGATCAAAGTAGAAGAAGGCTCTGCAGCAAGCCCAGCAGTACAGGCTATGCTACCACTTCAGCTTTATGATCTAGCAAACTCAACGACTCTCTTGGTATCTGTGCCAAAGAGGAATGCTCTATGGAGCCTCTGGAAAGTGCCAATAGCAGAATCACAATACAGACATCTAGGGTTTTGAAATAAATATTTTCTTCAGATAACTGTTTACTTTTTGATAAACACCTTCTGACTTGCTACTAGGTAGATATTGAATGCATAATTATGGAGTGTCAGGTTATCATGTGGACCAAGTTTCCCATCATTATCTGGGTAAAATCTGACCTATCTTTCCATAAGGTTAGCGATGTACAACAGCAATATATCATTGAGTGGAAATAGTACATGAGACAGAACTAGAGCAGATCTGGATAGGACAAATAAGTTGCATGAACCAGGGACTCAGACTTCTTTGGTAGCAACTCTAATGGCATTGCCTTGTCTCTTTCAACTCATGCCTGTGGCTTCTTGGCGATTCCCTTAGTCCATTTGTTAGAAGAAAAAACAACAACAACAACAACAACAACAACAACAAAAAAACCCCTCAAACCTGATTTGCAGATGAATCTGAACAAAACACTAGTACTACCCAAGATTAATGACTGTGTAGCACTATAGCCCTACTCGTGAGTAACTGTGAATAATACTGGATAAGGAAAACTTTTCTGTAGGCAGAGATTTGAACAGTAAATATGGTTGTCCACCATGTTGGGAATGAGACATGCCTAGAAATACAGATCTATATTGGTCATCGATGGGTAGTTGTTAATGGTTTTTATGGTCAGAGTTGGAAGGAACAGGATTGGAAGATTGGTGACAAGGTAGTTAGTTTGAGGAAGAGGTATGTGAATGAACCTTTCAAAATGAAAAGACCCTGAAAGAATTTGTATCCCCTCTGAGTGCCCACAAAAGCACATCCATTGCAGAGGAGGCTCTTAATAATCAAGTGGACAAAATGACACATTCTGCATGTCAGTCAGCCTATCTCTCCAGCTGTCTCAGTGGGCCCATAAACAGGAGTCTTGGTGGCAAGACTGGAGCTGTGTATGCATGGGCTCAGCAACATGGCTTCCCCTTTGTAAAGTTGACTGGGATAGCGCTGCTGCTGAGTTCCTAATCTGCAGAATCCAGCATTGAGCCCCTGCGGGGATCAGCCAGCCTCTGGGTGGCAGGTTCATTATACTGGATTTCTTCCTTCATTGAGGGGGCAGAGACTTCTCCTCACTAGAATAGACAAGTATTCTACATATGGATTTGCCCTTCCTTGACATCACCAACATCTGTGGACTCCTAGAATGCTTAAGGGCATGGTGAATACAGAGTAGTAGTTAGTGTAAGAAAGAAGCCATAGATATTCATTATGGCCTCGCAGCCAATTATGTAAGTGAGGATTATTGTAGGTTTGCGTATTTTTTCTTTAAAAATTTTTTTTCAATCAGCTTTCTCAGGTTCAATGCACATTTTTTCTTTGCCTCTTATATCTAGGTTTTTTTTGTATATGTTAACAATTTTCTTCTCTCATTTTCATTTTAAAAATGTTAAATAGAAGCCGTTGGAGATCAACTTTCCAATTTAGGTAACAGAATATTTAGTGGGACTGTGACAGAATTTAAGGAGTAACTCAGAGTCACAGCAATGACTACAATAGCTGTTAGGACTCTATGTCTCTCGTTTTTGAGGAGATAGAACTTCTTCACTTATAAAGAAGGACAGTTAGACTTTGTTAGGTGAAATATAGAATTGTGTTGTTATTGTACAGGAGTTTCAGTGTGTGGGAGAGGGTGCATGTGGAAGCTGAGTAGTGAAAAGTGTAGACTTTGCTGCTTATCAGTTTACTGTCTCTTAGTTCCAAATTTACTGTATTAGCCTGCTCTGTAATAATGGAGCTGGGCCTTGTAAATTTCTTTTTTGCTGGCTCGTACAATGTTAAGCCTTGTCAGTAGAGGGCACTGGAGGGACACTGAAGTGGCTGAGGCTTCTCTTTCTGGTTTCTGTGATGCTCACTGGCTAAGCTCCTTTTGAGCATAGTTTTCCTCCACTGCTCACTCCCCAGTATGATTTTCTCCAGTACTAGGTATCTGCAGAACACAGCTTTTTCTAGAGTTGGTGTTCCCCACACACTGCACTTTCTTTAGAGCTTGATTTAGGCAGCAGTGGTGTACCCTTGAGACACAGACACCATGGACCTGCTCTGTCACCTAAGTCACTGCTCCCCAAACTCTCTCCTCAGATCCACACATGCCAAACTCGGGGCCCCACAAGACTGGGTGTCTAGGGAGCCAGCTGCCCAACCTTTGTCCCAGGCAGCCAGCCCAGAGCCGTTGTTACCTGTGTGGCACATGAAAGTTCACTAAACTCCTGCAGGGGACAACCTCTGTGATTCCAGATTCCCTCAGCAGCCAGCAGTTTTCCTCAGCACCTAGCTAGTTCTAGGGTTCTGTCCCCCGGCTGTGAATGGCCTCTTCTGGAACTTCAGGGGCAGATTTCTGGTAAGTCCCATGAATGAAGTACTTCTATGACTTTTTACCAGGTAGTCAAAGCTAGGGCATCTCCATAGACATCTCTGGATCTCAGCCCTGGTGAGAGGAGAGCCCTTCCTTGAACACTTATTTCAGCCATAGGGGGAGTGGTTGCCCCTTATACTGTATTTACAACTCCTGTATTCTTTAGAATTCTCCTTAACTCCCACTAGGCAATTTCCTGTTACTCCAATCCTCTTTTAATACCAGATTGTATTAAACTTTCTCTGTTCAAATTAGCATGTGGTTTCTATCTCCTTACTAATCCAAAAGCCAACAACTATGTTTACAAGGTAAATAGATGGACAAATGTTTTAAAATGCAGTGCCTCTACCTGGGGGGCAGGGAATACCAGTTACATGAATAATCTCTGGATCCACCTAAATCACTCCTCAGAATTCCTCTACTCTGTAGTATGCCATAAGTAATCAATGCATATCTTTCATATGTAATGTAAAAGTCATTCACAGGTGTAGATGTGGCAGGAAAGAGCATGTGAGCCCCTGAGTTTGTGACTCCCTTGACAGATAATGTAGTATCATAATTACTTGTTTGTGTCAAACTGTCAAGATAGAGTTGGCTAGCTCACAAATCAAGATTCTATCAGCAACCTTTCACATTCAGAGATGACGATGAGGGAGATGTCTACCTGACCAGGGGTAGCTGAGAAGTTGGATGTCTGACCCTGTCCTTCTCAGTATTGAAACCTGTGCCTCACGGTTGCTGATGGTTAACTCTGTCACTGAGCTTTTTGTCTCACAGCCTGCAGATATCTTGGTTCAGAAAGCTGTTCTTAGTTTATAACAATTGCAAGTAGTTTAGTCATCCACTGGTGGCATTGCCCAGCCACCCAGAGTAACTCTACTTTGCCTTTAGCTGAGATCTTTGAGGTATGTCTACTGCTGCCCCCTCTGAGACAGAATGTGGCTGTCTTCATGCAGTTTGCTTTGCATCAGTGTTTGTCTCTTGTCATACATCCACATGCCACTTCCTGCTCAGAAGAAATGCTGCCAAGAATGTAAACATGAACTTAAACATAATCAAAACTAACAAACTACAGCAGCAAAACACCATGAGATTTGACCCACCAATAAATGCAAGCAGAAATGACTTTCTGCCACTCCTCTGTTCCCTAACACTTTAACCAGTAGATGAGGGGCACATAATAAAACTTCTACCCAAGCACTTAAAGGTTTATTATCAGGGCAAGGTCTTTAAATTTTGTTTTTCTTTGTTTTGTTTTGAATTCAATTAGGAAATACAGATGATAGATAATGTGTGGCAAAGATCCAATGAGTTTTATAATAATTCACAATAGTGTACTTTTCTTAATCTATAATCTATATTAGGATATTGGGATGTAATTTTGTTTTTTTTCTGCTTAGTGTGGTTACCCCTAACTCTTTACAGCATGCCTTAACTCAGTAGTAAGGAAGTTTTGTATACCAAATTAGACATCACAGCAATTAAATTCATCAGGAACCAGACTTTAAACTTCTGGAGTTGTAATGGTTTATTGTCACAAACATGGAAACAAGAAGTGAGAGGAACCACTATCTTCTTATTTCATTAAATGTTACTTTCATGTAAAATTATAATGTTCTGCTTTCCACTACTTCAGAAAATTGCTACAGTTGGAATTTTTAGGTTAAATGAACAACTAATATTTCTGCAACCTATGCTTCTTCACCTAGAGGGACAATCATGATGGATCTTACCTTGATATTTTCCCTTCTCAATTTGTGTTTAAACAAGATCCCCAGGTGATTCATAGTCACTTTAAAGTTTGAGAAGCTGTAGTCTAGATAACTGGAAGCTACCACTTGTTAGTTAGATTATTTTAAATTTGTAAGATTTCAGATGGAAGCATATTTTTACCCCTGAGAATAATCCATTGATTTTAACATAGCGAGTGTCACAACCAGTTAAAATTGTGTATATTGCTTTAGCTTTTCACTTTATGAATATTTTTATTAATGACTTTTTGCAATGGCTACATATATACCAGGTTACAGATTAATAACTTTTTAAAACCAGGTCTCTGAATTTCACTCTTAGGAATTCATAAGAATTTAGAATTTAGAAGATCTCTGAATTTTTCTTTTCTTTTTTTTCTTTTTTTTTAGTTTTTAAAAACTATTTCATGATTTTTGACTTCTCTTCCTCTGTGAATCTGATCTTTGGTAATTAGCAAATAGCCATCTTGGATAGGTGTGTTTAAAGGTTTTAGAAAGAGTACAAGAAGAACAAACCCTTTATCTGCTAATCATTTCTAATGTGCAAATATGACATGTTATATCCTGAGTTTGCTGTTGTGCTGATTTTTTTCTTATCAATTCTCAAACTTCTGAGTCCAACTGGAAGTTGACTGTAGGAGAGATTTGTTTTGTTTCACGAGCTGTTTTTACGTAGGGCTTCCAATTTGGCAGGTAGTACTGACAAGGAACATGGCATTATTCCCGGAAAAAGGCATTAAAAATCCTGGTTTCATTTTACTCATTTATTTATTGTGTATCTTTTGGCTTATGTCTTTTATTGTTCAGGTATCAATTTTCCCATTTTTATGATTGGAATAAAATATTTATAAAATTATTTTACAGAAACATAATTTGCAGTAAAACCTCAGTGCCTCATTTATATCAGCGTAAATCCCTGAGTCTTTTTGGAAAACTGTGGGTCATTCTTGCCTTGGATTTTATCGTGTATCTCCATGTCTAAATAACTTCTATTCATTTACATCAAGAATCTATTTTGAAACACCCATCTTTGGCTTATTAGAAATTAGTAATGTGGTTGCCTTTGGACAGATACAACCCTTATCAGATGCTAGTTTTGATTTGCCCAAAATATTGTGATCTAGACAAGTAATTCTTAACCCTTGCTGCTTGTTAGAATTATCTGGAGAGCTTAAAGTAACAACAAAAGCAGAGTATATGCCCTGCCCCCACATCAATTAAATCAGAGGTGAAGCCTAAGGCACTTTATTTTTTTAAGAGCTTTTCACTAATGTATATCCAGAATTGAAGACAGCTGATGGAGATGCTTAGTGTTGAGTGTCATTCAGCATTAATGGAAGCCTAATATTGCACATTAACAGCAAAGTACAGAAAAGTCATAATGAAAATCCCATCAATGTTGGAATCTTTAAGTGATCAGGGTTGATAAGAGAAGATTAATCCCTTCAGAAATAGTCTGAAAAGATCAAAACATCATCTTCCTACTTCTAGGCTCTGCCTCTGTAAGGTTCTCAACCTCTTAATCTTCCATTTTAAGATCTACAATCTTATTTTCAATCTTTATTACTGAAATGGTGCTTTGAAAAGTTTTTAAAAATCATTTATTTGTAAAATATTACCCAATGATAGGAAGCTATTTGTAGTTTTTATGGTTTTTCCTCAGTTTTTTTTCTTATCGCCTTTTATTTAGGATATCAGTTCTTGACTCTTAAACATTTTATTTTAGATAATTTCAGTTAAAAGCTCAGGATTTTACATTGAACTTGAGTTTGAACAGAGTTAGAAAAATGCTGGTCTTAAACTGAACTGGCATGGCCAAGCCACTTAATCTCTTTGACTCTCCCTGTCTGTCAGTAAAATTGGAATTACAAAGGCTAGGCGCAGTAGCTCATGGCTGTAATCCCAGCACGTTGGGAGGCTGAGACAGGAGGATCCCTTGAGTTTGGGAGTTCAAGATCAGCCTGGCTGGGCAGCATAGTGAGACCTCATCTCTACAAAAAAAAAAAAAAAAAAAAAAGAGAGAAGAAGAAGAATACTTCACAATATTGCTGGGAGAATGAGAACTTATGTATTAAATGTTATTTAATACCAGAGACCTAGTCAACATTTAACACAAGTTAAGTTTTGTTTTTGTTGTTGTTTCTGATGAAATCTTGGTCCTCTTTCTTCCTTTTTCCAGTCAATAAATTTTTCTGGGTGCCTACTATGTTATCAACATTGTGGTAAGGGCCAGAAAAACAGCCATGAATAAGATGCTATCCATGTCTCTCATGAGCTTTCCTTGACTCCTTTATCAGAAGCATCCCAAACTAAAACCTACTAATTGAATGGGTCTTTACATAGATACACATGCACTCACAATGATAGGATTACTGTCATTCTGATGAACAATTCCTCTAGTTTATGATTTATTCTAAAAAGAACTATCTTCTATCTGCGTCATTAATTCTATCCTTCTTTTCAATTCCCACCCTATCCACAAGTATGATTTCTGACATAAAATGTTTTGGGAAAACTATCACTACTGTAGAAGAATCTAGTTCTGTCATATCTTCCTATTCTGTGCTTTCTCTGAACTCTTTTTCCATGTTCTGTCAAAATAGGGAGTCCAGCTCAATTCTTCTCAAATTCCTAATTTAGCCTACTTCTAGCTGCAGAAAAATTGACTGTCACTCGATAGCCCTGGGGAAGGGGATTTTTGGTAGTCCCCTCAGGAACAGAAAGGAGGTGAACACAGGTTGATGAATATCTACCTTTTGTCAAGATACAGTTAGAGGGGATGAGGTTGTAGTTCATCAACTGGGAACCACTTTCCTGTGAGACCCCAACATTTTGACCATTCTTATCTTCCGGAACCCCATAGGTGAGGTTGCTGCCCTATTATTCTGGAAGTGCCCTGAATCCTAAGCCTTAGGATCTTGAAGGCATGACTACAACTACTCTCTCTGCCAAGGTTCTCTTCTCATTTTTCACTAAAGCCCATTAGGCCAGGTCTAATGAAGTTCAGTTTTAAAGGTCAACCAACTGTTGCACATTTAACATCTCTCAAGAGTGAGATAAGATTGTAAAATTACTTCCACTTGACGTGGATAATTTATCTGTGTTTTCATTTGTCTTTTTTTTTTTTTTACCACCCCTCCTTCATAGGATTGGAAAAATTGGACTTTCCAGTCAGTCTCTTTTTTTCTACTCTTAAATGTAGGTATTTCTCTATCCTCTTTGTTTTACATTTACCCCAAGACTGACTCAAATTTTCATCTCTACTGCAGAACTTTTTCCTAATTTCCAGTCCCATATATCTTTTTGCTCTTGGAAACTCACTTTGGAAGTTCCATTAGCATATTACATTTGCTATGTCCAAAACTGAACAAATTATCTCCTTAATTCCTACCCTGAATCTATCCTTCCTGTGTTTCTTGCCTTTGTTAATGTTATCACTTTACTCATTTGTATTAGTTTGTTCTCATGCTGCTAATAAAGACTTACCAGAGACTGGATAATTTATAAAGAAAAAGAGGTTTAATGGACTCACAATTTAACATGGCTGGGGAGACCTCACAATAATGGCAGAAGGTGAAAGAAGAGCAAAGGCACGTCTTACATGATGGCAGGCAAGAGAACATGTGCAGGGGAACTCCCATTTATAAAACCATCAGGTCTCGTGAGACTTATCCATGACCATGAAAAATAGTATGGGGGAAACCACCCCCATGATTCATTATCTCCATCTGCCCCTGCCCTTGACACATGGGGATTATTACAATTTAAGGTGAGAGTTGGGTGGGGACACAGCCAAACCATATCACCATTCATCTCCCATTCTTCCCTTTCTCTCACCAAGTCCTGTTGTTTGATTCCACTTCCTGGACTCTCTTGAAATCATTCCACTCCATCCTTTGACCCACCTCATCTCATTAATATCTATCACCTTTACTGGGGCTGAAAAACTTGTGATTTTTCTAAAACATAAATTTGATTGTGGTCTTTTCTTAAAAACAGTCCTCTCCATTCCATCTATTTTGGAAAAAATTGGTAATTTCCAAATTCACTGAAAGATGCACAAGGGTTTTTATGAACTGATCTTTAACTGACCTTCAAGCCACATCAGTTGTCATTCTCTCCCTGTGCCTTCCACTTATGCTGTACTCAAGGACTGACCATGCCTTTTCTTGCTTTTATGGTTTTGCATCTGACATTCCCTATTTTCCCTCCTGTCTAACTGCCTAAAATGTACTTGTATTTCAAGATTTTGCTCAACAGTGTCATCTCTAGGAAACTTTCCTTAACATTTCTCCTGACCTTCTACATTGTTTTCCCTTTTTTTTTTTTTTTTTTTTTTTTTGAGACAGAGTCTTGTCCTGCTACCCAGGCTGGAGTGCAGTGGCACAATCATAGCCCAATGCAGCCTTAACCTCTTGAGCTCAAGCCATCCTCCCACCTCAGCCACCTGAGTAGCTGGGACTACAGGCGTGCACCACCACATTTGACTAATTTTTGTATTTTTTTGTAGGATGGGGTCTTGCTATGTTGCCCAGGCTGGTCTCGAACTCCTGGTCTCAAGTGATCCTCTGGCCTCAGCTTCCTAAAGTGTTGGGATTATAGGCATGAGCCACTGTTCCAAGCCTGTGTAGCTTTCTTAGTCTCCTGTCGTAGCACATATCACACTGCTTTGTGACTGTCCTCTGGCTTCCTATATTTCAATTCTGCTTCTTGAAGGTAAGGGCTATCTTTAATTTCTTAACCATAGCCTACCACAACATTTGACACATAATTAATTACACAACTGTCATAGTGTGGTTCTATAACTTCTTATATTCTTTTCAAAAGCTTAAGAGGTCATTTCATTTTTTACCTGAAGTTCTTAAAGCAACCAAACCTCAGAAAGATTGGAATCTCACTTTTATGAGCAATATATGTCAGAATTGGGGTTATCTTTTGGAGCAGAAGTATCCACTCCATACTGAAAAGAATATAGAGCACTCCAATTAGAAATAGTATATAGAACTAAGTTCTGCCTATTTTGTTTATTCAGCTTAAAATTTCCTGCCAAAAGCCAGAGAATCCATCTTAGAACCTGGTTTTCTTATTTTAAATTTAGGGAGAACTTTGGAAGAGAAGTTAAAGAAGGTGTCAAAAGTTAATTTTCATTGCTATAAATGATATTTTCTTTAAAATATGTTTAGACCTTAGGAAGAACAGGCATTTTCCCTCCCCTTCGTCCCTGCAAATTTCTTGACTGGCTATCGCGGCTCATAGTATGTAATCGTTTCCTAAAAAGTCCTATTTTTCTTTTCCTTTGCTCCTGTTGTCCCATATTAGGGTTTAATAAACTTGCTGTCCTGTTCTTAGGGTCAATTGCAAGCAATATTTTATCAAACCAAATTCTGCTTTTTTAACTTTATGACTTCTATAGGCTCCCTACAGACACTTCAAGTAAAGCTAATGAATTCTCTTTTTACTATTAGATCTTGTATTTCTGTGAGCTATTAAAACTAGCTGTTATATAACAACAAATTAAATGCTGTTGATTTTCTTGTTTTTAGGGGTTCCTTCAGGAGTCACAAGTACTATTGGGTTGGAAAATCTGGGAGAATAATAGTTTACTTACTGATGAAACTGCTGTATTATCATTCATTAAGCTGGAGCAGATCACAGTTTGAGGGTAAACTACATAAAATGAAGGCCACTATTTTAGATGGATGCCTAATAGTACTTATCAGTATACCCTTACTTCCTTATGGAGCTCTCTTTTTTGTAATTTATTTAATGAGGTCCTTTGATTCCTTGGTTATCAAGTGAAGATATTCTTTTTTAACTCAAAATATATTTATAAAATTAATTTTATACATAGTATATAGTGGATATTAGAGTTTAAAAAGAATGTATTTTTTAATGGAGAGGAATATCAATATTTTTGCAACCCCAATAAATTGTAGTAAATTGTAACAATTATTTTCTTCCAAAAGTGTAATTTTCTTGAGGACAAGATATCTTTGTATTCTCATTAACCATAAGAGTACATTGGTAGCTTATGTTCAGTTGTTGGTTAAATGAATGAATTGAGCCATGCCTGTAGGACTGAATAGCTACTAATACCATCGATCATTTCTGTTTATAGGTACTACCATTAAAGATACCTTCTTCTCAGCAAATCTATGATAAAAAATATAAGTAACAGAAGAAGAAATAACTGTTATTTGTCAAGTGACAAGCTTTTAATGTCAGAATGGCTCACCTAAAGCGACTAGTAAAATTACACATTAAAAGACATTACCATAAAAAGTTCTGGAAGCTTGGTGCAGTAATTTTTTTCTTTATAATAGTTTTGGTTTTAATGCAAAGAGAAGTAAGTGTTCAATATTCCAAAGAGGAATCAAGGATGGAAAGGAACATGAAAAACAAAAACAAGATGTTGGATTTAATGCTAGAAGCTGTAAACAATATTAAGGATGCCATGCCAAAAATGCAAATAGGAGCACCTGTCAGGCAAAACATTGATGCTGGTGAGAGACCTTGTTTGCAAGGATATTATACAGCAGCAGAATTGAAGCCTGTCCTTGACCGTCCACCTCAGGATTCAAATGCACCTGGTGCTTCTGGTAAAGCATTCAAGACAACCAATTTAAGTGTTGAAGAGCAAAAGGAAAAGGAACGTGGGGAAGCTAAACACTGCTTTAATGCTTTCGCAAGTGACAGGATTTCTTTGCACCGAGATCTTGGACCAGACACTCGACCTCCTGAGTATGTTGAAGAATATTTATTGTTTATTCTTTATCACCAGGCTTTGCAGGGGAGAGAGGGGTGAGCTAAGGAAGTTATCTGTTTTTTAGCTACTCTAAGGCAGAAAATCAGCAAATACTGTTTATTTAACCTGTTGTATTTATTTTTTGCTTATAATGATTGAGGCTACATATCCCTATTTATGCTTGGTGAGGCAGTGCAGATATGAAAAGTTATTAGCTTGGAAATTAGAAAACTGAATTCTAGATCTGACTGCTATCCACAAGGAAATTCTTTATTCCTAAATACTGTGGTTTTCTCATCTATTTAGGGGGAATTATTGGACAATTTGTATAGGAAGTAGAAGGTAGAGGAATTGTTTCCATTTCTCTGTATTTCTTTAGAATAAAAATGTTTAAAAACATGCCAAGATTTTGGAACTGTTGGATAATATTTTATATATGTGTAAAGCAATTCACAGACTTTGTGATTACTTTGACTCAAAGTTTTTGAGTACCTAATTATATTTCAGAATGCCCTATTTTTTGTAAACAATCCCAAGTAGCTGGGATTACAGGCGCCCGCCACCACAGCTGGCTAATTTTGTGTATTTTTAGTAGAAACGGGGTTTCACCATGTTGCCCAGGCTGGTCTTGAACTCCTGACCTCAGGTGATCCATCTGCCTTGGCCTCCCAAAGTGCTGGGAGTACAGGCATGAGCCATTGCACCTGGCCCACCCTCAACAGATTATTTATTTATTTATTTATTATTATTATTATTATTATTATTATTATTATTTTGAGATGGAGTCTTTCTCTTTCACTGAGGCTGGAGTGCAGTAGTGTGATCTCGGCTCACTGCAACCTCTGCCTCCTGGGTTCAAGCGATTCTCCAGTGTCAGGCTCCCGAGCAGCTGGGACTACAGGCATGTGGCACCACGTCCGGCTAATTTTTGTATTTTTAATAGAGACAGGGTTTCACCATGTTGGCCAGGCTGGTCTCGAACTCCTGACCTCAAGTGATCCGCCCACCTCAGCCTCCCAAAGTGCTGGGATTACAGGCGTGAGCCACTGCACCCAGCCCCTCAGTAAGTTTTTAAGTGTACAAGATAGGCCAGGTTTGGTGGCTCACACCTGTAATCCCAGCACTTTGGGAGGCCGAGGAGGGCAGATCAGCTGAGGTCAGGAGTTTGAGAGCAGCCTGGCCAACATGGTGAAACCCCGTCTCTATTAAAAATACAAAAATTAGCCGGACAGGGTGCCGTGTGCCTGTAGTCCCAGCTACTGGGGAGCCTGACGCTGGAGAATTGCTTGAACCTGGGGGCAGAGGTTGAAGTGAGCGGAGATCTGTGCCGTTGCACTCCAGCCTGGGCGACAAGAACGAAACTCCATCTCCAAAAAAAAAAAAAAAAAAGAGTACAAGATAAGCAAACTGGAAGCAAACAATGCCTGTGTATTTTGCTTTGCTTTCTGGATATTAGAGAATTACATTTGGCAGTGAACTTGAAGATAACTTTTGGTCTATTGTTTCACTCAGGTTTTTCTAGATTTAGGATTATCAATACTGGATCCAAGTATATGAGTCCCTTAACATTGAAACTGTGTAGCTTAGATTTCTGTTGAGCTATTCTAATCTGATTGATTCAAGTTTAGGTTGCTCATAATTTTTAAATGAATGTGTAAAGAAACTAATATCTATAAAATATTCTAGCTGATATAACAAGGCACATTATAGTTCCTTTCATACAGTAATAGATTAGAATGCAGTATTGCACTTTACTGACTTGAAGAGAGGTTTTGATTGAAAAGTAATCTACATTAAAAATCAATAATCATGATTTTTATTCTTTTGACATGACAATCAGTGACAGCTCAAAATGAGCTTTTTTCTCCCAATATAGCATTAAGAAGCTGCAATAATTTTCAATAATGTTAATCGCTAAGTAAGTGAAAAACAAGTAAGCACATTAACAACATTTTTTGGTTGGAGTGAAGATTTAATTATTTCTTACTTTGGACAGGGTTTTGTACAGGTGGTAAAGATTTGTTTTTTGACTTCGTGATCTGCCCGCCTTGGCCTCCCAAAGTGCTGGGATTAAAGGCATGAGCTACTGTGCCTGGCCTGGCCAACATGGTGAAACCTCATTTCTACTAAAAATACATAAATTAGGTGGGCATGGTGATGTGCGCCTGTAGTCCCAGCTACTTGGGAGGCTGAGGCAGGAGAATCACTTGAACCCGGGAAGCGGAGGTTGCAGTGAGCCGAGATTGCACCATTGCACTCCAGCCTGGTGACAGAGCAAGACTCTGTCTCAAAAAAAAAAAAAAAAAAAAAAAGATTTGTTTTTTACTTTGAATGTAACCAGTATCAGCAAATAACACATTTTCTGAAGAACTGCTAATGTTTTCCATGCTCATTAGAAATATAGACCTAGTTTCTCCCAAAGCCAGATGGTCATGTGACTGATAATTTAAGCATGTTTCTATGTGCCAGGTTTTTCAAATGGTTTGACTGGAATGATACAGTCACTTTGGCAAGTTATTTTAATTGCACTATTTTAAATATGTAAAACAATTTTCAAAGCATACATTTAACATGTTGTTTCAAAATGAATGGGGTTTATGAAATTATATTGTGAAATTTTATTACTTGTATTGATATGACATTTGTACTTGATATTGGTAATTATCAGTTAAGCAAATAAATCCTAGTTTAAACTGACGGAAAATCTTGCAAGATTAAAGTGATAACATTTTACTAGTATGAATTTTTGTGAAATTTTATACTTTAAATCTTCAAAACCATTTTATAATTATCGATTAATACTATATTAATTAACCACATAGCAAATAAAGGTAGGAAAAAAATCTTATACTCAGAATTTCACTTTCTCCTCAAAATGCTTATAACAAATCATAGGTTTCCTCTTTTTTTTTTCTTTAAAAATAAAATACCACAATATGGAATTTTTCATAATTTTTACTTCTAGTTTATGTTGGTTATAAACTTTTATGGGTTCAAAATATAAGCTTATATTTAGTCATTTATTTCTGTGTAGTTGTGGTTCAAGTGTGTATATTAATAGTTTGTGTTTGAGCTTTTTTATTAATTGGTAGTTTATCCAAAATTCAATTTAGAATAAATAATTTGTTTTTATTTATGAATGATGAAGAAGGTGCTTATTTTTTCCGCCCATGCACCTGTATCATGCTTTGAAATCATGAAGAAACTGAAGAGCAATGCCACTTTCACTCAGAATCCATCCTCTCCTTTTTCTAATCTGTTGTTGACATCTTCTCTTGATATTTTACCCCAATCCAACTCCTTTTTTTAATCACTACAAATAATCCATTCTAAAGACTTGCTGTTAAAAAAGGGTATCAGAGACATTCCTATTGAGGTATGACTATGAAAGTAATTAATGGGATAATTTGTGTATCTTTTTTTAGGGCAGTTTTCTCAGGCCCCTAATATCACACTGGAGGCTACAGTTTCCCCATTGGCCCTGGCAGAGGAACTGAAGGGTGATGGGCTTTTATCTCCAATTTATGGTTTTTAAGTGACCTTAAAGATATAGTTGCTTTATTTGCTTATCTTTCCCATAAACCTCACACAGTTTTATTTTATGTCCCAGTGACTTGAAGCCCTCTCCTATATGTTCTTTCATTTAATCCTCACCTCCATTCAGCAGGCTTGGCACTGTGGTTATCTCTACATCTCTAGCCTCAAAGGCTGGAGACTATGCAGACTCTCCTGCACCCCAGTGGCTTAATATGAAGATATTTTTCATTGAGGAAAGACATTCCTATACAAATGAATTTGAGATCAATTTATAAGTAATGTTTTTAACTAATGGATAGTAGTACCACTAATCAGTCAAGGGCACTTAGGGTCTCTCTCCCTGTGCCCAATCAATGTTTTAGATGGTGACATGAGCACAGGACTTTTAACATGGATTTAGGTCTTTATTTAGATCTTTATTTCTACGTATTTTTAAAGGGTTTTTTTAAACGCTAGTCTTATTTGATAGTAGATCAAATTATTGGAGCAAAATCTTTAACACATGGCAAATGGCAGTACTTAATAAGTATTTGCTGAATGATGAACATCATAAAAAGATAGGTTTAGGCTGGACATGATGGCTCACCCCTATAATCCCACCACTATGGGAGGCTTAGGCAGGAAGATTGCTTGAGGTCAGGAGTTCAAGACCAGCCTGGGCAACATCACAGACTGTCTCTATTTTAAATAAAAATAAGAAGAACATAGGTTTTACAATAAAGCTATTTTTTCCCTTTTGATTCTGTGTATAGATTAAGTAAATTGATTCAATAAACCTAGGAAATACTTAAGAAACCTATATTACATACTTAGGTAAATATCTAATTAAAGATAATCTTTATAAAAATGATTTAATATTGTGGGCGCAGTGGCACACGTGTGTAATCCCAGCACTTTGGGAGGCCTAGGCGGGTGGATCACAAGGTCAGGTGATCGAGACCATCCTGGCTAACATGGTAAAACCCCGTCTCTACTAAAAATACCAAAAATTAGCCGGGTGTGGTGGTGGGCGCCTGTAGTCCCAGCTACTCGGGAGCTGAGGCAGGAGAAATGCGTGAACCTGGGAGGTGAAGCTTGCAGTGAGCCGAGATCGTGCCACTGCACTCCAGCCTGGGCGACAGAGAGAGACTCCATAAAAAAAAAAAAATTAATAAAGTGGTACAATTTTTAAAGTTGCAAATATGAAAAATGAATGATTTCTGCATGAAATAAGAAAAATTTGGTTTTTATTTGAGCAATTATAAGGGTTTGTCATTTTTACATGCTGCCTCATTGTAGGTTATTTTCATTATTTAAAATGTTATTTGCATTTAAAATTACATTGTTGAGAAAGCTATAATAACATGTTGTAATCCTTGATATGTTGTCATCTCTGTTGGTAGACATCATCTCTGGGTGAGTGATTTGCTTGTAAAAAAATTGTTTTGATTTATTTACATTTTATATAGCATTGAGATTATATCACATACAAGAAAACTATCCTTTTTCAGTGATAAAGATTCAATAATGATAATGTTAGCAATGGTATAGCTGTGAAATAAAATAATAAAATTTGTAATTGTTTTTCTACTTCTCTGACTTCTTCTAGATGTATTGAACAAAAATTTAAGCGCTGCCCTCCCCTGCCCACCACCAGTGTCATAATAGTTTTTCATAATGAAGCGTGGTCCACGTTGCTTAGAACTGTCCACAGTGTGCTCTATTCTTCACCTGCAATACTGCTGAAGGAAATCATTTTGGTGGATGATGCTAGTGTAGATGGTAAGAAAGCACATGCAAATTAGATTGTTTCCCAAATCCATATTGTGGTATCTACAGTCTACTTGGTTATGTGGTACTCTCTGTATGCCATCTCAGAGCTTGAATATAATAGTTTGGATAGTGGGTATGGTGAATGAAATTAGAATCCAAGGATGGACATATTCAAATATTTTCAAATGCAGAAATGTATGAAACACCATTATTCATAACTATGTAGTCCTCAATGTGAGACTGTTACAGTAAGGCATAGAGGTTAAGAGCACAGACTTGAGCCTTTGAGTCAGGCTGCCTTGATTTGAATCCCAGCTCTTTTCCTAACCAACTATATGACTTGGGCAAGTTACTCAACCTCTCTGCTGTGATTTATCAGCAAAATGGGAATAATGCCATATTTCATTAAATATATTATGTGTTGTTAATTTATAAATCACTAGAGAAAACCCACAGCTAATTAAACTTAACATGCCATTGATTATAAGAAATTGATTATAAGAAGAATCCAATTGTGTAGCTTAAAATTGAGGAAATACAGAACTAGTACATAATTTCTAGAGTTGTTTTAAAGACTGAATGAGTTAATATAAATATCAATAAATAATATAAATGAATAGTTAAAAAGAGTCACCATGTTCTATTTTATTTCGGTGTTCTTAAATATTCCAATATTACTTACAATGTTAGTCAAATTCTTTAGTACATTTCCACTTAAAATTGGAAGTCAAATACTAAATTACACATTTTAAATTGGAATCACAAGGCTAATTTAACAAATACTCTAACTTGTAAATTTTCAAACATCATAAGTATTTTAAATATTGTGTCAAACAGATACATATTATTTCAATGATTACAAAATTTATTCCTTAATAAATCCAAGTTTGGAGTTAGATTCCTGAAGGTCAGATATCTCATTTTATCCTCCCAGCAATGTCTTGTGATGGTGAGTCCGATTATCCTCATCTTAAAGAAACTGAGGCGCAGAAAAGGTAAAATTCCTTGCCCAAGGTCACACAGCTAAAAGTAATTGTGCCATAAAGTGAAATCAGGGCATCTGATTTCATGTAGCTTTCTGTTCTTAACCTCCCAAATAAAGGGTGTGCATGGGAGCTAAATTTAGGGTGCAGATATAAATTTACGGGAAGTTCATATGTTGTGGGTAAGTAAATTTTTTTTTAACAAATTCCAACAGTGAGAGGGTATATTGAAGCAATCTGTAGTAACTCCATTTAAAATAATTCTAACCAAGAATGTTGAAATTTTTACAAGCCTCTTAAAACAGAAAATGTTTATGATTATATATTTAAGATGAGTTACAATTCTGCTTGTCTTTCTGAGAATTATTTCTGAGGTAGTTAGAAGGTGTTAAAAGCTTAATCTGAGAATTATTTTGAGGTAGTTAGAAGGTGTTAAAAAGTTAATCTATTACTCTGAGACAACAGTGTTTAGATAGATTTATTTTTCTACAAGGGTTGTTCCTGCACTTTCCTCTCTTATGAATGTTTAAGCTTTAAATAAGCAGCTCTCTTAACTGAACCACTGGAGAATTGAAAAAAAGGTTATATTATCACAGATAAAGTCAAAGTCATCTGCATTTCCTTCTAAAATCTGGCAGAAGCAAACTTTTGCCCCAGGACATTTATTGATTTTCTTAACATTCCCAAATTTTTTTGAGGCTATGTTTTGGGCCCAAGAAGGCTGCTTGAAGAACTGCATTTTGTACTCAATAAGAAATCAAAAATTTAATTGAGAAAAACAGGCTTAAGAAGTTGTTTCAGAATATGAACAGCTGGGCGCAGTGGCTCAACCTGTAATCCCAGCATTTTGGGAGGCTGAGGCCTGCAAATAGCTTGAGTTCAGGAGTTCCAGACCAGCCTGGGCAACATGATGAAACCCCGTCTCTAAAAAAAAAAAAAAAGAAAAGAAAAGAAAAATTAGCTGGGCCTGTTGGAGCATGCCTGTGGTCCCAGCTACTTGGGAAGCTGAGGAAAACTGCTTGCAGCCCAGAGGCGGAGGTTGCAGTGAGTTGTGCCACTGCACTCCACCCTGGGCGACAGAGCAAGACCTTGTCTCAAAACAAAACCAGACAAAAAAACAACACTGGATTGACATTTGTTAATAACTTTTTTAAAACCTATGATCTCAAATTTTGCTTATTACAAACCTTATCCAATTTGGTATATTGAATATCTTAAAGTATATACCCAATACTAAAATTTGCCTGTTTCATATTTTACTAAATAAAACTGTCAGGAGACTCCAAAGCTTTCGCAAATTTTTCTGCTGACTCTGTGTAGGAATCGTCCCAAACTGCTATAGCTGTGGACTTTCTGACGTGGCTCAACATTTTGGTGTTAAATTATTTTGATCCTTGCTTAAATATCAGAGGTCTTTAGATATTTGACATTTTTCTTTAAGATTTCCAGATTTAAATACCAATTTCAAAGCATTGAATATCTTTTTGGCCAAATTCCATATCTTTCACTCTTGTAGTCAGTCTTCTCAGACCTCTAAATGAGTCTTTTGAACGGCTAGGGTTGACTCCATTTGAAGTTTCTCACTTCCCTCCAAACACATTATATTTATTGATAGGAAGTGTACAGAATAAGTATGCATTACAGTGTTTTGTGTTACAGTAGTGATAATTTGCATAGCTAGCCTTTTTCCCCAGTAAGGAGTTAAAGATAAAATTTTCATTTTGCTGGAAGGACACATGCAACTGTTAAGATTATGAATTTGGAAGGATCATTGCTCTGTGGTTTCATTAGCTTTCATAAGCTATATATGAAAATGCATTTAGAAAGAATTAACCCTGATTTTTTTTCCTTACAGAGTACTTACATGATAAACTAGATGAATATGTAAAACAATTTTCTATAGTAAAAATAGTCAGACAAAGAGAAAGAAAAGGTCTGATCACTGCTCGGTTGCTAGGAGCAACAGTCGCAACAGCTGAAACGCTCACATTTTTAGATGCTCACTGTAAGTATATATGTATGGATATGGTTGTAACATTTTCCCTCCCTCTCCCTCTAATTTAAAAGGTAAGGAAGTCTTTTCTTTTCTAAATGCCTAATTGCATTTTCTTTAACAGCGTTTTCAACTGGCGATTATAGCAATGACAGCCCAAGCAGGTAACAGCTCTGTGGAGAAAATTCCTTTCACTTATGCAGAATTCTTATCTCCTTTTGTGTTTAAGTTTCCTCAACTTCAGTGTTCTCCAGTTACTAGCTGTTCCAGCCAGTTATCCTTGCCTCTTTTTTTTTTTTCCATGTTTCTTTTCTGTTAAAAAAAAAAGTGTTTGTTTGTTTGTTTGTTTGTTTTCTTGATTCCCACACTTTAAAGTGAATGAAAGCTTATTTACTATTTAAATGTAGCCGGGCGTGGTGGCTCATTCCTGTAATCCCAGCACTTTGGGAGGCCGGCGTTGGTGAATCATTTGAGGTCAGGAGTTCAAGATCAGCCTGGCCAACAAGGTGAAACCCTGTCTCTACTAAAAATACAAAAATTAGCCAGGCATGGTGACATGTGCCTATAATTCCAGCTACTAGGGAGACTGAGGAATGGGAATCGCTTGAACCTGGGAGGCAGAGGTTGCAGTGAGCTGAGATTGTGCCACTGCACTCTAGCCTGGGCAGCAGAGTGACACTCCGTTTCAAAATGAATGAATGAATGAATGAGTGAGTGAATATAATCCACCCTATCATTAAACTTCGTCCTAGTACTGCTGCTTTTTTTATATTTTAGTTTGTGTGTGTGTTTTTTTTTTTAAATTTGCAGACTCCTTGGCATAAAAAGGAGTCTGCGAATTTTCAATAAAAACCACAAAACCAAAATATGTTTATATATATACTTTTTATGCCAGGTTAGGGGTGCCCCATCCCATCTTCTTTGGTATCCCTTACATAAACATTGTCAATTTTTGTTTGACTTTGCTGCTGTTGGTTTTTCTTTGTACTTTAATTATTTTCAGAGTCAAAGTTTTTGAAGTATTTAGAAAGCATTTTTAGAGTCAATGTGTCATATGCATGCTAGTTATTACTAAACTGTCATTTTGTCCCTTGAGCTCTGAGTTTAGTGGGCTATACTTTGTATGAGTGTCTAGCTTTGAATTGGCCAGTGCTTAGGTTATGTTTCACCCAATTACTAGTTTTGAGCACACACCGATTATTACAGAAGGGCTTTTGGATGTGCTTGTGTTGCTTAGAGCCATCACATTCAGTTCTCTTTTAATACCAGACATTTAGAAAATGAAGAGAACACTAAAGGTAATGCTAGAGAGGTGCTTTAAAAAGGAAAATACCATCCTCTGGTATTTCTTCTCGTTGTTCAAAATTACAATAAGATCATACTGGACATTCTTACCCACTACCCACTGGGTGGATATGTCTGACGGTCCTCCCGGACCATGACTGCCAAATACTGCTTTGTGGGGAGCCCAGAATAGGACAGCACATGCATTGGCTGAACTTGCTGTGTGTTACATAAAACAGCCTGGCCTGTGACCAGGGCTTAGACCTATCATGACATGAAACTCCTTGGCCCTCCCTTTATATTAGGTCTGGGGCAGCTTTGAATGGTCCTTCTTCTCCAGTTGCTAAAATCGGAATTTATACTGACTCCTTATTTTCTCCTAAGACCCAGTCAGATAAATGAAAATTTCAATTACTGTACCTTATTCAGGGAGATACGAGTTTAAATAAATCAGAACACTTTTAGGGCCAGGTAATGTGGAACAGCAAAAAGCTACCTTTGACTCATAGGCCATTTTAACACATCATCTAAACTTTAAATACACTGGTGTTATTTTGCATCTTTTGTAGAAGAAAGAAGGTCATCATCTGTAGGGGAATTTTTCTAACTGTAGTGAATCTTTTTTCACCTTTTTCATCCTACCCTCATCTCATCACAATAAACCTTTAAAAAATCTCCCCTTCTGGAGATCTATTGTACAACGTGGTGACTGTAATTAATAATAATATATTGTCTACTCAAAAATTGCTAAGAGTAGATCTTAGATGTTCTTACCACCCGCTCCATAAGCCGATAAGGTGATGGATATGTTAATTAGCTTGATTGCAATAATCATTTTACAATGTATACATATATAAACACTATGATATACACTGCAAATGTATAGAATTTTTATTTGTTATATCTCAATAAATCTGAGGAAGAAAGAAATCTCCATTATATACATGTTCAAAACACAAATTGACTCTGTTATTCTCATTTCTCTGTAAACCTTCACCTAAATAACTAAAGAAAAAAACTTCAATGTTTTTATTGAATTAATTAAAATTCTGTTCCCTCCAGGTGAGTGTTTCTATGGTTGGCTAGAACCTCTGTTGGCCAGAATAGCTGAGAACTACACGGCTGTCGTAAGTCCAGATATTGCATCCATAGATCTGAACACGTTTGAATTCAACAAACCTTCTCCTTATGGAAGTAACCATAACCGTGGAAATTTTGACTGGAGTCTTTCATTTGGCTGGGAGTCGCTTCCTGATCATGAGAAGCAAAGAAGGAAAGATGAAACCTACCCAATTAAGTAAGATGATTGCTCTCAGAGTCTTATATTTACACCCTATACCATACATTGAATATGTACACACTGTTTGCTTTATAGCAATTGCCTCTGAGGTAATTGATAAAGAACACACATATTCTATATAAAGAGAATCTAAAAGTCATTCATTTGTGTACTTGCTTATACATGATGTTGCTGAGTAAGAGGTAGCAGTGAGTGAGCTCTTATGTCTTCCTCATCAATCATTACTTAAAAATCGTAAAGCATGGTTAGGAGAAGACATTTAAGTTTACTCCAATGGGAGAGGACACGAAGTACTCCCCCCGACCCCAAAAATCTTGACTTTGAAGATAGCATTTCTAGTTTTTATTAATCTGAATAAAAGCTTTGAAAATGTGATATGGCTTTAATTTTTTAACTTCAGTTCTTAAAATATGCTGTTTTATCTTGTTTAGTTTTTATAACAAAATTTGACAATGGATTATTTTTCAGAACACCCACTTTTGCAGGAGGACTTTTTTCCATATCAAAAGAATATTTTGAGTATATTGGAAGCTATGATGAAGAAATGGAAATCTGGGGAGGTGAAAATATAGAAATGTCTTTCAGAGTAAGTTTATGGAAATTAAATATAGCAGATATATTAAACAATGAAATATATTGTGTTCTAATCGGCTGGTACATATGATTACAGATGTGTGCACTCTACTTTTTGTGCTTTCTGAAACTTAATTGCTGGAAATTTTGGAATAAGAATATTTTCTTTTAATATGTAACTTAATATATTTATTCATTGTCGCCAGTGTAACAAGAGGAATCAGTTAAACTCCTGTGTCCAGGCAGTAACACCAATTAATGCACTTGTAGCTACTGAATTCCAGCCAAGATAAATATAATTAAATCTAGTGCTTCAGGAAATGAGTTGATCATCAAGGGAGTTAGAATGGAAAAACATTTATGAATAATTTTAAAGGACATTGGACTTAACTGTTTGGAATGAATGAGCTTGATTTTTTCTATACATATTATAAGTTAATATAAAAAAAGGCTTTGGGTAGACTCCGTATGTACCTTATGTATTTGATTTCATGAGTTTCATTTTCTGCAGTAACTTTATCATTCATTTTTCATCTCTTAGGCTGGAATGTAGTGGAAAAAGAACTGAACTAGGAGTTAGAAGATTTAAGTTTTGGCTCTGGCTCCATCACATACTGGCAGTGATGATCTTAGCCAAGTTTGAACTGCTTATGGCGGGGTCTTGTTTATTCATTTCAGTATTTCCAACCCCTAGCACGTGTTGGGTCACAAGCACAGTTTGTTGAATTGAACATATCACTGAGTCTTCTCATTTGTTCAAGAAAGAAAGGAGAGAAAGAGATTTGTAATCACTTGCTCTACTACAAGCACATAGTATTAAATATGACTTATTTTCTGATTCTTTGCTTGGTAACTATGGCAGAGTCAATTATTAAGATATTTAAGTGAAAAGGCATTGATTTCATGATTTGCCATTTTATTTAGCATTAATGCCAATAAGGATTTTTTTTGACGTTTTCTCTCTAAATTGGCATGAATTTTTAAATAATCATCCTCTACTTTGCAAGTTCAGTAGAATGATCATTGGTAATAATAGCCATCTGGAATTGTTTTCTTGGTTACAAAATTGAATATACAAGAGATAAATAGGGTCTGAGTCCACTTATATCCAAACTTTGAAGAGAAACTCTAGTTTAAGTGAAGTGACTATGTCAGTAGTTCAGACAGAAGTCAAATGCATAAGAGCCTTTAGTTTTCTGTGCATATTAGAGAACTTACATAATTATTTGCAAAAACAAAAGCCTGGAATTCATTTTTATGAAAAATCTGAAATCACCATTTTGTTAACTTACTGAAAATGCACTTCTGTTGTCTTTAGTGTCTATGCCATTTAATAAAATAATTCCTTACACTTAAGAACTTAAGTTGAAATGGCAGGGGACAGAGACTATTTGTAATATTGTAATCTCTTCTCTAATTTTGTTTTTCATAATACCTTAAAGGTGAACTTAAAAGCAACACTTTGATTTTTCTAAAATACTGTAAATTTAAACAAATATCATTAATTATCAGGTATGGCAATGTGGTGGGCAGTTGGAGATTATGCCTTGCTCTGTTGTTGGACATGTTTTTCGCAGCAAAAGCCCTCATAGCTTTCCAAAAGGCACTCAGGTGATTGCTAGAAACCAAGTTCGCCTTGCAGAAGTCTGGATGGATGAATACAAGGAAATATTTTATAGGAGAAATACAGATGCAGCAAAAATTGTTAAACAAGTAAGTTAAAGCTAAGTAGTTAAATTGCAATAAAATCTATAACAAGTTCACACGTCCTTTTGCGTCGATTCATCTCAAGTACAAAACATCAAAAAATTTGAAAGTAGGTTTTTAACTCTTAAAGTACATGACTTATGAATCCAAGTTTCCTTTTTTAAGAAAAAAACTAAGTAAACTGCTTTTTAAAAATCAGGAATTCTACTTGATGTTTTTAATATGAAAGATAGTTCATTTTTGTTGCTGCCCTGGTTCAATATTTTACTCGAAGAAAATTAAGTAGAACTGTTTTTACTGGTTTTAGGAGATATAACACCTAAATAAAGGTTCTAAGTGACTTTTTGCACTGGAGATAGAGACAGTGTCTTAATGTGGCATGAGAATAAACCAGGAGTGCCAAGCCTTTTTTTTTCAAGCTCTAGTTTCACTACTTACTGGAGATGTTACTTTGGCAAAGCCTTTGAGAATGTAAAATAGGGAAGACACTTCATAGAGTGGCTGCAAGGTGGCTGGACATGGAGTGCATGCTTAACATATTTCTTTTCTCTCCTTCCCTGTTTTAAGAGATGAAATACGCATGCTGTCTCTCTCCCAGAGTAGCTGTGAAATAAGAAAGTGATAAGTGCTAACAAATATATGGTACTCTTGTTATTAACCTGCCATAAATAGATTCTGCTCTGCAGAATCATGAAACCTAATATATTAGAAGTGAGTTCCAATAGTCTTAATAATATTAGATAAGGTAAATTAACTAGATAGTTTAAGACCATGCTTCAGTGTATAGTACTCATCTCTTTGTAGGAAATAGATAGTGCTAATTTGCAGGGTGAGGGAAGGTGGAGTATTTATTGGGAGTCAAGGGTATCAATATTTTGGCTGTTGCGGTGAAGAACGATTTGGTTACCTCTTTCCCTTTTTCTCTGGTCTCCAGTATCTCCCTGTTAGGATGCAAATTAAGAGCACTACTGAGTTAGATTGCTATCTTTTTACCCAAGGCCATGAAGACAAATTGGGCAGATTGTGTACTGTACAATAGTACTTGGCTAAGCAGGCAAGTGGGCACTAAATGAAGCTTATGCTCTGCTTGTCCCCCACAAAGGGGCACATAAATCAGCAAATACCTGTTGGTTACCACAGGACACATAGATCTACATGGTAAATGTAATAAGCTAGCCAGAAGTCCTAAAGACTCATACTTTTTGCTAAAACGCCTGGGTTCAAGACATCAAAGTTGGCATAAGAAAATATTTTCTTTAGTTGAACTGATAAGATTGAGTATTTACTTTTGCATACATTTAGATATTACATGTACTTTTTCTCTAATATTTTGCCTGTAGGTCAAATACCTTGAAGTTTAATAATGGTTTTTTAAAAAAGTTATTTTCTTAGTACGTTAAAATGAAGGAAAGCAAAATTCATTTAACTTGAAAATTGCCTTTTTCTACTAAAGGTTCAGTTGGGGATATTGTTAAGAACAAGCAACATCCTGAAACTAGAAAAATTACTCCCAGTGGGTTATTTCTTGCTGGTGGTTTTCTGTGATCTTGATGGAGAAGAGATAGAAGTTGCATTGTGTATTGGCACTGTTTGTCTATACCTGATTTCTGACACCTCACTTTGCAGATCATTTTTAGGTATAAAGTTGGGACCAATTTTGGATGCTCCTACCACCATTCCTTTGCCCACAGCATTTTACTAGAAATCTTTGTCTTGTAGGGAATGTTTGTGGCACAAATGAAGAATAAAATAGCATCATTTTAGTATTTTAATCAGCACTGAAGTGGTGTTGACTCTCTTTTAAAGCCAGAAATGAACAGGCAGGCATGGTTTTTACTTGAATGAATGATGAAGGCTGTTGAATTGCCTCTTGAATTTTTAGCATGGATTTTTAAAAATACCTAAATAGAAATACAAATAAGAGTATTTTAAGTGCTTTATCAATGTTGTTTTAATTAAGCATTCCCTTCATTTCTCATGTTTCTACAGAAAGCATTTGGTGATCTTTCAAAAAGATTTGAAATAAAACACCGCCTTCAGTGTAAAAATTTTACATGGTATCTGAACAACATTTATCCAGAGGTGTATGTGCCAGACCTTAATCCTGTTATATCTGGATACGTGAGTATTTTCCTGTTCCTTTTTTAATTAATATACTCCTTGCCACCAACCTTTATGTGGTTCTAAGAAAATTGCTGAAATACTTTCTTTATTGCTTTTGAGATTTTACATTATAATCATTAACATTACTTTCTAAATTATTTTAAAAATATATAAATCACATGGATTAAAAAACTTTTCATAACTTGAAAATTTTCCTTTAGATTAAAAGCGTTGGTCAGCCTCTATGTCTGGATGTTGGAGAAAACAATCAAGGAGGCAAACCATTAATTATGTATACATGTCATGGACTTGGGGGAAACCAGGTGAGCACTGCATTAAAAATCCTTCACTTGTAAAGCATTTACAAGCACAAGTGAGATGTTGCCTATTTTTCAGAAGTCCCACAGCAGCTTTATACTTGGGTAAGCTGTGTGTGAAATGTTTTCAGACTGAGTTTGGCAATTGATATTGATGAGTATTTTTTTTTGGTTTTTACTCTGGCTCTGAAAACAATTTGAGTAGCTTAACCATTAAAAAAAAAAAAAAAAAAAAAAAAAGGAGGCCGAGCTGAGTGGCTCACGCCTGTAATCCCAGCACTTTGGGAGGCTGAGGTGGGTGGATCACTTGAGGCCGGGAGTTCAAGGCCAGCCTGGCGAATATGGTGAAACCTCATCTCTACTAAAAATACAAAAATTTGTCGGGCGTGGTGGTGCATGCCTGTGTTCCCAGCTACTTGGGAGGCTGAGGCTGGAGAATTGCTTGAACCACGGAGGTGGAGGTTGCAGTGAGCCGAGATCACACAATTGCGGTCCAGCCTGGGTGACAGAGTGAGACTCTGTCTCAAAAACAAACAAACAAATTAAAAAAAAAAAAAGGAAAATGAGAAAATAATAGAATAATGCCATTTGAAATTTTTTTTAAAAAGAAACTTCTATGTAGCTCTTTGATGCTTTAACTTTTGCATGACTATTGGCATGGTGATTTTGCAAGTTTACACATAAAGGCCACATATAACTGGATTGAATCACAAATTACATCAAGTGTTAATAACAAAATAGAGCATTATAAATTAATTTTGTGGGCCACAATATTATTTCAATATGTTCCTCCTTCTCCAACAAAAGAGGAAGATTCTCCTTGATTAGTGACATACCTGCTTTACTACCTTTTGACTATTTTACTGATTAAGATTCACATGTCAAATATTACTATTTACTTGCCTATGGGTAGAGAACATGTTATATACAAAGTTTCTGTTTTTTTAAGCTTCCTTTCCTTACCTTTTGCAGCTTAACTCCTGGAAAGATTAGACTATTTCCCTCATTTGTTCATTCAACAAATTCATTGAGTGAGCCCTGCATGCCAGATACTCTGATGAGTTCAAGCTATTTAGACTCTAACTCCTTTAGGAAATCTATAAACTAGCAGTTCCTTAGGATAAAGCATTCAGAGTGTTCTGGGGGTATAGAAAAGGGCATTGAATGAGACTGGGTGTCCACACATTTTCCTGAGAAAGATGATATTTGAAAACATTAAAAAAAAAAAAAGTAGGTAGGAGCTAGTGAGGTGGCTGTGGGGAATGGCAACAGAATAAGAAGAGTGTGAAGGAAAGTGAAATGAAGAGAAGAGCCTGGAGTATCTCTTCTGGGCATTGCAGGTATTTTGGTGTAGAGTCCAAGATGTGTGTGGAGGATTTTTGCAATAATTAATATCCATGATGTCCTATTTTAATGGGACGAAACTTTGAGATGTCAGTTTTAGGAAAAAAGAGCCAGTTTATCTCCTGGTCCATCCTCTTCTATATTTCTTCCTACCCATTAGGCTCAGCTTAATCTAGTTCTAATCCTTATTAACCTAAACCAATCAATCTACTGAGGGCAGATGATACAGATGCCCAGAAGCCAGAGCTGGTGAACTGGATCTATTGCTGGATGGTTAAGGTGTAATTCTGAAATAGGATGGAGATATATATGGATGCATATAGACAGACATACATCTATACCTATATCTATATACATATATATCTGTACATATATGTGTATGTGCATAAATCTATATGCATCTTTTTAAGAATTTTCTTACCCTCCATATATTAGAAGAAAAATAGTTACATAAATAATTGCATTCTTTGGAAATAACACTGATCTATGCTTGTAAAAATTAAGATTTTGAGCAAAGGGAAATATTTCTGCATTTGTTAAAATCTTACTAGTAAATGTAAATCCCTATAAATTTCTCTTAGGCTTCTTCTAGCATTACATTTATTTTATCTTAAAAGCTGAAGATATATTGTACACATTGCTTTTTTCCATTTTTCTGTTATCATTTTCATAAAGATAATAACAGCTTTATGATAGCTCTGTATCAAAAATATGTTTACATTTTAAATAGAATATAGCTATCTTTTAGAAATTGGGGGATGGGAAAACATTCACATATTCTTTCAATAAGTGTTTGTTTAGAACCTATAAAGTAGCTTGTACTGACTGTTACCGTAGTAAAAAGACAAAGCTCCTGATCTTGTGGAGCTTATGTTCCACAGGAACAAAGAAAAAAATATGTAGTTTTGGGCATGAAGAAAAATATAGCAGGTAAGGGAATAGTGTGTTTCGGGGTAGGGTGGTTATTTTAAGAGGTGAGGGAAGACCTTTTTGGAAAAGCGATCTTAGAGGGAGGCCTGAATACTGTGAGAGAGTGTTCCAGGAGAAGATGCTCATCTTGGAGGAAGGATTTCCAAGAGTGGAGGCCCAGAGGCAGATACATGGAGAAAGCAGATAGCCAGTGTACCTAGAGCAGAGTGGTCTAGCAAAGAGGACTAGGAAATGAGGTCGGGGCATTGATAGGGACCTGATCATGTAGGGCTTAACTGGCCCCATTAAGAAACTTGGACTTAATTCTGACTTTGACAGAAACAATTGAAGAGTTTTGAGCAGAAGAATAAATATTATCTGGTGTATATACTAAATAGAAACTTCAGCTTTTGTTACCCTAACACAGCTATTGATTTTATTTTGCTTTATTTCCTTGACATTTTATTTTTAATCAAGCATTGCACTTAAACCGTTTTGCAAATTTTAGTTCCCTGAGTGCTAAAATTTTTAGATATTATATAACTTGATCATTTTTTCATGTTTCCTTCTACTTTTGATCAGATAATATTTTTATAGCATAAAACTTCATGTATGCCAAATAAAAATAAATATTTTGGTTATGTGACTAAGCTGGCCAATATTACTAGTGTAATGCAGTTTGAGTCATTATAACTTGATTATATTTACTGCTTTGCCTCTTCTCTACTCGTTCTAAGTAATGGGTCTCTCCAACATTCACAGTTATCCAATTATGTGCTCTTTTTTGTTACCAAAGTACTTTCAATATTTTCCATTTTTTGTAATTTTTATTTTAATGACTTTTTAATAATGGGTAAAATACTCGACAGCCTTTGTTACCATTTTTGAGATCTTAAGGCTTATCTTTCTTAGCCAAGTATAGCTAGAATGCTATTTTCATCATCTAAACTCAGTTTCTTCCTGTGTTTCCATCTGAAGAACTACTAGTTCTAAAAATGACTGATGTTTTGCTTGTGGGCGGAGATAAATTAAGCATGAGACTAAGAGTAGGGAAACTCAAGATATATGGCTCTGTGAATTCAGCGAATGTTTGTAGAGTGCCTACTGTAATACACATAAAGAGTTTAACACAGTGCCTGCCTAACATGTAATAAGGACTTAACAAATATTAGTGCTCCTACTAATTATTTCATTATTGAAAATCAATTATGTTAACTTATTTTATCTTTATAATGTCAATATTATGAAATATTGGATTTGTGATGGGTGTTATGACTCGATAAATTGCCTGACTTCAGTCTATGGGGAAGCCAGGTCTACACACCACACACAATTCTAATAGAGTGCTAGAAAAGTTATCTCTGATGTACTATGGGAACCTTGAAAAGATTGTAATTTTGTGCAGCAGGGCAAATTCAGGCAAAGCCAAAGAAGGAAGGTAGTATTTGAGTTGGCTCTTGAAGGATTAAAAAGGAGTTAGCCAGGCAGAAAAGGGTCAAAAGTGTATTCCAGGCAGAGGACAGACTGTAAAGCAAAGTCTTAGAGTTATAGATACATATGTTCTGATTGGTAGAATTGTGTGAAAGAAGCATAATATATAACTGGGGCAATGATTGATGCAAGATCAAAAAGAAAGATTTCATGTACCAATTAAGGAGTGTGGACTTTATCTTAGCAACAGTAGTGATTCACTTAAGCAAGGGCAGTCAGGGATCAAACCAATGCTTTAAAAGACTATCTGGCAGCAGATTGGATTGCTGGATGATAGGAACAGAAATTGGAAGTAGCTGTAGGTGTTTCAGTAAAAATTCTGAGAGTCTGAGTAACAGAAGTGAGTACACGGAAGTGAGAATGGATGGGATGTTAACATCTGAGAGGAATAGTGCAGCTAAGGGACGAATTACTTGGATATGTGGAGAAAGAGAAGCATCAGTAGTAACAATAGCTAAAATGTATGAAAACTCACCGTGTGCCAGTCATTGTTCTAAATGTATTATGCGTATTAACCCACTTATCTTCATAACCCTGTGGGGTAGGAACTATTAAATTACCCATTTTCTAGTGAGAAAACTGAGGCATGGTGAACACCCTGAAGTCCCTAGTTTAGTGAAAACACCTTTGATTGAGATGAAGAAGAGAGATGGAACACTTGTGGGAGAGAGGCAATTAATGTTCTTGTTATAACTCTTCATTCCCTTTTCTGAGGAATGCCTGGGATAGCCTCCACTCTCCTTGATAACTTCCAACTTCTGGTATGGGGAGGAAGACAGCACCTTGTTAATGAAGTAACCACCTGTTGATGAAGGAAGGCTATTGTATCGTCTATCACAAAAACTCAGCTTATGTTTCTAATAACTATTTTTATTGTATTATTTTGTTGAAATAGAAATGACTTTATTATTTAACGAGTTGCTGATTTATTTATTTATTTTGCAACTGAGCACATGGGTTGCTTTTGTCAGTAACAGTGCTATTCCTTCCATAGTACTTTGAATACTCTGCTCAACATGAAATTCGGCACAACATCCAGAAGGAATTATGTCTTCATGCTGCTCAAGGTCTCGTTCAGCTGAAGGCATGTACCTACAAAGGTCACAAGACAGTTGTCACTGGAGAGCAGATATGGGAGATCCAGAAGGTACCTCAGTGCAATTAATTCATCTATTTAACTATTTTTCTTAGCTCTACTTGCTTATCTGGGAAAATGAGTGGAACATGGTACATTAATATTATCTATCAGAATTTCTCTCCCTTTATTAACTTTGTTATTATGTGTTTCTACCCATGTGATAAGAGAATATATCTATGAATTAAGTACTCTTAGTAACAAAAAATTAAGTTGCTTGGTTGAACCGTGATATATGCAGATGAGCACTTCTGTGAATTATTAATATTAGTCGCTTGTTTTTTACTATTTAGGGTTTCTTATAATGCTTTTAGCAACAGTCATATTTTTTTTCTGTCAGAGAGAAGAAAAATTATTATATCTTCTCACTTGAAGTGATTAATTTTTTTCTACCCTGTTTTAGCACTTTTTCACAAACCTAGAATTGAGAGAATACATAACAGGTCTCTTCTGTTTTTAAACATGTTTAAGGCTTAGCTGTATCATAGCAATTCTTACCTGAACATTGTTTTGTGCAGTACTAGAAAACGTTAACACTGGCTTTTATAATTTATGATGTTTTTAAGAGTTTGTCACTTATGGATATATCAAGGGAATACTTCTTGTTTGAAAATGTGATTCAAACCTTGTTCTGTCTGCCTCTCTTCATTATGTAATATCTTACTAATTGAAGAGTAGTAGCTTAAAAGGTGGCATTTACACTAGAAGCCAAAAAGAGTTTATCAGACATGGCTCACCTTAGAAAGATTTGCTATTAGGTTTGCTTCAATGAAACCATAAAATCTTTTTCATATTTGTCACTTAACTATGAGTCTTGGAATTTAATGTCTGTTGTTTCCTTTTATTCTAGGATCAACTTCTATACAATCCATTCTTAAAAATGTGCCTTTCAGCAAATGGAGAGCATCCAAGTTTAGTGTCATGCAACCCATCAGATCCACTCCAAAAATGGATACTTAGCCAAAATGATTAAGTGTTCCTTAAAATTAAGTTGAAAAAGGAAATATTCTTTCTCATAAAACTGTGACTAGGCATACACTGTAGTTTTTGAAAATTATGCAAAAGCAGCTAAATGTAACTTATTCCAAGTGCATTTTTCTTATTTATATCTTTATGTAGCACTACTACAGAAATTCTGCAAGTTTCTGTTTCAAAGCACAATAACTAGTAATACCAAAGACTATTTCAAAATGTCCAGATGTAGGGGAAGAGATGTTTACAGTATGATGAAAATAATTTTCCAAGTAAAGTGATGTTTGTGTGTTTTGTACACTTAGGGATATATATATATAGCTACATTCACACACTCACAATTTAAAATATTTCCCCTAGTTTTTTGGGGGGATAGGAAGAAAGATTTGTTACTGTATTTTTTTAACTACATAAAAATAGATCAATAAATGTCAGCATTGGCCTCTGTGTACAAACCAAGAGCTTTTACAGATCCAGAATTTATTAGTTTAAAATGCAGGTGAACTTTTTTTTGCGTTTGGTTTACTTGTCTGTCAAATGTTTCCTTAAACATGAAACTGAATAAGGAGAAGAGTATTTTTAACACTTAAATTTCTTGGCAAATTTTAAAACATTTTTTAGTCTGTAATACACTCCACTTGAAGCACTTAAGTCTTCCTTAAATGACTTTTCTTAAGTAATGATACTGTGTGTTTTCCCAAAGCACTTTTAAAAAAATTTTTATAAATTACTATCTGTTGAAAAGGTGTCCTTTTCCTTTCTTCTAGTATTTTTTTCTTACCAAAATTCACTAATCTTGAATGTTTGTGATATTAAATTTCAAATGCAGAATACTTGACTCATTTAAAGCTAAATTTTGTTACTGATTCAATTATAATTGTAATGGATTTTTGACTTTGTAATGGATTCTTTTCATCAAAAAGCCTTATTTTTTTATCTATGTGGAAAACACAATAAAAAATCCTCAACACTATTGTAATCATTTGGTTAAGTTTTTTTCCTCTTTTGGGTAAAATCTGTAATTGATAATAGGTGGGGGAAAATGAATTTTGTATGCTGAATTTCTAAGCGCCTATTGTTTGTAAAACCATCAGATATTTCTTATGGCACAAAAAATGAGGAATAGCAAAATTCCTGTGTTCAATATTTAGAAAATTTTGTATTAATTTCTGATAAAGTTCCTTAAGCATCTGATAGAATGATGTTTTAAAAAAATTTGACGCTTGCTTAGGAGATTTACCACTTTTTTTTTTTGTTTTTCGTCATTTTATATTTAGATCTCCTGTATTCTTGTTCCCGAAGTAAAATACGATCGGTTTCATATTTTAAATCTGGCAGAGCCTCAGCTGTACGAAAAAGAGCATATACTGGTTATTGACCCTATCTTCTCATTGTTTGTTTGTAAGTTTGAATTTGTATTAAAAAGCCTGCATTCTGAGCTGGACATGGTGGCTCAGCTTCTAATCCCAGCACTTTGGTAGGCAAAGGTGGGAGGATCATTTGAGCTCAGGAGTTCCAGACCAGCCTGGGCAACATAGCAAAATCTCATCTCTACAAAAAGTAAAAATTAAAAAATGAAATTAAAAATAAAATTACCTAGGTGTGGTGGCACGCATCTGTAGTTCCAGCTATACAGGAAGGTGAGGCAGAAGCATTGCTTGAGCTTGGGAGATCGAGGCTACAGTGAGCTATGATTACACCACTGCACTTCAGTCTGTGTGACTGAGCAAGACTCTTTCAAAAAAAAAAAAAAAAGCCTACATTCTCCAGTTGATTATTTCAACTAATGTGTATTATGTGCCTAATTTTCTATCAGAAGTTGTATTAGCCCGTTTTCACACTGCTGTTAAAGACATACCTGAGACTGGGTAATTTATAAAGAAAAATAGGTTCGATGGACTCACAGGTCCGCGTGGCTGGGGAGGCTTCACAATCATGGCGGAAGGTGAAAGGCATGTCTTACGTGGAGGGAGACAAGACAGAATGAGAACCAAGTGAAAGTGGTTTCCCCTTATAAAACCGTTAGGTCTCGTGAGACTTACTCACTACCACAAGAACAGTGTGGGGAAAACCACCCCCATTATTCAATTATCTACTACTGGGCCCCTCTCACAACACGTGAGATTTATGGGAGCTACAATTCAAGATGACATTTGGTGGGAACACAGCCAAACCATATCAGAAGTGATGGTAGGCAGAGTAAGACTTGTTATTACTTTTGAGCTATGTCTCATGGGTCAGAAAGAAAGGCAAATAATTTTAAAGTAGAAGGTAAGTACCACTAGGCATGAATATCTATGAGCATATATTTCTCTTAGAGCTTATTATATCTCTAAACACAAAATTATTTCTCAAAAATATTTCATAAATGAACTTAAACATATTTTCAAAAAAACCAAAGTGAGTGCCCTGCATGTATCACTCATATGTTGATATATCATGATCCAACTGAAATCTACTTAGAGTAGGTTGATATTATTATGGGAAAGTCCTTCTTACCTGATTTGGCAGCCTCAGGCTATTGCTCAAGTGTCATACAAATCATGTCATTAAGGACTGGACCTTTAGGGTAGGTAGTGCCTTTTAAAAGTCTTGAGTTTTGGAACAATGATAACCGAGAGTTATTTATGGAACCTGGCTGCCATCCACCTGAGACTTAACTGCACTCAAGTGTGAAATTGTGGAATTCTTGCTCAATTTGAAGCTGCCATGGCAAATGGTCTGGTTGCTACAGAAGACCTGGCATGCTGCCTTCATTCCAGAGCACCAAGTCCTAAGAACTCTCGGTTGGTAAGCTGCACTGCCAGATCCACTAGGGTTAACCTGATGGGCAAGTTCACTGAAATCTGAGAGGGGATCACAGAGTTAACTATAGGAGAAAATAAGCAACACACTAAAATTGCCCATTACTATAACCAATGATGATGGATTTTTTAAGCCCCTATATTACCAGAGACTAGTATTGGACAATTTAGTTAAGTACTTTATATACCATCAAAATATAAGTGCAAAAAGGACAAGGTTGACTTTATCGGAAGGACTAGAAAAAAATCATTTTTAAAATGCTGTTATGTGTAGATGAGAATTGTAAAAGATAGGGAAAACAAAAAACTAGGCAGATTCTGTACTCAGATTGCTTCACAATTCACTTTAAAGACAGCAGAAATAAATATCTTTAGACAATGCATTTTTAGTATGCTTTGTGCAAGGAAGATGTTTGCAGAACTCTCAGAAACCAGTTCATACTCAGATAAAAGGCCTTGGGCCCTACAAAAGAATATCTGTGAAGGAATTAATACACATACAAATGTGGCATTGTGTGTGTGTGTGTGTAGTGTGTATGTGTGTGTGTGTAGTGTGTATATTTTAAATTAAAATATTTGACATCTTTTTATGAATTTATATTTTAATTACCTTTTCCAAATTATCAACCTACCCAATCTTCCCTTTTCCAGTCCTACAGTCCTACTTTTTCCACATCACCAGCCCAACTGCAAAAGAGATTCCTCCTGCACGCCTAGTCCCTCTCGCTCTCTAGGCTTCCACAACACCTAGGAAATTTTTTGTGTCTGTTTTTGGGATTTTATTAGGCACCAGGCACTAATAATATACAAAATAGTCCCCATCTGAAGGCGGAGAAAGTTATAGTTTAGTAATGTGGTCACCAATGTGGTCTCATAATGATGTTTTAAAGAGAAATAGTCCCATGATGAAGTCAACATATTCAACTTCTGGTGAGTCCACTGACAGGAGCTAGAGGAGAAAACAGGCACCCCATATTTTAGAGGTAAATAATTGAAGTAATGCTTCTTAAACCTTTTTGTACACACAATAATAAGATTCTGATTGATTAAGAATCAATCAGTTTGAATAAGATTTTGATTCATTAAGAATCAATCAGATTGAATAAGATTCTGATTAAGAATCAATCAGATTGAATAAGATTCTGATTGATTAAGCCTGGGGTAGAGCTTGTAATTTTGTATTTCTGACAAACTTTCAGGTGATACCAAAGCGGCTGGCCCTGGTACCGCGCTTTGAATAGAAAGGCTACCCAGTGAACCAATGCCCAGGGTTCTTCGAGACTACCATGATGACTTTGACCATGCTTGACATCCATAATTACTTCTAGTACGACCAGAAGTCAATGCCTCTCTATCAACCATTATCATCATTATTCTTCCCTGGCAGATCCTACATCCTTTGTATATCTCTAAGTTGATAAATCCCCCACCTTCTGATAACCTTCTACTCTGCAAACTTCTTTGATTAGAAAACTCTATTATATCAGCAATTTTGTCTCTGAAAATTCTACGTATTGTCTTGCCTTAACTGAACTGGACATTAATTAAGGATAAATCTTCCAATTCTAGTGAGGGTTATTGTTTTTTGTTTTTGTTTTCTATCATTCCTCTTGCACTTCAAGGCTAGGATTTGGGATAGGTGTGTCCTTCTTCAAAAATGCCCCAGCTTATTTGAAGCCGTGTCATGTGGATATATTATGCTCTACCCCTTCGTGCTGCTGTCAACCATGAATTTATAGGTCATTTATCTTAATTCATTCCCTGCATTAATTGAATACTTTAGTTCCTGTTGGCCTTTCTTTCTTTATACCTCTACTTGTGTCACCCTATGGGTGACTTCATTATTGGTGCAGATAACTCCAGCATTCTGAGCTCTCTGTATTTGACAACCACATTTCCTTCCCTCAACCACACATTCCCTGGTCATCACTAGAAACTATATCTTCTCTAACATCTTGATCACCTTAACGTCTCTGACTACCACCTCCTTTCCTAGCTCATTTATGCTAGTTCTTGCTCTCTAGAAACTTTTTCTATCTCTTCAGGACTTCTAAACCATTGATTTTGCTACTTGTTCACTATCATTCTCCTCTAGTCTATACTTTTATTCTTATCCAGAATGGTTTTAATATTTCCTCATTGTAACAATGACAGTGAAAGAGTTCACTGTCAATTCATGTGTCTGTTTCTCCATCGTGCTTACCTAGAAAACCCCAAACCCTGGATAAACCAAAATATTTGCTACCACTACTTCTGCATCCAAACAATTGTCAGGCTGGGCACATTCACCATCTTTCTGGGGAAATCCTGTATCCTCTCTCTCTTTCATATGTTAGGTCTCCTGTTTTGTGTATACTATAACTTCCTCTTTCTTGGTTAACTTCCTCATTTTGGAGGAGTACATTACACAGTAATATTCTGGGGAACGGTTTAGGATGCATACAGTTTTTGAGACCCTTATATCCAAAATACCTGTATTCTACCCTCACAATTAGAAGGTTAGCTGAGTATAGATTTCTTGGATGGATTTTTTTTCAATATTTTAAAAGTTTTGTTTGTTTGTTTTTCTAAATTTCAGTATTGATAACTCCAGTCTATTTTTGATTCTTGGTTCTTTGTTAGTGATTTTATTATTTTCACTCTGAATACTTATAGATATCCTATTTGCCACAATGTGTTAAATTTCACTGTAAGTCTTATATTACAGTATGCTTTACTGTGCTCTTTAAATACTCACGTAATTAAATTATGAAATCTTTTCCAAATATTTATTAATTTTATCCTTTGTATTCTCAGTTTCTCTCTGGGAATCTTATTATATCAGACCATTAACATATTGATTCTCTAGTCTATATAGGAGGGCAGCTTTTCTGATCTATATTCCGTATCTTTGCATATCCAGGATGTATTCTTAATGTACTCCTTTAAGCCTTCTATTGAGTTTTTCTTTTCTGTCATTTGTAATTTCCAAAAGCACATTCTTGTTCTCTGAATTTTTCTTGAATACCACTATTATTTTGTGAATGTGATTTTTTTCTTTTGTCTTTCTGAGATTATCAATAAAAATATTAATGGTAGTTCTTTTTTTAAAGGTTTCATCTACTTGCATAGTCTATTTCCTCCAAGCTGCTTTTTTTCCCCCTATTTACTCTCTGCATTTCATAACAGATGCTTTCCTCTAAAGTCTGGTGATTTTTAATTGTTCATATTGAACAGAGGATTGAATACTTATTAAAAAGCTCTTGAGTCTGAGGAGGGCTTATTGACTATGGTCTTTCCTGTAGGCTGACCCAAGTGCGGCCATTGTGCTGGAAAACAAAATGACAAGTTAGATCCCCAGAGAAGAATCTTCCAATCACCCTGGAAGGTGTAAACCTGAGAATCATTGGGAGAAGAGGACTGGGGATGAATTTTCAGTATAAGATTCTTAACTGTGCTGGTAGCCCCTGTTCTAGAGACACTCTATCTTATCCTCTCCAGTGAATGAATGTCTAAGCTTCTGTTTGGGTGTAGGAGAGGAACGAGGAGTCTAAATGATTGGTAAATGGAGCGTCAACTACTTCTCCTCCCCAACTGTATCTTTCTCACTTTTGGAGGCGCTTGGTTCCACCAGTTCTTGATTCTTTCTGTGGTTCTGTAGTATGAAATGCATTACTACTCTGCTTTCTCCAATGATAGCTTTGGACTAACTACTAATTAATTTGCTTTCCAGGCTTCAAAACAGTGTTGTCATTAAACTTCTCCTACTCTTCTCCCCATGGATATATATTTTTTTCCCTATATCTTTACTGTCATTTTAATGGGATTTTGGAAGACAGCAGAAGAAAATGAAGATAGAATCTGATACTCTTGACAAGAAATCCCATTAATTCTTCGATGATTTCCAATTTTTTCACAGCAACCTATCTTTTTAAATAAAAAACAACATTGCTCCTCTGCTTTGTAACCTTCCAATGGCTCTCAAATTGTTCTTAGAGTAAAATTCTTGCTTCTGGTTGTAGCCTGCAAGACCCTATATGACCCACTCCTTGCCAATTTCTCCTGCCTCATCTAGGACCACCTTTTCTGTGCTGAGTGTGCTTCAGACAGAGTAGTTGCCTCCTGGATTTGTCTCGTGTATCAAACTGATTCTTGCTTTAGAGCCAACATTTTCTTGGTCTGGATGCCCCTAGTAACAGTATCTTTTATATGTTTCTATTCTCAGCTCAAATAAAACATTCTGAGAAGAGACCATCTTTTATAAAGTAACCCAATCACTACTGAATCACCGTGTTTATTTCCTTGTTACATTTACCACTACCTGAAATTTTATGTGTGAACTTATCTTTTGTCTCCATAAAATGTCATCTTCACAAAAGCAAGATAAGAAATAATGAAATCCATATCATGTTCAAATTTAGGTAACTTCAGTATATCCTCGAAATGAAACAACACTATTTTTCAAGGACGTTTACATTAAACACAGAATTGGTGCCAGTGAGGATGGGCTATGAGCATAGGAATGGAGGATGAAGAGGAAAATATGGGCAAAAATAAAAAAGGACAAAAAAGACAGTTTTTTCTTAGACTGATGAAGAGCAACAACAAAAATTCTTGATAGGAAAAGTTTTCTGAGAAGATGCATTATTTTTTCAAAAGATATGTTACAGAAAACATAGGTTTATTTACAATATCCTATAGTACAAGAATAATGGAACCAAGAAATAGAGGTACTAGTTCGCATAGCACACAATATATCTATGAAACTCATTACTCAAAGAGTTTATGTAAGTGGAAATTTTGAATAGACTCAGCAAAATTGATGACTAACAAATTCACAATCAATAAGAAAAAATAGAATGTATAGCATGTCCCCATATTTTCAGTCACATAGAAGAGAGCATCTTCCAAAACATATCCCTTTGATACTACATCAGTCATCGCATGTTTCCTTGAAAGTTATGAGAGTATTTGCTTTTATTTAATATTATCATAATTTTATGATATTCCTTTAGAATCTCAGCCACTCACTGTGTAAATTATTATAGGAGAAGTCTAATTTTTTCCAGTGGATCTTTTGAAAACGTATCTCCTTTAAAACATAATGTTAATAGTGAAAAATAGTTTGAAAACACAGGTGGAATTCATGGTGTCAAAAATGTTATTTTTAAGAACGTATTTTTAAAAAGAAGACCAAATAACTTCTACTTGTTTGTAAAATCCTTGTTAACTAGGTGGAGCATTATTTCTGTTATTCTGTGTTAGAGTGCATTTATTATTTTATTTTTCCATCAGAGTTAGTATTGCCAGCAATAGAAATTAACTCTGGATGATTCAAGTGGAAAAGAAGTTTGTTGAAAGGATATTGAGTAGTTCACAGAGTCATTTGGAACACTAGAGAAAAGGCTTAAAAAATGGGCAGGCAGGATAAAACAAAGTGCATAGCTTTGAAGCTAAAATTATGCTGCAGAACTTGACTAGTGAGGATATTTTTTCTGATGCCAGCAAATGCTAGATGAATGGTTTGTACCTCTCATTTCTCTAGCATTGGCATTGGCATTGTTTGCTGCTGACATTGGCTACTGGATGACCCCCCTGCTATAACTGTGACCAGATCCTCGAGGTAACTGCTACTATTGCTGCCAGAACTAATTCTCCACTGAGTGCTTCTTTTCTCACTAGTTCCCAAGTCAATATCCAAGCTGAAGTCAGAGTAACTGAGCCTATTCATGTGCCCTACCCTCAAAGTAATGGAGGCTATGAAAGCAAGTATCTGGCTTTGCAGCTTCTGCAGTTGAAGGTGGAAATTTCACAGGCACAGAAAGGGAGTTCAGATGCCAGGTAGCTAAGAAAAAAAAAAAGACAAACAACTTTAGTACAAACCGTAGGATTTGAAAACCATAGCATTCTTTTCCTCACTATTTTTTCCTTTAAACTGTAAACATTTAAATGATTATACATATATATAAATGCCATTCACTTAATCATATTGTAGGCACTTTCTTGCTTTTCTTTTGTTGACTTTCAAATAGGTCAAAGATATTACTATATTTTTTATTTCTGTACTCTGTAGAGTTAGATGGTATATTCATAATTTGTTTTCTCAGAACAGTAATTTTTATTGTTTTTTAATTAATTATTTTTGCAAAATAATTTATATGTAATAAAATGCACAGAATTTAAAAGTTGAGTTTAATGAGTTTTGACTTGTAGATATCCTTGTAACTGCCACACAAAACAAGATCTAGAATATTTCCTTCACACCAGAAAGTGTGTTAGATAGTATATTCATAATTTGTTTTCGCCGAGCAGCAATTTTTATTGCTTTTTAAAAATTAATTCTTATTGCAAAATAATTTGTATATAATAAAATGCACAGAATTTAAGAGTTCAGTTTAATGAGTTTTGACTTGTAGATATCCTTATAACTGCCGCCCAAAACAAGATCTAGAATATTTCCTTCACACCAGAAAGTGCTTTGCATCTCCCTCAACTCAAACTTTCAACCCTGAAAGCAACCATCCTGATTTTTATCAGCATGCATTAGCATCAATTATTCTTTTGTTTCATCTAAATGGAATAATACATTACATATTTTTGTATCTGCTTTTGGTTGTTCATTATAATGTTTTTTGATATGAATCCATGAGGTTTTGTCCATTTGTAGACTGTCTTTTCAATTGCTGAGTATTATTCCATGTATAGATATACCACAATTTCTTTGTCCATTCTTTCATGACAGACATTTGAGATATTTTAAATTTTTGAATATTTTGAATAAGGGGGCTATGATCATTCATATACAAGTCTTTTTATCTTTAAAAAAAGTGAAAACATGGCCGGGCTCATGCCTATAATTCCAGCACTTTGGGAGGCCGAGGCAGGGAAGTCACGAGGACGAGGTCAGGAGATCGAGACCATCCTGGCTAACACAATGAAAACCCATCTCTGCTAAAAATACAAAAAATTAGCCGGGCGTGGTGGTGGGCTCCTGTAGTCCCAGCTACTCGGGAGACTGAGGCAGGAGAATGGGGTGAATCCGAGAGGCAGAGCTTGCAGTGAACCGAGATCATGCCACTGCACTCCAGCCTGGGTGACAGAGCGAGACTCCATCTCAAAAAAAAAAAAAAAAAAAAAAGTTAAAAGGTTTTACTTTTTCACTGGAGAAAAAGTTCTACAATGAAACATCTTTAACATTTTCCAGTGAAAAATGTTTTCACTTTTTTTTAAGGTAGACACCTAGGAATGGATTCATGGATACCATGTATATCCAACTTTAAAAGGTACTGCCACAGGTTTTTTTAAATGGTTGTGATATTTCACATTTCCACCAGCAATATATGAGAGTTCCCAGTGGTTTCACTTCCTTGCCAAAACTTGGTATTTTCAGTCCTTTTTATTTTAAACATTCTAGTATGTATCTTGTGGTGGTTTTAATTGTTATTTCCCTGATAAGCACCTTTTTATGTTCATGTTGAACAGTCATTTTTTTTGGTAAAATGTTTACATATTATATGCATATTTATTGAGTAGATTTCTTCATTATTGATTTGCAGGTCGTTATATATTCTAAATACAAGTCCTTTGTTAGATATTTGTATTGTAAAATAATTGTGTTGTAAATATTTTCTCCAAGTCTGAAGCTTGATTTTATTTCTTATAACATTTTTTAATGTGCAGAAGTTCTTATTTTTGATGTTGTGTAATTTATCAAGTTTTGTTTTATGTTTGGTGCTTTTTATGCTCTAAAGAAATCTTTGCCTATCTCAAACGTATGAAGATCTACTTCAATGTTTTTTCTAGATGCTTTATTTTTCTAACTTTTATTTTAAGTCAATGATTAATCTTGAAATAATTTTTGTACATAGAGTGATGTAGGAGGTTGAGATTTACTAATTTAATTTTCCGTTGTTCAAACACCATTTGGGAACTTGCTTTCCCAAAGGAATTGTTATGGTTTGGCTGTGTCCCTACCCAAATCTCATCTTGAATTTGAGTTCCCATAATCTCCACATGTCCTGGAGATAATTGAATCATGCGGGCAGTTTCCTCCATCCTGTTCTCGGGATAGTGAGTGCATTCTCACGAGATCTGATGGTTTTATAAGGGGTTTTTTCCCCTGTTGCTCTGCACTTCTCCTACCTGTCATCATGTGAAGAAAGATGCCTTTGCTTCCCCTTCTGCCATGCGATTGAACTACTTTCCTTTATAAATTACCCAATCTCAGGCAGTTCTTTATAGCAATGTGAGAATGGACTAATACAGGAATTGTGTCGGTACCTTTGTTAAAAAATCAATGGATGCGGGGGAGGAGCCAAGATGGCCGAATAGGAACAGCTCCGGTCTACAGCTCCCAGCGTGACCGATGCAGAAGACCGGTGATTTCTGCATTTCCATCTGAGGTACCAGGTTCATCTCACTAGGGAGTGCCAGACAGTGGGCGCAGGCCAGTGGGTGCGCGCACCGTGCGCGAGCCGAAGCAGGGCGAGGCATTGCCTCACCTGGGAAGCGCAAGGGGTCAGAGAGTTCCCTTTCCGAGTCAAAGAAAGGGGTGATGGACGCACCTGGAAAATCGGGTCACTCCCACCCGAACATTGCGCTTTTCAGACCGGCTTAAAAAACGGCGCACCACGAGACTATATCCCACACCTGGCTCGGAGGGTCCTACGCCCACGGAATCTCGCTGATTGCTAGCACAGCAGTCTGAGATCAAACTGCAAGGCGGCAGCGAGGCTGGGGGAGGGGCGCCCGCCATTGCCCAGGCTTGCTTAGGTAAACAAAGCAGCCAGGAAGCTCGAACTGGGTGGAGCCCACCACAGCTCAAGGAGGCCTGCCTGCCTCTGTAGGCTCCACCTCTGGGGGCAGGGCACAGACAAACAAAAAGACAGCAGTAACCTCTGCAGACTTAAATGTCCCTGTCTGACAGCTTTGAAGGGAGCAGTGGTTCTCCCAGCACGCAGCTGGAGATCTGAGAACCGGCAGACTGCCTCTTCAAGTGGGTCCCTGACCCCTGACCCCCAAGCAGCCTAACTGGGAGGCACCCCCCAGCAGGGGCACACTGACACCTCACATGGCAGGGTATTCCAACAGACCTGCAGCTGAGGGTCCTGTCTGTTAGAAGGAAAACTAACAAACAGAAAGGACATCCACACCAAAAACCCATCTGTACATCACCATCATCAAAGACCAAAAGTAGATAAAACCACAAAGATGGGGAAAAAACAGAACAGAAAAACTGGAAGCTCTAAAAATCAGAGCGCCTCTCCTCCTCCAAAGGAACGCAGCTCCTCACCAGCAACAGAACAAAGCTGGATGGAGAATGACTTTGACGAGCTGAGAGAAGAAGGCTTCAGACGATCAAATTACTCTGAGCTACGGGAGGACATTCAAACCAAAGGCAAAGAAGTTGAAAACTTCGAAAAAAATTTAGAAGAATGTATAACTAGAATAACCAATACAGAGAAGTGCTTAAAGGAGCTGATGGAGCTGAAAACCAAGGCTCGAGAACTACGTGAAGAATGCAGAAGCCTCAGGAGCTGATGCGATCAACTGGAAGAAAGGGTGTCAGCAATGGAAGATGAAATGAATGAAATGAAGTGAGAAGGGAAGTTTAGAGAAAAAAGAATAAAAAGAAATGAGCAAAGCCTCCAAGAAATATGGGACTATGTGAAAAGACCAAATCTACCTCTGATTGGTGTACCTGAAAGTGATGGGGAGAATGGAACCAAGTTGGAAAACACTCTGCAGGATATTATCCAGGAGAACTTCCCCAATCTAGCAAGGCAGGCCAATGTTCAGATTCAGGAAATACAGAGAACGCCACAAAGATACTCCTTGAGAAGAGCAACTCCAAGACACATAATTGTCAGATTCACCAAAGTTGAAATGAAGGAAAAAATGTTAAGGGCAGCCAGAGAGAAAGGTCGGGTTACCCTCAAAGGGAAGCCCATCAGACTAACAGCGGATCTCTCGGCAGAAACCCTACAAGCCAGAAGAGAGTGGGGGCCAATATTCAACATTCTTAAAGAAAAGAATTTTCAACCCAGAATTTCATATCCAGCCAAGCTAAGCTTCATAAGTGAAGGAGAAATAAAATACTTTACAGAAAAGCAAATGCTGAGAGATTTTGTCACCACCAGGCCTGCCCTAAAAGAGCTCCTGAAGGAAGCGCTAAACATGGAAAGGAACAACCAGTACCAGCTGCTGCAAAATCATGCCAAAATGTAAAGACCATCGAGACTAGGAAGAAACTGCATCAACTAACGAGCAAAATCACCAGCTAACATCATAATGACAGGATCAAATTCACACATAACAATATTAACTTTAAATGTAAATGGACTAAATTCTCCAATTAAAAGACACAGACTGGCAAATTGGATAAAGAGTCAAGACCCATCAGTGTGCTGTATTCAGGAAACCCATCTCACGTGCAGAGACACACATAGGCTCAAAATAAAATGATGGAGGAAGATCTACCAAGCAAATGGAAAACAAAAAAAGGCAGGGGTTGCAATCCTAGTCTCTGATAAAACAGACTTTAAACCAACAAAGATCAAAAGAGACAAAGAAGGCCATTACATAATGGTAAAGGGATCAATTCAACAAGAAGAGCTAACTATCCTAAATATATATGCACCCAATACAGGAGCACCCAGATTCATAAAGCAAGTCCTGAGTGACCTACAAAGAGACTTAGACTCCCACACAATAATAATGGGAGACTTTAACACCCCACTGTCAACATTAGACAGATCAACGAGACAGAAAGTCAACAAGGATACCCAGGAATTGAACTCAGCTCTGCACCAAGTGGACCTAATAGACATCTACAGAACTCTCCACCCCAAATCAACAGAATATACATTTTTTTCAGCACCACACCACACCTATTCCAAAATTGACCACGTAGTTGGAAGTAAAGCTCTCCTCAGCAAATGTAAAAGAACAGAAATTATAACAAACTATCTCTCAGACCACAGTGCAATGAAACTAGAACTCAGGATTAAGAAACTCACTCAAAGCCGCTCAACTACATGGAAACTGAACAACCTGCTCCTGAATGACTACTGGGTACATAACAAAATGAAGGCAGAAATAAAGATGTTCTTTGAAACCAACAAGAACAAAGACACAACATACCAGAATCTCTGGGACGCATTCAAAGCAGTGTGTAGAGGGAAATTTATAGCACTAAATGCCCACAAGAGAAAGCAGGAAAGATCCAAAATTGACACCCTAACATCACAATTAAAAGAACTAGAAAAGCAAGAGCAAACACATTCAAAAGCTAGCAGAAGGCAAGAAATAACTAAAATCAGAGCAGAACTGAAGGAAATAGAGACACAAAAAACCCTTCAAAAAATCAATGAATCCAGGAGCTGGTTTTTTGAAAGGATCAACAAAATTGATAGACCGCTAGCAAGACTAATAAAGAAAAAAAGAGAGAAGAATCAAATAGACACAATAAAAAATGATAAAGGGGATATCACCACCGATCCCACAGAAATACAAACTACCATCAGAGAATACTACAAACACCTCTATGCAAATAAACTAGAAAATCTAGAAGAAATGGATAAATTCCTCGACACATACACTCTCCCAAGACTAAACCAGGAAGAAGTTGAATCTCTTAATAGACCAATAACAGGAGCTGAAATTGTGGCAATAATCAATAGCTTACCAACCAAAAAGAGTCCAGGACCAGATGGATTCACAGCCGAATTCTACCAGAGGTACAAGGAGGAACTGGTACCATTCCTTCTGAAACTATTCCAATCAATAGAAAAAGAGGGAATCCTCCCTAACTCATTTTATGAGGCCAGCATCATTCTGATACCAAAGCCAGGCAGAGACACAACAAAAAAAGAGAATTTTAGACCAATATCCTTGATGAACATTGATGCAAAAATCCTCAATAAAATACTGGCAAACCAAATCCAGCAGCACATCAAAAAGCTTATCCACCATGATCAAGTGGGCTTCATCCCTGGGATGCAAGGCTGGTTCAATATACGCAAATCAATAAATGTAATCCAGCATATAAACAGAGCCAAAGACAAAAACCACATGATTATCTCAATAGATGCAGAAAAAGACTTTGACAAAATTCAACAACCCTTCATGCTAAAAACTCTCAATAACTTAGGTATTGATGGGACGTATTTCAAAATAATAAGAGCTATCTATGACAAACCCACAGCCAATATCATGCTGAATGGGCAAAAACTGGAAGCATTCCCTTTGAAAACTGGCACAAGACAGGGATGCCCTCTCTCACCACTCCTATTCAACATAGTGTTGGAAGTTCTGGCCAGGGCAATTAGGCAGGAGAAGGAAATAAAGGGTATTCAATTAGGAAAAGAGGAAGTCAAATTGTCCCTGTTTGCAGATGACATGATTGTATATCTAGAAAACCCCATTGTCTCAGCCCAAAATCTCCTTAAGCTGATAAGCAACTTCAGCAAAGTCTCAGGATATAAAATCAATGTACAAAAATCACAAGCATTCTTATACACCAACAACAGACAAACAGAGAGCCAAATCATGAGTGAAGTCCCATTCACAATTGCTTCAAAGAGAATAAAATACCTAGGAATCCAACTTACAAGGGATGTGAAGGACCTCTTCGAGGAGAACTACAAACCACTGCTCAAGGAAATAAAAGAGGATACAAACAAATGGAAGAACATTCCATGCTCATGGGTAGGAAGAATCAATATCGTGAAAATGGCCATACTGCCCAAGGTAATTTACAGATTCAATGCCATCGCCATCAAGCTACCAATGACTTTCTTCACAGAATTGGAAAAAACTACTTTAAAGTTCATGTGGAACCAAAAAAGAGCCTGCATCGCCAAGTCAATCCTAAGCCAAAAGAACAAAGCTGGAGGCATCACACTACCTGACTTCAAACTTTACTACAAGGCTACAGTAACCAAAACAGCATGGTACTGGTACCAAAACAGAGATATAGATCAATGGAACAGAACAGAGCCCTCAGAAATAACACGACATACCTACAACTGTCTGATCTTTGACAAATCTGAGAAAAACAAGAAATGGGGAAAGGATTCCCTATTTAATAAATGGTGCTGGGAAAACTGGCTAGCCATATGTAGAAAGCTGAAACTGGATCCCTTCCTTACACCTTATACAAAAATCAATTCAAGATGGATTAAAGATTTAAACGTTAGACCTAAAACCATAAAAACCCTAGAAGAAAACCTAGGCATTACCATTCAGGACATAGGCATGGGCAAGGACTTCATGTCCAAAACACCAAAAGCAATGGCAACAAAAGCCAAAATTGACAAATGGGATCTAATTAAACTAAAGAGCTTCTGCACAGCAAGAGAAACTACCATCAGAGTGAACAGGCAACCTACAACATGGGAGAAAATTTTTGCAACCTACTCATCTGACAAAGGGCTAATATCCAGAATCTACAATGAACTCAACCAAATTTACAAGAAAAAAAAAACAACCCCATCAAAAAGTGGGCGAAGGACATGAACAGACACTTCTCAAAAGAAGACATTTATGCAGCCAAAAAACACATGAAAAAATGCTCATCATCACTGGCCATCAGAGAAATGCAAATCAAAACCACAATGAGATACCATCTCACACCAGTTAGAATGGGAATCATTAAAAAGTCAGGAAACAACAGGTGCTGGAGAGGATGTGGAGAAATAGGAACACTTTTACACTGTTGGTGGGACTGTAAACTAGTTCAACCATTGTGGAAGTCAGTGTGGCGATTCCTCAGGGATCTAGAACTAGAAATACCATTTGACCCAGCCATCCCATTACTGGGTATATACCCAAAGGACTATAAATCATGCTGCTATAAAGACACATGCACACGTATGTTTATTGCGGCATTATTCACAATAGCAAAGACTTGGAACCAACCCAAATGTCCAACAATGATAGACTGGATTAAGAAAATGTGGCACATATACACCATGGAATACTATGCAGCCATAAAAAATGATGAGTTCATGTCCTTTGTAGGGACATGGATGAAATTGGAAATCATCATTCTCAGTAAACTATTGCAAGAACAAAAAACCAAACACCGCATATTCTCACTCATAGGTGGGAATTGAACAATGAGATCACATGGACACAGGAAGGGGAATATCACACTCTGGGGACTGTGGTGGGGTGGGGGGAGGGGGGAGGGATAGCATTGGGAGATATACCTAATGCTAGATGACGAGTTAGTGGGTGCAGCGCACCAGCATCGCACATGTATACATATGTAACTAACCTGCACAATGTGCACATGTACCCTAAAACTTAAAGTATAATAATAAAAAAAAAAGAAAAAATAATAATGGTAAAAAAAAAAAAATCAATGGATGCTATGCTTGTGTGTGTCAATTTCTGAACTCACTCTTCTATTTTATTGGTCTACATGTCTTTGCTTATGGCAACACACACTATCTTGATTACTGTAGTTTTATAGATTGTGTATTGTCCTACTTATTCTGTTTTCAACATTATTTTGACTATTTTAGATTATTTGCATTTTTTCTGTAAATTTTGGAATCTACTTGTTAATTTACTTTCCCCCCACAATGTTTATGCCTTGTAGTTCTTTTTCTTGCCTTATTACATTTATTGGGACTTGTAATACAATGTTGAATAGAAGTGATAATGAACATCCTTGCATTTTTTTTCTGTTCTTAAGAGGAAAATATTCACTGTTTTATCCTTAAGTGTGGTCTTTGCTATAGATTTTGCACTTATTAAATTCAGGAAATTTCCTTCTATTCCTAGTTTGAGAGTTTTTATCATGCATAAGTGTAAAATTTTGTCAAATATGTTTTCTATTGAGTCCATGATAGGATCTTATCCTTTATCCTACTCATGTTGTACTTTTCATGTGTGAAACCAACGTTGCATACTTGGGATAACCTACACTTGGTCATAACAAAGTATTCCTTTTATAACATAGGATTAAAAAAAGAACAATCTACTTGTCTGTCTGTAGAGATACTCCTATGCTTGACATTTTGTATAAATGGAGTCATATAATATGTGGTTTTCTGTGACTGGCTTATTTAATTTAGTCACAATGTTTTCAAGATTCATGCATACTTCAGCAAGTATCAGCATTTTTTCTTATGACCAGATAATATTTCATTATATGGATAAGCCATATGTGTTTATTCATTCATCACTTGTTGGACGTTTGACACTTTCTGACTTTTATGAATAATTCTGCTGTGTATACACAAAAACATTTGTGCATAAGTTTTTGTTTGAATGCCTGTTTTTGTTTTGTTTTGTTTTTTGAGACAGGGTGTGGCTCTGTTGCCCAGTCTAGGGTGCAGTGGCATGGTCTTGGCTCACTGCAGCCTTGCCATTCTCCCTCCTTAGCCTCCTGAGTAGCTGGGACTACAGGCACATGCCACCACACCCAGCTAATTTTTGTATTTTGTTTAGAGATGGAGTCTCACTTTGTTGTCCATGCTGGTCTCTAAAGCCTGAGCTCAAGCAATCCACCTGCCTTTCCTCCCAAAGTACTGGGATTATAGGCATGCGCTACCACATCTGACTGAAAACATGTTTTTAATTCTCTTGAGTACATATCTAGGAGTGGAATTGCTGGGTCATATTGTCTCTCTATGTTTAATCACTTTAGGAATTACCTATTGTTTTCCAAAGTGGCTGCACCATTTTACAACTCCACCAGCAACATATGAGGGTTCTGATTTCTCCTCATCCTTACCAACACTTTTTATTATCTAACTTTTTGATTCTAGCCATCCTTGTGTGTTTGAATTGGTATCTCATTTGGGTTTTTATTTGCATTTCTCTGATAAATAATTACGTTAAACATCTTTCATGTGCTTATTGGCCATTTGTATATTTTCCTTGAAGAAATGTTTATTGTGGTTTGCCTATTTTTAATTTGGGCTGTCTTTTTTCTTAGTAAGTTGTGTTATTTATATATTTTGGAAAGTCCCATATAAGAGATATGATTTGCAAATATTTTCTCCCATTCTGTGAAATTGTTATTTCACTTTATTGGTGGTTTCCTTTGAAGGACAAGGTTTTAATTTTTATCAAGTTCAAATTATCAATTTTTTTTCTTTTGTTGTTCATACGTTTCATGCCATATGTAAGAATCCTTTGCCAAATCTGAGGTCATGAAGATTTATGTCTATGTTTTCTTCAATGAGTTTTTATGGTTTTCCGTTTTAAATTTAGGTCTTTGATACATTTTAAGTTTATTTTTGTATATGGTATGAGGTAAGGGTTCAGCCTCATTATTTTGCATGTGGATATCCAATAGTTCCAGCCCCATTTGTTGAAAAGACTATTCTTCTCCTCACTGAATGGTTGTGGCATTCTTGTCAAAATCAGTTGACCATAGAAACATGGTCTCTCAATTCAGTTCCTTTCACCTATATTCTGTCCTTGTGCTAGCACCACACTATTTTGGTTGCCATCATTTTGGAGTAAATTTTGAAATTGAGAGGTGTGATTTTTTTCTACTTTGCTTTCTGTGTTTTCAAGATTGTTTTAGCTCTTATGTACCCTTTGCGATTTTATATGAACTTTAGTATCAGCTTGTCAATTTCCACAATGATATCTGGGATTCTAATAGAGATTGCCATTTTAACAATATTAAGTCTTCTGATCCATGAACATGGGATGTTTTTCCATTTATTGTAATACCTAATTTCTTTCAATAATGTTTTATAGTTTGCAGACTATTAATTTTGCACTTCTTTTGTTAAATTTATTCCTGTCTTTTTGCTGCAATTATAAATTTTCTTAGTTTTGTTTTTGAGTTTATTTTGAATTCATTGAAAGTGTATAGACATAAAATTGATTTTTATATATTGATATTGTAGTCTGAAACCTTGCTGAATTGTTAGTTTTTATAGTTAGTGGATTCCTTAGGGCTTTCTGTATACGAGATCACGCTATCTGTGTGTAGAAATCGTTTTACTTCTTTCTTTCTAATCTGGATACCTTTTATTTCTGTTCTCACTTAGTTGCCCTGACTACAACCTGCATTACAAATACTTTCTATATTTTGATTGATTTAATTTGTTAATATTTTGTGGGGGATTTTTGTGTTTATGTTTGTGAAAGATATTATTTGGGAATTTTCTTATAATGTGTCAGGTTTTATTATCAAGGTTATGCTGGACATAGAACCATTTGGAAAGTTGTTTTCTCCACCTTTATTTTCTGAAAGATAATGTGTAATATAAATATAATTTCATGGCTCATGCAGTGGTTCATGCCTGAAATCCCAACACTTTGGGAGGCTGGGGCAGGAGCATCACTTGAGGCCAGGAGTTCAAGACCAGCCTCAACAATATAGTGGGACTCCATCTCTTCAAAAAAATCCCCACAAAAATTAGCCAGGCATGGTGGTGCGTGCCTTAAGGTGGAAGCTTGAGTAATTGATTTTAAACCCTTTTTCTTGTTCAAAGCTATAAATTCTCCTGTAATACTTTAGCTGCTGCACACCACAAATTATGATATATGGTGTTTTCATTATCACTCAGCTCAAATTATTTTTCAGTTTATCTTTTCAACTCATGAACTCTTTACAAGTGTATTGCTTAATTTCCAAATTTGAGGATATTCTAAATATCCTATTGTTGTTTTTATTTTCCAACTTTTGTTTTAGATTCAGTGGGTACATGTGCAGATTTGTTACATGAGTAAATTGCATGTCATGGGGGTAACACTTTCCTGCTTGTCTTTTTTGTTATTGGTCTTATACTGAGCATTGTATATGAAAAAACAGTAGAGACTGACAATATTTATCTACAGAAAAGGGCATGCTCCTCTGTCAAGCTGCTGGAGTTGGGAATTGGGTCAATTTAATCTGTTCTTAAGCAACATTTGAATTTTATTATAACTTTAATAAGATTCAGCTCACTATTGTATAAAAGTATTCTGAGGGCAGAATTAGGGTCTTCAGCAGAGCTTGAGGATTATACACCAGTGAGATTTCAGATCTCTTTATACTTTATGGCACAGACACCTGTTTTTCAAATCATGGAAGAGGTCTTTCTGCTTTATAACTAAACTGTCCAACTCTTTAGGTCACTTGGGAGTTATATTTTCTCTGTAGTATGGCCCCCACTTTTCTGCAACTTGGGATACTTCTCTTGGCCTTTCACTCAGCTTTCAGTTGGCAGCTGGTGAAGTTCTAATGCATATCAGAGGGACTTCTCTCAGCTTTCCTGCCCTACCACTAGACTGATACTGAGATGGCTTCAGGGTATGTCAGTCAACTCTACTGCCCCAACTTCAAAACTTTGGTAGATTGCTGCAAAGCACTTGGAGAAACACCTTCCCTCTTGTGGTAACAAGTACATTTTTCAGCTGTCTTGCATGCACCTAGACTTTATTAGGCCATCCAGCAGCAATTTTTAGAAGACGTGTAGTACTGATTTTGTTTCAATACATACTTTTATTGAGAATCATAAATTCTTCACTTCCTATTCTTGTCAATTATTTTCCTCTCCCTGTGTCTTTGTGGAGAAGGCGAGACTCCAGTTTAAATGAAAGAATAGATGTTCCCTGCCATATTAAAAAGCACAGATTAATATTTTTACTTTTTTATGCTGCATGCTAAGCATATTTTCCACTCCTTTATAAAAATCACATTAGTTTTAAAGTGCTATGACTCTGGGATCTTTGAGTACTTGGAGATGCTGAGTATGAAGAATGTTTACATTTTTATCTTATAACCTATTTTTATAATGGATTCTTTAATTGGACACATTTTTATCTATTTCCATTGGAAATAATCCACTGAAAATGTTTCAGAAATTGTTTGTTCTGGTGCTTATTTCTTAAACTATATTTTTATATGGGCTTTTATATTTAAACTGCATTTGATTAATAACTTACAGACTTGAATACTTCATTTGCCCACTAAAAGCCTACAATGACTTTCTCTTTTTTGAGACAAAGTTTTTCTCTGTCATCCATGCTGGAGTGCATGGATGCAACCACGGCTCACTGCAGCCTCATCCTCCCACCTCAGCTTCCCAAGTAGCTGGGACCACAGGTGCACACCATCACATCTGGCTAATTTTTAATTTTTTTTTTTTTTTTTTTTTTTTTTTTTTTAGAGATGAGGTCTCGCTATGTGGCCCAGGCTGGTCTCAAACTCCTGGTCTCAAGCAATCCTCTTGCCTTTGCCCACAAGGTGCTGGGATTACAGACACGAGCCACCATGCCCAGCTACAGCGGCTTCTAATCTTCGGGCAGATACTGTCCAAAGGCTCTAGTGTCATAATTTGGCCTCTAGGTTTTTTTCTTTTCTTCTTTTTTTTTAGGGATTTCTTCCCCTCGCTATATTCCTTCTCGTCACTTACATCTAACGTACTGACCTCATTATTCCCTGAAATGCCATTCACTTTTACACTACCATATTTTGCCTATTGCTTATTACTTTCCTTAATGTTTGAAATCTATGGTCTTCTAGGCCCATTTTAATTACCTCTTGTGTAAAACTATTTTTCTAGCCATTGTTTCTATTTTTAATTGCCCACTAAGATAAAGTATTAACTATTACATTTTTTAAATTCTTGGATTATCAATATTTAGTTTGCAGTGATTAGCATCTCTTATAGGCTTGAATAAATATTTGTGGCATGAAAGTTCACACACATACACACACACACACATACACACACATGCACACTTCATTCTTTTTTTCCTGAATCATTTTGGGATCATAGGAGTTGTAGGCAGCATGTCCCGTGATTCCTAACACCCCATAGTGCATTGCATACAAAAAACACTCTACCACGTAATAGAGATACCACTATCTAAAATCAAGTAATAAACATTGATATAATACTAGCAGCCAATTATTCCAAAGATCTCATTCAAATATTCCTGTTCCCATAATGTTTCTTTCTCCTTCTTGTTCTAGAACTCAATCCAGGATCATGCATTGCATTTGGTTGTCATGTATTTTAGTGTCCTTCAACATGGAGCGGCTTGACAGTCTTTTCCTTGACATTCATGTAATTTGCAGTTTTAGAGTATAAACCACATCAATCAACCTGGAACCATCTAATATTTCCTCATGTTCACACTCACACCATACATTCTTATCAGGAATAGCACTGAAATGATATTGTACTTCCAGTAGTATATGAGGAATCCTTCAATGTTAATTCATCTGAACCCTGGAGATGTTAACATTGACAACCTGTTCAAGTTGGTGTCTGCCAGGTTCCTGGACCATAGGTCCACCATTTTCCCCTTTGTGAGTGGAAGTGTTTCATGGGGAGATACTCAAGACTATGCAAATATATAATTATTCATCAAATTTCTACCCACTGGCTTTGGCATCCACTGATGACTCCTACCTGATTCAACTTCCTCTCTGATATGTGTCATCATTCTTTCCACATTAGTTTGTTGGCATTATACTGCAAGAATTTTTTCCTTTTATTCATTTATTCATTCATTATGGTCTGATAGATTCCTACTTTATTCAATGGGTTATAATCTGGTTACTATCAACATTTATTCTGATACTTCATGTGTCTCAGATTTGGCCATGAGAGCCTCTTCAAGCTAAGTTCCGTGGGTTTATTTTGCATGTTTCCATCATTCTTAGAATATTTCCATACTTTTGGGCTAATTTTGTACTTTCCATGTCTCAACCTTAGAATCAACTATTTTTCTCTGCAGTCTGGTTCCTTTTGGTAGAGGCATTTATAAATCCAGATCTGGGTGCTTAGTATACTCATTACTACCAGGCCGACAGAGCTGTATTTATATATCATCTATCTCTCTATATATATCCATCTAATTATAAAAGTGTGTGTATATATATATACATATATCTGTTTCATCTGTACCTCTCTCCCTCCCTCCTTCTTTTTCTCAATGACAACGTAATACCTTAGCCTTCTCCATTTTCATATATATATATATATATATATATATTTTTTTTTTTTTTTTTTTTTTTTTTTCTGAGACAGTCTTGCTCTGTCACCCAGGCTGGAGTGCAGTAATGAGATCTCGGCTCACTGTAGCCTCTGCCTCCAGGGTTTAAGCAATTTTCCTGCCTCAGCCTCCCGAGTAGCTGGGATTACAGGCACGTGCCATGACACTAGGCTAATTTTTGTATTTTTAGTAGAGACGGCATTTCACTATGTTGGCCAGGCTGGTCTCGAACTCCTGACCTCAAGTGATCCACCCGCCTTGCCCTCCCGAAGTGCTGGGATTATAGGCATGAGCCAAAGCACTGGCTCATTTGCATTTTTATAAATCCCTTCTCTGACAGTGAAAAACCTGGCTCTCACTATCTTCAATATTTGCTTATTTCCTTAATCCCCCTGCATATAACCAATCTACTGACTATGTCATCAGCTTTTTTTGGCTCCTGACCCCAGGACTATCTCCTCAGCCATTTTCTCCTTGTTCTTCTAGCTTCCTCAGCTCCCAGCCACCTCCAAGCAAAGGGAAAAGAAAAGGAGAAAGAAAGGGTGAAGAGGAAACCCCCTCCTTTTTTAAAGAAAAAAAAAATTGTATTTTTGGTCAAATTTTATCTGCTTCACTGTAGTTGAACATAGAAGAGGTATAATGAATACATTTTAAAATGGTACTAAATATAAGGGACATTTTGATTGCTTTGTAAAGATTATGTATATAAAAATCGGGAAAACATTTGCAACTTGTGAATCAGTTTCCCATTTCCATTACAACAAATTATCACACAATAGGTGGCTTAAAGCAACACAAATCTATTTATCTTACAGTTCTGGAGATCAGAAGTCTGAAATGAGTCTCATTTGACAAAAATCAAGATGCTGGCAGAGCTGTGTTCTTCTGCAAGCTTCAAGAGCGCATCTATTTCTTTGCCATTTCCAGCTTCTAGAGCCCCCCAGCATTTCTTGGTTTGTGGCTCCATTCCTCCATCTTTAAGCCAGCAGTACAGCGCTTTCAAGCCTCTCTCTGACTCTGATCCCTCCTCCACCTCTCTCCTACTTCTAAGAACCTTGTAATTCCATTTAGTCCGCTGGATAATCCAAGATAATCTCCCTATTTTAGGTCAGTTGATTAGCAACCTCAGTTCCATCTATAACCTCCATTCCCTTTTGTCATGTAACATAAGATGTTTGGAGGCTTTCTGAGGACTAAGATGTGGACATTTGGGGGAAGCCTTATTCTGCCTACCACAAATTAGACAGACAAAAGTTCGAAATCTTTAATTATATAACCTTATAAATACATAAGAATAATAATACCCTAACAGAATAAAAACCATTAATAAGCAATTAATAGAAGAAAAAGTAAAAAATGGGTAAAAACTTTAAAAAGGTTTAATCACACTAGTAGTTAAAGAAATGCAAGTTAGAGAAAATATGAAACACAAATTTTCACTGATCAAATTGGCAGAGATTTTTTTCTTCTTCATTATGTTCAGTGTTGGCAAAGAATGAGAGAAAATGACTCTCATTCATTGCTGATGGGAATAGAAATTGACATTACTTTGCTGGGTGGCAGTTTAGTAATATATATTAATGGCCTTAAAATTGTACAAACCATTTTGCTCAGCAATTCTATTTCTAGAAATTTATCCTAGGATTAAAAAGAGGATATTTGCAACATTTTAATAGAAGAATATTTGTCAGGGGTTTGTTTAGTGAAAGATGGGAAAAAATACAAACACTTATTGGAATGAGTGCTTTTTTCATATATTATGAAATAATATAATATTCATATGGAAATTTTTAGATATAAAACATGTACGGTATACAAATAATGAAAAATATGTGTGTGTTTGGAATCATGGCTAAACCCTTAACAAATCCAATTCTCTCATTAAAAAAACACCCAGTCTTCTGAATTTTGTGTTTATTTTTATTTATTTTGCATTATGATTTTACTACATGCTTAGAGATTCATATACAGACATTAAACATTATGGCTTTAGAAGTGCATTTATTGAAATGGGGAGATAACCGGGATATGTTGAATGAAATAAATCAGGTAAAGACCAGAATATTCAGAATGATTTTATTTAAAAATACATGATATCAGGGAGGATATGCAGCATTATAACCTGGTTAATTCTGGATGGTGAGGTAATGTCTGATATATTAATATCTTTTTTTTCTTTTTACTAACTTTAATTTTATAGCTTACTTTAAAACAGTGTAGGTACTTATCTTGAAAGTTATAGTTAGAAAAGTTTAATTAAAAGGTATTAGCTTTTTCTGTTAATATTTTGTAGACCTGCTGTTCACCTCCTAATTATAAAAGTAAAAACAATTTCCAGGCGTGTTATAAAAAGTAGAAGATAATTAAATCATATTTTTTAATTTATGTAGTACCATACACGTGTATTTGTTTTTAGGCACAAAGTAAAGTGAAAAATACTACTTTTTGTAACACCTTTATTTCACGTGTATCCATGTGGAAAGGTCTCAACTGTGCAAATGACACAGTAACTGAAATGTTATGAGATGAGGCATGCCTGAAGAAAGAAGAATGCAAGGAACACTCACAGAACTTCTTTAATAGAAGAGACACTCAAAATTCTTTATTTCCAATAAATTCGGAGTAACAAGAACACATATTCTGCCTTACAATTTTTAAATCTTGGTATTTAATGTTAATGAGGTTTGTCCACATTTATAAAATAAAGCAAATATCAGATGATACTGTTATTATTAGTAAAATTGATAAGATAATTTATTCCCTCGAAGAACATCCAGTTTAATAAGGAAGAGGGACAGCAGTAGGAGGGAGAGCTGTTGATAGGGGTTAGCACAGAGTGCACAGGGGGTTAAAAGGTTGACCCTGGTCATTGCATGTGGGTGTCAGAAAAGTTCTGCTGGAAGAGGAAACCCTGAGCTACATTTTGAAGGACAACTTAGAGTCAGCCTGGCTGACTGCCCTTCAGCTTCCCATTAGTAATCTGGAGTTTCTTCTTCAGATGGGGCAAAAGAGGGTGATCTTCCACCTACTCTGAAGAGCAGGAGGTGGGCTGTGGTGAACTCAGAAGTGGAGAAGGCAGAGCTGCCACCTCTCATGTCCTTATGGTTGGAGACCTCCAGCTCCAGACTCACATTCACAGACCACCCCAATGCCCTGTCTTAGAGAGCCCGACATCCCCAGTCTCTCTCCTTCTGACTTCCCTGCAAATGACTTTTGTAAACTCCTGGGGAAACTGAAGCCATGCTGTAACGGAGAGCCTCTGTTAGCTCATCTTCTGGGACATGTCCTCTCTTAGTGTCAATGTTGATCTTTCTCTTACTCCACTAGGCTTGCGATTGCTCTGAGTTTTTTTTCAAACTAAATATATGTATTGTTAGGGAGAAATAGGTAGTAAAACTCTAAAGAATAGCAAGACTTGGACTAACCCACAAGACAGTGATTAACACTAAACTAGGAATATGGTTACCTTGGAATGTGGAAGGACACGAGCATGACAGTACACACAAAGACTTCAAAGATACATTCTATTTCTTAAAGTGGATGCACAGGTGTTCATTGTATTACTATTATTTAACGTGAAGACATAATTTATGTAGTCTTCCGTATATATAAAGCACTTAATAAAAAGGAACAAGGTTAGATGAACAAGGGAGAAATAACATTTCAGGCAGGAAGAATAAGTCTTCTCTGGAGGGCTGAGGGCAGATTGATGTGTGACCAAGGACAAGTGACAAAAAGGAGGTGGAGAGTGAGACACCATCCAGGGAGGGAAAAGGGGTGGTGGTGGAGAGCATGCACATCGCAGGGGTGGTTTGCTTTCCTTACCATTATTTAATTCTTATTTTCTCTAAAATAGTCTTCTTGTCTGTATCCTAAAGCACTCGTGATAAATACTAGTTTATTTGCATCATAAGAGGCATTGCTAAGCAAAATACTTTGTGAATTAGATGTGGAACTTACAATAAGTTAGAAGCACCTACCGGATATTAAGGCTATATACAGTCAAGGCAACAAGCATTGAACAAATGTAGCATAAAAGGATTTGCATTGTGTTTCAATCAGAGGGCAAGTGCATTTAATGGAGTGATAAGGGAACCACGGGAATTGTGTGTTTATGTAATAAATAGTAGAATTCAAAAGGAGTTGCCACTGTTTCATTTAGGAAAGGCTTAGTAGAGGAGATAGGATTACCAGCCATTTGACAGAAGCAGGAGAGTTTGAACTGGTGGGAACAAAATGTTTCAGCCTTTGAATTATTTGTGGTCATGTTGCTATTTTGGCTATTATGGAGCAGGAGCTGCCTGCATGGTGATCTCCCAAGCCTGCAATGGATTGTCCAGGAATGCTCCACTGTGGCTTTCACCTCCTCTCTGGCAGTCCTTTCTCCAAACCACAAAACCCAAATGAATGTGCTTTTCTTCTAAATGGGCTTGGCCTTAAATATAAAACCAAAAATTTTGGTTAGAGAAGAGTCAATGTTTTGATGGCATTTATATTTTTGGTTTTTATTTTTTAAGTGCAGCAGCAAAGATAAACTAACTTCCTCCATCTGTGCCTACATGCCTCCATAGTTAACCTAAAAGTAGACACCATGGTTCTCATCATGTTCATTGCTCGTTCTTGTCTGCTTCCTACTTATTTTTAGATCTGTTTCTCTCAACAGTGGAAGTGTGCCTGCCCTTTGGCATTCATATTTATTTTGTGATGGGAGAAGAGAAAAAGTTACCAAAAGCCTTAAGAGTCGGTGTTCAGTAAAGATAGTTTCAGCATCTTCTCACCTAGCTCTGTTTTCCGCTTCTATTTTTAAGGCTATTGTTTATTTTCATTGTCCTTCTTTCTCTCCCATGTCCTGAGGTCCTCTTGTTCTTTTTTTTTACACTCACTCTAACAAAAGGTTCCACGTTTGGAAAGACTCTGATAAATTCCTCCAAGAGGGGACTTGACCCTCTCATTGTTAATTACAGGAAAATTTTGCCTGTACTGTCAAGAAGATCAAGGATATAATTATAGGGGGAAATTTAAAGAATTGTTTAAATTGGCTCTAATGATGGAGTCAATTTATTTATTATTGATAAAAATTGTATCCAATTATGCTAGAGGTAAGATGGAATTATTTTTTATATTCTCTGTGTGGAAAGTACTTGTTATATGAAGAGAGCATCCAGCTAAACAATGCAGAAAAAAATATTATAGAGACATGTCAGTTAATTAACAAAATTACTATTACATTTTTTGAGACAGGATCTTGCTGTGTTGGCCAAGCTGAAGTATAGTGGTGCAATCATGGCTCACAGCAGCCTCGGCCTCCTGGGCTTTAGCAATCCTCCTGCCTCAGCCTCCCAAGTATCTGGGACTATAGGCACATGTCACTATGCCTGGCTAATTTTTGCTTTATTTTTGTAGAGATGGGGTCTCACTATGTTGACCAGGCTGGTTTTGAACTCCTGGGCTCAAGTGATCCTCCTGCCTGTGCCTACCAAAGTGATGGGATTATAAGCATGAGCCACTGTGTCTGGCAAATTGTTATTTTTATTAACTTTTGTGACATTTTTCAGATTTCAAAATGTATTTGTTGAGATAAAATGATCATTTTAAGTATTTATTTTTACACTTTATTTTGTGTTCTCATTTTTTTTTTAATGAGAAACTCCCAAATTATATAATCTTCAGCCTCCACAACACTTGGATCTGCCTTTTGTTGTCAAGAAAATGAGCAATTGCAAATTAAATGAAAAGATCATATTCCAGTACCTACACAGGAAGATGAAATATAGCTGATCTTATGCTGTGCTTATCATGTTCCTGGTTCCGCTTCTTTAACTCATCTTTTTTTATTTCCTACTATTATCACAGAACATTTTTTCAAATAGTCAAGTTCACTGTTGCCCTTATTCCTTTCAGAGCCTCAGCCACCCTCTTAATTCAGAGCTGTGCTTTTTGATGAGCTGGAAACCTGCCCAGTGGGCATTGCCCTTGTGTACCCATTTGATACAGTGCTTCCACGAACTGATGTTTAATAAATATTTAATGAAATGTGTTCAGCTAAATTAGGTCAGCAGCTAAGGTAAAAGAAGAGCTGTATTTTTTAAAATACTGGAGTGGCTTTAAATGTTGAAAAGCATTAGAAAGCAAAGGCTCTGGTAGAGTGGACAATAGTTACTCTGTTCTTGCTTTCAGAGAAGTCCAGAAGCTGCTCCAAATTTCTAAGGAGATGTTCCAGCTATTAGAAACTGGAACCAAATGTTGATCTGAAAGCCAAGGGAGAGATGTTATGGGCCTTTATCCTTCAGAGGGTCTGGAGACTCACCCAGCTAGCAGGTTTTGGATCCATGGTGATTTGGAGGATTTAGTGGTGAAGGGCATCATTTCCAGACCATAGGCTTAAATGATTCAGGGAAAAAGATGTTTGAAAGATAAAGCAAACAAGGTAAAATGTAATATTTGGGGGATTTGAGTGAAGGGTTTTTGAAAATTTTCTGTACTACTTAGTCAGTTTGGGCTAGTATATTAAAAGAATACATATACACACACCATAGATTAGGGGGCTTATGAATAATAGAAATGTATTTCTTACAGTTACGGAGTCTGGGAGCTTAAGATCAGGGTGCCAGCGTGGTTGGGTTGTGGCGAGCATCCTCTTCTACGGCGCAGGCTGCCATCTTCTCATTGTATCCTCACTTGGCAAAAGAGGTCAAGAGAGCTCTCTGGGGTCCCATATATAACTGCACTAATCCTACTTATGAGGGCTCCACCCTGATGACCTCAATGCCTCCCCAAATCCCTACTCCCCAATACATTACATTGGGGATTAGGATTTCAACATATGAATTTGGAAGGGATACAAACATCCCATCCATAACAGCACTCTTACAACTTTTCTGTAAATTTGAAAGTACGTAAAAATAAAACATGGAGAGCAAACAACAGCTACAACTAAAAACAACACAAAACAACCATGAATTTCTATTTTTAAACCTTACTTTTCCCTTAGTATAATGAAGATATCATGACACCAACTTAATTTAAATAAAGGAATGGATCCACCTCTCTCTGACCTGGCATATTACTGAAACCTGGGCATTACTGAGATTTTTTTGGTTACAAATTATTTTTAAGTGCTTCCTATTTAGGGGAATTGGGATTGCATGAAGAAAGGGAATTTGAATTTTTTAGGACTTGATATTCAATTTCACGTTTCAGACAACCATGAATACTGTAAGAGGTAGTGCCCCTCAAGTTCTTTTAAAAAGTGGGATAATATTAGAGTCTCTGGCATTCCTATCTATAGCTTGATTTGTTCTTTAGTTTTTTTATACTGCCTAACATTCCCTAAATTTTATATGTGTCTTGAGTTATAGCTTCCATTATAAAATAAGATAGATATCATTGAGATGATAGAAAGTTATGAGTGAGATACAACCTTTTTTCTAAACTTAGTTGAGATTTTTGCACTGTTTTGAGGAAATAAAAGATTTATTTGTTAAGTGGAGGAGAGTTTTGGTTGGGGTGTGGCTGGCCTACTTGTACTATATCTGTGAGGGTGCTATAGTCCAGAGGAGAAGGATGGAAAAAACAATGAGAGTTGGAAAAAAGACAATGAAACGTGCAAAAGCATTTTTCTTAGACTGCTCTACGCTCAGGAAATGTAGGACCCGTTTGTTTCTTCTTTTGGCGCAGTCTTCCTTCCTTCTCCCCATGACTTTCTATTCCCAGAATTTTTTGTTTTTTAAGATGGAGTCTTGCTCTGTCACTGAGCTGGAGTGCAGTGGCTCAATCTCGGCTCACTGCAACTTCCACCTCCCGGGTTCATGCCATTCTCCTGCCTCAGCCTCCCGAGTAGCTGGGACTACAGGCGCCCGCCACCATGCCCGGCTAATTTTTGTATTTTTAGTAGAGATGAGGTTTCACCATGTTGGCCAGGATGGTCTCCATCTCTTGACTTCGTGATCCGCCCACCTCTGCCTCCCATCGTGCTGGGATTACAGGGGTGAGCCACCAAGCCTGGCCTCTACTTCCAGAATTTAAGATAGGACTATTTGAACTGTCCTGCTGTTATTTCAAATGGATTTTTTAAATCATATCATAAAAATCTAAAAGCATATTAACCATTTCAACGACTTACTACATCTCCTAGAATATATTTATATGGCTCTAAGCAACTACTTTAGAGATAATTTTATAAACAAAGACTGCAAACTAAGAAATGCATTGTGCACATGTCACTTTGAATCAACACATCTTTCAGTAGTGCACATACTAAATTAGGTACAGCCGTACAAGAGGAAAGTTGATCTTGACACAAGAGGAAATTGAGAATCTTAAGTTTCATCTCTCATACGCCTACAGCATTTGACCAAATGTATCTCAAGCAAGTCCTTACCTTGTTTGTGCTTGACATAATGTTCTTTAGTAGCTTATTCTTACGGTCCTAAGTTTCCTGTTAAATTATTTAGCATCATTTCTATCTCTGTAGTCAAGCCAAATATATTCTAACTATCTTTCATGTTCATTTTTTGGTCTTCGTAGAAAAGAAATAAAAAATTACCTAATTTCTGGCAAAGAATAAAAAAAATACAGCATTGTTTTTCTATATTTGGGCAATCACAAAGATCCTTGAAGACCGAGTTTCCAAGGTTCTGACCTGGAGATCTGAAGTGCATTCCAGAATCTGTATTCTCAAATAACATCTTTATCCAGCTAAGTTTGGGGAACACTGCCCACAGAAAAAGGAAATTGTATAGAAATCCAACTTCTAGCCAAGAGGAAATCCCAAATGGTGCTGAATCCTTAAGTCAATAATGCAGTGAAAAACTTTCATGAACTGTTATCCAACTGTCAGGCCTCTGAGCCCAAGCCAAGACATCACATCCCCTGTGACCTGCACTTATATGCTCAGATGGCCTGAAGTAACCAAAGAATCACAAAAAAAGTGAATATGCCCTGCCCCACCTTAACTGATGACATTCCACCATAAAAGAAGTGTAAATGGCCGGTCCTTGCCTTAACTGATGACATTACCTTGTGAAAGTCCTTTTCCTGGCTCATCCTGGCTCAAAAAGCACCCCCACTGAGCACCTTGCGACCCCCACTCCTGCCCACTGAGCACCTTGCAACCCCCACTCCTGCCCGCCAGAGAACAAACTCTCTTTGACTGTAATTTTCCTTTACCTTCCCCAAATCCTATAAAATGGCCCCACGCTTATCTCCCTTCACTGACTCTCTTTTCGGACTCAGCCCGCCTGCACCCAGGTGATTAAAAGCTTTATTGCTCACACAAACCCTGTTTGGTGGTCTCTTCGCACAGACACGCATGAAATTTGGTGCCATGACTCGGATCAGGGGACCTCCCTTGGGAGATCAATCCCCTATCCTCCTGCTCTTTGCTCCGTGAGAAAGATCCACCTACGATCTCAGGTCCTCAGACCGACCAGCCCAAGAAACATCTCACCAATTTCAAATCCGGTAAGCGGCCTCTTTTTACTCTCTTCTCCAACCTCCCTCACTATCCCTCAACCTCTTTCTCCTTTCAATCTTGGTGCCACACTTCAATCTCTCCCTTCTCTTAATTTCAATTCCTTTCATTTTCTGGTAAAGACAAAAGAGACATGTTTTATCCGTGAACCCAAAACTCCGGCTCCGGTCACAGACTGGGAAGGCAGCCTTCCCTTGGTGTTTCATCATTGCAGGGACGCCTCTCTGATTCTACACTCACGTTTCAAGGGTGTCAGACCACGCAGGGACGCCTGCCTTGGTCCTTCACCCTTAGTGGCAAGTCCCGCTTTCCTGGGGCAGGGGCAAGTACCCCTCAACCCCTTCTCCTTCACCCTTAGTGGCAAGTCCCGCTTTCCTAGGGGGCAAGAACCCCCCAATTGCTTATTTCCACACCCCAACCTCTTATCTCTGTGCACCAATCCCTTATTTACGCACCCTGACCTCTTATCTCTGTGCCCCAATCCCTTATTTCCGTGCCCCAACACCTTCTCTGCTTTTCTGGAGGGCAAGAACCCTCCACCCCTTCTCTGTGTCTCTACTCTTTTCTCTGGGCTTGCCTCCTTCACTATGGGTAACCTTCCACCCTCCATTCCTCCTTCTTCTCCTTTAGCCTGTGTCCTTAAGAACTTAAAACCTCTTCAACTCACACCTGACCTAAAACCTAAATGCCTTATTTTCTTCTGCAACACTGCTTGGCCCCAATACAAACTTGACAATGGCTCTAAATGGCCAGAAAATGGCACTTTCGATTTTTCCATCCTACAAGACCTAAATAATTTTTGTCGAAAAATGGGCAAATGGTCTGAGGTGCCTTATGTCCAGGCATTTTTCACACTTCGTTCCCTCCCTAGCCTCTGTTCACAATGCGATGCCTCCCAGATCCTCCTTCTTTCCCTCCCGCCTGTCCCCTCAGTCCCAACCCCAAGCGTCGCCGAGTCTTTCCGGTCTTCCTTTTCTACAGACCCATCTGACCTTTCCCCTCCTCCCCAGGCTGCTCGTCGCCAGGCCGAGCTAGGTCCCAATTCTTCCTCAGCCTCCGCTCCTCCACCCTATAATCTTTTTATCGCCTCCCCTCCTCACACCTGGTCCGGCTTACAGTTTCATTCCATGACTAGCCTGCCCCCACCTGCCCAGCAATTTACTCTTAAAAAGGTGGCTGGAGCCAAAGGCATAGTCAAGGTTAATGCTCCTTTTTCTTTATCCCAAATCAGATAACGTTTAGGCTCTTTTTCATCAAATATAAAAACCCAGCCCAGTTCATGGCTCATTTGGCAGCAACCCTGAGACACTTTACAGCCCTAGACCCTAAAAGGTCAAAAGGCCATCTTATTCTCAATATACATTTTATTACCCAATCTGCTCCCGACATTAAATAAAACTCCAAAAACTGAAATCTGGCCCTCAAATCACACAACAGGACTTAATTAACCTCACCTTCAAGGTGTGCAATAACAGAAAAAAGTTGCAATTCCTTGCCTCCACTGTGAGACAAACCCCAGCCACATCTCCAGCACACAAGAACTTCCAAACGCCTGAACTGTAGCAGCCAGGCGTTCCTCCAGAACCTCCTCCCCCAGGAACTTGCTACACATACCGGAAATCTGGCCACTGGGCCAAGGAACTCACGCAGCCCAGGATTCCTCCTAAGCTGCGTCCCATCTGTGCGGGACCCCACTGAAAATCAGACTGTTCAACTCACCTGGCAGCCACTCCCAGAGCTCCTGGAACTCTGGCCCAAGGCTCTCTGACTGACTCCTTCTTGGCTTAGCGGCTGAAGACTGACACTGCCCGATCGCCTCGGAAGCCCCCTAGACCATCACGGACGGCAAGCTTCAGGTAACTCTCACAGTGGAAGGTAAGCCCATCCCCTTCTTAATCAATACGGAGACTACTCACTCCACATTACCTTCTTTTCAAGGGCCTGTTTCCCTTGCCTCCATAACTGTTGTGGGTATTGACGGCCAGGCTTCTAAACCTCTTAAAACTCCCCAACTCTGGTGCCAACTTAGACAATACTCTTTTAAGCACTCCTTTTTAGTTATCCCCACCTGCCCAGTTCCCTTATTAGGCTGAGACACTTTAACTAAATTATCTGCTTCCCTGACTATTCCTGGACTACAGCCACATCTCATTGCCGCCCTTCTCCCCAACCCAAAGCCTCCTTCGCGTCTTTCTCTCATATCCCCCCACCTTAACCCACAAGTATGGGACATCTCTACTCCTTCCCTGGCAACTGATCACATGCCCATTACCATCCCATTAAAACCTAATCACCCTTACCCTGCTCAATGCCAATATCCCATCCCACAGCATGCTTTAAAAGGATTAAAGCCTGTTATCACTCGCCTGCTACAGCATGGGCTTCTAGAACCTATAAACTCTCTTTTCAATTCCCCCATTTTACCTGTCCAAAAACCGGATAAGTCTTACAGACTAGTTCAGAATCTGCGTCTTATCAACCAAATTGTTTTGCCTATCCACCCTGTGGTGCCCAACCTGTACACTCTTTTGTCCTCAATACCTTCCTCCACAACTCACTATTCCGTGCTTGATCTTAAAGATGGTTTTTTCACTATTCTCCTGCACTCCTCGTCCCAGCCTCTCTTTGCTTTCACCTGGACTGACCCTGACACCCATCAGTCCCAGCAGCTTACCTGGACTGTGCTGCCGCAAGGTTTCAGGGACAGCCCTCGTTACTTCAGCCAAGCTCTTTCTCATGATCTACTTTCCTTCCACCCCTCCGCTTCTCACCTTATTCAATATATTGATGAGCTTCTTCTTTGTAGCCCCTCCTTTGAATCTTCTCAATAAGACACACTTCTGCTCCTTCAGCATTTATTCTCCAAAGGATATCGGGTATCCCCCTCCAAAGCTCAAATTTCTTCTCCATCCGTTACCTACCTCGGCATAATTCTTCATAAGAACACACGTGCTCTCCCTGCCGATCGTGTCTGACTAATCTCTCAAGCCCCAACCCCTTCTACAAAACAACAACTCCTTTCCTTCCTGGGCATGGTTGGATACTTTCGCCTTTGGATACCTGGTTTTGCCATCCTAACAAAACCATTATATAAACTCACAAAAGGAAACTTAGCTGACCCCATAGATCCTAAATCCTTTCCCCACTCCTCTTTCTGTTCCTTGAAGACAGCTTTAGAAACTGCCCCCACTCTAGCTCTCCCTGACTCATCCCAACCTGCTTCATTACACACAGCCGAAGTGCAGGGCTGTGCAGTCGGAATTCTTACACAAGGACCAGGATCGCGTCCTGTAGCCTTTTTGTCCAAACAACTTGATCTTACTGTTTTAGGCTGGCCATCATGTCTCCGTGCAGCCGCTGCTGCTGCCCTAATACTTTTAGAGGCCCTCAAAATCACAAACTATGCTCAACTCACTCTCTACAGCTCTCATAATTTCCAAAATCTATTTTCTTCCTCACACCTGACACATATACTTTCTGCTCCCGGACTCCTTCAGCTATACTTACACTTTGTTGAGTCTCCCACAATTACCATTGTTCCTGGCCCGGACTTCAATCCGGCCTCCCACATTATTCCGGATACCACACCTGACCCTCATGACTGCATCTCTCTGATCCACCTGACATTCACCCCATTTCCCCACATTTCCTTCTTCCCTGTTTCTCACCCTGATCACACTTGGTTTATTGATGGCAGTTCCACCAGGCCTAATCGCCACTCACCAGCGAAGGCAGGCTATGCTATAGTATCTTCCACATCTATCATTGAGGCTACTGCTCTGCCTCCCTCCACTACCTCTCAGCAAGCTGAACTAGTTGCCTTAACTCAAGCCCTCACTCTTGCAAAAGGACTATGCGTCAATATCTATACTGATTCTAAATATGCCTTCCATATCCTGCACCACCATGCAGTCATATGGGCTGAAAGAGGTTTCCTCACTACACAAGGGTCCTCCATCATTAATGCCTCTTTAATAAAAACTCTGCTCAAAGCCGCTTTACTTCCAAAAGAAGCTGGGGTCATTCACTGCAAGGGGCATCAAAAGGCATCAGATCCCATTGCTCTAGGCAATGCTTATGTTGATAAAGTGGCTAGACAAGCAGCTAGCTCTCCAACTTCTGTCCCTCACGGCCAGTTTTTCTCCTTCACTTCAGTCACTCCCACCTACTCCCCCACTGAAACTTCCACCTATCAATCTCTTCCCACACAAGGCAAATGGTTCTTAGACCAAGGAAAATATCTTCTTCCAGCCTCACAGGCCCATTCTATTCTGTCATCATTTCATAACCTCTTCTATGTAGGTTACAAGCCGCTAGCCCGTCTCTTAGAACCTCTCATTTCCTTTCCATCATGGAAATCTATCCTCAAGGAGATCACTTCTCAGTGTTCCATCTGCTATTCTACTACCCCTCAGGGATTGTTCAGGCCTCCTCCCTTCCCTACACATCAAGCTCGGGGATTTGCCCCTGCCCAGGACTGGCAAATTGACTTTACTCACATGCCTCGAGTCAGAAAACTAAAATATCTCTTAGTCTGGGTAGACACTTTCACTGGATGGGTAGAGGCCTTCCCCACAGGGTCTGAGAAGTCCACTGTGGTCATTTCTTCCCTTCTGTCAGACATAATTCCTCGGTTTGGCCTTCCCACCTCTATACAGTCTGATAACGGACCAGCCTTTACTAGCCAAATCACCCAAGTAGTTTCTCAGGCTCTTGGTATTCAGTGGAACCTTCATACCCCTTACCGTCCTCAATCTTCAGGAAAGGTGGAACGGACTAATGGTCTTTTAAAGGCACACCTCACCAAGTTTAGCCTCCAACTTACAAAGGATTGGACAGCACTTTTACCTCTTGCTCTTCTCAAAATCAGAGCCTGTCCTCGAGATGCTACAGGATACAGTCCATTTGAACTTTTATATGGACGCACTTTCTTGCTTGGCCCCAACCTCATCCCAGACACCAGCCCTCTAGGCGACTATCTTCCAGTACTCCAGCAGGCTAGACAGGAAATTCGCCAGGCTGCTAATCTTCTCTTGCCTACTCCAGATCCCCAGCCATATGAAGACAACCTAGCTGGACGATCAGTTCTTGTTAAGAATCTGACCCCTCAAACTCTACAACCTCGATGGACCGGACCCTACTTAGTCATCTATAGTACCCCGACTGCCGTCTGCCTGCAGAATCCTCCCCACTGGGTTCACCATTCCAGAATAAAGCTGTGTCCATCGGACAGCCAGCCTAATCCCTCCTCTTCCTCCTGGAAGTCGCAAGTACTCTCCCCCACTTCCCTTAAACTCACTCATATTTCTGAAGAACAGTAATAACCCTTATGAGCCTAATACATCCCTTCATTCTATTAGGTCTGTTCATCCTTACCCTACTTTTTGCAACAGGGCTTTACGAAGTCACCCCACCACTTAGGCCAAGCCCCAAAAAACTAGTCATCCCTATTATCTTCTGTCCGGTCATACTCCTATTCTCCATTCTCAACTACTTATAAATGCCCTACTCTTGTTTACACCGCCGGTTTACACTGTTTCTTCAAGCCATCACAGCTGATATCTCTTGGTGCTATCCCCAAACTGCCACTCTTAACTCCGTCTTAGAGTGGATAGATGATCTTTGCTGGCAAGGCACCCTCCAATACTTCCACCCTGATGAAGTTCTATTCTTTACTTTTATACTCACTCTTATTCTCATTCCCATTCTTATGTCATCCTCTACCTCTCCCCAGCTATCTCCACCACACTATCAACCTTACCCATTCTCTCCTAGCCGCTTCTAATCCCTCCTTAGTGAACAACTGCTGGCTTTGCATTTCCCTTTCTTCCAGTGCCTACACAGCTGTCCCCGCCTTACAGACAGACTGGGCAACATCTCCCATCTCCCTACACCTCCGAACTTCCTTTAACAGCCCTCACCTTTACCCTCCTGAAGAACTCATTTACTTTCTAGACAGGTCCAGCAAGACTTCCCCAGACATTTCACATCAGCAAGCTGCCGCCCTCCTTCGCACTTATTTAAAAAACCTTTCTCCTTATATCAACTCTACTCCCCCCATATTTGGACCTCTCACAACACAAACTACTATTCCTGTGGCCGCTCCTTTGTGTATCTCTTGGCAAAGACCCACTGGAATTCCCCTAGGTAATCTTTCACCTTCTCGATGTTCCTTTACTCTTCATCTCCGAAGTCCAACTACAAACATCAATGAAACAATTGGAGCCTTCCAGCTCCATATTACAGACAAGCCCTCTATCAATACTGACAAACTTAAAAACATTAGCAGTAATTATTGCTTAGGAAGACACTTGCCCTGTATTTCACTCCATCCTTGGCTATCTTCCCCTTGCTCATCAGACTCTCCTCCCAGGCCCTCTTCTTGTTTACTTATACCCAGCCCCGAAAATAACAGTGAAAGATTGCTCGTAGATACTCGACGTTTTCTCATACACCATGAAAATCGAACCTTCCCCTCTACGCAGTTACCCCATCAGTCCCCATTACAACCTCTGACAGCTGCCGCCCTAGCTGGATCCCTAGGAGTCTGGGTACAAGACACCCCTTTCAGCACTCCTTCTCACCTTTTTACTTTACATCTCCAGTTTTGCCTCGCACAAGGTCTCTTCTTCCTCTGTGGATCCTCTACCTACATGTGCCTACCTGCCAATTGGACAGGCACATGTACACTAGTCTTCCTTACCCCCAAAATTCAATTTGCAAATGGGACCGAAGAGCTCCCTGTTCCCCTCATGACACCGACACAACAAAAAAGAGTTATTCCACTAATTCCCTTGATGGTCGGTTTAGGACTTTCTGCCTCCACTGTTGCTCTCGGTACTGGAATAGCAGGCATTTCAACGTCTGTCATGACCTTCCGTAGCCTGTCTAATGACTTCTCTGCTAGCATCACAGACATATCACAAACTTTATCAGTCCTCCAGGCCCAAGTTGACTCTTTAGCTGCAGTTGTCCTCCAAAACCGCCGAGGCCTTGACTTACTCACTGCTGAAAAAGGAGGACTCTGCATATTCTTAAATGAGGAGTGTTGTTTTTACCTAAATCAATCTGGCCTGGTGTATGACAACATTAAAAAACTCAAGGATAGAGCCCAAAAACTTGCCAACCAAGCAAGTAATTACGCTGAACCCCCTTGGGCACTCTCTAATTGGATGTCCTGGGTCCTCCCAATTGTTAGTCCTTTAATACCCATTTTTCTCCTTCTTTTATTTGGACCTTGTATCTTCCGTTTAGTTTCTCAATTCATCCAAAACCGTATCCAGGCCATCACCAATCATTCTATACGACAAATGTTTCTTCTAACATCCCCACAATATCACCCCTTACCACAAGACCTCCCTTCAGCTTAATCTCTCCCGCTCTAGGTTCCCACACCGCCCCTAATCCCGCTTGAAACAGCCCTGAGAAACATCGTCCATTCTCTCTCCATACCACCCCCCAAAAATTTTTGCCGCCCCAACACTTCAACACTATTTTGTTTTATTTTTCTTATTAAGAAGGCAGGAATGTCAGGCCTCTGAGCCCAAGCCAAGCCATCGCATCCCCTGTGACCTGCACGTATATGCCCAGGTGGCCTGAAGTAACTAAAGAATCACAAAAGAAGTGAATATGCCCTGCCCCACCTTAACTGATGACATTCCACCACAAAAGAAGTGTAAATGGCCGGTCCTTGCCTTAACTGATGACATTATCTTGTGAAAGTCCTTTTCCTGGCTCATCCTGGCTCAAAAAGCACCCCCACTGAGCACCTTGTGACTCCCACTCCTGCCCACTGAGCACCTTGAGACCCCCACTCCTGCCCGCCAGAGAACAAACCCTCTTTGACTGTAATTTTCCTTTACCTTCCCCAAATCCTATAAAATGGCCCCACGCTTATCTCCCTTCACTGACTCTCTTTTCGGACTCAGCCCGCCTGCACCCAGGTGATTAAAAACTTTATTGCTCACACAAAGCCTGTTTGGTGGTCTCTTCACACGGACGCGCATGAAACAAACTAAATGAGAATTCTTATTTTATTTTCCCCAATGTTTTTTTCTTTAGATTTTTTTTTACCTAATTTCTTTCCCTCACACCTACCCATAACAGAGTTGTAGCTGAAACAGAAATTTAAAGAGAGAAAAATCAGCTAACATTTATTGATCCCTTATTGTGGGCAATGTTTTGTTTATAATCTTCAAACAGCTCTGTAGGCCTGTATTACTGGCTCCATTTTCCCCACTTGGGAAAGCCTCAGTGAGACATGGGACAGACTCAGATAAGTCAAACATCTTGGCCAAGTTTTTCCTGAAGGTGGGTGGCAGAGCTAGGATTTGAATTTAGATGGGTGTGACTACTCGGTAAGTGCTGCTAAAATGTAGTTTCCTGGGGAGCAATACAGATTCAGACCTTATCTTTTCTATCTGTGGTAGCAATGAGACTACTATGCAAATGATGAGCTTAAAACTATGCAAAAATTTAGCCTAAAGTGTTTATTATGTTTCATTTAGGATTGCAGAAAGAATAAAGACATCTAAGCGTTTCTGATTAATCTTGAACTAGTTTAACACATTCATTGAGTTAAATTAGTTTCCGGAATCTGGACTTGCTTCTGATAATTACTATTAAGATGAGTATGCTTGTAGTTTGCCAGATTTTCTTCAAAACATTTTTAAAAAGTAAAATAAAGGAGTCTAATACTGGAGGACCTGGTAACTCCTCTAGAAAGTTCTTCCCCATGTCACACATCTTCCCTTGACACATGCTACTTCCTGAGGAGCCAGACCCCTGGGAACTGAACCTCAGCCCCAGTCTACCATGTGACAGGCACTGTGTCAGCATCAGTCACACAGTCAGTCATAACAGGCAATGTCTTGGCCTCATGGAATTCACGCTTCCAAAAGGAAGAGATAATCAGCAAACAAACAAATGAGAAATATCAGATGATGAGTATTATGAAAGCTATAAAATAAGGTAACAGGCAATGCAATAGAAAGTAACAGAGTGGGCCGGGTGCCATGGCCAACACCTGTAATCCCAGAACTTTGGGAGGCCCACGCCAGAGGATCTCTTGAGCTCAGGAGCTCAAGACCAGCCTGGGCAACATGGTGAAACTCCATCTCTTCCAAAATACCAAAATTAGCCACGTGTGGTGATGCGCCTGTAGTCCCAGCTATTTGGGGGGCTAAGGTGGGAGGGTCGCTTGAGCCTGGGAGGTCCAAGGTACAGTGAGCCATGTTTGTGCCACTGTACTCCAGCCTGGATGACAGAATCAGATTCTGTCTCAAAAACAAAGAGAGAGAGAGAGAGAGAAAGAAAGAAAGTAACTGGGTGCAGCAAACTGCACAGCCAGCCAAGGACTCTCAGAGGGCTGAGCAACAAGAAGGAGGCAGTCATTGACCATCCCGGTAAGCATTTTTGGAGCTGGGAGAGTGGTCTCTCCACCCATTTCTGGATGAAGTCCTAAGTTTGATTGCTGTGAGGGAGGAGATCTATAGTGGCACTGATAACCTGAGATACACAAATAAATCTATGAAAAGGGGACAAGATACTAGCTAACACCTAGGAAATATAGCCCAACTTCTGGACTCTTATTTTAATTTTAAAGGCTATGTTCTCTACAATTTAAAAAAAACTATTAAAAAATGGGCAAAAGATTTAAATAGCCATTTTTTCCAAAAAAGATATGCACATGGCCAATAAAGATGGTAAGCATCATTATCCATTAGAAAACGAAAAACCACAATGAGATATCTTACTTTATGCCTACAAGCATAACTATAATAAAAATGGAAAATAACAACTGTTGGCAAGGTTGTGGAGAAATTGCAATCCTTATACATTACTTGTGGGAATGTTAAATGATGCAGCCACTGAAAAGGTGGCAAGCAATCTGGCAGTACCTCAAAAAGTTATACAAATGATTTATGACCTAACAATTCTACTCCTAGAGATATATATGCCTTATAGAATTGAAAACATATTTTCACAAATACCAACAGAAAGCAAAAATTGTTGCACAAATAACGTTATTCATATTAGCTAAAAGGTGGAAACAACCCAAATGTCTGTCAATGATGAAGGGATTACAAATGTGGTATATTCATTCAATGTAATGTTATTCAGCCGTAAAAAGAAATGAGATTCTGATACATACTACAACATTAATGAACCTTGAAAACATTATGTGAAGTGAAAGAAGCCAGCCATAAAAGACCACTTGATTATTGTATGATTAATTGACATGAAGTGTTCAGAAAAGGAAAATCCATAGAGTGAGAAAGTGGCTTAGTAGTTGCCAGTGGCTTAGAGAAAGGAGGGAGAATGGTGAATGTCTACTAATGGTTAACAGGTTTCTTTATGGGGGTAATTAAAATATTTGGAATTAGATAATGGTAATGGTCAGACAACTCTGTGAATATACTAAAAACCACTGAATACCACACTTTAAAACTGAATTTTATGTTATGTGAAGTATATGCCAATAAGAAATATGTTTTAAAATGTTGTGTTACCCCAATGAGATGTAAATATTGAGTTGTCATCTATCAGTCAAGTAACTGAGAAGATTTTTACTGTTAAACTAGGAAGATATCTATGTATACTAACAGAACATGTAATTGAAATTTTTTGCAGCTGGCGTGGTGGCTTATGGCTATAATCCCAGCACTTTGGGAGGCTGAGATGGGAGGATTGCAGCCATGAGTTCAAGACCAGCCTGGGCAACAAAGCAAGACACTCATCTCTACAAATTTTTTTAAGTTCATTGGGTATTTATTTTTAAAACTTTGTGGAAATAAGTGAAATATAGTTCATAAAGAGAGGGAACTTGAAAATCTAGGCACTTGACTTGGATTAAGGTCTTTAGTCATTCATTCTTTCTTCAATATTGCTTTAGGAAGTATCCACAAGCCTCAGAGCCAACCAGATCATCACACTGAGGAAGAAATAGACTAGGGATTCTTCATCATGATCTTTAAAGAGCAACCATGCTGACACCATAAGAGTTCCAAGGTCAGTACTCACCTAATGCTGGATAGCTAAGGAAGAGGCAGGACCCGACCTTTAGTGAAACCTAACATTCGAGAATGGAAGGACTTCAGGAAGAGGGAAGTCTATGTATCAAGGTAGTGAAACAGAAATAATGGGGCTTATTCAGGGGGAAAATATATCCACTATTTTGCTTGCTTATAGAAGTAAGGATATAGAAATAATGGGATAATGTGGGAAAGGTTGGCCTAGACTAGGGGAAGATACCTTGAACGCCAGGATAAAGAGATAGAGCCAAACTAAGATAATTCCACTGTTGTCCTGGATTTTCCCTAAGTCCCTCAGTGAAGTTGAACAATTTACTTCGCTCCTAGTGCTCCAGGATCCTTTACAATAATAAGAGATATTGAAGTTGATGTCTATAGAAAGTGTTTTATTTGGGGTAATACTCTTTTCGTGAATAACTATACAAGTTTCCAATTATTACTGTAACAAATTACCACCAACTTAGTGACTTAAAACAACACAAATGTATTATTTTATAGTTCTGGTGGTCAGAAGTCTAAAATCAAGATGTTGCAGAGCAGCATTCTTTTTGAGGGTGTTAGAAACCATCTGAGAATTTGTCTCCTTGCTTTTCTATCTTCTAGATGTTGCCTGCATCCTTTGACTAATGGCTCTCTCCTCTATCTTCAAAGTGCATCAGTCTTACCTCTGGCTTTGTCATCACATCTTTTTCTGATTTTGATCCTCTTGCTTCCCTCTCATAAGGGTCCTTATGATAACATTGTGACCACCTGCATAACCAAAATAACCCTCCTTCTCAAGATCCTTCATCACATCTGCAAAGTCCCTTTTGTCGTTGAAGGTAACATGTTCACAGGTTCTGGGGACAGCAATGAGGACATTTTTGGGGGACCATTATTTAGCCTATCCCAATCACCTATTGATTTCCTGGAACACTTAACATATATATTATGAATGCATCCCATTCTAGACCTCCAGGAATGGAGTCCAGAAAAAGGCATTTTAAATAAACTCCCCCAAGTTTGAAGCGTCCTGCTGTGAGAAAAGGCACGTCACTAAAGATCTTTTAGGATAAGTATAGGAATGAAATTAGTAAAACAGTGCTTTAAGATAAGCATTGACACGTTAAAATCATGCAAAAGTTAAGTAATACTAGGAGCTATTGAGTTTTTTGTTTGCAGTCATTATTTATTTATTTATTTATTTTGATAAGAGAAGATTCTGCATAGAATTTGGGTCAAAAAAAGAACAACAGAAGGCAGTTGGTTTGGGTGTGAGAGTGTAGGCAAGCCTGCTCTTCTAGTCTAGGAACTATCCTATTTATTCAACTCCTTTGCTCCTTGGGGGAATCACTGCTTCATAAAACCTGTTTTCCTATGACATTGCCTTCCAGCAAGGAACCCTCTCAAACCCTGTTGCAGCCTGTCACATGTACTGTGACAGCACCCATGCACGTGGAAAGAGATTCAAAGCAAACTCCTGAATGGCAAGATCTCCCTTCTCCCATCAGGTAAGGATCCTCCTATTTGTACTACTTTCCTTCCAGTTGTGCATGTAGCAAAGGATTCTGATTCCTGAGAGAAATGGAAAATTTCTCTTGCATTATGATTAGTCTTTAGGAGGAGAGGCTTGCTTGCGGGAGATGGCTTTCTTATTTCAATTTGGCAGTTTCCCCTAACATAAACTGATAAGATAAAATCAACCAAGCTATCAGGGGGCTTCCTCCTGGAGGCCAGGTCCTGAAGTCCTAGCAGGTGGCTCAATGGAAAAGTAGATTTCTACACCTTACATTAGGGAAACGGTTCTCAGCACAACCTGCACTTTGAGATCATATAAGAGACTTAAAAACAAATTATCCTGGCTGGATATGGTGGCTCGCATTTGTAATTCCAGGACTTTGGGAAGCCAAGGTGGAAGGATGTCTGGAGGCCAGAAGTTTGAGACCAGCCTTAGCAGCAGAGTGAGAAGCCATCGCTAGCAAATTTTAAAATTAGCTGAGCATGGTGGTGCATGCCTGTAGTCCTAGCTACTCGGGAGGCTGACATGGGAGGATTGCTTGAGCCCAGCAGGCTGAGGCTGCAGTGAGCTATGATCATGCCACTGCACTCCAACCTGGGTGATGGAGTGAGACCCTGTCTCAAACAAAACAAAACAAAACAAAAAACTCCTCAAAAACAAACAAACCAAAAACAACCAAGAAAAAAACTGTCTCTAGGCCCCATTGTGCAGATTGTGATTTAAGTTATTTGAGAAGAATACCTCGTATCGGTATTTTTAAAAAACTCTCCAAATAATTCTAATGCAAAGCCAGGGGAGAAAGCCACTGATTAGGAAATCCTAAGTGGTTCCAGGTTAGGAAATAACTAGTAGTTACAGTTGTTACTATGTTTTAAAAAATGAAATACAGTTAAGAATCCTATTTTGGGTTGTACGCAAAACTCATTCAATATATTTATTACATGGCACTCACTTAGTGATGATTAAGAGTTAGAAGGGATTTTAGAAACATTCTAATGGGATTTAGTAGAAAGAAATTGGGTTTTAGAGACAGACAGACTTGAGTTTGAATGAATTTTGATTCTTCCAATTATTAGCTGGGAAATCTTAGGCACTTAACTCTGCTAAGCTTCAGTTTCCTCATCTATATACTCTGCATACAAATCCCTAATTTATGGATTTCTTAAAAGGAATAAATGAGACTTACATAAAGCCCCTGTCATATTAATAAGCACACAGAGAATATTATTACGCTCCCTTTTATACAGAGGAGGAATTTAGGCAAAAATAAATAAATAAAGCCACACACACACACACACACACACACACACACACACACAAGCCTCCCACTGAGTGTCCTTCCTAAGTAATACAATTTACTAGCATAAAATTTGGGACTAGAATTGATGACTTCCAGTTAGAATCCAGTTCTTTTGTAGAATCACTGTAATGTGGCTGATATATTATTCAGAAATAGTAACACCTTTTCCCTTTCAATCTTGCTTCTAGAGGATATTGCCTGTAACGGCCCAGATAATCATGCCTCCGTTTCCTCCTCTTTAGCTACATAATTAAATTTACAACAGCCAGTTAGGGCAGGCCAGGGCACACCTTATACAGCAATAATAATAATATGCTCTAGAGCAGATAATAAACACGCTACTTTGAATGAGAGAATGCTGCTAACTGTGACTCCTCCCTGGCCAGCTCTAGCTGGTACCACTCCCTGGATTTGAATACGATTCTAGAACCGTGTTGCTCAATACATTAGTCCTAGCCACGTGTAGCTATTTAAAATTAAAATGAACTCAAATTAAATCAGTTAAATAATTTGGTTACTCAGTTGCACTGGCCACATTTCAAATGCTGAGTTGCCACTTGGTGACCAGTGGCTACTGTATTGAACAGCATAGATATGAAACATTTATATCATCACAGAAAATTCTATTGGGCAGTGCTGTGTTAGAGGACTTTGTATCTTTGGATTTTTTTGTTATATCTAAATTTATGAATTGAATTTGCTCTATTAATAGCTGTTAATTATGTAGCTATAAAATGGGGAAAAGTGGAATTTGATATGAAAATAAGCTGAGAGAAAGGGTACAGGAGGAAAGAGGGAATAGAGTTGATTTGCCTGAACTGACATCTGGCAGTTGACAATTCAAGCAAGAATAAACTGTCCCTTAGGTTAGTAGGCAGAAACACCCTGGCTAAAGAGTTCATTACGCTTGTTTCTGAAAGGCTGGGGATGGCACACTGATACAAAGCTCTGGCAGCCAGTTCTCCTACTGGGCTCCCGGTGGGTTCCTGCGGGCAGCTGTCACTATGGCAACGCTCAAGATTGAGGCCAGAGCCCTGAAAACAGCTGTTCTCATGCCATTGCCCCACTCCTGACATCCATCCTGAAAAGCCCTAACCAGGCAAATCGATCAATCCCTGTGGAATCCCCAGAGAGCTCAATTTAAGCACAATTTATTGTAGTAAAAAGTAAGACTTGAAAAGAAGTTCAGACATTAAACCTAACCAGCAAATATAATGTTAGGCCTCTTTCTGTTAAAAAAGAAATCAAAATATAAGTTTCCCTACATCCTGTCACTATTTTGGATTCTCAGCTGTGAAAGCACTGTCCCCTTTCCCGGCATTAAGATAAAGTTCCTCAGTTAGGGTGAATGTGGGAGTTATTGGTGCTGTTCAGCAATGTTTCTGTTCTCCTTCCAAACACATTGTAGGACAGCATGACCCAAATTTCTTTTTTTTTCTCTGAAAGATTAAAGCATCTTTGATGGGATCAATTAAGACAAAAGGAAGTAAAATGCAGTTCTATTTCTGTCCATGTAACTTATTTTGGCCAGTGCAATGTGAGCGGAAGTGACATGTGTTATTTCCAGTTAGAAACCTTTAAGAAGCAGGGCACAAGAAGCTGATTTCCTCCCCCTGCCTGCAATGTTGCAGATGGTGGAGGCTCCATCAGTCTTAGCACCTGAAAAAGGATGATGGCGTACCTCACCCACTGAAGACAGACATGGAGTGAAACCATGTTTTAAGCCATTGAGGTTTGGAGGGGTTTTTGTTACTACAGCAACAAATTTAGAATCTTCTAATACTGTGCATATATGAAAAAAAGTACAGAAAGAATTTTAAAAATCTGAAGAAAATTAATTATTTTAATGTAAAGTGCTAATTTCAAGAGTATCCTATCTATTGCAGGATCAGCTTAAATAAAAAATCTGTGTAATGGTGTGACTTTTTTCATGCCAATATTATTTGTTTGTAAACAAGATATGTCAGTCTGGGTTTATATTAAAGCAAAAAATTGGTCTGATACTAGCAATTCAATTGGTCCTCTTAGACCAATTTTTATATACATAAAAATATTTATGACACCTATAAAGAGATATTAACAAACAAAACATCTTTAAAATAAAATATCCCAGTACTTATATTTAAATAAACAGCAACATACATAGCCTGTGGGAACATTATTTGACATTTTTAAGATTATTCTTTGGGAATCCTGGGGAAAAGTTTAGAAGATAGGTGCATCATTTTTATTATTTTGGATACAACATTTTAACTTTTCTAGTTCAACTAGTTCAACATAGTTGATTCTGAATGATCTATGGATATTACAAGATGTTGAATATACTTTTAATGTATATCTATTTGCCACAGTTAAAGCAATATTCCAAACAATGAAACAATGCAAAAAAAATCAAGGTTGCTTTAAACAATGAAAACCTCCTTATTGTAAGCATATAATCTCTCCCCAAAATGCAGCTTGTTTGGATATATCAATCCTGATGTGTGGGTATGTCTCATCCATCACCTCAAATTGCTTTTGAAATTATATGTAATATAAAAGTTTAAAAATTGAAAAATTAAAGCAGGCATATTTTTTATAGTCACAAAACCATACGCAGACTCTAAACACCCACTGAAGATAAATAAATATAAAAAATTTAAAAATAATACTGGTGGATTTTATAAATATCATGGCTGGGATTTCTGTTTTTATTTGATACTCAGAAAATAAAACTTATTTTAATAAAATAAGTTTATAATAAAATTTATTTTAGCAACACACACACACACACACACACACACACACACACACACACATATATATATATATATATATATATTTTAATACAGGAAACTTAGAAATTAACCAGGTTGCCTCAGCGTTACCTCCTCCTACTTCTCTTCAGGATCTAGGACGTTCTGCCCGTTGGCCAGTAAGGGGAGCCATCACAAAGTAATTACAGACACATTTACATGACAACCTTTCCTCATAGACTTGAAGTTTGTACGAGTTTTTCTAATACACATCTTGCTTTTCAGTGAATTTTGTAGGTCAGTACTGACCACACATTGTCTGTACACACCCAGGCTGTCATAGCAGGCCACCAGATAGCAAAAGCTGCAGAAAAGCTCAGATGCTGTGCTGTTTCTTTAGAAGCCTTCTTTTCCCATGTCTCATGCTGTTAGAAAATGCTTCTATTACCCAAGATCCAGGCCAAAAGGCTCTGATCTGAGCCCTGCTGCTGCTTTAATTGTCTGCCCCTACTCAGCTCTCTTTATTAACCCCTCTCACCCCTCCCAATAGTAAATGTAAATTACATGTTTCTTTCAAGTCTACCTACCCAATTCTTTCAGGAAAAGCCATTTGTTCCCATGCACCTGGAGCTAATTCTCACTTCTTGCATTTTATCCACTGAACCAAGCTCCTGCCCTGCCGCCTTCTCCCAGACTCCCCTAGGTGCCACTTTACCTCTTCTGGAGGCCTGAGCTGATGTGTTTAAAGGCTGCCCAAGAATGAAATAATTCAACACTGAGTTTCCGAGGCATGGTATTTCTCTGTATTGTTTCAAATACCTAAAAAGATGAGGGCAAGTGTTTGAGTGTGGCACCTAGCCAACCAGAGTTGTTTCAAGAAAGTCAATAATGTATATTACAAACATGTTTTGGTGACCAAATACAGCCTCCCAGCTATAGGTCTCCCCTAGAAAAGTGAGGCAATTATCTCAATCAGTCAAGTGAAAAGGTCCATTTATGCTTCAATTCTCTGGCTAATTCAGGCAAAAGTAAAATTTTCATCTGAATGATCTCAGTAATTGGCTTGCTGCTTTGCTTTACCAGAGAAAAGCAAAGAAACAGGCTGTTCTATACTGACAGGGTGCTGGTAATCACGGGGAACTTGTGCATAGAAAACATCGATGAGAAAGCACATTAGTAGAGACTTTGTTGAGAAATTTCAGCAACAGATAGAGCCTAATCATAGATGATAAATGAGACCTTTAGCAATCTTTTTTTCCTTCCCTTCACCTGCCCACCGACCACTTTTCCTTCAGTATTTCAGGTCCACAGCAGGTATGCCACTAGGAACAAATCAACAAATCTATTATCCTTGACTTCTTCCTCTCCTTTAATTTCCATTCCACCTTCTACAGATCTTTTGAATGTTAACCCCTCTGTATTCCCATAGCCATTGGCTTAGTTCAGACAACCGTTGGTACTTTCCTCGAACATTCATCTATTTGATATTTATTGAGGGTCTTTTATATGAAGGTTCAATGCCAGGTACTGCAAATACAATGAGCAGAAAGACAGACATGAATTCTATTGATCATAGCTACCCTTAATTGGTTTACCTGCTTTCTATCTCATGCCTCTCCCTAATCCATTATCTTCCTTGCTGTCAGATTCACCTTTTGAAGTGCCAAGCCAGGCACTACTTCACTGCATAATAGCCAAAGTCCTAAGCATGAGATACAAGGAACTTGATGATCTGACATTGACTTCATAGTCATTTTCCCTTCCGGCCACTTTCTATTGGTCTTATATTTGGCCAGTCTGAACTTTTCACGGTTGCCTGTGATGGCTGCTTTGATCCAAAATGCCTCTTTTCCCCTTCATCTGGCTAATTTATATCTACAGTACTTTTTCTTTTGGTTTTAATATTAAAATTATCTTCCCTATATTCTGTCTTCCTAGACTTCTAACTTCTGTTTTCCTAGACTTTTGTCTCTTGATTCCACAGGGAATAATTTCAAGCCCCTTTAGCTGTCTAAAGAAAACTTGTATTCTGTGTAAGCATTCATTCCTTTAACTAGCCCTTTGTTGTGTTTTTTAGCTCCTTTACTGTTTTGATCATTCTCCTCTGAACACATTTCAGTAAGTGGATATTCCTTTTAAACTGCAGTAGCCATAATTGAACTTGGTATTCCATGTGTGATCTGATTTTCAGGAAGGAAAATTCCTGATCTGGTAAATACACATGTTCCTTTTTAAAACCCGAGCTCAAGACTTTCCATTGCTCTCTTAACTCCTACTCTGGATTCTCTTGGATACAAAATCATGTCTTTATTTTCTTCTTTTGAATCCCAAATCTGGCTGTGATGGATATGGAGATGCACCACTCAGGTTTCTTTCAGGGCTGACTTGTTACTTCTTTTTCAGAGATGACCTCAGTTGCAGAGTGATGCCTTGTTCAAAAGCCCAACCTTCCTTAGCTATCCATATCCAATGACTGACCATGGAGGACATATAAAGATCTGAAAATTTTGGCTCACTAGGGGACAACTCCAAAGGGTCATATGGCTCTGGAGTTCTCTGAGGGTTGGGCTGAGGCTCTGTCACGCCTGCTTCATAATTCATCTTGTCTCTCTGTTTGATTGCTTCCTCCTCCTGGCTTCCACAGCTGTTGAACCTTCATAAATATCTTGCAAGTCCAACTCCATTTTAGAGTCTTTAAAAACCCAATCTGACATTTGGTATCAGAATAGTCCAAAAATGAAGTTGATAAGATAAATTTTGAAGCTTTATCATTTGTCACTTGGCTAGTAATGTGAACTCCATCACTGATGGTACTGAGGCACAAATAATCCAATGGAAATGAAAAGACCCTGAAACAACAGAGAACAGGAGGTGCCACATAACTGCTGAAAAGCAGGTGGATGCAATTATCATAATGAGCAGCAGAGCCAGAGTGGCAGCCAATGGGGCCTGACCCACAGACAGTCATGGAGATGGTTAATAGAAACTCATAACCCTAGGGACTAAATAGATGGGCAGCCAACAAGGATACTTTGGTTTATACCATCACGAGAAATTAGGGTAAATAATTAGAAGCCCTAATTATTGAAGGAACTCACTCCAATAAGGCAGTCATGCCAATAAGATGTTGTAGTCTTTTGCCCACTTTCCAGATCTGAGTTAGTTTTCAGACCCAGGACCCACTGACTAAAGAAATGGCCAGGTCCCTAGGAAGAAAGACCCAGCTACACAGTGCAAGTATTATGATGATGATTCCCCCAGTCCATCTTTAAAAGTACCTACAACTGTTTACTTGGGTGACTTTGTACAAGGGAAAGGGAAACACTCAAAACATTTTAGGACTGTTTGACACTGGGTCTGAGTGGACATTGATACCTGGAGAACTGAAGCCTTACCATGGGGCCCTCCTGTTCTAAAGTGGGAGCATATAAGAACCAGGTAAAAAAACAGACTCCTGGCAGAGATCTGGCTTGCAGTAAGTCCACTAGGTCTGAGGACCCACACAGTGGTCATTTTCCCTGGTTCCAAGTACGTAATTGAAGTTCTCATGTTTGGAATACATGCAATCCCAACACTGAACCTTTAGTGAGTGGGACAGAGGCTATAGAAGTGGGGAGAGCCAAGTGGATGTTTCTGAAACTGTTCATATCCCCCACCCAAATCAAGGTAGTAAATAAAATACAAGTTGTATCGCATGGGGAATAGTGGAAATTATTAGTACCTTTAGGAACCTAAAAGATATAAGGGTGGTGGTTGCTATCATATCCCCACTTAAGTTGTCTTAATGCAGTGACTTGCTCTTGCAGAACACAGAGATCCTGGGAAATGAGAGTAGATTATTGCAAATTCAATTAATTGGTAGCCTCAACTGCAGTTGCTGTGCCAGATGTAGTATCTTTGCTAGAGTGGGTTAACCAACCTCAGTAACATGGATGAGGTCATGTGAATGGCAAATGTCTTTCTTTCTATTCCAATTAGAAAAAGAGGATCAGAAATTGTTTGCATGTGCGTGGAATAGGCAACAATATATATTTAGTTTTGTATTCTGTCATAATATAGCACAAAGAGATCTCAACTCTCTAGATTTCCAACAGAATACCACTCCTTTATGATACTATGCTAATTAGGCCAGATGAGCAATAACTTGTCAGCATGCCGGTGGCATTGGTGAAACACACACAAAATGGAGGATAGGAGATAAACCCTTTGAAGAGGTCGGAGGCTGCCACACTAATATAGTCTTCAGGGATTCTGTGGTGTGGGGAGTTCAGGTTGTCTCTTCCATAGTAAAGATACATTATTACATGCTGCAACTCCCACCATGAAAAGAGAAGCACAACACTTGGTAAGCTTCTTCAGGTTCTAGATTTGATAACGTATTTCTCATTCAGGAATACTGCTCTGACCCGTATGTTGTGCAATGTAAAAGGCTGCCAGCTTTGAGTGAGACGTAGAGCAGGAAAAATCTCAGTAGGAGGTATTGGTTGCAGTCCACCAAGCCCTGTTGTTGGGTCATGTAGGCCAGCAGACACCGTGATATTAGTGGTAGCAGTGGTGGGAAAAGATGCTGTGTGGAGGTTATGTCAAGTGCCAGTGGTAGAATCCCAACATAGGCTATGGGATTAAAGCTTTGCCATCTGTAGCAGTTATTTGTATGCCTTTTGAGAAACAACTCCTGATATATTACTGAAGCCTCATGGAGATTATGTGCCTGCTATGGGACACCAAGGCACTGCACCTGTAGAACCACGTATCTTAAGGCAGGGCTAGCAGAACTTTAAGAGATGGATTCTAGAAGTAGAAAACTTGGGTTGAGCATAAATAGGACTGGAAGACACAAAAAAAGCTGCATGACAAGACAGTCCCATCTTCCATGTCATTTGCCACTGTTGTCCCTGAACCTCTTCCACAGCTCATCCCTCACTCCATATGGAGGATGCCACATGGCTCACTGCTGGAGGAGGAAAAAGCCTTCAGATTTGGTTTATAGATGGGCTGGTTTAGTAGGTGGATGCCAAACAAGCCAAAAATGCATGGCAGCTACACTGCAGCCTTGTTCAGGAGTAGCTCATGGGGCTAGAGAAAAATCCTTAAAATAGGTAGAGCTTTAAGGTCCACCCGGTTATTCTCTTTGTGTGGAAGAATAAATAGGAGCTCTGTTAGAATATATATGGACTGGTGGGTAGAAGTGAATAGCCTGGCTCAGGATGCTGAAAGCAGAGATATCAGAAGATTGGGGAATAGGAGTCTTGGAGTATAAGCATGTGAATGACATGTGAGAGTGGACACAAAGTGTGAAGATCTTTGTGTCACATGTTAACACCTATCAACTAGAGAGCACCCACTGCAGAAGACATATTAAACAATGGTGTGGACCTGTGTTGTCCAATATTGTATGCACTAGCCACACGTGGCTACTCCAAATTGAAATGTGCTGTAATTGCAAAATACACACTGGATTTCAAAGACTTAGTCTTCCAAAAAGTATGTAAAATATTACTAATAATTTTTATATTGATTACATGTTGAAATTTTTTATATATTGGGTTAAGTGAAATATATCATTAAATTAATTTTATCTTTTTGTTAACTCTTTTTAAGTTGGCTATGAGAACACTTAAAATTACATATGCAGCTCACATTTGTAGCTCACATTATATATATTTTTTGATAGTATTGATATAGACAGAATAACTTGGCCGGTTGGCAGCAAGCAGCCAGCCTCAGTTATTGGCTACTCCAGGGCTGCTGTGATAGGTACATGGATTGGGTGGCAGTGGGAGCCACGAAGGCTCTTCTTGGGTCCATGAGCATGGCCTGCCACTTACCAAGACTGATAAAGCTCCTGCTGCTGCCAAATGTACAGTCTGCCAGCAACAGAGACTGATGCTGAGCCCTCCATATGGCACTATTCTTCTGGAGCCTAACCAGACACTTGTTGGCAGATTGATTACATTGGGCCCCTTCCATCTTAAAAGGGCCAGAGATTTTTTGTGTTTTTATTTGTTGTTTGTTTTAAATAAAAATAGACATATATTCCAAGTATAAGTTTGCCATTCTTACCTGCAGGGCCTTGGCAAACACCGTTATTCAAGGACTAACAGTATATTTGATCTGCTCACATGGGATCCCACATAACATCATATCAGAGCATGGGCACATGACCATGAGACCCACTGATCATATCATAGACTTCAAAGCTCCCGGCCTGACAGAGCGTTGACTGGCCTGTAGAAGGTGCAGTTGAAGTGCAAGTTTGGAGATGATGTTCCGCATGAATTCGTTACTATCCTCCAGGATCCAGTATATAGATTGAATAAAAAACCTTTACATAATAATATGTCCCCCATAGGAAGAACACATGGGTGCAAACTCTACTGGGTGGAAGCAGGAATGTCTCTACTTAACATGACCCACTGGAGAAAACTGTGCTTCCTATTCCACAACTCTATAGGGTTAAATGTCTTTGCAGTCTTAAAGGTCCTAGTCCCCAAAGAGGTCACATTTTTATCAGGGGACTAAAGAGTCCCATTGGACTTAAGCTATTGCTACATCCTAGGATTTTTAGGCAAGGAGAAAAAATACCTCACCATCTTGGTAGAGGTATTTGACCTTGATCCTCAGGAAGAGATGGGCCTACTGTTTCATAATAGGAGCAGGAAGTAATATTCACTTAGGTGCCTTTTGGCTCTGGGTCACACCACCAAGTAAGCCATTGAGGCTAGCAACTGTGTTTGATGAAGCTGAGAAGAATGTAGAATTAATAGTGAGAGAGGGAGATGGTCAGTTTTAGTTGTGGCTTTAGGACCAGCCAGAGTGGCAGGAACTGTAATTTATTTTACTAACCTTGCTCCTTTAAGTTTTCCCCCAGGGAGAGAGGCCCACCAGAATCCTGAAGGAGCTGTTCCCTGAAATTTAAGTGATGACATGAATCTGAGGACCTGAGGGATGGATGTAGAAGACACAGAGCTGTTTTACCTTCAAAAATTCCCTTTCAAGGAAGGACTTGTCCCAGGTCCTAAGAGCGCTGTCAGAAAAACATCCTCCAGCTCTCAGCTCTTTTCAGGCTTTCTCCTCACTGCAGGGTGCCAACTCATCTGAGAGCACTCCCTTTCTGGGGTGGAAGACATCCAGAGACTGACTGTGGCGTGGCTATAAAGGCCCAGCCATTTCAGCCCGCGAGGGGATGACTCAGAGGATCCCTTATCCTCTAGAGCACTCCAGTGGGGTCGGTCCGCATCACAGCCTGATTTCTGTCTTTTCCTAATCTGCTTCCTCCCGCTAGCTCCCACAAGAATTGATTCCTCATGGAAATCCTGCATGCTAAACTCCATCTCAGAATTGTGTGCTTACAGCAAACACAACCTGAAACACTAGCCTTTCTAAAGCTTCAGTCCTGTCTGTTATTTAGTTCCTTCTATATATATATATGTATATTCTCTTCTTAAAATTCTCATTCGCTCCAAATCTTACGTCTTTGTCTAAGCTCTAGACTTACATTTCCTTCCGTCCATTTGTTATTTTCACTGAGTATCCCAGCATCAATTCAAGCTGTCCAAAATGAACACATCTCTTCCTCCTTATAACATTCTAATTTATGTTGATGATATTTATCTTCTTATGTCCTTCCCCATATTCCACCTATGGTATTTTAGGCTCATAATTATTTTGTTACCTTTAATCTCTCACATCGTAATAGGCTTTCAAATAGCTGACTTTTTCTCTGCTGTAATTACCCACATCTTTCTACTTGCTTGTCTAGAGGGACTCTGCCTGTCTTTTCCCCCACACCCTCCTCATTGTAGCACATTCTTGCACAGTATCCTAAATCAGAGTAGGTTCTTAACTCTTATTTTTTCTAATGAATACTGACTGCAATAGCTACTGCAAAGATTTTTCCTCTGGCATTTCCATCCTCCCAAACTGTCTGTGCACTGTAGCCACACTGATATTCCATACTGCAAATCACTCTTATTTGATTGATTTTCCTTTTCTAAAATCTTCAGGATTTCCTGAAGGAAATATCCTTATTTCCCTAAGGATATGAGCCAGATTCCTTGGGTTGGTCTTCAAAGCTTTGCACTGTCTAAATGCACTCTCCTAACCTGATTTGTCATTTGTTCTTGATAGTAAATTATCTGTTCTTAACCAGGTCCTTCTGCCCCCCACCAGAAGAGTGATGTTGTTCTGATCAGCCTTTCCTCAAATTGTTCCATAATGTGGACTATGGGGGTAACCCTGCTAGCTGAAATTCTCCCTCTCTCTGAATCTGACACCTTTTCCACTGTTTCAGCCAATCATCTTTCCCTCATCTGAACTCCTATACAGGAGTGGACTTTGCATCACTCAATTTTTTACTTTGCATACATCAGTAAATGTATTTTAAGTCTCTACCATGTTTTAAACACTAAACTGAATGCTGAGAAGACAGAGTAATGAGAAGTGTTTTCTGTTCTCAGGAAGTACTGAGGCGGAGTAGATGCATAAATAAGCTAGTGCAGTGAGACTCGAAGGGGCTCTAATACATGTCTGCTTTGCATAAAACAACAGGCAAACGATTTTCAGGAGTATTGGAAGGGCAACATAAAGGAAAGAATATTTGTGTTTTCTCTTGATAAATAAATAGATGGTCACTAGAATTGTGCTGTCGGGATAGGTTTATGGGGTGTATATTCTTGGCAGAAGAGACAAGCTGAACAGAAGCAGGGAAAATGGACTAGCAGGTGAAATCTAAGGAACCGCTCTTGTGGGCAGCAGAAGACGTGGGAAGTAAAGGGAGAGCTTGTACCCAGATCTCAGGCGACCTTGTGAGGCATTCCAAGGAGTCTGAATTTTGTTTTGTTGGCAGTGAGGAGGGAACACCACAAAATATGTTTAATTCAGTGAATAACATGTTCAAATTTGAGTTTTAGGATGATCACAAAATCACATATTATTATTTGCTTTTAAAAATATAGATCCAGTCTCTAAATATAAAACAAGTTGTTGGAAGAAAGTGTCTTGGATATGATAGGAGATTTAAAAAAATGCAATTTTTTTTCCTTCATCCTACTGCCAATAAAAGTTAAGTTTTAGTTACCTTAAGCCAGTAGCTTTAAACAGTTGGGCACATATACGTACCATGCACACGCATATATTCTAAACATCAAATCACACAGATTCTGCTTTAAGCAAAGCAAAACAAAAATACTACTAAGCAGTTAAGTGAAAGGATACTACTTACAAGAGATTGAATTTGTCCTTGTAAAAATAGCCTCCAAATTTCATTTACATAAAGAGTTCTCCTCTGGCCCTTGTGTTTGTTTACACATCATCACTTGATGAAGGGGTTGAATAGCTGAGAAAGTAAAGTGCTATAAGCATCTTCACTTAGGGATAAATCCCAATAAAGTTAACACATATTTGAAATGACAATGTAATGAACCATTTCACAGGAACTGACTTCACACACAACTTTTCAAGAATATTATCTGTTACACAGTGGAAGGGAGGTATCCTTGTGTGTGCTGGGACAGCGTAACGGATTGCAGTTCAGGATGTAAGAACAAAGGTTTTACACAACAGGCAACAGAAATGCAACAGTAGATACAACTTAGAAACCGGTTTTACTCTGCTGCAAACAAATGGACAAGATATTGTACAATATGTAATAAAAAGTACAGCATAATACAAGTGCCACTAATAAAAGAAACTTAAGGATAAGACTTAAAAATGCTTATTTGTTATATATATATACACACTGCAATAAAAAGCCACAATAAATACACGAATTTCCATGTCATTCATAATAAATACTGAAAATATAAATACAGAAGACTACAGCTAATATGAATAAATTATTACAACATAAGGTCCAGGTTAAGTTCTGTTGAATATTATTGTAGCTTATTTTATATACCCTTTGGCATTTTTGATGTTATAACTTATACACAAGAGAAATCAATCTAGAAACTGTGTGACATACAACATGACATCTTAATGTAACATGACTGTATGTGTGGACTGGAGTTGATTTTCCTCCTTTTCAACTGTTTTAAGTCATTAGATTGAACATAACTAATAAATATCTATTGAAGTACTGTTGATATTGAGTAAAAGTAACAATAAAAATCAGTTGAAAGATAAAACTAATCATAAGGTCACAAAATACAGTTCAGTGGCTTTTCTGAGTTTTTAAAGTTACTTTTTTTTTTGCCAGCAACAAACAAACAAAAAATAAGAGAACAAATATTCTCAAAAGACTTCCCTTGTGTAAGGACCATTCCCAATATCTGAATGGTTCAACACAGACTGAAGGATAACACCCAAGTCCTTTGGATCATTTGATCTACCAATACATTCAGCTCACTAGATTCCACCAGAATTTGCAAATGTACCAAATTTCTATGGCAGTTGGAAAGTGAGACATAGTTGATGTCTAAAACTATGATCAAGATGAAGACACTGCAAAAAGTGACATATGTCTATGCAACCAATTATACATATTTTTAAAATGGGAAACGTATTTTTGACAAATGTCAAATGATCTATCAAATTGATATACCCTGTGACACTGAGGGAAACACACTGAAAGAACAAAGTGCCATTTTCTGCGTAAACAGGCATTAACCAGTACATATGTATTAAAAGTTCTATCTTAAGAGGCTAGTACACCAGAAATTCAATAAACTAAAAATAAAGCAGATCAACTTTACTAAGACACAATAAAGGCTGAGGTTCTTAGGAACAGAGCTGTAATCTACAGGTTTATTTTTATTTTATTTTTTTACTATTTCTGTACTGTAAATTTCTAGCATTTATTATACATCAAACACTTTTGAAACATGTTTCACAAACTATGCCTCAGACTTATTTCAATAGAGGTGCCTAGAGTCAATTAAAACATGGGCCAAATTTTATTCAACATTCTTTACATGATCATTCTATAGCATTAGCCTTTTTTTTTTTTTTAAATAAAAAAGGTCATTTCCCCCTAGTGTTATTTGTGGGGAGTAACCACACTGATGTGGCTGTCATTTCACAAGAGCATCCGAGTTTGGGAGATATGCAGCTGTACCAAGATTGAAAAAAATCCCATGGAGAAAGGAAACATTGATTTCGGGGGTGTTCCTCATCTTCTGGTGAGTTCTGACTCTGAGTTGGGTGTCAACTCTGAGCAGATAAAAAAGGCTTTGAAAGCTCCAGGGAGTGCTTGAATCAAGTGATGTAACCAGAAAAATCACCATTTCTCCACGACACCTCCCTTCGTTTTCAGGCCTTGTCAAGAAGACAAATTTTTAAATCATTTTCCTGACCCCTGAGAAAGCAGGAAGCCATTGTTTAAATAACACAAGGACAAAGGCTGGGATCAAATGGTGGCTGTGTAAATCTCTGGAGTCATTTTATTCCATCAGACTCTTCACAACTATTCCTATCTCCCACAGGAGGAGTGGAAAAACTTTGGATTCTTATTTGTCATTTTAAGCCAAGGAAAGATTAATGAGAAGGTCATTACTTAGAAGTAAGAATGTAGAAAATGCTTACTTTTTGTAATTGTAACTTCTTAGAAAATGGAACAGCTTAAAAGTCAAGTCATTTGATCCTAGTTCTGATGTTTGTACTGGGGATCTGAAACAGTCACTTTTCCTGACATTACCTACCGACATAAGAGCAATCACAAAAACAAACAACAACAACAGCAAAAATGAAAACCTAGTACAGCCATATTTGTCAAAAGTTGGTCATGTTACAGACCATTGTCTCTGAATCCGTGTCTTTCTTTAAAAATCTGATTTCTTAGGAGACTTATGGAATGATCATATATTAATGTAATAATCACCAAATGTAGGGGGAAACCCAACTTCCCTTGAATCCCCTAGTACAATGGCCCAAATCACCACAACTGTTGCCAGGTGCCTAACCCTCAAAGACTGGCCAAGATATTTTCTTATTGTGAGAAAACCTAAGAGAGCTGAATTGTGTTGCCAAGGAAACTGCCTTCCCTAGAGATGTTAAGAATAGATGGCGATCTCTCCTGTTGGGCATGCCTAAGTGACAGTCTTCCCTGGTGGTAGATCGATGAGCCATATGACCTCTGGAGATCCCTCCTAGTCTCAGGACCATAAATTTGAAGAATATAGAAGAATCTCAAACTTTCCAGTATTCACACACAGTTGGCCATTGTGAGTATCTTTGAAAAGATTAAACTATTCTGAGATCCCCATTTGGCATGACTAGTGCCTAATGAATCAGGGTTCAGATGGTAACCCATGGCAGTGGGCTTTATTTGTTTGAGACACAAATGAAATGACTTTGCCAACTATTACATCTTAAAATCAATCACTTTCAGATATCATTTGGATACCATTAAATAACTCAAGGATCAACACTAAATAAATTAAAAAACAACAACAACAACAACCACCACCAGGCAACAAGTTCCTAGGTTAGATACTTAGGTTTTTCCACTTTAGGGTAATTGAGATTTAGATTTTATTTTTTCTTCTCTTTTTTATTAAATAAAGTTGCAAAAATGTATATAGATCTTTAAATTTGTTTTAAAGAGGGGTGGCTTTTTTAATGGCTAAGGAAAAAAGCTTGGTGACCACATGAAAAGGAGGAGCAAAACAAAATTGGATACAATGTACTACAAAGGTAGAAATTTCAAACTCCTTTTCCATAGGTCCCCTATGTAGAGACAACAGCAAAACCATTATTAGGAAGCCATGTCCCTGACAAGAAGGGTCGGGGGTAGTGGCCTTATCCAGTGTGGCAGTAGGACTTGATGAAGGTCTCTGGTGATACAAGTACCTAGATAAATTTAAAAGAGACATTTTCTAGGTCAATTTTCTTCCAAATACTCATTAATAAATACCTTTTAAGATAATCCCAAGACAGATAAAAATATTGGGAGAAAACCAAAAGAGAAAGGAAAGAGATCCTCTAACAAAGAAGCTACTCTAAAGTTACAACTAAAACTGTTCAATCAGGTCACATAAATTAACTTAGACAATGGCAAGGCTAATTTCTACCATAAATTTGTCTCCTTCTAACCCTTTCTAATCAATATACATTATCTTAAAAATATTTAAATGGCCTCACATGTCACTAAAATGAGTTAACGAATGAACTTAACTATCACCGTGGTAATGATAAAGAGAGGAGTTACATCATTAGCATGCTGAATACAAATGTTATCCAAAATAAATTCTATCACATTCCTTTGAAACTTTAGTCCTGCCAGAAACTTTTATGAGAGATGACATAAAGTGACACAGTGAAGTTGACATTTCTTGAATTATAAGCCAATGCAAAGGATCAAATTTATAAAAGCAATTACCCTGTATAGTGATATATTTATCACAAGTAAAAGAAAGTAGTCACCAACGTGACTTACATCTTTGAAATGACCTCATTTCCCATGGATACAACAAGTATCTGTATTTACTAAAATTCCAGGCTAGATGTGAATATTTAAAAAATCTACATATAAAAGTAAACTGAAACATATTGTTTTAGGCTTTGAATCTGGTCGTATTCACTCTCCTGGTTCCCATCATTCTACTGGCATTACCACTCTCAGGATAGGAAACCCAAGGCATGCCAAGACAGCACAGACTTAGACTAGCCTGAGAACTGATCACCAGGTAAAACACAGGTCATATCAAATGTTTCAGCTTGAATTTCTGGAAAAAAAGAATAAAACAAAACAACTGCATTGTTTAGGAAGGGGGTCTCATGGTCCAGTTTGAAAAAGCCAAGAAAGGAGTCAAAATAAAATTTAGAAGTGACTGTTTTAAGGACTCACGTTGAATATCTAGATTTGGTAGGTAAAATGTGAAAGAAGAGCTTTTTTAAATGTCTGCACTTTTTACTTTTGACAATCATGAAAGTCATTGATCACTTATTTTAATATAAAATGTGTTTAAATTTTTTAACAAAATAGTTTCTTTAGAATGCTGTAGGTGTGTGTTTTTATTTTCTAAAGCATCAAATGACTTACAGACTGTAAAAATGTAATTGATATGAATGTTGGTCAGCAGATGTGAGCACCAACTGGGCTGAAAGGGTGTCCACATTGTAACTGCCCCTTCTAGGTTTGGGGCTGCCATTTGTAACTCTAGTCTTTATGATGTAATAAGATCTGGCTTAGCTCTGCTGAGCTTTTTTTTTCATAATTCCTAGAAGACACCACCACTTATTAAGCTTTTATTGCGTCCTCACTTCCACTCTGATACTTCCATAATTCTAGTGGGTATTAAAATTGCTGATATTCAATTAAGTCAATCAAATTCTTTACTACTATAGAAAACATCTGATGAGCTGTGCTGTTGGTGCAGAGCTACAGCATTTTGGCTTAGGCATTTTTGTTATTCCAGCACTAGTTAGCAGATTTCAGAAAAAGTAATGCAATCAGAAGGTGAAAATTCATATTAGACCTAATATAGAGTAATCAAGCCTTTAAACTTTGGGTTTTGGTTGTGGTAAGAATACAACCAACAGTTCTAATTTAAAATTACAGACAAGTCTTGCCTTTGAAAGCACAAAGGTGCTTCCCATTAAAGCCTGGTATTTAATACACTGGCTATAATGGCACTGCAAACTGTCATCAAGAGAATAAGGAACAGAGATGCCATTTTAAAGAGAAATATTGAGTTGTTTGGAGAAATAGAAGGCTTCATGACACCTTTTAAAAAGGCAGTCTCCTGTTGGCTTCTGAGAATATAAATTTTCCACCTGCTAATTTGATGGTTTGTAACTCCAGCTGAAAGTGATGGAGTCTAACAACCTCTCTGTTTTCCACCTGCTGCAAAGTGATGTCTTTGGAATTTGCAACAGGATTTTGCTGTTTTGATAGGCTTTTTATAAATAGAAGTAAGAGTGATTGTGTTCCACACTGTTGTCTTAAAAGTTTCCTGAAATGTTTCCTGGGTTATGCATGAGTCAAATCCTCCTTGAAACTGTCTGATAGGAGTTTGCTGGTGTAAATTTAGCATCACTTATATAGGTCTAACATTGAAGAAGCAATTAATCGAAAATTTCTTTTTCATTTGATTCAGTCCTAGCTGAGTCCTGATTTAATTCATACATTTCAGATGGAGGGAGAGAGATGAAGGGCGATCCAGTGAGTTCTATAATTTAGGTAAAGGAAGCATCTTTTAGTTGCAGCTCACATATAATTAGACAAGAACTGATGTCAGTTTTTCTAATGTCACTTGATAAAATCACATATTAAGAGGATTTGAGAAAGCTTGATTATTTCATGCCACCCTTCATTAATATTATCCATTATAATTTGTAGTGTTCCCCTCTTTTTACTACCCAAGACAGTTGTTCTAACACAGCATGTGTTCAGTACATATTTGTTGAAAGAAAGAATTGATACTTAATAAATTTTGAATATAAAGACCAAAGAGTCATAAACTTGTGCAACAATATCAAAAATTGAAATAAAAGAAACAGTGATTAGCAAGTTATAGAAAGTAAATCATGGTATGTTTTCCTGTTTAATGGTAATCATACCAAAATTTTGCCTAGAAGTCATCTATTAGAATGTAAAATTTTAAAGAACATAGCCACTTAACATACTCTCTTTGCTTCTTGATTAATTCGTAACTAGTGTTTTTGCAACTCATAGTTTTTTTTTGGAGGGAAGGAATTCAGGGAGTATTGCAGGGCCATATATGATTGTGAAGATTTTAAACATACTAAGAAACATTAGTTTCACATTTTACATGTGGCTGTCACATTGAGAAAATGGTTTTATCACAAAGAAATGATGGGCTTTCAAAAAGTAACTATATTATTCAATCAACCAAAAGACATGAGACAAATGAATTTTACCCATGTCTTAATAATTAATGATCAAGAGATAAGGAGGAAAAACTTAAGTAAATCTCTTTCATTGACTTCTCCCAAAGGAAATTGGGAATGACAAAGGAGATGCAAGCTGCTTCAGCCACTTGACTTTCAAATCAATTCGGCCAGGATTATAACTGGGAATTAAGTCCCATTTAAAGGTATAGGACTGGTACTAGAATAGCCAGGGCTGGAGCATGAAGCTTTGCAATTGATAGTGAATGACTAAAAAGTTGTGTGTCAAAGACTACAGTTTGGCTAGATATACTATGGAGGCAATACAACAGCTGCAGGTCAGGTTATTGTGTCTTGGCATAAAGATCTTAAGTATTCCAACTGGCTGCATGTAGCTTGATCCCCATTTTTAAAAGCTTAGAAGGACTGTAGCACTTTCCTGGCATGTGGGCAGCTCTTTGTTGAATAGAACGGCTATTAATGGAAAAAAAAGTCAGCTGGAACAGTGTGCTCTCTCAGCTTTTCTGGGAAAGGAACTAAAAATGAAATGATTCCATCATAAGTATGTTTGCAACTTTGACCTGATATTTTCAAACTACAGCTCTACCAATTATCCTCTTTTCTAAACCACATTTTTTTAGATCATAAAGCCCAACCAGATTCTGGGGTTAGAAAAACTCAATACTGACTATTGGCCATTGCCTGAAATCTGTCATTCTCTAAGTGTGTGATATGTATATATTTTGTATGTGTGTGCATGTGTATGTGTTAGGTATATGGGAGAGTTTTAATAGGTAGCCTGTGTATGTGGTTTGTGGGATATGTTTACAGGTTAGTCAGGTATATGAAAAGTTGGAATAGAAGCTGTCATGATTGGAAGGGTAATTCTTCTCACAGGGCAGTGACTTTCTACCCTAGATAAATGGATAGGGGAAAAAAACTCTGTTTTCTTAAGCATCCTTTTGGAAACAAAGCTAGAAAACAAAGACCTAGCCAAAAATAAAAAAGTAGGCTTCATATCGTCTTAGGAAAATAAAGCTGAACTAAAATTAAAATATCTCTTTTCAGAAACTGGACTGTCATTCTACCCTTCAGCTTTGCTCAGGCTGGAGCTGGCTCTTCCCCACTCTCCCACACTCTGTGTTCCAAGAATAACCTCAGAGTACTTCACAAGCAGATCCTTCAAGAGCTTGTAATGGTCCAGCAAATACAGTACACATGATCCTTTCATGTGCTTGAATGAAGGAACAATAGCCTCTTGTCATTTTCTCTTTGGGCCTGTGCTCTTTAGATTGTATCAGTAGGGGGAAAATTTTGGAGATTAAGCACTAAAAACTGTCACTTTGCAGACAACATGGGATATATATATATACACACACACACACACACACACACACATACATATATGTGTATATATATGTGTATGTGTGTGTGTGTGTGTATATATATATATATATATATATATATATATATATGTATATTTGAGATTTCAACAAATCCTCATTCTGATTAGCCCAAAGGGCCAATCATTCAAAAGGAACAACCCTGCTCTCATTACTGCAACCTACATAAAGACAAACCCAAAGCTCTTTTAATGTTAATATTAAGAGTTATAAATTTGGCCCAATGTAGGGGGGAAGAGAAGGGGCAGAAACCAACTGCACAGTGGAAGAGCTGCCAAGTAAACATTTTTTCCCCAAAACAAAGTTTAGTAGAAACTTTTCCACTGGAGGACTTTCTCTAGATCAAGCATTTTTAAGTTCAATTAAATAAAATATTTTTTTTAGAAATTGAGATCTACAATATATTTATATCCATAATTCTAAACACCCAAGTCTAAAAGACATAAAAAATAAGTAGCGATGCAGTCACTGAATAGCAAGTCATGTCCGCATTTCAAATAGTTATAAAACATGTGAAGTGATATAACAATAGAAGGTCAAAAATATGAAACAGGTTTAGCATAGTCATATTGCATTGGAAAAAAAAAGGCAGAATTACACTATTTAGTTACCTAAATTAATTTACAGGGAAACGGGATCCTAGAAGTCCTCCGACGAACCAAGTGCAGGTAATCTAAAGGTGGGGAGTGCATGTTTTATTTCTATCTGTTCTCTTTAATAAGAGAATGTGAGGTAATTAGAAAGTATGCAATGCATTCTGGACTGTTCTGCTAGTTGTCCCAGGCAAGACAAATCAAAATGCTTCAGAAAAGAAAGGCCTAGTTGAGTATTTGGGTAGAGGCCCCCCTTCAATCAGCTAGTCACTAAGTGGAAATCTCATTATACACTGATTTTGTAGAGATGGATTGATCACGCTGGAGAAAAGGCTGGTTGCTGAGGTCGTGTCTCTTCCATGTTTCCTCAGCCTCCTCTGCATTTACTGAGTTAGGTCCTCAGAGTGGTGAAGGAAAATAGGTCATTTTCCCTTCATAAGTATCATTGGATGATTCCTCTATATTAATTATATGAACCTTATAATAGTTAAAGATCTTTTTAATTTTTTTTTAAATTTTTTCATCTCAAAGAGTTCTCAGTCCCCACCCCACACGAGGTACCGTGAAGGGGCACTAAAGTGCATTTTGATGTAGGGGGTAGAGCTTAAAGGTGCTGTCCAAGCTAAGAATCAAGATGATGCTGTTTAAAAAAGAAAGGCAATTCCTTCTACCTCCATCTCTGGAGTCAGCTGAGGGAGGGCAGTGAACTAGACTCTCCCCAGAGGATTGTCCTAACTCTTAACTTTAGAGAAAACTGTGTAAGGACCTGCACATATAGAATCATTTATTTGTCCAAAATAGCAAAAATAGGCCTATTTCACCCTTAAGAATTTGCAAATCTGATCAGTCATGATCATAAAAATGTGAATGGATTCCAGATGCAATCCATGTGGGCATGCTCTGTGGAACTAGCTATGCATCTTCAGCTTGAATGAACATGCGGCTGTTCATTTTCATCAAAACATGTCTTCTAAACTACCATAAATAAAATACACATGGAACAATTAAATCTTTTTCTTACAATAATTACTTTTACATTAAAAAGTCATCATTATCTTCAGATATATTGAAAATTAGGACTCTAAATCTTATTATTTCCCAGCCTTAGTTAACAATCTTGCACAGGCCCGATAATCCAAAATTTGGAGCTCTGATCTACACAGATTGGCAGGTTTCACACAGTTTGACAGGTAGGCAACTGTGAGATATGCATTTTAAAATTTAGCTTTTTCTATCAAAACAGTCTGAAATCTTTTAAAATCCCTACAGAGACTGTATTTGTGCAATGCCACAGTCATGTGGCTAGAAAGGAAAAAACAAAATACAGTCTGGAAGATTAACCACCGTCCAAGTTTTCTTGGTCTTCAGTTTAAACAATGATGAGCCCAGGAAATCCAATTAAATACAGTGCCTTAAATAAGAGAAGAGTTGGTCCTAGAATAATTTAAGCTACTAAACAGGGACTGTCTCAACCACGGGTGATTTGATGCACTCTTCATGCAATATGCTCTTTTCTGCAAGGCTCAAAGAATTTTCAGCAGGATGCTCTGAAATGTGACTGTCACCATTCAATGCAGAGACAAACCCTTCTTGGGAGGGGCCTTTCAAGTATGAGTGAAATTCCACTTGAGGGTGATTGGACCTGTGTTCAGGATATAAACTATTGCAGGGCACACCGCTATCATTTTCGGAAGAGGAGCAGCAAACGATTACAGAGGGGTTGGCAGCTGGGTAGTGGGAGGCACCATAGGCCTCTTCTGCTTGTCGGGCATAGTCAACGAATTGCTCCGGGGTCATGGTGTAAGGCACCAGCGAAAGGGTACCATTTTTGACAGTGTCTCTTTCAGAATAGTTCTCAGAGATCTGATTTGGAGTTCCTGGAATGTGGCTATCTATTTGGTAATACAGAGTTGAAGAGTTGGCATAAAAAGAAGCATTCTTTGCATGGCTTTCGTGAACGGCGGTGCCATCAGAATAACAAAGAACTGAAGGAAGAGGGACAACTTCGGCATGGGTGCCCAAACCTTCCACGAAGCCATCTCCTTTGTCATCATCGTCATCCTCCTCCTCCTCTTCCTCTTCTTCTTCCTCCTCCTCCTCGTCTGACTCACTAGGTGCCAAGCTTTGCGTGCTAGAATCTGTGACTCCGCTGCAAAAGCTGCTCCCATCCTCCTCTTCTTCCTCCTCCTCTCCTTGGCAATCTAATTCTTCAGCCGACTGCAGGTGCAGCACTGCAGCCTGGGGCTCAGTTTCAATCTCAAAACTGTCTGCGATTGAATATTCTACGGAGTGAGCGACAGGGCCCATAGAACTACTGTGAGCACTTATCTCACTGTGGCAGCCATTCAGCGTGGGGATTTGCTGCTCTCGGTTTTTCTCCAGTTCAAGTTTCATTATTGTGTGCAAAAAGTGAGTCCGAACACGGATAGGATTAAATTCAATTCTACCTGCTGTGTTACTACATCCTTCTTTAGTGCAGCCGCATGGGAAAGACATACGATCCACCTTGGAAGGAAGAACACAGATTAGCACCATGGAACTATTACAAACCAAATAAACGCCCAGAACTTTTCAGTAACTTCTTTGAATTAAGTAATCCATCCACTTAATTCCACATATGCCAGAGCAAATGACAACCAAACTTCAAATAGAAATGAAAAGGGGAAAGTGAGGGCTTAAAACATAAGAGTTAACTGCTTTTTATACCTATATTCAAAATAAAAATGGGTTATGGGCATAAGTGTGTATTTTCAGTTCACTGACCCACTCCATGGCTTTCTACCCTTTTTTCTGTATTCCCTACTTTCCCTTCCCTCCACTTCTTTAATTTTGCTCCCATGTTTTGAATGCTCCTGTCTTTCCCCCAAGTTCCTTTTCTTTCTGCTGCACCCCAGCTCTTGTGCCTGATTTTAAACAAGCAAACTTACTGTACTCCTCTCCACATGCTATTAATCTAACATATATGATGTACCCCATGTTAACTTTTCCTTTTGCTTTTGCTTATTATAAAGGTGCTTTTCCCTTTGCTTATTATAAAATGGACTTACACAACTTAGCATCATGCAACCTCACAATTTGCTCTCATTTGCTTACCTTCTTATTGTTTGGGGTGCTTGGTACATGGGTGCATGTGTGTGTACTGTACTGGAGCGCTGCAATGGATATGCACATTCATGACTATGACTGGGGGACTCATGTGTTTAGGTCCTGAGTCCCCCCTTCCCTCTCCATTCCATTAGATACAATCTTCTTGAAGGAAGGGCATGTACGTTTCATCAATATTCCAAAACTATTTTGGTGATTGGATACCGAAGATAGAGTGTTTGGGTTCAACAAGTGTTGGACTGACCTCTTCACTCAGGTGAGAGGTGGGGTTCTGGACAATCCAAGGGTATTCATGAGAGATTTACCAATTGTCTCAGATTCCACAGATTAATCTGTATGCAGACCAGAGTATAGGCAAGAGAAAAAAACTTGCTCTGCTTGTCACCTTATCCAGCCATGGAATTTCCTATGCTAAAGAAGAGAAGGCAGACTATTCTAATACAATCATCTTGGCCCCAGTAAAAAGTATAGCAGATATTAGAGCCAGAATTTGTATCTGTATTTTTTTTTTTTTTTTACTCATGAATCTTTCTGTGAACCCATCTTAAGCAACTGTTCAGCAGATAGGCACTGCCCTCTTCTTTTGACTACCTGAGTTGCTTTCCTTATTGAAAAAGCCAAGTTTCTGCATAAAATAGTGACACTAATCATAGCGCACCAATGACATTATAAATGAAGGGGGACCAGGAAATTATCTGATTGCCAGTCATCAGGGGTTGGTAAACTTTTTATTTGCAGAGGTCAAAGGAGTCAATATTTTATGCTTTGTGGGCCATATGGGCTCTGTGGCAACCACAATACTCAATTCTGCTGTAGGAGCAAGAAAGCAGTCATAGGCAATATGTAAAGAAAAAAATGTGGCTGTGATCCAATAAAACTTTATTTACAAAATCATGTGGCAAGGTCGGATTTGGCCTGTGAACTTATAGGGTGCCAACCCCTGACCTAGTTCGGTTCCTTCATTTTAGAGATAAAGAAAGTAACCCAGTGGGCCTGACTTGCCAATTTCATATAGTTGGCAAACAGCAAAGATGGAAGTACAATTTCATTTTCTGCAGTCTCAATCTAGTAATTTTTCCACTAATCCAACCACCTTTAATCAATCATCATTTTATATCCCATGGATGGATCAGAAAATACACACTCCAGTGTTAGGGATGTCATGATCTCCTTCAACATTGGTAAAAAGCTGAAATAAGGTGATATAATACAAGAATCCAAGATAAAATAATTTTAATTAACTCAGCTGCTACTTGGGTTGTCTTTCAGATTATATGTTATATGTATAAGCATTTTATGTATTCCCATGAATGGCCTTAAATTAGTCTTTCTCTCTTCCTGAATTATGTCTTTCTTCCTGAATTACATGTCTTGCCTTGCCAAAAAATTTTCTTTTACATGTGGGAAGCTTCATTATAGGTACCATGACTGCCTCCTTAGGGGGTGGTAGACAATGTCTTGTCTTTGGATGCCCTGAATTCCCAACCCTTACCTGGCACTTAATGCCAGCCAGGCTGCAGGTGCACGTGTCTGGATCACAGAACACTCGGCAGTCACAGCCACAGTCCTCTCGTGAGAGGCGGATGGCTCGGAGTTCGTGCTTTTCTTCCACGTCAATCTTTTTCACTCCAGAGGCACGCAGCAGAGCTCTTCGTTTTTTTGTTGGCAAAGGTTGTAGGAAGAAGTACTCATCTACCTCTGTGTTGTCCAGGTCAATGTCATCATCAGAAATGTCATCCAGTGTAAGAGTGCTGGCTTCTTCTGATTCTACTGTGCCATTCTTAGTCATCTAAAAACACAAAGCAGCAAATAAGAGACTCATTAAGGGCAGGGTACAAAATCTGTATGTTTGTACTGGGTGAGAATGAACTATTATATATCATCATGTCCTCATAATCAACAAGTGTTTGTTAGATCATTTTTTTAATCTTTAGGAGAAATCACAGAAAGAAAAATAAAGGCATCAAAATGTTAGGCTTTTAAATGTACGGGTAACAGAAGACTGTTAATTGGAACTCATAAACTCCTAATGTTAGGAGCTACAGTTGTTGGAGCTTTTAGAGAGTGCTATGTGAAAAACACCAAAGGTTACAAATGCTCATCAGTGAAAACTATCTTTAGACTCATTTCATGATAGGCAGCTCCAATGTTGGAATAAATGTGTCCTTGTTCAGAGATAATAGCATCCTTGTGGAAGCCATCACCACCTAACTCAGCAAATATGTTGTCCTTGAAATAACAACTCTGTCTTTTGAGTTCCAGCAAAACCATACACCAGGAAATAAAGGTGTGCTGCACTGTGCTACAGGGATTACAAATATGATTATTCTACAGAACATTCCAAGAATGAGGGCTTGATATGAAGTAATCAGTCAGGTCAGCATGCTCTTAGTAAGACAAAGAACAGAGGGCAGGGCCCTCAAGCTCTCAGCAACCAACAGCTGAAACAATAAACTCTGCCCTCAGAGGAGTTCACACAAACCCTCACCCAAAATGGTACCTTCTGCATAATAGCTCATGTGGAAACGGTCTCACATACACATGATTAGTCTGCTTCTATTTATATTTCTTCTCTAAATTAATCTCATCCATCAGTAAGCCCTGAATAAGTACTTCATTTCTTACTATTGTATCACGTTATGTTTCCTTCATAAAAAAGCATTTAGAAAAAGAAGTTTTCTCTGAATATGAGCAAGATATCTACCCTGAGGAGCAGCATAGAATTAATGCAGAAACTCCATGAGAAAAATCATGGAAGTTCTAAATACAGAAGGGATTTTAATTCTTTCATATTTAAATTTATCACTTCCTAAAATTTATTAATTATAATTATTACTATGCTTGGTGAGCTTAACAACAGTTCATCCATCACACACTTAAAATACTTGCAACATCAGACATCATTGTCTCATCTTTACAGGAAAAAGTCTAACATTCAGATAAGAATTTTTATTAGAAAAAATCCTCAAACTGGAAAACTCTGAATGTATTAAAAAACAAATAGAAGATTGGACTTTGCCCTCAAGCAGAGAAACTTTCATAGAGGAAATAACACACTAGCAAGTGTATATACTAAATATATCACAAAGGCCAGGTGCAGTGGCTCGTGCCTGTAATCCCAGGACTTTGGGAGTCCAAGGTGGGCAGATTGCTTGAGGCCAAGAGTTCAAGACCAGCCTGGGCAACATGATGAAACCCCATCTCTATCAAAAATTCACAAAAATTAGCTGGGCATGGTGGTGGGTGCCTGTAGTCCCAGCTGCTTGGGAGGCTGAGGTGCAAGGATCACTTGAGCCCGGGAGGTCAGGCTGCAGTGAGCCATGATTGCACCACTGCATTCCAGCCTGGGTGACAGAGTGAGACCCTATTTAAATAAATAAACAAATTATATATATATATATATATATATATATATATATTCAGAAGTATTTATATATATATGAATACTTTATAAGGTATAAATATATATATTTTATTTATATATATATATATGTTTCAGAGTTAAAATCTGTGATCATGAAAAGGTACACATTCCTCTTTATTGGGTTTTGTCTCTTGGTATAATCTAAAATTTATTTCCTTCCTTGGCATTTCTTTACATATGTATTGTTTAAACTGTGATAGCCACTAGTAGGATGTCACATTGACTGGTTGTGTTTGTCGTTTTTGTTAATTGTTATTTGTAACAAGCTGCATGTTTTTAGCTGTAAAGATCTGATTTTCTAAGGAATTCAAGTTATAATTGCCTAACATACACTCGATCCTCTGTGATAGGTAAAGCTGTAGTAACAGAAAGGAAGTGTTCCCTTTTACATCTTACCACTGTATGGCACTTTGGTTTGTTTTCATTAATTCTTGGCTTGTCTCTGTGAACCTCAGCAAAGTCCTGACTCCTCAGCACATGTAGCACACCCAGGACTTGGGTAGCATGATTCCCTTTAATACTTCCTACTTAATCTCCACGTTCTGTAATATTTATGCTTACTTGTGCAGTTGGTAACATTACAACAACAAAATCTCCATTTTATATCAACAGAGATTGATTTATTTTTATTTTATTTTATATTTATTATTTTTTTTGAGATGGAGTCTAGCTCTGTTTCCCAGGCTGGAGTGCAATGGCACAATCTCGGCTAGCTGCAATCTCAGCCTCCCAGGTTCAAGTGATTCTCCTGCCTCAGCCTCCTGAGTAGCTGGGATTACAGGCGCCTGCCACCATGCCCAGCTAATTTTTGTATTTTTAGTAGAGATGGGGTTTCATCCTGTTGGTCAGGCTGGTCTCGAACTCCTGACCTCAGGTGATCCACCTGCCTTGGCCTCCCAAAGTGCTGGGATTACATGCATGAGCCACCTCTATTTTTTAAAAATGGTTATCAGCCTAATTTTTAAAAAATGGTTGTTATCAGATAATATATGAAATCTAAAAGTCAACATGTAGTAAGATTTTAGCAAATATTTAAAAACATCAAAATTTTTAGGGCAACATGAATAACCAATTCGTGCCTAAGAATTAAAAAACAAACAACTGTATGTCATATGAACTGCAGATTCAGTTTACTCCAAATATAAGTGCCCTTAGAAGTAAAATTTGCATCTCTTATTCCTGCATACTAAAATTAGAATAAGGAATTTCATTTCAAAATAAAAATTTAATTAAGAATCTGGCCAGCTGTGGTGGCTCATGCCTGTAATCACAGCACTTTGGTAGACGGAGGCAGGCAGATCACTTGAGGTCAGGAGTTCGAGACCAGCCTGGGCAACATGGCAAAACCACATCTCTGCTAAAAATACAAAAATTAGCCAGGCATGGAGGGGTACACCTGTAATCACAGCTACTCATGTGACTGAGGCACGAGAATCACTTGAACCTGGGAGGCAAAGGTTGCAGTGAGACAATATTGCACCATTATAATATAGCCTGAGTGACAGAGTGATGCCCTGTCTCAAAAAAAAAAAAAAAAAAAAAAAAGAGCTACATACTGTTTCACTCTTGCTCAATAAACTATAAGTTTTCTAATCTAGATTTTCAAAATCTGACATTAACATTGAAGTGAGCTGGCAGGGTTTTGTCTTCATCATCTCAATATCATCTCTATCATTTCTAATAAAGACTGGAGATACTCTAGCTTAGGCTGGTCACTGGCCTATCCTCTCCTCCTCACAGTTTCTGGTTTGGTGTGTAGCCTTCGAGACATATTCCTATTCCCTGCTATCCCCTTGAAGTCCTTCCCCAGTCTTTTCTTCCAGTCTGTGCCCATTTGCTTCTTTAAAAACCAGGCCAAAACTACTGAGTTCAAATGCTCTTTAAAATCAGAGCACTACATAGATTATTTCCAAATGCATTTTAGGGGAAAAAGTCAATGAGCTCCCTAATTTTGTCCACCCACTCACATCAATTACCCTCTCAAGAGCTAGTGTGAATAAATGGAGGCAGTCAGCCAGGATTGCCTCACTTACTCTTGCTGACTCCTTTCCTCCATGATGCATGATATGGTCTGGCTGTGTCCCCAACCAAATGTAGCTCCCATAATTCCCGCATGTTGTGGGAGGGACCCAGTAGGAAATAATTGAATCATGGGGGTGGTTTTTCCCATACTTTTCTCACCATAGTGAATAAGTCTCATGAGACCTGATGGTTTCATAAGGGGAAACCCTTTTAGCTTGGTTCTCATTCCCTATTCACCTGCTGCCATGTAAGATGTGCCTTTCATCTTCTGCCATGATTGTGAGGTCTCCCCAGCCACGTGGAACTGTGAGTCCATTAAACCTCTTTTTCTTTATAAATTACCCAGTCTCAGGTATGTCTTTGCCAACAGCATGAGAACAGACTAATACAGTAAACTGGTACCAGGAGTAGGGTGATGATGTAAAGATACCTGAAAATGTGGAAGCAACTTTGGAACTGGGTAATAGGCAGAGGTTGGAACAGTTTGGAGAGCTCAGAAGAAGAGAAAAAAATGTGGGAAAGTTCAGAACTTCCTAGAGATGTAGAGGGCTCAGAAGACAGGAAAATGTGGGAAAGTTTGGAATCTCCTAGAGACTTGTTGAATGGCTTTGACCAAAATACTGATAGTGATATGGACAATCAAGTTCAGGCTGAGGTGGGCTGAGATGAAGATGAGGAACCTGTTGGCAACTGGAGCAAAGGTGACTCTTGCTGTGCTTTAACAAAGAGGCTGGTGGATTTTTTCCCCGCTCTAGAGATATGTGGAACTTTGAACTTGAGAGAGATGATTTGGGTTATCTAGTGGAAGAAATTTCAAAGCAGCAAAACATTCAAGAGGAAGCAGAGCATAAAAGTTTGAAAAATGCACAGCCTGACAATCCAATAGAAGAGAAAAACCCATTTCCTGGGGAGAAATCAAGCCTGACACAGAAATTTGCATAAGTAACAAAGAGCTGAATGTTAATCATCAAGACAGTGGGGAAAATGTCTCCAGGGCATGTTGGAGACCTTCACAGCAGCCCCTCCCATTACAGTCCCAGAGGCCTAGAAGGAAAAAATGGTTTCCTGGGCCTGGCCCAGGGCCCCCCTGCTATGTCCAGCCAAGGGATGTGGTGCCTTGTGTCTCAGCTGCTCCAGCCATGGCTAAAAGGGGTGAAGTTACAGCTCGGGGCATGGCTTCAGAGGGTGCAAGCCCCAAGCCTTGACAGCTTCCATGTGCCTTTGTAAGATATGCCTTTGACCTTCTGCCATGGTTGAGAGGCCTCCCAGCCAAATGGAACTGTGAGTCCATTAAACCTCGTTTTCTTTATTAATACAACCCATCTTCATTCACAGTGGTATTCATTTTGTCCATTTTTTTCCTCTTGACATGATGCTACCTTTAAAATCTTTTTTTCTATCTCAAATAGAATCATTAAATGTTCAGACTTTAGTTAGTCAAATGCAACATCCTTATTTCATGCATTAATGAAGCTTAAATTAATTGTAACTTCTCTAAGACATACTTACAGAGCCCAATTTCCTGACTCCTCTTTCAGTATGCTTTTCTTTATATCTCACAGATAGATTATGAGTTTTCTATGGTACTCAAGACAAAGCTGGGAATTTAACATGGAATTAAACACAATGTGTCTAAAAGCTAGTCTGTTGATAGGATAACCAGCACTTTCAAATGAATGCTCTCTTCTCAAGTAGATACTGCCAATCTGGGACTTGAATCATTTCTCCTGTAGTGTTTTCTTTTTCTTTTTTTTTCAAAAAAATAATGTTGCCTCCCCAAGAGCTCAAAGCAAGTCTGCAAAAAATGTGATTTAAAGAGATTACCAAATAGCCTTGACTCTTAAATCTGTTTTTATTTCTGTGTTTTCTTGAGTGTGAAAGAAAGAGAAATTGCAGGTGGGGGTTAAAGAAGTGGTAGAAGCAGATATGACATAATATTAATAACAGCTTTCGCATCTGTGTGCCAGGCACTGTTCTAAACACTTTACCTGCATTAGTTCATTTAGGATCATATACATCTCATGAGGCAAATACTATCATTGTATTCATTTAACTGATGAGGAAAATGAGGCACAGGAATGTTAAATAATTTGCCCAAGATTGCAAGTAATGAGGATGTGCATCAAGTTACGACCCTACTATGTGACTCTACAGCTTGTGCTCTTAAAAGTAGTAATAATTACATATATCTATTCTTTTAATACACTTAACAGGTACTGAACAATCTTTTATGATTATTTGGAATCAGGCATTAGGTGTACTGGTGCACAACATACAGCCCTTGATCCCAATGAACTGGAGTAAAGAGACAAGGAGTCTAGTAATTTTAACCTAGTTCATAAGGATTTCCTAGCTTAGGGTGAACATGGGGCATTTGAGGGTTATGTAGGAGGGTGGCAGTGGGGCTGGCAGTGGGGTGAAGTGGGAAGACTTCAATATTCAAATCTGAAAATAGAGTAGCAGTTAAATGAACAGTGGTGACAGAAGGCATTCCATGCTGAGCAACAATAGTTTCAAAGGCCTGAGATAGGACAGAGCATGATACAGTCATTGACCTATAAATTATCCAGATGATTGAACTTGCATGGGATCACTCCCTGTCTTGGTCCATAATTGAAGAGCTAAAAGTAGATAAATAGCAGTTATCCAGAGAGAAATTCTTCTTTGCCATTTGGCTTAGCTAGTTTACAGGTGATGAATACTGACTTAATTTATGATTTGACTTAATCATCTTTATTTTATGTTTATCCTATCTCTGTATGCATGTATCTATGTTGTACTGTTAGGATCTCCAGGTCAAGGCCCCTGTGTGTATGTATGTGTGGGGTGGGCATGTGTGAGTGGGCACGCATGCACATGTGTGTATGCTTGGTTTCAATGATGACACTTAAGATGGACTTAGTTCTTAAGCCACTGTGTAAACTTGTTCAGACTCTCTACAAATAAAACCACTATAACTTTTTTTTGACAGATGGAAACCAAACATCTTAATTTTGCAGATTCGTATGCACTGATAACTGTGAGAAAACCATTCCCAAAGCCCTATAGAAATAAATCATTTTGCCCATCTAAACATACCTGAGGGATGGGACACATTACTGTCAGAATCAGTGGAATGATACCCAGACAGCTTTGAGCCAAATATAGGGATCCCAAATAAAAATCAAGGCTCAACTTTTTGTTTGTTTTTACCATATCATGTTGTGAATGAGTTCTTCCATAAATTTTAATGAGATGAAATTTTTGGTGCCATCAAGGGCCCCCAAACACCTAATTCAATTCAACTAATAAAATGATTAGAAGAGAGAAACAATACTAAAAGTATAGATTGACTAAAATGCCAGGGCAAAACAAAATAAAACAAAAAACAAAAATAAAAACACTTCTTTTTAGCACTTAAAAGCTATGTTTACTAACAAAATTTTCTGGTCATTACTGAATTATTCACACGTGTGAAAAAGAGAGTGATTTCCAGAAACAAGAATGTGAAAAACTAATTCAACTTCACAGACACTGATTACTGCATATTATAATAAGGATGATGATGTTGAGAATGACCTAAGCTGCCATATAGTAAATACTAGCCATTAAGTTCCATACTGTATATAAATTATCTCACCTAATTTGCATGACAATCTTATAAAGTAAAATTTTTTTGTAGTTGAGAAAATTGAAGTTCGGAGAATATAATTTGCCAAAGTCTAGCTAAATAGCCAATTAATGATGATGTTGAAGATCAAACTTAGGTTTATTTGACTCCAAAGCTTGAGCCATGCTTTCAAGACCAGTTGGAGTAAAAATTCTTAAGAGCAATGGTAGAAAAACTGAACAAAAGGAAACAAAAAAAGACAACGTGGCAGTACACTCTAAGAGCTGATCTCAGTGCTGTGGGGCAAGAGATAAAAGAGCAGAATAAGCTTCCCTAGAAATAGCTCACTCAGAAATAAAGGATATGGGCTGGGCGTGGTGGCTGACACCTGTAACCCCAGCACTTTGGGAGGCTGAAGCAGGCAGATAACGAGCTCAGGGGTTCAAGACCAGACTGGCCAACATGGTGAAACCCTGTCTCTACTAAAAATACAAAAACTAGCCAGGATTGATGGCAGGCACCTGCAGTCCCAGGTATTTGGGAAGCTGAGGCAAGGGAATTGCTTGAATCCAGGAGGTGGAGGTTGCAGTGAGCTGAGATCACACCACTGCACTCCAGCCTGGGTGACAGCGAGACTCTGTCTCAAAAAAAAAAAAAAAAAAAAGAAAGAAAGAAAGAAAGGATATGATTCAGACACAGAAAGCAAGAGCTCAGGAAAGAAGAAAACAGAGAGCAAACCAAAGATACAACATCTCACCAGTTAGTATTTCCTTTGGGTCCTACTTTTTGGGCATGTGGAGGTGGCCTTTCTAATGGAGAGGACATCAGATAAAGCTGGTTGAGCTAACGTATTACTCTTTTGATTTTCTCAGCTGACTTTTAACTTATTTATCCTGGCCTGAGAAATCTGTATAGCCTGTGGTCTAGTGTTGTAAGACTATATTAGCTTTGGTGATTGATTTAATGTTTATCTCCCCTATCATACTGTGAGCATGTTGAGAGCAGAGATGGCATCTGTCTTGTTTACCAGTGTATCCTTTGCACCTTGATAATTACCAGTCCCATAGTAATTGATTAATACATTTTTAAAATGAATAAGTGAATATTCTTAATCACTATGGCATATTGCCAAGCACTGTACTAGGTATGGAGTTTTATAGATGTACAACAGTTCTGCCATATAAGGAGGTTCCAGTCTGCTGGGGGAGATGACCGTGTAATAAATATGATATAATGTTGTAAGAGCACAAAATATATGTGCAAGTTATTGAAGTGGTGGGGTGGAAGAGAGAATAGACATGAAAAGGAAGGCTAGGTACAAAGTCACAAAGCAGAATTATTTACTTCCTATTCAGATTCCATAGTCTTTTTCAAAAAGAAAAACCTTCAAACCAAAAATGTGAGAACAGGCATGTCAGGAAGGATTTAAAGCAAAAGGGAGGTGAGGAGACAGCGAAAGAGGACTCCGCTGTTTTATGGAAGAATCTCCAGGCCCAGACAATTTATGTTTTGAGGCAATGAAACAGCTTGAAGTTATGGTTGTGCAGTGTAACAGTTTTGAAGAGTCATGGAGTAAAGAATTACAAGATAATCAAAGTGAGAACAATTTTTTTTAAAAAAAAGCTAGTTCTGAATAACAATATTCTAGAAAAAAATACTTAAAAAGATGGTCTCTGTACATGTGACAAAAAAGAGCAGTAATTATTAGACTATTGCCTAAGTTTACTACAGGGAATGTGTCCATTTTTCAATTAAAATTCCACGCAGAAGCTTAACATATGGAAGATAAAAGTGAGAATGAGATCTGCATCTTGGGCTTTCTGCCCTGGTCCCTAATCTCAGACCCCATGGATTACAGTTGGAAAACCAGTGCTCTAGTCCTGAAAATTTCTTTCTCCTTCCTTCCTTCCTTCCTTCCTTTTCTCTCTCTCTTTCTTTCTTTCTCTCTTTCCTTCCTTCCTTCCTTTTCTCTCTCTCTCTTTCTTTCTCTCTCTCTTTCCTTCCTTCCTTCCTTTCTCTCTCTCTTTCTTTCTTCCTCTCTCTCTTTCCTTCCTTCCTTCCTCTCTCTCTCTTTCTTTCTTCCTCTCTCTCTTTCCTTCCTTCCTTCCTTCCTCTCTCTCTTTCTTTCTTCTTCTCTCTTTCCTCCCTTCCTTCCGCCCTTCCTTTTTCTCTCTCTTTCCTTCTTCCTCTCTCTCTTTCTTACTCTCTCTCTTTCCTCCCTTCCTTCCTTCCGTCCTTCCTTTCTCTCTCTTTCTTTCTTCCTCTCTCTCTTTCCTTCCTGCCTTCCTTTCTCTTTCTTTCTTCCTCTCTCTCCTTCCTTCCTCTCTCTTTCTGTTTTCCTCTCTCTTTCCTTCCTTCCTTTCTCTCTCTCTTAACACCACTCTCTCTTTCCTTCCTTCCTCTCTCTTTTCTTCCTCTCTGTCTTTCCTCCCTTACTTCCTTCCTTTCTCTCTTTCTTCATCTCTCTCTATCCTCCCTTCCTTCCTTCCTCTCTCTCTCTTTCTTCCTCTCTCTTTCCTTCCTTCCTTCCTTCCTCTCTCTGTCTTTCTTTCTTCCTCTCTCTCTTTCCTCCCTTCCTTCCTCTCTGTCTTTCTTTCTTCCTCTCTCTCTTTCCTCCCTTCCTTCCTCTCTGTCTTTCTTTCTTCCTCTCTCTCTTTCCTCCCTTCCTTCCTTTCTCTCTCTCTCTTTCTTCCTCTCTCTTTCCTTCCTTCCTTCCTTTCTCTCTCTCTTTCTTTCTTCCTCTCTCCCTTTCCTTCCTTCCTCTCTCTTTCTTCCTCTCTCCCTTTCCTTCCTTCCTCTCTCTGTCTTTCTTTCTTCCTCTCTCTCTTTCCTCCCTTCCTTCCTCTCTGTCTTTCTTTCTTCCTCTCTCTCTTTCCTCCCTTCCTTCCTTCCTTTCTCTCTCTCTCTTTCTTCCTCTCTCTTTCCTTCCTTCCTTCCTTCCTTTCTCTCTCTCTTTCTTTCTTCCTCTCTCTCCTTCCTTCCTTTCTCTCTCTCTCTTTCTTTCTTCCTCTCTCTTTCCTTCCTTCCTCCCTTCCTCTCTCTCTCTTTCTTTCTTCCTCTCTATCCTTCCTTCCTTTCTCTCTTTCTTTCTTCCCCTCTCTCTTTCCTTCCGTCCTTCCTTCCTTCCTCTCTCTTTCTTTCTTCCTCTCTCTCTTTGCTTCCTTCCCTCCCTCCTTCCTTCCTCTCTCTCTTTCTTTCTCTCTCTCTTTCCTTCCTTCCTTCCTTGCTTCCTTTCTTCCTTCCTTCCTTTCTCTTTCTCTCTTTCTCTCTCTCTCTCTCTCTCTCTCTCTTTCTTTCTTTTCCCAGAATCTCACTCTGTCGCCTGGGACCCAGGCTACAGTACAATGGCACAATCATAGCTCACTGCAACCTTGAACTCCAGGGCCCAAGTGATGCACTCATCACAACCTTCCAAGTAGCTGGGACTACAGGCACATGCAACTGCCCAGCTAAATTTTAAATTATTTTGTAGAGAAGGGGTCTCACTATGTTGCCCAGGCTGGTCTTTAACTCCCGGCCTCCAGCAATTCTCCAGCCTCTGCCTCCCAAAGTGCTGGGATTACAGGTGCGAGCCACCCTGCCCGGCCAGAGAATTTCTTATTTTGTCTCTAAGACAAGAATATAGTTCTGAGAATTTCCCATTCTTTCACTCTGACAGAATTTCTTATGCTCTTCATGTGGAAAATGGAATGTAATCTGATTAATAAGAATATGGTTGGATATATGACTTTTAGTTAGCTGAGCAGTAAAAATGCCTCTAATACCAGTGATGCTCAGCCTCTTTTGTACCAACAAGGAGGCCAGGAATGAAGGATAACGGCATCTATACATCCTATCAGTAGCAGTGGCGCACCCTGGCAATGTTTCTCCCTGGGGGTCATGGTGGGGTGCTTCTCCTTTTACTCTTGAGGATAGCTACCTTGAGAGGATATCCTAAACTTGGCCCTGTTTTGTTAAATGCAATTTTAAGTCCATAACCTGGATGAAGACCTAAAAGGCAAGCTTATCACATCTACAGATGACAAGACCAAGTTTATTGAAATTAAATGTAACAAAACTTTATTGATCACTCTCTACAGGCCATGTCTAGCACTAAAGAGGGCTTTTGCCATGGAGATGTTACAAAATTTTGGTTTATATCATAATGCAGAGTTGGCTTAAAAGATCTGAGTTTTGTTTGCTTGTTTTTTGTTTAGTTTAGCTTATTTATTGTTTGTTTGTTTTTTGCTTACCACCAGCTTACTAAGAACAAAAAAAAATTGATCACAGTCCAAAAGCCACTATATCCTTAGTGTATTCCATGGAAAGAACATCCCGAACTTGGGAGAAGATAACGTAACATATTCCTGGAGCACCATGTCCAGGTCAAGTACCATATTATAAAGGAGACATAAATAGCCCTGTATCCAGAGGAAGGAAACCAGGGCAACAAAGAGCCTAAAAGCCATGCCCCAGGAGGATCAGTGGAAAGAACCAAGGATGTTTAATCCTGCAGAACAGAAACATATAGAGCCCATAAGCTTTCTTCAAATATTTGCATGTCCATCACCATTGCTTTCAAACAGCCAGAATTCGGAAAATAGGGAAGATTTACTCTGTGTACTTATGGGGCAGAATTCGGGTCACATGGCAGCAGGTTGCTCAATGTTAGGAAGAGCTTTCTAACAATTAAAGCTGCAAAATGAAATGCGCTATTTCAAAAAGCTGTGTGCTCTGGATCACCAGAATTGTTCAATAAGAGGCTAGAAAGCATAGGATATGTTTTTAATACAATAAATTCCTGGTTTTGTGGTACAAGTTGGACAGTGACCTAGTCTGTAAGGTCTCTGGAAAACTAAAGGAAAATATGTATATCATTTGGATATTGAGTCACATCTTATAATATAGTTCTTTAGCTCATTAGCTGTTAATTGCAGGTGGCAAACTGGAACCAATTTAATTATACCCTCGAAGAACTAGGAATGTTTGGTTGTTTTGTTAGCTTATGAGAATTTCAACAACCTGAAGTCACAATAGGACCCTGGAATACATATTACCACACAGTCACCAGGAGGGATGATGATAGTATCGACATATAAGACATATGAAAATTTCCTCTCAAATTTTTTTCTCCTACCCTCTGATTTAGACCAACATCGCTTCTTTCAGTGGTAGCTAATAAGCCAGACGGATCTAGTAGAATGCTAGTAAATATTTAACAACTGACACTCTGGAAAAAAAAATCTAATTTGTCATGTTTGCCAAATCTCATGGTTTAAATACACCCATCATAGCTGATTTCAAGCTACCATTGGGAAGAGAAGTACACAATCCACTTTAGTGAGCAACTTTAACAAGCTGGCTCCAGCACATCACTGAATATACCCCACATTTTAATCAGTAGAATCAGTGCAATTGACTTCCCTAAATTAACAGTCCAATGGTTGTTGCAGAGAAAGAAACTAAAGATTTGATTACATATGCTTAGTTGTTCCATTTAAACTAAAACACCAACAATATTTTGAAAGAACATATTCTTAAATGTATTGCATTTGCCCAGGGCTGCAGCCCACCCTTTCAGTCTCCATCATTTTGTTTAGGTTTATTTTCTGTCAAAATAGGTTGTGTATGTGACAGAGCAGGTATTGAGCACATCAAAGTTTTCCATTTGATGTTAAAGTGGGCCTCCATTTGGGGATGCATTCCGGAAGCTCTGACACTAAGTATGCTGTGGCATAATCTCTACAATCTAACAGAAATTCTGTAAGGATAAGTGGAGTTCAAACATATCATGACCAGCAGGTTCTGACACATCTAATAAAGAATCAGAGTATGGGGAAATAGTTAATAACACATCCAAAAATGTTGATGATTGATATAGTTCAACTGTTTCTCAAAAGCCTCTAATCTCTTCTATCTATCAGGGCATTTAAGGCCCTTATCTGGAAGATAAATCAAAAGACTTTTGAGGAGATACAAAGGGCAGGGCTGGAGGTAAAGTGGAGAATTATAATATTGCATTGGTAAGTCACTAAATGGGCAAAGCAGTCATAAATCTGAGATTTGGGATGAAAAAAATTTATGTAGAGTTTTTTTAAAGGTTAATCATTAAAGGAAGAGTTACCATCTGCCAACTTTTTTTGTTTGTTTTTTAAATGAGGGAAGGAGGGCAAGTAACAGCCACACATTACTCAAGGAACATATGACTGAAAACTTGAGAAAAGTACATAATTCTGAAAAGCAATTAGAAATGGCAGCAAGAATGAAGATAGACACTTGGATCTCAGAAATAGGAGGAACAACTTGGGTTGAAAAAATAAAAAGGCAAGCCAAAGCTGTGAAAGCTAAATTAAATTTCTTAGAACAAGGTGGTAGAATCCAGTATGATAGAACCCAGAGGCAATTGGAACACCAATGTTCTTTAAAACATACAAATGGCTGCCTAATGCACTTTACAGATACATGTGAATTGGGAATAAAGTCTAATGTAATTGTTCAACAATGTGGTGCAGATGATGAAATCTAAGCACTTAATTTGGAAAAGTGTATAGTATTAAGATGACTGCATTGATTACTGTGAAGAGTATGACATGTTTGAATGGGCTTGACAGAGAAGAAGAACTGTGCTCTGTAATTTAGAAATCTAAAGCTACTTATTTCTTCTAGAAATGCATTTTATTCAATCAGTTTTCTCTATTAGTTGTTTATAGACAATGTTTGAAAGACCAGCACCACTAACAAAAAAAGACACACTTGAACTCCCCCAAATAGAATTGGATTTGTTCTACTAAGGTAATACATACATATTATTTTTTGATAGATCTAAAATCATAACTTGATTGGAAGATGAATTACTAAATTAGGAGCAATTTTATGATCAAAACATACATTCCTACTTTTATTTTGTTTTCAAAATAACATCTTTATTTTGTTTTCAAAATAACATCTTTATTTTGTTTCCAAAATAACATCTATAGATGTACTATAATATCTAGAAGTGTATATGCATGTATTTCTTTTTCTCATATTTCTCTATTAAAGCCCCATTATGAGAGGTGCCATTATATAAATGTGTTCTCTATTTGGAACTCAGCAAAGACACCCTGGAAAGATACAGAGGGACAGTGGAAAGAGGAACTTCTTCTTCCTGTTTTGGGGCTGTTGGTTCTCAAAGAAGTAGAAGGAAAACTATCTAGCTCTGAGTTCGGTGAGTTTCCCATGGTGTACTACATGTCTCCATAATGATGGGTTTGGAAACTGTCTCTCTTGTCAGATGCTGCCTTTCCTCACTCCTTATTCAGCGGGCAATTCACTGTCACTCACAAAGGACCAACTCAGGCCAACTCACAGTGAGCAAAGTTTGTCTTTAACAATCCTTACTTTTCTTTCTGGAATGCTTTTCCGTACCAATGACCCTTCTGCTGCCCCAGTCAAAATAATGAAATCAATTTAGCCACATTTACAAAAGGTCCCTGGTTTATGATGGTTTGGCTTTTCATGAGTTTATGATGGTGCAAAAGCAATATACATTCAGTAGAAACTAGGCTTTGAATTTTGAATTTTGATCTTTTGCTGGGCTAGCAATATCCTTGCATGATACAGGGTATTGGGACAGCTCTGTCAGCCATGCAATCATGAGGATGAACAACTGCTACCTTATGGCAAACTGTGTGGCCAGATGATCTTCCTCTCCGGTAGGCCAATGTAAGTGTTCTGAGCATGTTTAAGGTGGGCTAAGTTAAGCCATAATGTTCAGTACGTTAGGTGTATTAAATGCATTTTTCAACTTAATGATATTTTAAATTTACGATGGGTTTATCAGGAGATAATTCCACTGCAAATTGAGGGGCATCTATATTTTGTTACTTACACCAGAGGTGTTTATATTTCAAACAAATACCACATTAAAAGTGAAATTTCAAGTATCAGAGTGAAATTTTTGAATAGCTATGTTTTGGGGTAGCTGGCTTTGGATAGCTAAACCACAGTCAATAATATTTTAAAAATCATAAAAGTTCACATACTAGAGGAATTACAATGAAAATATACACAAGTTTTTCTCCATTAATTCTCCTCAGAGTTTTAAAAAGCTGGTTCATATTGCTGTGATCTTTTAGCTTTGTGTGACATGTGTTTCTGAATACTTTAAGCACAGTGAGGTTAAGATTGGATCATCTCAAAATGTCATTATCTTTTAGGTTGGTATTTATTTGGAAGTAGTGATTATAACCAAATGCCTTTTGTTTACATTTCACCAAAGGGGAAAACTGTGTTTTCAATTACCAATAACAAACTGATACCTGACACTAGCTCAGATGATTGCCTCTCCAACATCCAACAATAAGCAGAATTTTAAAAAACAAATTAGTAATAGAGTGGTCTTTTGGCTCCTTCTTTTCTCATTCAGCTTATTTAAAAAATGTATGGAAGTAGCTGGATACAAATTATAGTACATAGCACATGGGAGAAGGTTGCTGTAGGTTTGTGACTTCCCCTTACATTCATCACATGTATCACGTGTCTCGGAGTTCACCACAATAAATCTTTTGGTTCTCAGACAGCGTGTCAGTCCTCCAGCTGTTAAAAACCACTGCACACAGTACCAGACCCCAGAGAGGATGACTCCCCAAAGGTACAAAGACTGTCTTTCTCAATGCCTATAGGAGCTAATCAATTAATTTAAGAATAGGAAGTAATAATAGAATCCATTTTCTATTTGGATGAGCCAACTTAACATCTCTGTGCTTCTTTTATTTCTCAGTTGTAAACATGTTCTAATAATTTACCTATTCCACTGGGTCTTCCTGAGGATTACATTAAATCATGTTCATAAAGTACCTGGCAAATAAAATCACTTAATAATTGGCAGCCATTACTATTGTGCTATCAATACTTGAATTTGGAGAACGACTTCACTCTTTGGGTAGAGGGTAGAGTTGGTTTGCCGTGGGTGACAAAGGCAGAGGGTGGATTTCAGAAGAGAAGCAAATCTGAGAATTTTTACTAAATTAAGCTACATGCAGAGCAAGCATAAAAAACAACAACAATAATAGAGGATTGCTACTGACAAAACTTTTAATGAGACCCGAGACTTTCAGTGAAACCTGCCAAAAATACTGCCAAAGTAAGAGACATGCTCTAAGCTAGCTTGTATCCAGCTTAATTTAAGTGACTGCTTTGCCATGAAATTGGGAACATGGCACGTACATACATTGCAAAGTACATGAAAACAAGATGTTTTGAAACACACATCACACCCCTGCTGACTGACTTTATTCTGAAAACTAAAAGTAATGCTAACCCAGCTGTGCTTATGGTGCTTCAGGTATTTAACAAACGACCATTTATGTTAAGTACGCTGGATTACCTAAGAAAGATTTTCGTTGTCATTAAATAATGATGGAAAAATATTTCCTATCAATTGATAAGGTGATAATCCAACGGAAGAGTGTCTTTAGTTGACAAAAGATGTTTTCAGTGTCATAATTCTCTCCATTTAATCTCTAAAGTGGCACAAAAATAAGTTTTTCCACTTGGATACCTTCCTGACATCTCTTGGTAACTCAAAAGCCCCTCAAACTCAGTATGTCCAAAAATGATCTCACTATCCACATCCCACCCCCAGCCTGTCCCCTTCCTGTGTTCCTTGTCATAGCAAAACAGTATTATCACCTACAACCCATTCAGTTTTGCAAGCCAGAAATTTAGGGGTCATTCCTGACAATCTCCTTCTCTTCCTCCTAAATCCAACCTGTCATTAAGCACTGCTGATTTTGTTTGCTAAATTTCTCCCTCTATTCATCTCTCTCCGACTCCCCTACCATCATCAGTCTAATATAACCTACTGTCACCTCTCTCCCTGACTGTGGTAACAGCTTTCTAACTGGTCTAACTTCATATATTCCATCCCGTCTCAACACCACTTACCCTACCCATAACTTTTTCTCCCACCATTTCGTGAGCTGGATCATATTCTGCCACTCCAACTCAGCTTAAAACTCTTGACGACTTTTGATGGCCTTAGGAAGTAGAGGAAAAAATACCTTAATATGGTTTACAAAGCCTCATTCCTGCCTCCTTCACGTTACTTCATTCTTCTTGCCTCTGCTCCAGCCACACAAGCCATTGTGGACTCACTGTGTTCCCTCCTGGCACAAGGTAGCTGATATGGTTTGGCTGTGTCCTCACCCAAATCTCATCTTGAATTGTAACTCCCATAATTCCCATGTGTTGTGGCAGGGACCCAGTGGGGGATAATTGAATCATGGGTGCAGTTCCCCCATAGCGTTCTCATGGTAGTGATAAGTCTCATGAGATCTGATGGTTTTATAAGGAGTTTCCTTTTTCACTTGGCTCTCACTTTCCCTCTTGCTGCCGCCATGTAATAAGTGCCTTTTGCCCTCCGCCATGATTGTGAGGCCTCTCCAGCCATATGGAACTGAGTTCATTAAACCTCCTTTTCTTTATAAATTACCTAGTCCCGGGTGTGTCTTTATCAGCAGCATGAAAACAGACTAATACAGTAGCTCTGGCTTTTCTTGATATCTGAAATGCTCTTGCCAATCCTCTTTGCCTAGTCACCTCTTCAGATTTTCATTTCACTTCCTTGAGAAAGCTTTCCTTGACCTCCTTGACCACATCAATTCCCTATTATAAACTTTCATAATACCTTGCAACTCTTCTACATTGCACTCAATGAAGTTGTGCTTTTATTTTGTTTAGCACTTTTATTAATATTTTTCTTTTCTACTATTCTATAAGTTCCTATAGAGAGAGGACCACATCTATTTTTGGTCTCCTACTAGCCCTAGCCCAAGCACAGGGCATATGATCTCACAATATTCAATAGTAAATATTGGTGGAATGAATGAATAAATGATGTCAGGTAAGTTTCCCACATTGCTTTTAGCAAACAGACTATATCGTTTTGCTTTAAAAAAATGTCAGCAAGCAGTCTGTTATGTAAAGTGCCCAGTTTGTTTCGTGATTATAAATATGAAAATGGTTAACTCAATCAAATTGCTGTAAGGATATGAGACTTTGCAGAAAATGAGTTTGTTTTTTACCTTTAGTTTTAAGGAGTTCAGCTTTTCCTCCCTAAGGTGTTCTCTCAACATCTCCCGGTGGAGCCTCTCCTGCTCCCTTGCAAACTCGCCAAGAGTGTACTGGCGCACGCTGTTATGGCGGCTGGACATCCCCAGGGTGCTTCCCCCTTGACTGGGCACACTTGTGAAGCCTTGCCTCCTGGTGAAGTAGTACACGGTGACACAACTAAAATGTACATTCTTTGTCCTCAGTCGTTTCTCCCTTTTGAGAATGGAGGAAGCTGAAAGAGAAAGAAACAATCCTGTGAACACTTGGGGCAGCAGTTTTCAGACAAGGCCAAGAAAATGCCATTTGGTGATCTTGAATCTATCTGTGGCCAACCCTTGTTGGCTAGGGCACTCTAAAACTGTTATATCCCAGAGTTGGCATAGAGTTCTAATTTTCTTTCTTAAATTTTCTTCTAGCTGCAGCAGAGTAGACTTCTTTTAAGTATAATGGTAGACTGTGCTTTTAAGTATAATGATAATCTAAGCAAACTTTCAGTAAAGTTGTCAATAGTCTGTGAATCTGTGGCAGTATTTATAGTAGTCCCCCCTTATCTTTAGAGGATATGTTCTCAGACTTCCTGTGGATGCCTGAAATCACGGACAGTATTGAGCCCTGTATATACTATGTTTTTTCCTATACATACCTACCTAAGATAAGGCACAGTAAGAAATTAATTACAACAGCTAACAGTAAAATAAAGCAATTATAATAATATATGAACATCACTAGTCTTGTGCTTTGGGGCCATTATTAGGTAAAATAAGGATTCCTTGAACATAAGCACTGGGATACCCATGGCAGTTGATCTGATAACCGAGATGGCTACTATGTAACTAATGGGCCAGTAGCATAGACAGCACTGATGTGCTGGACAAAGAGAAGATTCAAATCCTTGGGGAATGGGAATGGGACAGTGTGAGATTTCATCACACTACTCCCAACAGCCTGCAATTTAAAACTAAAAATGGTTTATTTCAGGATATTTTCATTTAATATTTTTGGATTGTGCTTGACCACAGATAACTGAAACTGGGGAAATCAAAACTGCAGATAACCAGGGACAACTATAATTTCTCATTTCCTCTAATCCTTTGAACTTTGGTTTTATGACTTTCACAGGAGTTGTATTATACTATAATCAAAAAAGACACATAGTACAAACCCTCATACCTCGGATCTTATTTCTATGTGGAGGGTGTTTGACATTAAAACAAATGTCAACAAATTTTAGAAAATTTCAAAAAGCAATAAAAACACACACAAAAAGGCTCACTGGCACTATTTAGATATTTTATCAATCTAAATCTAATAAAACTTTCACTTGAAAAGACCAGTGTTCTCATTAAATAGCATTATGAACAATGGGATTCTAATGCAAGTATACATTGGGACAAATGAAATTGCCTGAGATATATCAGAACTACTTTTTCTTCTTCTTATTTTTTTAATTGACAAATAAAAATTATATATATTTATGATGCCCAGTGTGATGCTTTGATATATGTATGTGCTGTGAAAATGCTCAATCAAACTAATTAACATATCAATTATCTCACATATTGATTTTTTTGTGGTAATGATGGGAGCCTTTATTATTAGTTACAGGAACATCAAGATGCACGGAGAATCCAGGAGATGTAGACACTGACTGTAGTTGAGAAGAAGAGGGCCACACTTTGTAAACATGGCCTCTTGAAATTAGAAGCCATGGTAGAATCATCTGGTTCAGCCCCTTCATTTTACATTGAAGTAACCCAGGTCTGTAGAATTTGAGTGACTTTTTTTGATGTAGACTGTTAGTGAGACAGGTAAGCCTAAACCTAAAAGCTCCTAATTCGCTGCCAAATTATACGATCCACCCCCACTGGGGAAGGAAGGACACACTTAGTTGAGAAGAAAGAATCATGCTATTATTTTGCTAGCTGAGGATTTCTTCTCAGTTCATTATTTTTTTCCTATCTGCTTTTCTATTAGGGGTTGAATTTTGTCCCTCTCCACCAAATATGCTAAAGTCCTAATCCCGAGTACCTCGGAATGTAGTCTCTTTTGGAAATAGGGACTTTACAGAAGTAAACAAATTAAAATGAGGTCACTAGGGTGGGCCCTTATCCAAGATGACTGGTGTGTTTATAAAAGTTAAAATTTGGACACAGACATGCGTAGAGGGAAGATGATGTGAAGAGACACAGAAAGAACACCGTGTGAAGACTGACATGGAGATGGAGATTCTCCACCACAAGCCAAGAATGTCGGGGGCTACCAGAAACTGAAATGTGCAAGGAAAGATCCTTTCCCAAAGGTTTCAGAGGGAGCCGGGCCCTGCCAACACCTTGGTCATCTAGCCTCCCGAACAGTGAGCAGTTTCTGCTGTAGTAAGTCATCTTGTTTGTCGTCATTTTTACGGGAGCCCAAGGAAACTGATACAAGTGCTCAAGCAGAAAAATGAACAGAAGAAAATGAACTGAGAAGAAATCCTCTGATGGCAAAATGCTATAATTCAACATTTATGGAGTGTTTCCCATGTGCTGTACTATGCGGGGAACTTTACATGAATTATCTCATTTTATCCTTAGAACTCCCTGGTTGATATTACTCATGTCCCAATTGTTAGGAAACCAAATTATCAACGGTTAAAAAACATGGCCAAGGTCCTATAACTAATGAAAAAACTGGGATCTGTTATTCAGAGCACAGTCTTTTCGCTACCATATTTCAGCATGCAGCTGAGGCCACACTAAGGGAGGTGAGCAAGGCTGAGATTTGGCATCATACTACCTCTGGAAGATGTCAACTGCTGCTGGTTTCAAGACGATTTTGATTTGGAAGGCTGTGTAAGCAATGAAAAAAATTGACTCTAATTGGATTTAGGTAAGAATCTTCTTCCAAGGAGGTTCAAGCTCCTTTGTCTCATTTTTCCCCCATGAAACATTCAAGCCAAATATATAGAGGCTGCTATGATTAATATCATGTTATGGATTTGTTTAATCAGTAAGTACAAATTGAGAGCCTACTATGTGCTAGCCACTTTCTAGATGATTGGGATACATCAGTTAAAAACACAGATGATTCCGGGTGAGGCTGACGCCTGTAATCCCAACACTTTGGGAGGCCAAGACAGGCGGATCACCTGAGGTCAGAAATTCGAGACCATCCTGGCTAACATGGTGAAATCCTGTCTCTACTAAAAATACAAAAAGTAACCAGGCAGGGTGGCTCACGCCTGCAATCCCAGCTACTCAGGAGGCTGAGGCAGGAGAATTGCTGGAACCTGAGAGGTGGAGGTTGCAGTGAGCCGAAATCACACCACTGCACTCCAGCCTGGGCAACAGAGAGACACTGCATCTCAAAAAATAAAAAGAATAAATAAATAAAAAATAAATACACAGATGATGATCCCTGCCTGTGTGGAGCTTCCATTCCAGTGATGAGAAACTCTGACACAATGAAGAGACTCAGAAGATTAGAGAGTAAGAGAATTATGACCTTAGCACAGCAATTCGGCTTTCTCAACTTTCCTCTTCTCCATTGTTTTGCTTCTCCAGAAGATATTGCCAGAAAGTGAATGCTTTCCAACTTGTGCATAATCTTCCATTTATTTATGTATATATTCATTGTAACACACCTGTACTCCAGGCAGTAAAGAAAACTTTCAATTTTGACTTAAAAGTTCTGATCCATTTCATAACCATATGTTTAAATCATCTCAAAACAAGGAAGAATTTGTCGAAATGTAAAAGATCACCAGAGAAGGCAAATTTAACAATCTGCCCAGTAATCTGCTATCAAATCCAACAATCTCATACATTACCCCTTACAGCAGGCTAGAGCTTCTGGTTTTGTGATGATAACTTTCTATCTTTTTTGCTCTTGATATCATAAAAATGATGCCCTAAAGGCATTATTATTCAAGGCCATAAATTTATAGACAAGGAAAAAGGTTTGAATGTACTCATTTAAAATCATTATTATACACACCTCTGGTAATTTTTTTTTTTTTTTTTTTTTTTTTTTTTTTTTTTTGTGATAGAGCTTCGCTCTTGTTGCCCAGACTGGAGTGCAGTGGCATGATCTCGGTTCACTGCAACCTCTGCCTCCTGGGTTCAAATGATTCTCCTTCCTCAGCCTCCTGAGTAGCTGGGATTACAGGTATCTGCCACCACGCCCAGCTAATTTTTGTATTTTTAGTAAAGACAGGGTTTCATCATGTTGGCCAGGCTGTTCTCGAACTCCTGACCTCAGGTGATCCACCCACCTCGGCCTCCCAAAGTTCTGGGATTATAGGTGTGAGCCACTGTGCCCAGCCACCTCTGGTAATTTTAGTACTTACTTTTTAGACAATTGGTGGCACTCTCAACAAATTTCCTTTCTAAATGTATTTAGATCTCCACCTGCAGTTTGAGATTATAAGAATTCTTCACCCTTCTGGATGAATCTATTGCATCATGCTTTCCCAGAAAAGCCAAATTACCTTTTCCCTAAAAGCTAGAGTTTGGAAGTGATTTTCTAAGGCCTTGAAGACGACAATAGTGTCAGGGAGCAGAAGGCCTTCAGCTGGGCCCCTGGCAGAGCTGACACTGTCAAAAGGAATTAGGAATAGTGCTTCCTCCTATCTATTAGGGTTCATAATTCAAACATGTGTTTGTGTTTACTTTAGCATTTGCATATTATACATAACATTGTGAGAACAATGATTCAAAAGCCTATGGAATCTATTTAAAAGGAAGTCTTCAAAATACTACAAGATCAGCCTTACAGGGGATATTATAAGTGTGGCTTTCCTGAAGTTAAGAGCCACCCAAGTCTCTCTTCTGATGATTCAATCAGAGGACTAACATGAGCCTTTATGGGCTATCTCCTGACTCCAGGCCTTAATTTGACTAACATCACAAAATGAAGTCATAAAAAAGAGTCTCTGCCCTTTGAGCCTGGGAGAAGCAGACTAAATTCACTCAGCACATCTGCCGTAGGGAATCTGAAACCTCCCTGATATACCTACCTAGTAATTTGTGCCCTTTCCAAGAAGATTAAGCTCTACTTTGTGTCTCTACAGAGTTCAGTATTGGCTTTACTATAGCAAGGTCAAGAGCAAGAAAAGGAGGGAGGAGAATGTGCCTTTCGTGAGAGCTCTGAAAATTAATTAGTCTGTTTTTGGCCAGCGCGGTGGCTCACGCCTGTAATCTCAGCATTTTGGGAGGCTGAGGCAGGTGGATCCCTTGAGCTCAGGAGTTCGAGACCAGCCTGAGCAACGTGGCGAAACCCCATCTCTGCCAAAAATACAAAAACTTAGCCAGGTGTGGTGGTGTGTGCCTGTAGCCCCAGCTAGTTGGGAGGCTGAGGCACAATCATCACTTGAGCCCAGGAGGCAGAGGTTGTGGGGAGCTGAGATTACACTACTGCGCTCCAGTCTGGGTGACAGAGTGAGACTCCAGTTTAAATAAACAAATGAATAAAAATAATTAGTCTGTTTTCATACTTGATACCATTTTTTTTTTTTTAAGATTGAGTCTTGCTCTGTTACCAGGCTAGAGTGCAGTGGTGCGATCTCAACTCACTGCAACCTCCGCCTCCTGGGTCCAAGCAATTCCCCTGCCTCAGCCTCCCGAGTAGCTGGGACTACAGGTGCACACCACCACACTTTGTATTTTAGTAGAGAGGGGGTTTCACCTTGTTGGCCAGGATGATCTCAATCTCCTGACCGCATGATCCGCCTGCCTCAGCCTCCCAAAATGCTGGGATTACAGGCGTGAGCCACCGTGCCCAGCCTTGACACTATTTTTTAAGTGTCTTTCAGCTCCTTTTCTTTTATCCCAACATAATACCAGCCTGAAGCAAAAGTGTCTATATACAACACTACTATATACACTGCCCAGGTCTTGGGAACACCATTATGTTCAGCATATCTGGCCATATTGGTGTTACTGTAAAATGTTCACATATAGTAGAGATAATACTGATCTTTATAAATTAAATGAATAAACACACAGTTACTGATATTCACTATCTCCAGAAGCTACCTATCCTTAAAAGAATGCTTTCAGGCCGGGTGCAGTGGCTCACGCCTGTAATCCCAGCACTTTGAGAGGCCGAGGCAGGCGGATCACCTGAGGTTGGGAGTTCAACACCAGCCTGGCCAGCATGGTGAAATCCTGTCTCTACTAAAAATACAAAAATTAGCCGGGCTTGGTGGTAGGTGCCTGTAATCCCAGCTACTCGGGAGGCTGAGGCAGGAGAATCGCTTGAACCCGGGAGGCAGAGGTTGCAGTGAGCTGAGATCACGCCTTTGCCCTCCAGCCTGGGCGACAGAGCAAAACTCTGTCTCAAAAAAAAAAAAAAAAGCTTTCAAAATGAATGGAGAAAAGAATTGGAAAACTGACTAATCCACAATGCCAGGGTAAGAATATAGGCACATAAAATAATCTGTACTATAAATTATATAAAGAACGAACTCGTGAAAAGAACAGATTAAAAATGGAAACCAAAAACTAAGAATTATTCAGCATGTTTGCAGTATCATCCAGGGAAGCAAGTACTCTGGTGAAATAAATATTCTGAATATTCTGATCCCTACAGGGGATGAGTATATCAAGTATCACAGCTGATTCACACTAGGCTCTAGGAAAATTCAACTGATTTTTCTCTTTCCACACTCACAAATCAATCTGTTTATATAGTATGGAATAAATCTTCAAGTTTACCAGATTATCTGCCTGACTTGTCAATTTTATTTCTTATTGAAAATAATCAAATTTGCTTTCTGATTTGTGCTTTAGCCATTTGTAAACATTATTAGTGTATCATTCCACTTGAGTTTGGCCATCTCTGCATGCACACAGATAATCATATATCTGGGCCTGTAAAATTGAAGACCAGGTTCTGGACTACCAATTCCACCACAGGGCAACAACTCTGGAGCGAATGCTTGAGCAATGAGCTGGTCATCCTCTTTAAGTACACTTGTTGTTTTTTATGTCAACACCTATCAGCAAAGTCCTGCTAGAAAGGCAGAAAGCAGTAAACAGAGTTATGTATTTTGGCACATGGAGGTTGAAAGTTTATGGTCTAGTTTCATGTTAAATGAGAGAAGAATTGTGGAAGATATTAATTCTACCATTTGGGTCTAAAGTCAATAATAAACTTATCTCTCTTAAGCTGATCAAAAGGAAAATGCCAGATAATTTGCAAGTCTATGGTTTTGAATTTATTTATTTAGATGAAACTTAGTAGAAGTGAAATGAGATTGCTGAAATCAACTTGTTTTTCTTGGTAAGCCCTGGGCAATGAAAATTTGTGTTTTTAAATCATACAGACCAAATTGATCAGGGGCTCTGAAGTTGTGTGTGTTGCTTCTTACCTTTTGAAGAACAAATCAAGACTAAATCTGTTATCAAACCAGGAAGCTTAGCTTAAAAACAGAAGATCCAGTTTCACCAGAAATTATTTTGTATAGAAATTAGCATAACAGATTGAATAGTAAATCAATTTCCAATGATTGAAGTTATTAAGATTAACTTAACATTTACAAATGACTTCTGTAAATTTCCTGTGATCATATGCTCAAAGCTTCTCCAACTTGACATGATAGCCAAGGTTGGCTTCTCTTGATAACTGTGTCACCTACCTGATCTCATCTTAACCAAGTAAAAATGGGTCTAGCAACTAAGAACTATAGGAGTAATTCCTTGGAAAATGAAGTCTAGTTTGGTATTAAAAGCAATCTTTCCTTGTTCTAATTGTCCTTTTTTATTCCAGGCACATTCTCGTTTCCTGAATATACTTGCCCCAGTCGTCTTTTTAAATTTAATTTGCTCAAATAAGGTATTTAGTAATACATTGTTTAAGTGGAAAAAACTCCAAAAGACTTATACTAAAGAAGTATCGTGGGTGAATGAGAAGCAAAATGAAAATAAAGACTAATTGGGACTATTTTCTTTCTTACCATGAACAAAATCCAAATTACCTTAAGTATGTAATATAAGCTGATCTGTTATTTTACATTCAGTTATAAAGAGTTTAAAACACATACTAACAATCACAAACAAAAGAAAAAAAACCCACCTTAAACAATGGGCATGATGTAGGGGAATATTTTTAATTACCCAATGTTTTGGAATTAAGTTATTTTTCTTCCCAAAAGAATAATCAGAACTGAAACACAGGCAGTAAATGTAAAAAAGTATCTTAATGTACCTAAAGGACAACAAGTCAGGGGTCTTATTTTTTTCCTTTTTTACTATTGCTTATTACTATGAAAGTAGCATTCAAAAATAAAAATCAAGAAAAAGTAGCCTCCACTTAGGTGATGCTCATCATTTTTAGTCCAAGTCTATTTCTTGCTGATATATTCGGTTCCCTGTATTACGACTAATAGCTCTAAGTGCTATTAAAATTGTAGTGCATGTCTCTCCTCAGTCCTTAAATACCACTCTTCTCTATTTCTAACCAACCAACCAACTTATGTATTAGTAAAGCAGCAAGTAGACTAGACCATATAAAATATGATAGACACATATAAGAACCAGTTGTCATTCTGATATCATTCCTTTGGTAGAGGAGAACTAGGTTTATAATTCATACATAGGATTAGGTAGCATATCCATTTAGCTGTAAATATTTCCCATTCCTATATGAAATTGAAAATATTCACAATGGATTACCCTCAAGACTAATAATGTCTTTTGCACATTGCAGCTTCTGAGTGAAATAATTCAAGACAAGACTCTTTTGTTTAAATTGCTAGTTTACAAAGAAAAAAACCCTCTCATATAAGACTAAGTGACATAATAAGTATTCTATCAAGATATGTGCAAATACTGTGTATGCATTTAAACAACAAGAACAAAATAGCAAGAACAGAAGTAATATAAAAAGATGACCCTTGAAGCTGATTGACTAAAGCTTTGTTTTGGATCATGAACATGCATGTCACGTCGTCATCCATTCAGTCTGTCAGTTACGTCCACACAAGCAAGCAAGAGATATGCATGAAGGGAACCAGCTCTCCTCCCAGTCTCTCTTGACAGGCACAGCCCAGGCTGTTCAGCTCTCTGTAAGCTGAATTTGACTTCATTGGTTTGGTTTGATCGAATACTCATCTACTGAAAATTCTCAGGTTGGAAAAAAGTAAGGTTTATTGCCCAAGATTTTGATGTAAATTCTGAAAGCTGCATGTGAAAATTTAACACACACTTTGACCTTCCAGCCTTCATGTCATAAATAATTAATATGATTAACTCACAAAAGATGATCACTTTGCAAAACTAGCAATTGTTCATCCACACATTTTATTTTTTAAGGACGCCCCCTCCTCTTCCCCACTAATTCTTGTGAGTAATCTACAAAAAACAACAACAAAAAACGGCACTTTGTTTGCTAGGACAAAAGCAAGACATACCATATTTTAAAGTTATAAACTTGAAATTAAAAAAGCAAAAATTTAAGAGGGGGTACAGCTCAAAGGTAGAGCATTGGACTGCAGATCAAGAAAGCAAAAAAATCTTTTTAAAAAATTATTTTATCTTTTATAAATAATTTTTATATCTAATTGACTTAGCACTGATCCTCCTGCTTATGTAGAACTAACAACCCACTGAAAATATAATGTAACTGCAGAATGCCCTAGCCATCAACATAAAATGCAATTAATATTGGGGATGGTGAATTGTTAAACTAAAAGTTTAGATTAAATTATATGTAAAATTGTACCACTGAGTGATCTACTAATTTTTGTTCTAATTTAGATATATGATTTTCCTTTTGCATCAATAAATCAATCAAATTTATAGAACTAGGCATCATGAATTTTGGTGTTCCAGTTCTACATTTCACAATCAGTCTTCCTTTTGCTTCAATTTTGTTCTTACACGACAAATCACTTAAAAAAATTATATATTAAAATCCTTGAGCAAAATATTGGAAACACAATGCAATATTAATGTTTTGCTAAATATAGGCACTGAATTTTGCTCAGCTCTAACCAAAGCAGACCAAAAATTAGGAATTTTCCCCCCGTTCTATATAATACACAGAAGCTCCGTTTTAACTTTCAATGGGGTTACTTTCCAAGAAACCCATTGTAAGTTGAAAATATTGTTAAGTCAAAATACATTTAATACACCTAACCTACAGAACATCGTAACAGCCTAGCCTAGCTTACATATGCTCAGAATACCTTACATCAGCCTACAGGGGCCCAAATCATCTAATGAAAAGCCTATTTATAACAAAGCATTGAATATCTTATGTAATTTACTGAATACTGTACTGAAAGTGAAAAACAGAATGGTTGTATGGGTACTCAAAGTACGGTTTCTACTGAATGCCTACTGCTCTCTCACCATTGTAAAATCAAAAAATGTAAGTCCAACCAGCATTAAGGAGTCAGGGACTATCTGTACTCAGCTATCACCTGACGTCATTACTGTTGAGAACCATTTTAAAGAATTTTGATCAATGTTATCAGCTCCTTTCTCTCTCCACACTATCTATATATTTTAGATAACATTAATATTTTCCAGGGAATTTTAAAGATTTCCACACAGCCAATATTAACATTTACATATGGAACATACATTATTGAGGTATCTGCCTTTTCATTTTTAAAGGCTGGTTTTTTTTATTGTAAGCATGTCATATTGCTAATGAATTAGAGAAAATATTTTCCTATCCCAATGTCTGCAAAATAATAAGTTGTCAAATAATGTAATCGATTTAAAGTCTGAATTTTAATACTTGCTAAAATCCATTATACAAGTTATATTAATGAGCATCTGCATTTCTTAGTTCCTCCATTAATATTTTCAGAATTATGTTTATCTACCTCACAGGAATATTATAAGAAATAATTACATTTGTAAAAATCCTTATGAACCACAGATGGAAAGCATTACATATGCCGAGTACTATCTCGGTGATGCCGTTAAACCAAATAAAAAGTGTGTTCCTTTATTATCAGGGAGAAAACAAGTACCACCTACTTCCCAGCTTGTTTCCTTAATCTCTCATATGTGCAATTAAACACTAAAACTTCATGCTTAAGAAACAAATTTCACTGCCACTAAAGTAACAGTTATTTCCAAAATATATAAACCTATACTCTAGTGTTATTAAAATCTCAATATGAATAACATCTTCATATTATATCTTTTTTTATTGGGAAAAAAAGGTAGTTGTTACTAAACATAAATAATCACAGTTCTGGCTGCAGTCCAAGGTGTAAGCACTTCCCTCTGCTGTCTCAGCAATTCTCCTGATGTCAAAGACACATTAAAATAAATGGGAACCATATGGCTCCTCAGCAGAATACCCGCGCTGTTGCAACCAAGAGGGCAATGCAATTCATTACCACCATCGGAGAAATATTTTGGGGACATGGAATATCTCAGTGCAAAATAAAGCCGCATGAGGCATTCTGACACAATGACAGAAGGAAACATTTGCTATTCTTCAGCTCTACTAACCTGTTTTGCTGCGTTTTACATTTTCTCAATACCACCATGAGCCTCTCCTGTTACAAGGATTAAACAGCATTTTCCACCTGCTCAGTGACTTCCCAAGCAGTATTTCATCTGGTCCAACAATTCAACCCTGTCAAGCCTAATATATCATGATAATCCAGGTCAGAACATCACTTAAAAACAACAACAAAGAAACAAAACAAAACAAATCCTCAACAGCAACAAGAGCAACAAAAAAATTCTAAAATCTCTTAGAAATTATTCTGGAGAGCAAGACTGGGCCCAAAACCACATACTTGAACTTTTAACTTTGCTGGGAAGGATGAAATCTTGATGCATGCTTAAAAAAACAGAAATGCCATTAAATCTAAAAAAGCCTTTACTATACTTATCCTGAATAAAAATCTAAGTCATTAAAAAACAAAGGAGGAATTTAATTTATGCTGTTTTACTGGATCCATATGTCTGAAATTCTACATTTAAAATAAAGATCCAGGCTGGGTGCAATCGCTCATGCCTGTTATCCCAGCACTTTGGGAGGCCAATGCAGGTGGATCACTTGAGTTCAGGAGTTCGAGACTAGCCTGGGGAATATGGTGAAACCCTGTCTCTCCAAAAAAACAAAACAAAACAAAAAAAACACAAAACAAAACAAAACAAAAAAAACCTACAAGGCTGAGGCAGAAAAATCACTTGAGCCTGGGAGGCAGAGGTTGCAGTGAGCAGAGATCTTGCCATTGCACTCCAGCCTAGGTGAAAGGAGTAAAACCCTGTCTCAAAAATAAATAAACAAATAAAATGGAGATACAGGGCTGCAGAATTGGAATTAAAGCAGAGGTCATAAGGGCAGCTAAGAGAGGGACAGTTGGGTTTATTTGTGTACCCTCTGTTTGCTGGCTGTCAGTGAGTGATTTGGGAGGGTTGCAAATATCAAAAACAAAGGGAAAATTTTACTATAACTGTGATTTTTCTATAGATAGATCACATTTTAAAATTGGGCTTGCACTTCAAATTTTCTTAATCTTCTCAATTTCTGCTATGGTCTGAATGTTTGTGTTCTTCCAAAATTTATATGTTGAAATTCTAACCCCCAAGGTGATGGTATCAGATAGTGGAGCATTTGGGAGGTTGTTAGGTTTTGGGGGTGGCACTCTCATGAATGAGATTAGTGCCCTTTTTATTTATTTATTTATTTTTATTTTTTTGAGACCAGAGTCTCACTCTGTCGCCCAGGCTGGAGTGCAGTGGCATGATCTCAGCTCACTGCAGCCTCCACTTACCAGGTTCAAGCAATTCTCATGCCTCAGCCTTCCAAGAAGCTGGGATTACAGGTGCATGCCACCACACCCAGCTCATTCTTATATTTTTAGTATTGACGGGGTTTCACCATGTTGACCAGGCTGTTCTTGAACTTCTGCTCTCAAGTGATCCACCTGCCTGGGCCTCTTAAAGTGCTGTAATTACAAGTATGAGCCACTGTGCCTGGCCTTAGTGCCCTTTTTATAAAGAGACCCCAGAGAGACCATGACCCCTTCAACCATATGAGGACACAGCAAGGAGGTGCCATCTATGAGAAGTGGACCCTTACCAGACACCAGATCTACTGGTGCCCTTGAACTTGGACTTCCCAGCTTCTAGAACTATGAGAAATAAATTTCTGCTGTTTATAAGTTACCCAGTTTATGGTATTTTGTTACAGCAGCCAAAATGGACTAAGTCAATATCTAATCATTTTCAAAACTATGGATAGAAGAATTACTTGAGCACAATGTCTGGCATAGAATTATCACTCAATATCTACCAGAAAAATAAAATTGAGACTCAGCTCAAATGTCACCACCAGGAAGCCTTCCACAGAGTCCCTAGGATGAAGTAACTGTTCTTTCTACACATTTCCAAAGCATGCTTGCTTCGATACTGATAATAAAAATGTGAGCGTGTGTGTGTCTCTCTCCTCTACTCAGGCCTTGGGTTGCAAGGACTATATCTTACTATGGAACCCTCAGGGTACAGCACACTGCTGGGCACTAAAACTCACTTATATATGTTGGTTTAAACTGAATGAATGAATAATTAAACAATGGGCTAAATACATAAGCATTTATATTTCCTAAATATATTTTCTTTAATTCTGAATGATAAGATGACATTCAACAGTTCTCCCCTGAAGCCTCATGCTCAACATGTCTTTCTTCTTCAATAATTTCTAGTCACTTTACCTGTTTTCCTGGGGTATTTTTCAAAGAAAAAATTATGTATTGAAGCAAGGATACATGACTTTCATGGCTTGAGGGTACACATAACTTTTGCATTAGAAACCATTTGAAATATGCTATATTTTACATATCAGAAGACCTAACATGACAAACTAACCCTGGCTCCATAATCTCTAAACAATCCAACTATAATGAGTTTGTAAACTCATCTCTAAAAAGCAAGTAGCTGGTGGGGGAAGAGTTACCTGAATATTATAAATGATTTTGAAAGAGAAATCCTGCTGATAATGTATCACTAATTGGTACTGACCTCTAGCAAAAACACATGACTGAATTTCCTGCCGTTAGCAGTCAATTAGTGATGGTTTTACAAAATGATTCTGCCTCTTAGTACTTAAATTGTCATCTGTGCCTTAGAGGAGTGACTTTCCTATAAAAAAATCATATTGCTTAAGATTTATTAATTTCCTGTGAAATTTTATAATATACAGGCATGTGTTCTAAGATAGATAATTCAATGTTGTAGGGGTAATGGTGATGAGACATACGTAGAAGGCCTAGTTGATGGATCGTGAGAGAAGGAGCAGAAATAAGCAAAGACGATTTTAAATTTTATAAAAATATGAAATCATGATAGAACTGAAACATTATGGTCTAGAATATAAGTTGAATGAGGGCAGGGTTTTGGCATGTCTGGGACTGATTCAAAGTTATCCTATTAATGTTCACAGATGGTGGCAAAAGACATGAGACTCCGGGGTCAAAAACAAAGAACCTTATTATTCACAGCACAGGAAGCAGCAAGAGCATCATGTTTCTGTTGGTACTCCTTGATCCCCAAATTCTACAGGGGCAATGTGGAGGGGCCAAACAGATGCTATGCACATAGTGGGTTTGTACTGCACCAAAGGCTCAGTAAGCTTGGTAACCTACTGGTTTTTAGCAAGCAGTAAGCAAGACTGTTCTTTGTCCCAGAGGAAGACTTTTTCTCATCCCTCAAGCTTGCTTGCTACAAACACAACATTGAGAAATGGTCCAAGTAAGGACAGGTCAGGGCAGTACATTCTTTTTATCCTCAGAAAGATGTAGAAGAGTATAAGACACATGGAGGAATGTTTTCCAACAGCGTTTTGGTTTATTTTTTCATTCATAGATTCCAAGCATCTGGGATACAGTAGATATTCAATACACATGTGTTAAATGAATGAGTGGGGTTTATAGGTTAAAATTTTGTAATTTAGCTCATAGTGCATCATCTAGCAGTTTTATGTTATTAAAGAATCCTCTAAAATACCCATGGAAGAATAGAATCACTCTATAATCTTCTCTCTATCTCTCTTTCTTTCTCTCTTTCTCCCTTCTCTTTTTCCTGCATGTAGCTCCAACAATCTTTATCGGAGTTTCTAAATGACAGAATACAGCACAGAGCAAATTTGAAAAATAAAGTCATAAAGAATATGCAAGCTGGGCGTGGTGGCTCACGTCTATAATCCCAGCACTTTGGGAGGCTGAGATGGACAGATCACCTGAGGTCAGGAGTTCAAGACCAGCCTGGCCAGCATGGCAAAACCCCATCTCTACTAAAAATACAAAATTAGCCGGGCATGGTGGCGCATGCCTGTAATCCCAGCTACTTGGGAGTCTCAGGCAGGAGAATCTCTTGAACCTGGGAGGCGGAGGTCGCAGTGAGCTGAGATCACACCATTGCACTCCAGCCTGGGCAACAAAGAGCAAAACTAAATCTCAAAAAAAAAAAAAAAAGAATATGCATAATCATTTTTAGATTTCCCAGAAATTTTATCAATGCCACGTCTACTCTTATTAGACATTGCAATTCTTGCAAAAAAATAATCTCACAAGTAAATATATCATAGCTATCATATAGTATGTGAAAGCAAAATTCAAATCACCTGAAGAAACAATCTTTCCCTGTGAAGAGTCTAAAACTGAAAGGTTTCCTAAGGAATGCTTAATGAAGTGTTTTTATTCCTGTGAAATACATTTTTCCCCTAGGTCTCCTCAGAACTCACAGATATTTCCCTTTGCAAGCATCTTGCCAGAGGAGAGAATCAGTATAAAGCTCTTTGGAATCATTTTGGCAGCCCCAAAGAGTGGTATTAGCTACAGCTCTGCTTTCACATCTACAGGGTGCATAGGGCAATACATACATTATACCGTGTGTGTGTGTGTGTGTGTGTGTGTGTGTGTGTGTGTGTGTGTTTGTGTGTGTGTATTCTCAGGTACTACTGGATGCATAGAAACATCCCAAAGAGTCTATGTTTGTCTTTTATCTGTGCTACTCTCATGACATGGGCTATTTGTTACAAGAAATATTCTTTCCAAAGCCAAACGTAACCTCAGACTTGGACTGTAAAAAGGAAGGTATAAAGAGGTTTGTTTCCCCTCTACATTTTAAGAGTTTATATTTCCTTGGATAGAAGAGAAACAAAAGAGCAGAAGAATGCTTATACTGCATTTTATAAAAGCAGGATCCAACTTCTTTTACCTTTAAAGAGCACTTCTCAAAAAATTTCCATGTTTCCTTTATCATTTGGAGCAAACTAAAATTCCAAACCTTGGTTCTCAGTATTATCTACTAACCAGTTCCTCTGGCCTCTGTCTCAGGTACACAGGCTTCAATAACTCTAAATTTAATTTTTAAGTGATTTATATGAGCAAAATTTTCATCTCTGATCCCTACCAGAGACCAATTCACTCCCCAAAGGGTCTCTTGGTCTTTAGAGTTGGAAAAAAGGAAAAAGTGAGAAGAAGAATTCTTTTAAGGTAGACTTGCCTGCTGTGGTTCCCAGACTCCTGACCTTTGATTAACGATTCAGTAAGGATAACACAGGACATTTTTTGAGTATGTGAATAATCCTGGGAGAGTTAAAGGACTATTACTGTTCCCAGATGATAATGAATTTAATTACTTTCCTTCAACAGAAGAAGTTACCCTTTTGTCTTTAGTAAATCTTAGGAATTGAGAAAGACTTGAGGAGGTGACAGATAGCTTTCAGTAAAGAACTCTTCAGGGATGGGAGGTCTAAGCACTGACAATGCAGGGGTGCCCTAGGGCAGCTCAAGGGTATTAGAGAAAGATAAACTAGAACTGGTGAACCATTGTTGTGGTCTGGTTTAAAATTGCACACAATCGATTACTACAGCAATAGGTTTCCATTATTTATACATAAAATAAAGATATTGATATGCATGTTTAAACATTTTAATAATAGTGGTGTGTGACCACAAGTTTGGAAACCTACTAGGACACAAGAGATGGAACTATGTAAAAGATAAATGGATTGTTTTCAAGTGTTGCTTCTATTAGTGATGTTTTATTTGTATGCTTACCATGTGTCAAGGACCTTTCTTATTGCTTTATAGGTATGAATTCATTGAATCCTCAGCAGCACGATCATAGTTTAAATAGGTAAAACTATACCAATTTTGTAAATGAAACTGAGGTCCACAGAGGTGAAGTAATTTACCAAAACCTTACAGCTGGTAACACAGAAGCCTGATTTGAATGCAGACAGTGTCAAGCTCAAGCTCAAGCTGTTAATCTTGACACTATATTGCCTTCCTTTATTAGTTCTGGAATGCTCTCATACTCTTTCTTCTTCCTTATTATAGCCTGTGAACAGCTGCTCCCAGGATCCAAACTCTAGAATTAAGCAATAATAATCTAGCTACATTATTCAGAAAATGGGGAGAGGAAGCTACCTGCATGTTAGAAGCAGCTAGAAGCAACGTAAGTAGTAAGCCCCTGTAAGCCTCTGCAGTACCAGACTGCTAGTGGCCTGAAGCTATCAATCCTAATGATGCAGGCTTTGGAGTGAAACATACCAGTAGATTCATTGCCACCTTAGGTCAGCTATGGCACCCATTCCTTATCTGGAATCTCCTAGGGCAGTGGTGAAGTAATGGTATAAACATGAATAGTGGACAAAAAGCACTTAGTTCATATCCTGCTCTGTCATTTACTTGCTGGGTGAGCTAGGACAAATTAATCTTTCTGTCTCGCTCACCTCATGTATAAATAGTTTTAATAATAATACTCATCACATAGTGCTGTTATGAGGATTAAATAAATATTTGTAACACATTAAACAAAGTTTGGCACGTAGTAAGTACTGTATAAGTGTTTGTTAAAAGTAAAGAAATCAAAAATCATTTATATAATTTGAATTCACATAAATCATTTATATGAAGCAGTAGAGTGCCTGACACAGAGAATCAATATGTATGAACTATTCATTGGAGGCAACCAGCCCCACATGATAAGAGTTTTACAATTAAAATGCTCTGTTCTGTACTTTAAATGTATAGCATTCTGGAATTTAAATACTTTTTTGGGGTCTGATATTTGTTTTGGCACATAAAGGTAATGGACACTGAATAACTGATATATTTCTGACAGATAATTGACAAATATATCAGGAATAATGCTAAGTCCTAGGGTCATAATTATGAATGAGAGACAAAAGGTATCTGTAAGAGACAGTCTAAGATGGATATTTTAATCTTGATTTTCTGAAGGAGGAATTAGAGGCTCCAAGTGGCTCTCCTCCAAGGTCATAAGCCTGGAAAATGAGTCTCACATCCAACTCTGCCTGGCTTCACAGCAATGCCCTTTCCATTTCCCTGTCTGCTGTATCTCCTCAGGTGTCAAAACACTGACTTTGTCATTCTCAGATTTGTCCTTTCTTTGCTGTTGGGTATGGCAACTCCTGTGTATATTTCAAAATCACGGGATTTAAAGGACACCTTTTGACTTGTTCCCTTTAAAATGAACAGATTTATATTTATCCATCCACTCATTAACTTCTTTACTCAGCCGTGTATATAACCATGCACTTTGTGGCCAGATCACTAAGATATAAACAGTTGATTCTCATTATTTATAGATTCCGAATTTATTTGTAACTCCAAATCAATACACATTCACAGACCTCGCAGAACAGTGAAAAATTGAGTTGTCCCATGTGTATGTTCCCAGTTGAGGCTGAACAAGGTGACTTTTGCCTTCCTATTTCAGCTCTCCTACTGTAAACAAATGTCCTTCATATGGTGCTTAGTGCCACATTATTTGCACGTTTTGTGCTTTTTGTAGGTAATTTTCCTGTTTGAAAAGGCCCCCAAGTACCAGTGCTGTCTACTATTCCTAAATGCAAGAAAGCAGCGATGTGTCATATAGAGAAAATACGTGACAAGACATGTTTTTTTCAGGCATAAGTTATGGTGTTGTTGGTCATAAGTTTAATGTTAATCAATCAACAACATATATTTAATAAGGTGTCTTTAAACGGAAACAAACAAAACAAGATTATGTATTGATTGGTGGATGAAAATGTTATGACCAGAGGCTCAACAGGTACCTAACCCTGTATTTCCCCCAGGAGCAACGGCTCTGTATTTACTAAGTCAGTCTTCCCTGAAACCTTATAGAACATAACTATCATGAATATTGAGAATCAACTGTACTTTTTCTCTGTCAGAGGACATTTCCCAACAATTGATGAGCAAAATTTAAGAATACAAAGCTGACAAAAAATAACATTCAAATATTAAAAATATATTTAAGAAAGTGTTCAACTTCAGTGGTCACAAAGAAATAAAAATCAAAATAACAAAATATATTTTTGCTGTCTAGCAAATAATGCAAAATTATAAAAATTTTCAGTTGTGGCAAGAGTACAAAGAGATAGGTACTTTTCTATACTACTTGTTGGCATATTAAAGATTTACAACATTTTCAGAAAGCATCTTCATCTTTTAAAAAATATAAAATAAATAGTTCTAAATATAGGAATCAGTAGTAAGGATATAATCAGAAATTTAGAAAATGATTTTTTTTTTTTTGAGATGGAGTTTCACTTTTGTTGCCCAGGCTGGAGTGCAATGGCACGATCTCAGCTCACTGCAATATCCGCCACCTGGGTTCAAGCAATTCTCCTGCCTCAGCCTCCTGAGTAGCTGGGACTACAGGCATGTGCCACCATACCCAGTTTATTTTGTATTTTTAGTAGGGACGGGGTTTCACCATGTTGGTCAGGCTGGTCTTGAAATCCTGATCTCCAGCGATCCACCTGCCTTGGCCTCCCAAAGTGCTGGGATTATAGGCGTGAGCCACCACTCCCAGCCTAGAAAATGATTTATGTCAAAATGTGTTCATCACTAAGTTAAATATAATAATGAAATATTGACAAAACACCTAAATGCCTGACTTCATAGAAATGGTTGAGTAAAATGACTGTCTTTTGTACTATATATATTGGGATATTTTTGTAGCCAATAAAATTAATAAGATTTTATAGATATTTCAATAATATTAGAAAATGTCTGATATAGTATTCAGTGAAAAAGGGGCATTAAAAAAGGTTTAACAATAATTTGTAGCAACTATATAATAGTACATTTTAAAAAATACTGGGTTAATACAATGCGAATACTGGTTGTATTAGGGTAATGAATCTGTATCTGTACACTGTTTTGAACTTTCCAACTTTTACACAATGAACATTCACAAAAAGTAGATTTACAAAGACTGTAAATTCTCCATTTTGTACATTAAGAAACACTTCCACTATAGTTTTCTGAATTGAAGACAATGAAATTGTTTAATGCATTCATGAAATGGCATTGCTATAAATGAGTCATCTTATACTCTGGCACTTATGATCATATGTTTTACATTTTCAAAACTCCATTAAGCATAAGCACTGGTACTTATTCATACTTATTCATAGAGATCCATAAAGTATGTTGCAGAGCAGAAACCACTCAGTAATGGTCATGAATGTGGCGCTCCTTTCCGATCCCAATCATGACCAGCTATGAGTACTAATACCACCTAATTCTGAGCCAATGATAGTGAGCCTGAAAATACACTAATAGCTCCATCTCCATTAGTGATGCCAGGTATACAATTAATCTGTTTCTGCATCACAGGGCATACTCACACCCACTGGGTAGTAGTGTTTCCACCAAATCTCTATATAAAGACCCAGACAAATTAAGTTGTAGCCTCATTCTTGCTTTTGGATTCACGTTCCATTTCCTTGTTAGAACTCAAGCTTTCCTAGTGACAGGCCTAGTCATGTTAAGGTCTTTCCTTCTGTTCAGGACATTGACTTGTTCCTTTAATTTCAAGCTATTTTATGAGTTCTGGCTATAGCCTTGTTGAATCAACCTAGAATCATATTTCTGTGACTCACCTGTTGCCTTGATCTAGCAATACCTTCTGCCATACTTTGTGCTATTCTATCAGAAATTTTAGCTAAAAACAAAAACAAAACAACAAAACAAGCCAACCAAACCTATCTGGATCAGAACTGAGTATGCCATGACACCTGGGACATTGTGAATAGGAATGCTGGTTGTCTTCCATAGAGGTCAACCCTACTGCCTAGTGACTGCCCTCATTGCCTAGCCACCAGTCATGAACCAAATCTATGTGTTTTGCTCTAGCATTATTAAAAAAAATTAGTAAATGAACTAATTAATGCTTAATACTCTAATTATTTAAAAAATAATAAAATTGTAGTAGCATTAGCATGATGAAATTTTAGAATGGATGGAAACAATAACCATATTTTTGTTAGAATTAAGTTTTGCTAGAATTAAAATATGCATATGACTTACATATACAAATATTACATATGTATGTTTTTATAGTTACACACCTACTTATGTTAAGTATATGTGATTAATTTGTTCATTTAGTTCTAGTGAAGCCAAAGTTAGACATGGCAATAATGATTACTTGTTCCATCTTGAATGTTGATGCTATGGGTTATGAGAACTTAATGGGAGGAGATGGATCAGAAAAACACAAATATATCAATATTACTGGGAAAATATCTCAAGACACGTGTCTTATTGATGGAGTTAGTACAGTTATCCTCATATACAGGCCTCTGAAAACATACAGATCATCTTCCTATGTTATTCACTCAAAGAGAATCTTATCTATAAACTCCTAAATTATCCATTCATTCATCCAATTATGCACACATGCATTCATATTTATTTATTCACTGAATAAATATATATTAAGCACCTAGAATCCAGGCAATTTCTAAGTAGCTTCTGTGTAAGTTACCAATCTGCTTACATATGAATGTGTCACTTGCCATAGCTAATAAGAGCAAGAAAGGTCATTTGAGCCAATGGAAGAGATTGTTTCTCTTAACACTAATAGGAATACTATTAAAACAGTAGCATTCATTTACGTAAGTTTAAGAAACTGGGTTATAGCAATAAACAAGTTTCTTTACCCTTGGGTGTATTTCTTACTCCCCATGGTGTGTTTGGATATGTGAGCTTTGAAGCAGAAGCTGGTGGGGAGGTGAAGGGCTCTGCATCATGGTGGGAGTTGACTCTACAATTCTCCAGAGGAACAATTGAGGAGGGAAAGAAAAAATGGGTATGGAGCAAGGAAGGGTAGCACCAAAGAGATGGAGGGAAAGTTGCATGTTTGTCATGCACTGACTACCTGCAACTCTCAAATAGATGTTTAATCCTATAGAATTGTGTAGTTCTGGCCTACAACCCTGGTGAGCTGTACTGGCCTATGACTAAAGCATCTGTAAGCTTACTGTCCCTTTAACACAAAGACTAAACAAGTCTAGACTGGTTTTACCATCAGGTAAGATACTGCCTTTAGACAAGGCAATATTATATCATATGAAAACAATATAATAAATAAAATAGGGTATCGACATTTCTATTTGTCCTGTGTGCATGAACATCCTATGATAACATGTTCTTACCTGAACACAAATAATCCTGTTTCTGTCTCACTTGCCCTCTCCAAACGCTAACCTCTATTAAAGCACCTGATTAGCCCAGAGACTGTAGTCTCAAATGTACCTCTGGGAAGGAGGGTAAGGGTTTCCAATGACTTTGAATTTAAAGTTTTCCTTTAAAGCTCCTTCTTTTCCCAGGAGTAAAATGGAGGCAGGCTCTTGTCATCAAAAGGAATCAGATTGTCCTATGTGGTGTTGAGGTACATTTTTTATAAATATACAGAGAAAAGAATGAGTTTTGTCTAGGTTCTGCCCACTTGTCTCCACTATGATCTCAGTCAGCTTTTCAAACAGAAAATAAGAGGATGCCCTCACGGGCACCCCAGGGGCCCAGCCTGGCTGCGCACTTTGGCAGCTCTCCCACTCATCAGATCTGCTGCTGCAGGGCTTCTCAGTGTGTACAGCAATTCACAGAGGGAGAGCAATCAGCTCCCTCAGCTGAGAACACCAAGCCCGGAGCTCCAGGCTGGCTCCTCCCCAGCTGCAGTGTAAGTCTGGGAACACTCCCCTCAGGACTGCACTGGCTGGATTCAATAGCCTGCTGGGCCTAGAATGCATCAGGGACTGTTAGCACTCTGGGGAAATACCAAAGTGAACAACACAGGCTCCTTCCTGGACGAGATAACAATAAAGTAAGGCACACAGATGCACATCAAATAGCAAGGCAACCATACCAGTGTGAGAATGACTTTCCTCTGCAGGATGTACTGGAGTACTTTCTAGACACTAGAGTGTAATTGTTGTCACCTCCAGGTAGGTTTCTTCACCAGGTTGTAAGCAAAGAACATGCTTCACTGATCTTTAAATTATTAGCACCTAGCACAGGGCCTGGGTACTTCCTAATGTAATCTAGGTTGCTATTCATATCCCTTTCTCTGAGATCCTTTCCTTAACTTCCGTAAGCTATTTACTCATCCATCTTCTTTATTTCCTTTCTCTGTTTTATTTTTTCTGGAGTCTGTATCACTACTTGATGTTATGCATATGTCTGTTTCTTATCCATCTTGACCACCAGAATGTAACCTTTGTAAGAACAGGGCCCTTCGCCGGTCTTATTTACAACTGTATGCTGCATTCCTAGAATATTTCCTGGCAGACAGAACAGGTGCTCAATATGTGTTTTTTGTATGTTTTTCAAATAATGTTTTTCTGTGTGTGTTTTTTTTCTTTTTTTGGACAGGATCTCATTCCCATTGCCCAGGGTGGAGTGCAGTGGTGCGATCTCAGCTCACTGCAGCCTTGACTTCCCAGGTTCAGATGATTCTTCCATCTCAGCCTCCTGAGTACCTGGGATTACAGGCACACACCATCATGCCTGGCTAATTTTTTGTATTTTTAGTAGAGACGGGGTTTTGCCATGTGACTCAGGCTGGTCTCGAACTCCTGGGCTCAAGAGATCCGCCTGCCTTGGCCTCCCAAAGTGTTGGGATTACAGGTGTGAGCCACGGGGCTGGACCTCAAATAATGTTTTACAAAGATAGTCTATGAATAAATATTTGTAGAATAAATGAATTGGTTTAATAGCGTAACAGACATAAGGAGTGTTATGAAAACCCAATGAAGAAATTAATTTTGACTACTGAAAGATCATGAGAGGCTTTGTGCAGCAGGGTCTTGGAAGTGTGGGCAGGATTTCAACAGTTCAGGAAAGTACCCAGAGGTTGTAAGGGGAAGAACACATTCAGGGAGCCACAAATAGTGAATGATTGCAGAGGAGCTTCTGTCTATATTTTAGTAACTAGTTATATTTAACAGAAATTTATGGAGCAACTACTATGTGCCAGGCATTGTCCTCAGCAAGGAGGAAATGAGCAAAGCAGTAAGATGCAGCCCTAGTATTCAACATGTAATAGCTGAATAGGCTAGCATGGTTTCAAGCTTAAATCTTAGGATCAGGGGACTGGATTTTGTTCTGTGCTCAGTGGGGAGTCTTGGAAAGCTTGTGAGCTGGGAGATTGAAGTTCTTATGTGGAAAACAAAGAAAGGCATTAGAATGCTGAACAAAGCAAGACGAAAGAAGCTGCGATTTTCAGAAGAAATTGCTTTCGTTTTGTAATGAAAACATACCTAAATATTTTCCACACAGGTTCATAAGAAATCCTAGAAAAATAACAAAATCAAAATATTATCGATGCCAGAATTCGAGGCTTCACAATAGGCCATTACTTTCTTTCTTAAAGACAGAGACTATAAATCCGCTTACTCTAGGACTTTAGTGATCCTTATGCCAACATAGTTGTAGGTGATTTAAGTGATAGAAATAAACAATAAAAGACAATCTTGGCTGCCTTCCTTTTAGCAATAACATTACATTATTAAGTCCTTTGGAATAGGGCATCACTAGACTTAAGTCTCTTAAATCGGTATTTTCAGGTAACAACTGAGATGAATGTTTTAAGAGATATTAAACAAGCTTAACTACACAATCAGTGTATAGTTCACTTAGGTGGTTTTTTGCTAAGTTTAACGTGACAGAAATACTGTATTTGCATAAAGTATGACATAAGAAAATGTTCAAATATTACAGATTATATCAAAAAGAAGGTAAGGAAGATAATATTTTTCACATGTCTACCACAGTGCTAAGTGTTTTTCAGGCTTTATTCCCTTCTGGAATAGCCTTAGAAATGATATAACGGATTTCTACTTTGCAGATAGGAAACGAAAATTGATAGCTGGTAAGTCATGTAGCCCATGTTGTTTCAACTCAACTTGATAATGCAAAGCTCTGATAAAACAGTAATGAAATAAAGATGGGGTGAATCATGGGGCATGCCATAATTATTTAAATGTCTCATAAAGAAATACTCATTTAAGTTCCTTTTTATGAATCAAAATATTCTCATGGAGACTCTATTTAAACATAAAATGGTTAGATTTGTTGATTTCTAGGTTTAGCTTTTAAAAATGTAACTGTAAAGCTGTAAAGTCCCATTGCAGGGATAGAACATTCATGGGGAGAGAGAATAACATTTGGTTTCCTTATTTTTGTTATTTTTTTTAAAGAGACAGGGTCTTGCTCTGTCACTCTGACTGGAGTGCAATGCTGTGATTATAGCTCACTACAACTTCAAACTCCTGGGCTCAAGCAATTCTCCCATCTCAGCCTCTCAAGTAGATGGGACCACAGACACATGCTAATTTTTAAATTTTCTGTAAAGACAGTGTCTTGCTCTGTTGCCCAGGCTGGTCTTGAACTCCTGGCCTCAAGCAATCCTCCTGCCTCAGCCTCCCAAAGTAGTAGGATTACAGGTGTGAACTACCATGCCTGGCACTTCACTTTATTTTCCTAATACAATGACAGCCCTGTGACATTGATAAAAGAATAAAAAGAACATGTTCACACTAAATTCAGAATTAATACCTATGCTATATTCTAAGCACTCATAAAATGTTTAATAATTTTCTATTAACTTTAGTGTGATGATAGTCATATTTTGTTATCATTTCTAGGCCTGGCCATGCAGCACAGAAACTGTAAAAATTCTGCAAACAAGTCTTGAGTTAGGTTGATGCTCTAAATATTAATAGTATTTAAACCCATCCCTTTGAAACACGTTCACACATATTTGATTGCCAGATATTAATCTTTTCTTTAAAGGGCCAGATATTAACCATTTGGCTTTGTGAGCCATTCAGTCTCTTGAAACTAGTTGACTCTGCCATTATAGTGCAAAAGCAGCCACAGACAATAGGTAGATGAGTGAGAGTAGTTGTTTTCCAATAAAACTTTATTTATAACAACTGGTGAAAGAGTGGGTTTGGCCTGCAAGGCTGTAGTTTGCTAACTTCTGATTTATAGAACAGGTATGGCTATAAAAATATAATTTAAGCATAGTGACATGTTCTGATTGTTTACTTACTGATCTGTGTAACTTATCTGTTTCCACTTCTGCCTCTTCTAATAGACTGAGGTCTTTTAAGGCATGGAGAAAATCATGCTTTTTCTTAATATCCACAGTACATTAAAGGCAGGAGAGCTGGCCATTGGCTGCTATAAAGGCATCCATAAGAGCTTACAGAATATCAATGGAATAAATAAAATATATGTGTCAGTAAAATTAGATTTCCACAGAAGACAGGCAACTTGTATATCGGTCTTGTTCCCACCAAAGTAAACAGCTCCCTAGAGTGAGAATATAAAAACGCCTTCATTGGCACCACTCATCTCTGTTGAGGACACTCATGGCCTGCACATCAAGCTGCCCCTTGTAATTTACAGGCAGAGCCAATTCCTGCACCCACACATACACACACACATTGTCTCTAGCCCCTAGTCAATTGCCTGAAGTCATAAGTCACAGGGAGCCGAAATTCTGAATGTGTATAATGCATGGCATAACTGCTGTTTACCAAGAACCAGTGATTTATGTTAACATTGAAATTTAAAACCCTCTAATATACCTCCTCGGAAGTTATCTGGCTCAGAATATTGCAATAATAAGGCAATTATGATTAAGTTATAATGTTATATAATGTTTAGTGTGGGTAATAAATCTCTTATTTTTGAACATAATGAAAAAGCTATACAAATAATTAGAAACCTTGGCCCTAATAAGAAACGTTAACAAATAATTAGCCTCCCTGGGGTATTCATTCACAAATCTCTGTATGTCTCTTAGTAGGCTTTTGATAAATGTTTGTTAAATAAATGAAGGCAATAGACTTTTGCTCCACTAACTCTGAATAATCAAAGAACTAACTTTGAACACGTCAAATATCATCAATTTTATTACATGAGAAATACAATAATTTCTGATAAAATTCCCACTACAGGGTGGCTGTACAAGGACAGTGTTTCCTAAAATGGTGCTGAAATTCACTGTAAGAGATATATCCATGTATGGAGTAAATGTAAAATGATTACTTTGTCTGTCATTTGATAACTGGGAGAGAAAGAGATACTGAAAGCAGTTCTGGAGAGGATCCTGGAGACCCAGGCTGGAGGAGTTGTTGCTGTCCAGCTGAAGAAACAAAGATCCTTCATGGGTCCCGACAAGGAGTCCACCACTCACTGCAGTTAATGCCATGGGGAAGTCGGGAGATGGCAAACAGGAAAACATATGGTGGATTTCAAAGTGATCAAAGAGAAGGCATTATAAATGGGTAACACCACAGGAAAAGAGGGAAAGGCAATAAATCAGAGGGACTAAATAAAATCTTGAAGGAAAAGGAGGAGTCAGTCTTAGGTATACAAGAAATAAAAATGGCTATTCTAAATGCTGTCTTAGTAGAAAACGAAAAGACTAATTCAAAATACACATACACACTTTTAGGATTAATGCATTGTTTCCTAAGAACGCCAGAATTTATTTTTTCAGGCAGAAAAGGAGACAAAAAAGGAGCTTTTTTACGTCTTCAAAAATCAAAGAATAGACAGCCTTGGATGATGCACCCTAGGTTTTATTTTAGTCTACGTACAGATAGGATGATTAAGCTTTTGTACAGTCTGTTGAGAGTCTTTGAAAGAAAGCTTGTTTTAAACAATCAAATTCACCTGAGTACAAAAGAAAATGCTGCAACCTTTCTTTTAAGTGGTTAGAAGTGAACCACAGGAAATCAGCTTGGGGTCCTCTAGACCTGAGAGAAGGAATGGCTTGCTGAATGCAGCAGGCAGGGCAGCCAGAAATAAAAGGGGAATCAATGAAAGGTAGAGTGCAAAATGAAGACAAATAAAGATGAAAACTTTTAAAGGGGAAAAAAAGCAGGGAGATCAAATAGGATTAATGCTAGGCCACCATTTCAGATTTTCACAGTTTACTGATGGTTCTGGGGTTTAACATTTACTAATTTGATTTCTGAATCAAACATATCGAGATATCTTCATTTCTCACTTGGTAGAATATTTCATGAATGACCCTAGAGGGAAAACATTTCACTCTGCCTCTGATTTAGGTCTCTCTTCTGGTCCAACAAGTAACCAAATGACCTGGGACAAGTCGCATACCTGTGATGCCTCAGCTGCCTCACAGAAAACAAAACAAAACAACAAAAGGCATCATAACTGTACCCCTGGATTCATAGCGTTTTGAAGAAAAACCATGGGAGCTTTACCTCCGTGAATGAGATGCACAAACTGGAGCATAAGAAAGCAAAGCTACTGCGAGTGACATGGTTATAGGAGAGTTCCAGGGCTGCAGAATCTGCTGTTGTTGAATACTATATAATGAGGCAGAAAGAGGCAAACAGTGAGGGTGTACTCTTGTCCTCTATCTGTACGCAGAACCTGAAGCAGGAAAGAGGGAGTGATGTCAGGAGAACAACTTGGTGGGAGCCTGTGGAAGTGGAGCACAGACTATTTCCCTTGAGCAGGGTGAGTTTCAGAGATTATCTGTGAAAATGTTCTCAAACTTTGTATCAGAATTGCCGGCAGCAGTCATATGCTGGAAAATGTTTAACACATGGCTCTTACCCTGATTTGTAGTGTTTATCAATTTCCATAGTGTAAATATTCCCACTGTAACCAATTTTTCTTCCACAGATTTAGGGAGGAGATAAAGAGCCTGTACTACCTGGTTCCAAAATTCTACCACCTGAAAGACTTGTTTAAAAGCACAGACTTTTAGGCCCCATCCTTAGTGTTTCTTTTTCTTTCTTTGAATTTTTATTTAATAGAGATGGGATCTCACTATGTTGCCCAGGCTGGTCTGAAACTCCTGGGCTCAAGTAATCCTCCCGCCTTGGCCTCCCAAAAGCTGGGATTACAGGCACGAGCCACTGTGCCCGGCCCCCTCATCCCTAGTGTTTCTGATTTGGTGGTTCCCACAGGATACTGATTTATTTTTTTTGGAGACAGAGTTTTGCTCTCATTGTCCAGGCTGGAGTGTGATGGCGCCATCTCGCCTCACTGCAACCTCCGCCTCCCAGGTTCAAGCGATTCTCCTGCCTCAGCCTCCGGAGTAGCTGGGATTATAGGCGCCCACCACCACGCCCAGCTAATTTTTGTATTTTTAGTAGAGACGGGGTTTCACCACGTTGGCCAGGCTGGTCTTGAACTCCTGACCTCAGGTAATCTGCCCCCCTCGGCCTCCCAAAGTGCTGGGATTACAGGTGTGAACCACTGTGCCCAGCCAATACTGATGTTTTTATTTCAGGTCTATACTTTGAGAACCACTAGTCTATGAGGAGAAATGTTGCAGATAATAAGTACAGAAAGCAATTGAAAACCTGTGATACATTGGTCTGCAAAAGAAGACACAAGAAGTAGAAAAGGGGGAAAAAGGCACAAAATGGTGTATCAAGAAAGAGTAGATCTAAAAGAAGAGTATGTTTGTAGTAGGGGTTGGGGAATCTCTGGAGCCTATCCCTCAGGGCTCATTTGTAATAAGAACATACTAAACAAGAGTAAGCAATGAAATATAAGGTTTGGATATGATTTGGTATAAAATCATGCCAGAGTAGGGCTGGTAGGATAATTCTGTGGCAATTCCGCTGGACAGGCTGGGGCTAAAAACTAACCATTCTCTTCAGGAATTCAACTATGGCTTCATGGGAATTTTTTGCTTGTTTTAGCAAACATTTCGAAGCATTAACAGCTCCAGTACAATTTGCTGGGATATATATAGCAGGGCACTGGAGAGAAAACGAGTCTACTGAAGAATGGGTTCAAGAGGCAGCTCTCCATTTATTGACTGTGTACTGTGGGAGGAACATGTGTAACATCTCTGAGCATAGTTCCTCATTCATGAATGAGAAAAATGCATGCTCTGACCATGTCTCTGGGTGGTGAAGAACAAATAAGGACATCTTTTCAACCATAGTTACTAATGGTGGGAGGAGTCGATTGTGAGAGTAAGGTCATGTGACAAGAGGAAGAAGTGTGATTCAGTGGACAGAGAGTTTTGTTTAGGTAGAAGTGAGTTATATCTAGTAGTGGAGGGCACCAGAAACATGGTTTGCATATGACTCATGCAATCAGTGCAATGTGAGGGGAGAAGAATGGATGCAATGACGAGAGAGTATCAGTGCGTTCTTTTAAAGAGGCAGAAAAGGCTATCTCTAGCAGACTGACATGAATTATTTCCCAGTAAAAGTAAGCTATGCCTACTTCAAGGGCCCAGAACGAAAGAGAAAAGAACTCAGAAAAGCTGCCTGTGGCTATAATAGAAAGAGCAGTCAGTGCAAAAGAGCTTCCAGGGGAGATAGCAAAGGATTTCAGGTAATGGAAAGAAGAACAAGGCAAAGAAAAACAAGCTACCCAGCAGAGACAATAGAGAAATCAAGAAAATGGCAGGAAAATTACTGTACCTGCTATAAAGAGGAAATGAGTAGGCATGCTTCAGAGGTAAAGGTATTCTCAGGCCAGAGGGAGAAGAATATTGAGCGGAGACAACAAGCTTAGTTGTGCAGCTCCCCACAAGGTTTCCATAGTAGTCAAATATTGAGTGGGAAAAGGGGATGCATTAATAGAAAATCTAAGATAACCAGCAGGGACCAAAGAGAACAATCAAATGGAGAGTGAAGGAGTTCAAAGGCAGCCATCAAGAACTAACCTTCTCTAAAGTAAATAAAAGCACAAAGCTGGAATAAGCAATGTGTATCCCATGAGAAACGAGGCCAGCAACAAGGCTACAGGATGGTGAAGGAGGTTCAACTACAGAAAGGAAAAAGGATCTGTTCATTGTGTTCTTGAGAAAATGAGAAGTAATTGAGGGTACGGAAAACCATAGGTAGGCATGTGGATATTTCTTGGTTTGCGAAGAATATAAGTAATTTTATCCTTACATTTAAAAGTATGGAAGAGTCAAGAGCTTTCACCTATGAGAAAGGGTGGTCCACACTGGGGTGAAGTCATTTGGCCACTGGGTACCAAGAGGAGAGGGCAGCAGCCATGAAAGGTGGCAGAACACGAGGTAGCAGCAACAGGCAGTCTGTACTGACCTGCTTGGAGAGTGGCAAAAGAAACTGCATGTTATAGCAATGAAGCAAAACAGTAAGCTTTTAGAAATGCTCTGCTCTCAAATATTTATCTCATGCTTTGGACAAGGAAATACGGAATGTTAGCAGTACTTTGAAGGGGGAAATAAGGTGTTTATGTACCTGCAGTACACCAATCCATATACACGGTAAGGATTAACTTATTACAAGCTTTTGAGCTAGTTATTAAATCCAGCCTTTGGACCTTTGTATTTGTATTTGCCCTTTTGCCTGGAATATTCTTACCTTAGATGTCCATCTCACTCCTTCCCTTACTTCATTTGAGTCTCTGCTTAAGTTTCACCTTACTGGCAAAGCCTTTTCTTACCCTCATTTCTTTCACTATCTCTTCTCTCTTCTCTTTTTTTTTTTTCTGAGAAGGAGTTTCACTCTTTTGCCCAGGTTGGAGTGAAGTGGCATGATCTCGGCTCACTGCAACCTCCGCCCCCTGAGTTCAAGCGATTCTCCTGCCTCAGCCTCCCAAGTAGCTGGGATTATAGGCACCCACCACCATGCTGGGCTAATTTTTGTATTTTTAGGAGAGACAGGGTTTCACCAGGTTGGCCAGGCTGGTCTCAAACTCCTGACCTCAGGCAATCCACCCACCTCAGCCTCCCAAAGTGCTAGGATTACAGGTGTGAGCCACTGTGCCCAGTCATTTTTTTCTTTTCTTTTTTTTTTTTTGAGATGGAGTTTTGGAGTGCAGTGGTGTGATCTCGGCTCACTGCAACCTCTGCCCCGAGTTCACGCGATTCTCCTGCCTCAGCCTGCCGAGTAGCTGGGATTATAGGTGCCCGCCTCTGCACCAGGCTAATTTTTGTACTTTTAGTAGAGACAGGGTTTTACCATGTTGGCCAGGATGGTCTCGAACTCCTGACCTCAGCCTCCCAAAGTGCTAGGATTGCAGGTGTGAGTCACCATGCCTGGCCTCATATTTTTCGTTTCTTTTTTCTTTTCTTTTTTTTTGACAGAATCTCACTCTGTTGCTGAGGTGGGAGTGCAGTGGCATGATCTCAGCTCACTGCAACCTCTGCCTCCCAGGTTCAAGCAATTCTCCTGTCTCAGCTTCCCAAGTAGCTGGGATTACAAGCACCTGCCGCCACGCTCAGCTAACTTTTCCTTTTTTTTTTTTTTATTAGAGACAGGGTTTTGCCATGTTGCCAGGCTGGTCTCGAACTCCTGACCTCAGATGATCCACCCACCTTGGCCTCCCAAAGTGCTGGGATTACAGGCATGAGCCACCGTGCCTGGCACTTTTTTTTTTAAAGAGCACTTACAACTACATGTTATGTATATTTGTTACCTGTCTCCTTACCCAAATGTTGGTTCTTTGAGAACCGGGTAGTGCCTGTCTCACTCCCTGCCATATCCAATACCTAGAAGTATGCCAGGCACATAGGAAGTGCTCAGTAAATACTTACTGAATGAAAGAAAGGCTCACTGGTCCCATTTTGCAGATGAGGAAATGAGCTCATTTAGTAACCTGCCTAGGACACAACCAAAATGATGGGAGTCACGATTTGAAATGAGATCTCTTGGACTGTCACATTATTTCAGTTGTTCTGCATGACTTCTCTAAAAACACAATGTGGCACATATATCTGAGGGGCAGTGTGATGCAGTTGCCGGCTTCACAGTCAGACTGGGACTCCAATCCTGGCTAGGCCATTATTTAGTTTCCCACTTTCCGCGGGCTTCTTACCCTCTCTCTGCCTGTTTCCTCTTTGTAAAATGAGAAAACCCATCTCACCGGTTGTAGAGATGAACAATACAATGTGTGGCACCTAACAGACTCCTCATGCATGCCAGCTGAGACTGCTGAAGTGAAAGAATAAATAAAGGAAAGAGGTGATGGGAAGGAGGAGGAAATAGGGAGAGGCAGGGGAAGTAAGGGTGAGAACCTCAGTGTGCTTTGCTTTCTTCGTGGGCTGTAGGATGAAAAGAAGGCTTCTTAGTTAAGAGAAGAAAACCCAGGCAGCTTTTGTGTAGAAGAGGGACCTCTCAGGGGAAATTTATGAGGCACCAGTATAACAATGGATGAGAGCAGCTGGCCAGCAAGGGACTGTGTAGGTACCAGGGTACCTCAAAATGGATAAACCCACAGGATATTTGTAGTAATTTAAATCCCCGAAAGTGAGGAAATTGTGAGCTTAAATCAAAGAAAAATAAAAAGAGTGACTTAAGAGAATGTTTCAGGAAGAAAAAAGGACTGGCCTGACGGAAGCCCTCTTTGGCGATTCTATAGAGCAGGCATGAAGCCTTTATCCATTCCCTTCAGGAGGCCACATGTAACCAGTGTGGGGTGCATATATTCAGAATCTAAAGTCTGAGTCTATTTTACCTTCAGCTTCAGAATGCACATAAGAAAGCTTAAAATAAATAAAAATATTAAATACATTATTTTATTAAAAAGTCCAAATTATATAAAATAAAAACTGTTTTTCCTTCCTTCCTTTCAAAATTCTAGAATGCTCTCCCTGAACCTGCTTTACAGACGAGGATGAAAGAAGAAACAAGGTAATTAAGCAAGAGACAGTTCAAGGTGGCTAGGACTCTTTTGTTGTTGGTTGTAGGAGTGGGAGCGATAAGAGAAAACTTCAAAGACGAATGGAAAAATGAGGCTAATAGACTCCATGTGCTGCTATGACAAGAAAAGCCAGACAAGGAGATACTCCCTTTTGTGGAGAGAAGGTAGGCAACAGTTGCCTCCCTTGCAGCTGCTCTAAAAGGGAAAGGAAGAGAGTTAGAAAAAGTAACAGTAGGAGACAAAAAGCCTAGACAACAGCTACCTATAAGTAGAATCCAAGTTTCAGAAGTAGGAATTCAGGAAGGAGGGAGAGTCCTCAGTGACTGTACACTGTTAAAATATCTTATGGTTGTAGATGTTGCTGCCTAGGGGTATTAAAAAGTCAGTATGTAAATATAGCACAAAAGCATGATTACAGTGTTCCCTTAGTATCCATGGGGGATTCGTTCTAGGATCCCCACTGTTACCAAAATCCATGAATGCTCAAGTTCCTGATATAAAATGGTGTAGTATTTGCATTGAACCTATGCACATCCTTCCATATATTTTATATCAGTGGTCCCCAACCTTTTTGGCACCAGGGACTGGTTTTGTGCAAGACAATTTTTCCACGGACTGGGGAGGGATGGTTTCGGGATAATTCAAGTGCATTACGTTTATCATTAGATTCTCATAAGGAGCACGCAACCTAGATCCCATGCATGAGCGGTTCACAATAGGATCTGTGCTCCCACGAGAATCTAATGCCCCCACTGATCTGACAAGAGGCGTAGCTCAGGCGGTTATGCTTGCTCGCCTGCCTCTCATTCCTTGCTGTGCGGCCCACTTCTTAACAGGCCATAGACAGGTACCAGTCCATGGCCCAGGGGTTGGGCACCCCTGCTTTAAATCATCTGTGGATTACTTATAATACCTAATACAATATAAATACCATGTAAATAGTTGTTATACTGTATCCTTTCAAAAATTGTCATTTTTTTATTTTATTTATTTATGTTTTAAATATTTTCAACCCAAGGCTGGTCGAATCTGTGGCTGCAGAACCTGCAGATACAGGGAGCCTACTGCATACCAAAAAGCCTAGGTATGGAGACGCCTCATACAGGTACAGTGCAAATTCCTAAAAACATAATGTCTGGGTTGGAGGAGAAGAAAGTGTTACGAGTGAGTATAGACTGTAATGGAGACTAGTAGCTCTTTCTCCAATATCTTTATTTCTTCTCTAGTAATATAATTTTAAGCTAGTGAATTTTAAGCTAGTGATCCAGCCTTCCTTGCAGTTAAGTGGGATCCTGTGACTTACTTCTGACTAATGGGTATGAGTAAGAACAGTATATGGCAACTTTGGTTTTGTTTTTAAAAGAGTATCTTTTCTACCATTTCTTTCTTATCTCCTTCCCACTGGAGAAATGGGAACATGGTGTCAGGATCTGATGTAGCCAACTTCAAACACAAGATAGAAACAGTGTTAAATATGGTGGATCAACGAGATAGAAGAATCATGAGTTCTCAAACCCATTGAGCCTTCACAGCAGCAGTAGACTACTTATGATTAGAGTTTTAAGTGGAGAGAAACAAACTTCTATTTTGTTTAAGCTACATAATATGCTTAAACATAAACTATACAATGTAACTAAAGCTATTATTATTTTGTTGCAGCAGTTAAACTAATATATAGATATCAAAAAAGGTATTTAAATGTAGGCTTCTTTAGTATATTATTTTTAGAAACACAAATATTTTGATGCCTACAAAAATGTATATATCAAGAACTAACCAATCAAAAGATGTATAAAGCCAAACGAAAATTACAGAGAATTGGCTGCCTAATAGCATGATGAACAATACATTTATGAAAGAAGGGAAATAGGCTGCTAGAATTAAAAATACTTACCTGTAAAGAAAAATAACTTTAAAAGTTCAAATTTAGAGATACTCTTTTCCAAATGTCATGGTAATCTCAGAAGTTATTTTTTTTAATGTGAAATATATGGCAGAATAGAGTAAGATGCCTTTTAGAAAGGAGATGTTTCAAAATAGAATAAAGAGACCAGCTCAAAGAAGAAAGCTCTGCCTGCCATTTGTGAGAGTAGGGAAATGTGTCAAATGATCTGAAGAAAATTCTCTAAGTGGTAAAGCTGAATGCTCTAAAGAACAAAATAAACATTCTCATCTGTAGAAACACTTAATAGCACACATAGGTAGAAATATCAAGTGGAAAATCAAAATAATAAGAGGTAAGGACTAAATAAAACCAGGGCAGTAGAGAAAGGAAGATAAAGCATGTTTGTAAATTGTGTGTTGCAGGTATCAAGACTAAAATGTAACAAAAGTGTTTAAAATAAACCATTTTTTTCCTCCAGTGGTACAACAACAACAAATAGAAAGGGATAATGATAACTTGAACTAAATTCTCTTTAATAAAACTATATTATTTTCTACAAAAACAAAACAAAACAGCTAAACATACTCTTCTCTGTAAGAGATTCCTGGTCCACACTCCTTTTAAAAAGTAATATTCTGCTTCTGTGCTACTTCACGTACTTTTTATTGCTTCTGCTGACTCATTCTATGCTCCACTGGAAATCATGTCTCCTTTTCTCATCGGTAAAACTAGGAATTCCTTGAGGGCCAGGCCATATTTTATTTCTTTGTTCTGTACCTTCCATTCTTAGCATATCAAATAGAAGAATACTTGAGGAAAATTGTGTCCACTGGGAGGAAAGTGAGATGAAAAGCCAGAATTGGCATCAGTGGTATTTCAAAAAAAAAAAAAAAAGGACTGAAGGAGGCAAGCAGAACAAATAATAATATTTTGGTAGGACGCCTGCAGAAAAAGCTGCCAAGAACATCTGTGGTCAGACAGGACTCAATACAATGCCCGGGACTACAATGACCCACGACTGCTAACCAGGAACTGGGATTTGTTTAGTTTGGATTCTGACTTTGAGCTTAAGATAAATCTTAATGTGATCATATATTTATGTTCTTTCATAATCAGGAAAGAAATTAAATAAGATAAGAGAGGCCAGGTTACCTATATGATGGTCATTTCTCTCCTAAAGTGTAATTTTGAAGAAAAGCAGACTAGAAAAAAGTGGGTTAAATAATTAGTTTTATATATAAAGGATAAAACACAATGATAATATTATAATATATAAGGATAAAAATGTAATTCAGGGATGGAAAGGAAAACTTGAGGCCTCTTAATCCATGGGCAACATTGACATTTTGGTTGTAGTAAAGGAATTATAATATAATATCCTACAGATAAACTTCTTCTATGAAAATATGTGTGGATTCACTAAATTAGGAGGCACCTTACAAATACCACATGTAAGGTACCAGCCACTGCATTTATGGGCTACCAGTACTAATATGACCTACTATTGGTTTACATTATAGAATATAATGGAAAATCAGCCACAAAATGAACATTTTTGTACTGTTGATTTTAACAAATCAAGCTATTTGTAAATGAAAGAGACATCTGTGAGATGCTAATAAATGTGAACAGTCTACCTTTCCAGCCCTGTTAGACATTTCCTTATTTCTAAGTAAATCACATTTTAGTATCTGGTGGCAATGGTTTTTTAATATTTTCAAGACTGAGGTTCCTTTTTAATATCAAAATTATTCCTCACATCATCTTTTAATTGGAAAAATAATGGAAAATAGCCACTTTGGACCTGTAATTAAGTGGATATGTTTTATTTCATTATAAAATCAGTCGCATAGATTTTAAAAATATATACACTTAAACATATTATTTATTCACTTTCCAGGCAATGTTTGATTCTTTCTTCCTTTTTCTTTGCACAGCAGATTATTAGATTTCTTGGACAATTTTTGGAAGATTTATATGGACATAAGCTCTGGCTATATATCACATTGATCACAAAGAAAAACTGTGTAAAAATTTATCATGCTTATATGCTTTGTCTTGCAACAATTATGGAAAACCATGTAGTAATTTTAACTAGAAAACTGACTTTATTTCTACTTTTTAAAAATATTGCAACTAAGTATTTTTGCTTCTGTGATATATCAGTTCCCTAGGAATAAGAGGAGAAATGCGTTTTCTTTGGGTGTCCACTTCAGATTTAGACCCTTCGTCTCAGAATTTTCCTTTTGTTTCCAAGTCTTGCTCTTACTAAGAATATGTACCCCCAACCTAAGTAGCAAGTTTAACTTAATTAACTAGATGAATGGCTGCCCTAATACATTTGAAAGCTTTTAACTTTTTATACTTGGAATTTCAAGTTTAGAAATCTTAAAGATAAAAAGTCCTCTGACTTAGGTGGTTATATATTTAATTCATTATCTTTGTCAGACTGACTACTAGGGAAATATACCAGGTTAAAACCTCCTTATATTAGGATATTTGTTAGTGGATAAATGCTAGGATATCAGGCAAGAATTTGAGCCTCTAATTCTTCACTTTTTGATAGTGTCTTCCATTTTGTGTGTGTGTGTGTTTGTATGTGTGTAGAACTTTATAATTGATTTTGTAAATGACATATTCTCTCTAGAGATTTCTGCCACTTTCTTGACTTTGCCAGTAGCTATGAGGTACGATAGGGCATGAAAAAATTCATAGGTGGTCCCCAACAAACTAACCCCTGAGAAACACTGTTTGTTCCTTAGCCTCACCACTAATAAAATACTTTCTGGTAGCAAAAAGAGTCAATATGACTCCATAGTTGTAGTTTTCGGATTGTATGAATTTGAATCAGAAGGAGTTTAGGTAGGAAGATAAATATCCTGTAATTTTTAAATGTTACAAGTCAAAAAATGAAAAATTAGGACATAGAAGAAGAGATTTTCCTATACTAAATCCCCATTTACTCTGTCGTCTTCTAGGAACAATCATAGGTAAAAGTATTTACCTAAGAAATTTAGCTTTAGTTTAACTGTTGGTTGCTCTTTTTCTCTATTTTACTTTAGTTCTCCTATAATAAGATACCCACAACACTGGGACCCTCATGTAACTTCCTTTAGAGACAAAGGCACTCACACTAACTAATTCATGACTGACAGTTTTATGACTTTAAAGTGCTATCAACTATTTAACCATCCCTAAAGAAAGAAAAGGAAGGGTATGTCTAAATGAAAAGAAGTGTATTCCTAGCATGTTACCGAATGTTTGAACAGCTTTTCAAATTCACACCACATAATTAAAACCTTCATAAGGATAATCTAGCACAATACTGGTATAGACTACTTTCTCCAACCTCTAGTATATTACTGAGTCATCCTTTAAGACCAACTCAAAATATTTTCTCCTAATACAGTCTTCATATTTCACCTTAGAGCATTTCTCATCCCCATGAAGGCTATTATTTCTAGCGCTCTATAATCCTTCCACATATATGATTTGCTCTGTGTGGGCTCTGGACAAGAGGAAGAGGTGAATGGATAGCAAATATTTCCTAATGCTGGCTACATAGTTCTATGAAATTGTGTAATATGTGTAAATGTTCAATTTGTTTAGCTTTTGGTTCATATGATCTTTCTGTTGCTATTGCTCCTCAATAGCAAGGGTGCCCAACTTTATGAAATGCATAGAGCCCAATTAAATGACAGTACTATTTGGGTAGTCTGTATTAGCAAATATTGATGACAATGACAGCTATGTTAATAAGATAACATGCTTCGCAGAGAAGAACCAAAACTGTTTGTAGCTAACATGTCAAATACAGTGTCTAAGGGAGAACACTGGAATTCAGCAGGGAAGTGACAGGGACCCTCTGAAGTACAGAAACTTGAGATGGCAGCACAGAGAGGAAAGCAAAGCAGCCAGCCAGGACTGGCTCAAAGCCAGGATGGAGTCCCCACTGCAAGAAAAATGTAAGTGAGAGATCCTCAGTAAACCATATTCCCATCATAGATACCTGCAATCCTAGCTACAGAAGAGCTTCTTGCTTCTCACAGGCCCTAGCCAAGTACAGGCAGCTGCATGTAGTTCACATTACTACACTGTTCTAGAGAGGAAATTCATGCTTGGTCCTACCCACTCCCCAGGACTCAAGCCGCTGCAGCATGGCACCATTTTAAAAGCAGAGCCAACATTCAGACTACACCCTGCCCTGGGGCCCAATAACCGCTGCATGTTGACATCCTTGGGGTCCTGCCAACATCTCTCCACATCCACTCAGAGTGCTATGGCATTGTGACACCAGCTGGACCCAGTGCTTCAGCTGCATCTCCAGCACCCAAGCCTATGCAGTGCCCTACACCCCTAGGAACAATTGGTCAAGCACATTATGTGGGCCACGCACAGGACATAGGGAGCTGAAGAATGGGCTAACAGAGCCTGAAGGCCACATGCCTGGGACTACCATTGCTATGACCATCCCCTCCAGTTGTGGGACCACCACACACCTGCATATGCGTATCATCTACGGAGAGGAAATACAGCCCTTCTGGGTTGCTATAACCACTGCTAGTGCCTGCATGCACCAACCAGGGATCCAAGGCCCAGCCTGCCCAGCCCATCATCACCACAGCCAGTGTCCACACATGTGCCACCTAGGGGCCTGAGGATTGTCCTGCCTGGCACCACAGTCTCCAGCAAAGCCTCACCACAGCCTCCACAAACAACTGCTGCCTAAGCCACTGAGGAACGTAGACATTACTGATACTGACTACAGCCAAGGAAATCATATGGACACTAGGCTACAATGCCCACCCAAAACCAAAACTAAAGTACCCTATCCAATTTACACTATAGATGCATCTACAAGAAAAATTCTTTCCATATGAAAGCTACCTCCATAAAACTGGAAGAAGCAATTATTATGCCAGATGTGCAGCTATCATGTAATGATACAGAAACATGAAAAAGCACGGAAACATGACACTTCCAAACGAAAACCGTAATTCTCCAGCAACAGACCTCACAGAAAAGGAAACCCATGAAATGCCTGATAAGTAATTCAAAATAATGGTCTTAAAGAAACTCAGTGAGATACAAGAGAATACGGATAGACAATAAAAAAATTAGAAAATCATTCAGGATCTGAATGGGAAATTCAAGAGTATTAGATATAAAAAGGAAACAAACTGATCCTTGAACTGAAGAATTCAATGAATAAAATAAGAAATACAACTGAGAGCTTCAACAATAGGCTAGCTCAAGCAGAAGTAAGAATTTCTAAACTTGAAGATAGGTCTTTTGAAATAACCCAGTCAGACCAAAAAACAAAAAACAAAAAAACAAATTTAAAGAATGGAAAAATGTGGGAAAACATCAAATGACCAAATATTGGAAGAGATATTAGACATCCAAACACAAGAAGCTGAAACAATCCAACATATATTTAATTCAAAAAGATTCTCTCCAAGAGACATTATAGTCAAACCATCAAAAGTCAAAGATAGGTAATTTTTAAAACAGTAACAGAAAAGCATCAATTCATATAAAAGGGAATCTCTCTCACATTAACAGCAGATTTCTGAGCAGAAATCTACAGTTCAGGAGAGAAGGGGATAATATATTCAAAGTGTTTTTATAAAAAGTTAGTTAAAAATAACTCAGCAAAGCTATGCTTCAAAATGAAAGAGAAATAAATTATTTACCAGAGAGGTGAACCTGAGTGAATTAATTGCCATTAGTCTGGTCCTACGGGAAATGCTTCAGGAAGTCTAACATCTGGAAGTAAAAAATGATATCTACCATCATAAAAATACATAAAAGTATAAAATGTACTGGTACAGCAGATACACAAATGAGAAAGAAACAAATGAGAAACAAATTAAATGTTATCATTACAGAAAAACCACCAAAACACAAATATGTACAATAAGAAAGTAAGAAAGGAACCAAGTATACACAAAACAATCAAAAACTGATTTACAAAATGATAGGATTAAGTCCTCACCTATAAATAAGAACCTTAAATGTAAACAGTTTAAATTTTTCAGTTAAAAAATATAGACTGGATGAATGGATAAAAACACAAAACCCAATTATATGTTGCCCACAAGAAACTCACTTCATCTGTAAAGATACACAAAGAATAACAGTGAAGGGATGGAAGCTGGGCATGATGGCTCATGCCTGTAATCCCAGTGACTCAGAAGGCTGAGGCAGGAGGATCACTTGAGCCCAGGAGTTCAAGACCAGCATGGGCAACATAGTGAGACCCAATCTGTAAAAAAAAAAAAAAAAAAAAAAAAACCCCACAAACATTAGCCAGATATGGTGGTATGTGCCTATAGTGCCATATTCTCAGGAACCCAGGAGGTCGATGCTGCAGTGAGCTGTGATTGCACCAGTGCACTTTAGCCTGGGTGACAGAGAGAGACCCTGTCTCAAAAAAAATAAATAAATAAAAGTGAAGGGATGAAAAAAAGATATTCCATGTAAACAGAATACAAAAGCATGCAGAAATAACTATAATTACATCAGACAAAATAGATTTTAAGTTACAAAATGAAAAGAGACAAAAGCATTATATATAATAATTAAGGGATTGATTCAGCAAGAGGATATAACAATTCTTTTATAATTCTTTTTTTTTTTTTAGATGGAGTCTTGCTCTGTCACCGAGGCTAGAGTGCAGTGGCGCAATCTTGGCTCACTGCAAGCTCTGCCTCCCGGGTTCACACCATTCTCCTGCCTCAACCTCCTGAGTATCTGAGACTACAAGCACCCGCCACCACACCCGGCTAATTTTTTGTATTTTTAGTAGAGATGGGGTTTCACCATGTTAGCCAGGATGGTCTTGATCTCCTGGTCTTGTGATCTGCCCGACTCGGCCTCCCAAAGTGCTGGGATTACAGGGGTAAGCCACCACACCCGGCAAAGGATATAACTATTCTAAGTATATATAGCAACTAACACTGGAGCATTCAGATATATAAAGCAAATATTATTAAAGAGAGACACAAAAGCAATAATAGGACTTCACCACCACATTTCAGCATTGGAAAGATGATTTAGACAAAAGTCAACAAAGAAACATAGAACTTAACTTCAGTATAGACCAAATGACAATAACAGACATTTACAGATCATTAAATCCAATGGCTGAAGAATACACTTTCTTTTCATCAGCACATGGAATATTCTCCAGGATAGACCATATTTTAGGCCACAAAACAAATCTTAACAAATAGAAAAATATCAAAGTCATGTAAAGTATCTTCTCAGTCCACAATGAAAAAGAAACTAGAAATCAATAATAAGAAGAACTTTAGAAAGTATAAAAATACATGAACATTAAATAACATGCTCCTAACCATTTATTAGGTCAGTGAAGAAATAAAGATGGAAGTTTAAAAAATGTTATTGAAATGAATGAAAATGTAAACACATCAACACACACAAATCAATACATGTGTTACAACTCATCAACAAAATAAAGGCCAAAACCACGTTATTATCTTAATAGATGTAGAAAAAGCATTTGATAAAATCTTACAATCCTTCATGATTAAAAACTGTCAAGAAATTAGATATAGAAGGAACATAGATCAACACAATAAAGGCCATATATGACAAACACACAGCTAACATCATACTGAATAGGGAAAAGCTGAAAGCCTTTACTCTAAAAACGGGAAAAAGACAAGGATGCCCACTTTCACCACTCTTATTCAACATAGTTCTAGAAGTCTTGATCATAGCAATTGGGCAAGAGAAATAAAGGACATCCAAATTGGAAAAGTAAGTCAAATTGTCCTTCTTTGCAGATGACATGATTTTATATGTAGAAAAACCTGAAGAGTCCACCAAAAAGATGTTAGAACTGATAAATAAATTAAGAGTAAAGTCGCAGGATACATAATCAGCATACAAATATCAGTAGTGTTTCTATACTTTGATAATGAACTAGTTGAAAAAGAAAGAGATAAATCAATTTAAAACAGCTACAAATAAAAAAAACCTGTGAATAAATCTAACACATTGTAAGAAAGATCTTACAATGAACATTACAAACCTTAGCGAGGCATAGTGGTGTGATGAAAAGACATTGAAGAAATGTCTGATGAAAGACATTGAAGAGGACACAAAAAATAGTAAGACATCCATGCTCACAGATTGGAAGAATTCATATTGTTAAAACGACCATACTACTCAAAGCAATTTACAAATCTACGCAATCTCTATCAAACACCAATGACATTCTTCACAGAATAAAAAAAAAAACACTCTAAAAGTCATATGGAACTACAAAAGACCCTGAATAGCCAAAGCAATTCTCAGCAAAAAGAACAAAGCTGGAGGCATCACATTACCTGACTTCAAAATCCACTACAAAGCTGTAGTAACCAAAATAGTGTGGTACTGGCATCAAAACACACACATAGACCACTGGAACAGAACAGAAGACCCAAATAGAAATCCATGCATTTACAGCCAACCTGTTTTCAACAGAGCTGGCAAGAACATACAATGGGGGAAGGATAAGTCTTTTCAATAAGTGGTTTGGTGAGAACTGAATATCTATATGCAGAAAAAGTAAACCAGACTCCTATCTCTCACTGTATACAAAAATCAATTCCAAATGAATTAAAGACTTAAACATAAGGCTCAAAACCATAAAACTCTCAGAAGAAAACACAGGGGAAATTCTTCATCTCATTGGTCTAAGGAAAGAGTTCATGGGTAAGACTTCAAAAATGTAGGCAACAGAAACAAAAATAGATACATGGGACTATATCAGGATAAAAAGCTTGTGCACAACAAAGGAAACAATCAACAGAGTGAAGAAAATATTTTCAAACTATTCATCTGACAAGAGACTAATATCCAGACTATATGAGGAATTCAAACAACTCAAGAACAAAAAACCAATCCAATTAAAAATGGTCAGAGGATCTGAACAGTTATTTTTCTAAAGAAGACATATAAATAGCCAACAAGTATTATTAAAAAATGCTCGGCATCACTAATCATCAAAGAAATGCAAATCAAAACCACAATCAGACATCATGTCACTCCAACTAGAATGGCTTTCATAAAAAAGACAAAAAAATAACAAGTGCTGCAAAAAATGTGGAGAAAAGGTGACACGAATACACTGTTGGTAAGAATGTAAATTAGTACAGCCATTATGGAATATAGTATGGAGGTATCTTTTAAAAAACTACAAATATAACTACCACATGATCCAGTAATCCCACTAATGGATATTTATCCAAAAGAAAGGAAATCAGTATATTGAAGAGATACCAACTTTACTGCAGCGCTATTCACAATAGCCAGTATACAGAATCAACCTAATTGTCCATCAACAGATGAATGGATAAAGAAAATGTGGTATATATACACAATAGAATACTTTTCACCCATGAAATAATAAAATCCTGTCATTCATGGCCACATGAATGAACCTGGAGGACATTATGTTAAATAAAATAAGTCAGACACAGGAAGACAAATACCACTCATGTTCTCATTTATATGTGAGAGCTAAAAAAAATTTGGGCTAATAAAAGTAGAGAGTAGAACTGTGATTATTAGAGGCTGGGAATTGTAGGGGAAGAGGGAGGACAGGAAGACGTTGATGAATAGATAAAAAGTTATAGCTAGATGGGAGAAATAAATTCTAGTGTTCTGTGGCCCCTGTAGGGTGAAAATGGCTAACAATAATTTAGTGTATATTTTCAGAAAGCTACAAGAGAGGATTTTGAATGTTCACAACACAGAGAAATGATCATTTCTAGTCCATTACTGAAGTATAGACACACTACTGATATTTGTATGTTGATTTAGGTGGTTATAACTGATACTTTTCCCCAAATGTTAGTAAAATTAATGCAGGTCATATAGTACTCTTTTGCACACTGCTTTACACATGCATAGTTTATTATTCAGAAATTATAAGGTAATCAATTTTGTTACTATAGACATAATACAATTTTGAAAATTAGAGAATTAATTGGCTTCCAAGAATGCAACAAAAATAACGTTTCAAAGAACATCTTTGTATATAGCAAAAAGCATTTAGTACTTTTGCAAGCATCTTGTGGTTTTGTAAATATTACCTAGACAATGTAAAGGTAACTTTTATAGAAAAAAAGATAAAGGCAAGAGCAAATGTGTTAAATTATAAATGTTTTTACTTTTGGGGCACTATAAATAAAGCTATACGATAAAGACTTTAAGTAAATTACAAAGATTTTATTTTATACTTGGAAAATTAACTACACCCATGGAGAATTCCGCATATGTTAAAATCAAGTTAGATTAAGAATTATATATAATTAAGTAGAAACTTTGAAGCGTCTACAGACAGGCATTATATTAAGAGTTCAAACACTGAACTGAGACTGGTCTGGGTTTGAATCTGGCTTCACAACTTTACTAACAGTAAGATCCTTTGGAAAGTTATTGAACTTCTTGACATTCCAGTTTCATCATCTGTAAAATTAAGATTAAAAATAGAACCTATTTCACAGAATTGCAGTGAGAACTAAAATATGTTAATTTATGTAAAGTGTAAGAGTAAGCATCATTTTTAAAGCTCACATTTTTTTTACCACTGGAAAGGAAACCCACCCTTATCATGAGGTTGAAATGAAAAGTAACTAGAAACTAAGAGGTGATATCTGGTACAGTAGAAATTGGTTTTATAATTTTTATTCTTTTATTTTTTTAATTTGACAGACAACATTGTGTGTATTTATCATGTACAACATAATGTTTCAAAGTATATACATATATATATGTATGTATATACACACACACACACACATATATCGTGAAATGGTTAAATCTAGCTAATTAACAATTGTGTTGCCTCACATAGTTATCATCTTCAGTGTTCTCATTTATCCCTCACTTGCTTGCTGTCTACATGCCTGAGCCAAGCACAAATCTCCATTCTGCAATACTTCCCCTTGCTTACTACACTTTTTCTTTTCCTAATCCCATATTCTGAGCATGTAAATATACATTTTCAATCTAGTCAAATGTATTATCTCTTCCTTCCCTCCTCCCTCCCTCCCTCTTCAACTTTTAAGCATCAGGTTACTATCCATTTCTTCTAGCAAATTGTCCTTGATAAATGTTCCAGAAAAATTTCCAGAAATACCAACGCCAATACTTATTTATCTGCCTTGGTCTTTACTCAAAATTCATGCTTTATTGATGTTCTGATAGTGCCTAGAGTTCAGAGGAATGACTCTAACAGACTTCAAGCAAACACTTGTTGCGACTATTTCCCATAAATCATATCTTGGAGTGCACTCATAAAAGCTCTCACATGTTTCCATTACGATAGTCTTCAAGAGAGTTCTGCAAAGGGTTGATGCTGATGAATCCATTGATATTTTTAAAGCCTGATGCGGTCAATCAAGGGGGAGGCAGCTGCTAAATCACTCCCATCTCCGCAGCTCTGAAGCACTTCCTGTAAGGAAGCAGCCCTGGCTGAGAGGTGCCACAATGCCTAATCTTACCCCTTCAGTCATGACAGCGTCAGCAACTCTTCTTCCTTTCTCCTTTTACTCAAAGGAAATGAAAATACCACTCAAATAAATAAATACAAATGAAGACTGAGGTGGTTCAGTTTCAGAAAAAACCAAGAGGCCAAAGTTCTGACTATTAGCCATGGCATCAGAAGAGAAAGATGCATGATGCCAGTACAAAAAGTTTTACGCATAAAAGAGTTAGTAAGCAAATACAGGGTGTTTGAACCCAGACTGTCTAATATTTGTAGAGCTTATCTCATTTAAAATGGAGTCTATGTGCTGTTTTATTAATTAGCAGTACACCTTACTATATTTTCTGAGTTGGATGCAAAATGTTATGTTTGCGGAAATTTGGAAAAGATGCTAGATTAAGAAAGATTGATTATGCTGTTTTCAACACTCACTGTGGGAAACAATACAATATAATGATATTAAAGCACAAGACCCCACAGTCAGACTAACGTAGAATCAAAGGCTCGCCTGACTGCTTACTGGCTTCATAAAAAGGCAGCTACTTAAAATCTTTCCAAGCTTCAGATGCCTCATAGATTGCGCTAAGTAAGTAAGATAATGCACATAAAATGTCAGTGCAGTCCCTCCCATTGAATGTTTAATGAAAGTTCGATAAATGCCAATTATTACTGCTGTGATTATTATTCTCGACTCATGATATTTTAGGACTAATGCCAGCAAGAATAGAAAGAATAAATACTGGGAACTCTTACTTCCATAGCGGCTGTGATTCATCCCTCTTGTCATACACCTGGCTGCTTCTCATAGTTACATGATCTGCCTACATCTAAAGATATTAATATTTGCATCTCTCTTCTCGATCTTTTCCAGGCTTCTCTCCCACTCTTCCAAACGCATAACTGTCACATGTCTCTTTTGTCTGGAGACCTACTCCCTGTTTAGTTAGAATTTCTGAATAACTATTAATAAAATGTACGATGTCCCTCCTTGAAAATATCAATATCATCATCATCATAATTGTCATCATAGTTAACATTTTCTGGGTGCTTAGTAAATGTAAAGTAAAATGTAAGGCATTTTGCCTGTATTCACTCATTTTAGCTTATAAGGCAGACAGTGTACTTTTTTTTTTATCAGTATTTATAGATAAGAAAACCAAAGGTGGGGGATATTACATTACTTGCCTCTTTTTTTTTTTTTTTTTTTTTTTCTTTTTTTAGACGGAGTCTCACTCTGTCGCCCAGGCTGGAGTGCAGTGGCGCCATCTCGGCCCATTGCCAGCTCCATCTCCCGAGTTCACGCCATTCTCCTGCCTCAGCCTCCCGAGTAGCTGGGACTACAAGCGCCCGCCACCGTGCCCGGCTAATTTTTTGTATTTTTTTTTAGTAGAGACGGGGTTTCATCATGTTAGCCAGGATGGTCTCGATCTCCTGACCTCGTGATCCTCCTGCCTCGGCCTCCCAAAGTGCTGAGATTACAGGCGTGAGCCACTGCGCCTGGCCTCTAAGTAGAACATCTTTTATGAGAATTTAGGTAATCTGACTCCAGACACTACTTTTTTTTTTTCTTGAGACGGAGTCTTGCTCTGTCGCCCAGGCTGGAGTGCAGTGGCGCCATCTCAGCTCACTGCAAGCTCTGCCTTCCAGGTTCACGCCATTCTCCTGCCTCAGCCTCCTAAGTAGCTGGGACTACAGGCGCCCGCCACCATGCCCAGCTAATTTTTTTTTTTTTTTTTTTTTTTGTATTTTTAGTAGAGACGGGGTTTCACTGTGTTAGCCAGGATGGTCTGGATCTCCTGACCTCGTGATCTGCCCTCCTCGGCCTCCCAAAGTGCTGGGATTACAGGCGTGAGCCACTGCACCTGGCCAGGCACTTTTTTTTTTTTTAATTTTTTTACATTTTTAACTACCAGACTGCTATCTATATGGGGATTTTAATAGTCATCACAAAGGAACCACCCCAAAGGGATCACATTAATGGTGGGAATTTCAGTCATATGGTAGAAGATATTTTAAGACAGTAAAACCTTTTAAAATATACTGTTTATATGCCTGCATATTCTGTTAACAAGTAGGGTTAAGCTCACCACAATTAGCACATACATGAGACAAATGTAGATATTAAGGTTTATAAATAACATTTCGTGATATCAGATGACTATCTGTTTTTAAAAATGTTCCAGGTAAATCATTCCTTCCAGCTCTTAATTCTTTTGTTACTTTCTTTTAAAAATTCCAGTTAGAATATTCCTCTGTGTTCATGAACCGTTCCAAAGTTAACATTTACTTATGCCAGTGAAAGGCAGCTTTGAAGATAGTTGTTAAAAATCATTAAGTACATAAATTTTGTTTCATTGTCAGTGGAACAACATACACATACAACTCCCTTTTCCAACCATCATTTCCTATTTTTACTAAGATCTAGTTTTTAAACTGTCTTTTCCACAGTTCTAATGTACGATACTTTGAGTGCATTATCTGTTTAATTAAGCCAGCCCCCAAACAAAATCCAATAAAATAATTCACGATTTTCATTTTTGTGGGATCTACAAGCCATAATAAAATATTCGATTAAACTTATGTATATATATATAATATATATATACGTGGGTAAATAATAGCACACAAGCATAAACTTTGAAAACACAAAGATGTCATCAAATATAACACTATAAATAACTCAAGCAGAAGGGACTATTGGTGGCATACTATATTTGGAGGGAAGAGGGATTACTAGAATCTGATGCAAATTATAATACTTTGAAGCCCAATCTATTCTCACATTTTGCGAAAGAAGAAACAGGTTAAATGATTTAACCAAAGTCAGAGTAAACTGTAACAGAACTAAACCTAGAGTGAGAATATTCTGGCTCCTTGGCTGTGGCTTTTTCCGTTACAACAAATGGAATGAGTTTGCAGTGAAGTCCATTCTCACAAGTTCAACTGATGCACTAGGGAAAGAAACATCAGAGCAAACCTACATATTTTTCTTTCACAATGGTTCCCAAACACAAGACAACTACTTTACTGATGATCAACTAAAGAAATAATATTCTGTTTTAATACCTCAGGAGAAGAATGTTATGTGGAACATATAACTGTATATACAGTGTGACAGTGATAGTGTATTTATAGCACAGAAGCAATTTCCATGGGTGATTTTTCTAAATGTCACTGTGGGGACTGGAGCTGAACACCTGGGGAAGATATGGGTCCCTACTTTTAAGACTTGGTAATAAATATGTATGAAAGGATCTGAAGAAAATATGTGACAGTGTCACTTGGTTATCACTGTGAACACGATGAATGCTCTGAATGGATTTGTTAAAATTTAGTTCTAATTGATGGCCAAGTTTGGCCTGGAAGTTTCTAATATGGTGCTACAAGGTTCTTCTGCCCTTTCCTAATAGGAATGCAAAATAAGACAGATACACAAAAGAAAACTAGTATACTATAAAATAGTTGCAAATTGTGATATGTCCTATGAAGGAAAAAGAGGAGGGAGTTACTGAAAGATAAAATAATGGCACGAAGGCGTGGTAAGGAAATCTATGGACTTTCATCCCAATTGAAATTGTATATATATAAAACATATTTAAAAACTATAAACTATTTCAAGCTTCTAGAAAATAACACGTGCTTAATACTCATATTTATGGACGCTAATATTTTGCTATATTTATTTCAGATTGGTTTTCTTAATATGTAAAAAAAAGTTAAGAGAGTGTAGCTAAGGCAATCCCATCCATTCTACTCTTCATCCCTAGAGGTTCTAAGCCTCACATTTTTGTGTATTATCCCTTCCTATGTTATATTTTTACTTCCATAAAAAATGGTGCCACTCTCTGTGCGTGTGTGTTTTAATTACATAAATACTATCATACTGTAGAGTTTTGAAACTTGTATATTTCACTTAACTGCATATACATGTACATCCGGCTATTCAATTCAACTTATTTTCCAATTTATCATAATATGAACCAACTGCACCTTATGCAATCCTATTCAAATGGACAATTATTCCACGTTTTCACTTTTCACTACTGGGTTTCCTTAGTAATTCAATCACCTGACACTCATGCCAGTGTTAGGAGAGTTCCTCCTTCAGCACATGCTTGTCAATACATGGTATTTTCAAACCCTTAAAATTTTGCTAATCTGATGATATGACATACGTGAAATGATGTCTTCTTTCAATTTTAATTTCCCTGGTTCCTAATAGAGTTACACAGCTGTTCATAATTGTGTTAGCCTTTTTTCTGTGTATTATCTGCTCAGGTTCTATGTCTACTTTTTTTTTTTTTTTTTTTGCTGCATTAGCTCTTCCTTATTTTTGCAGTTCTTTTATATTCAGATACTAATTCCTCGTCAGTTAATGATTTACAAATATCTCCTTTTAGTCTGTAGCTTGTCTTTTCACTTTCTTGGTGGGGTATTTGGTTATATATTCAGTTTTATTTTAATGTACCCAAATACATAATAATTTTCACAGTTCATGCTACAGTATGTTACTCTGACATACATATATTTTCCTATTTTTTTGTATATTTTATAATTTTAAAAAATATTTAGATTTTTAGTTCATTGGGAATTTATTTTCATATATGGCATGAGGTAGGGATCTAATTTTATCTTTTTTGTTAAAAAGCCATTTACTGGAACAGACTCTTACTTCTCAACTCATTTGCAATGTCTCCTCCGTCACATACCATGTTGCCATTTAAATGTGGTTCTGATTCTATGCTCCCTATTTGTTCCATGCACAGACTCTTGAGCTAATTCCATGGGTTTTAAACTATTTCAGCTTTTCAAGTATTGAGATCTGTTAGGCTAAGCATACTCCTCACCTCTTCCTTATTCTTTTTCAGAAGAATAATTTTGAATGTACTTGGCCATATAATATATACTATAATATACTTGGCCATATTCTCTGGCTCTTTCAGAAAATTTTAGGATAAGTTGGACCTATAAATTTTTTAAATTTTTATTTATTTAGAGACATATTCTCATTGTCATCCAGGCTGTAGCACAGTGGCAATCATATGCATCTATATTTTTAAAATGTATTGTGGAAAACTTTAATTATATATGAATGTAAACAGTAGAATAGTAAGCCCCAAGCTTCAATATTTTTTCAGTCTCATTTCATCTATCGCTCTATTTTTCTGGGTTATTTGAAAGCAGCTTCAATATATCTATCATTTTTTTTCTGTCAAAACTTTCATGTATTTCTCTAAGAGATGAGGACTTTGGGCCTACGTACTTTAGATGGAGGTGACCAGGGATGGCTATACTAAAGAAATGGTATTTAAGCTGAAACCTGAAATATGAGGAGTCAGTCATGGGAACATTGTTCCAAGCAGAATTTTAGGGTAAGGAAATTTGTCATGTTCAAAGAACTGAGTAAAGATCAATGTGGCTGGAGTTTGGAGATGGAGAGAAGGCAGGAGAGTGAAGGCTCAAGCATAGGAAGGGAGTACAGGATTCTGGAAGCCACAGTAATGAGTTCAATTGAAAGTGATTGATGAATTGAAAATGATTGAAAGATGCCAGCATAGAGAAGAGGCTGAGGCTTGAACAAGAGAGGAAGCAGAGAGGGCGTCTGGAAGGCTCTTTCCTGCAGCAGTCCAGGAGAAAGAGGATGGTGATATGGTACAAAACAAATGGAGATAAGTAGACAGATTTCAGATACATTTATATAAGACGTGACTGTGGGAGAAAAAGCAAATATATAAGAAGACAGAAATAATTTTTAAAAATCTCAGTAGGCTGAAATAAAGAGCTAAATCAAATGTTACTATTTTTAAGGCTAAATGTGAGGTCCTGATCCTGAATTTAAAACAAATCAAACAAGAACTAAATGAACTGTATTTATATGATGTTAGTGACCTGACTTAGTAATGCCCTTTTTTCCTAGCCAATTCAAAGGATGGTGAAGGTGAAAACAACTCAGACTCCCTCAAGTGTGTTATACAGTTCCTGCATAAATAGCTGCACAGCATCCAATTAAACAGTGATGTTTCTGCCTGGTAAAGCTATATATAAGCAAATGAAACCAGAAAGGTACATGTTAAGAATGCATAATTATAGTGAGACACTATTTAAAACACAGTTCATCATTACATGTATTCAGATATGATAAGTAATAAATCAGGATCCTGATACATCACAATGACACTCATCAAAATTATAAATTACAGTTAGCTTGTAAATTGGTATTTATTTCCACTAATGTTTGTACCATTGTGAAGTCTTCTAATAAATGCATCTCTTTTTTCTTTTTTACTTTATAAGGCTTAGTTGTACTAAAGAAGACAAGACTTTACAAAGCTAAATGTTATTAAGCATTTAACAGTAATTGAACCAGCACCAGGTAGCAAGAAGTATACACAGTTAAGTTCTATAAATCCCAAGAAAAGATAAGATGTGTGCATAAATAATTCCAATGTAAAATAGAATACAGTAAGTGTTAGAGAAATGCTAAAATACTGTTAGATCGTGAGTTTCTGCAGAAACTGGATCATGTCTTGTTTACTTTTATATTTCCACCTCCTAATACTAGTGCAGTGAATGGTAAGTTTCAAATACCTAATAAATATCCATTCACTCATTCATTGATATAAATACTTATCATGTACTGATCAGATGATAAACATACATTCCTGCTTTTAATAAGCTTACATTAATTCCTTCAAAACTCATTTTGAGAGCCCTGCCTATTAGGGTAAAGACATGTGGGTAATAACAAATATGAATGAAGGGTGCAAGACGATGAGAAAGCAAGCTCTGCTGTACATGAAATAGGAGGTGAGGGAAAAGTGATTGGAGGAGACATGAACATTGTGTGCTTTGAGATGGCCAGAAAATCTACCTGGTGGGATGCTTGTGTGGCATTAACAAGTAGCTGAGTTTGAAAACACAGTTTTGTCATTTTCTCCAAAACTTTTAAAGAAGTTTTCAAGTGTTTTGAATAAAAAATGGATATAGAGTGAAGAACATGGCAGGAAAGTGGTGAAGAGTCCTGGCCTTTAAATAAAATAAAATACTGAAATAATGGGGCAATTGGTGTGGCATGGAAACTTATATAAAGACAAGCGGTGAGTGCTACACTGGGGAAAACAAGAGATGAGGTTAAAAAAAAGTGGATGAGGAGAGGAAGGAAGTGGAAGGAAAAGAGGTTATGATCTGAATTTGTAATACTGGAATTGAGTATTTCAGAAGGAGAATTGGTCTGGTTTGCAAACGTCTTGTGGGTGAGGTTGCAGACATTAGGTGCTAAATGGAGTGGTGGTAAAAGACATGAATGGAATTGAAGTAAGGAATCCAGGTCAGAGTGCTCAAGGAAACACAAAGCTGATCAGTTCTATGAGCCATCACACAGTTAACTGACATCACTCAGTTTGATGGAAAATACTAGGATGGAAAGAAGAAGGAAAACCATTGCCAAAGTTTGTGAATGTTTGTGAAACATCAGGAGATTCAGGCCGGGCGCGGTGGCTCACGCCTGTAATCCCAGCACTTTGGGAGGCCGAGGCGGGCGGATCATGAGGTCAGGAGATCAAGACCATCCTGGCTAACACGGTGAAGCCCCGTCTCTACTAAAACTACAAAAAATTAGCCGGGCACGATGGCAGGTGCCTGTAGTCCCAGCTACTCATGAGGCTGAGGCAGGAGAATGGCGTGAACCCCGTGGGGCAGAGCCTGCAGTGAGCCGAGATTGCGCCACTGCACTCCAGCCTGGGCGACAGCGAGACTCTGTCTCAAAAAAAATTAAAAAAAATAAAAAAATAAAGAAACATCAGGAGATTCTGAGGAGATGGCGAAGAGGATGTGTCAAATGAGAGAGACTTGGTGAAGTTTTTATGGAGAAAGAAATATTTGATATGAACCTTGTAGCAGGTATAGAACTTAGTCAGAAATTGGGAGGAAAAAAAGATATTTCTGTTTGAAGGATGGTCTCAGTAAGACCAGAAGAAGTAGCAGTGGTTAACTATTTCTGATTTATAATTACTGGAGTCCACAATCTTGCAGACAGATGATCTGATAACAATTCTATTGTATCAGACAACAGGCCTTATTGCATATCCAAGTGACTATTTTCCAGAGGACTACTAGCTCATAAATATCTTCCTCCACTCATAATTTACTTAACTCCTTTATCTCCAACAATAAACACCTAATGATTCAACTGGTCCATGTCTGAACATGACCTATTTATGATCTGCATGTTTCTACATATGATCTGCAGCTGGTCCCAGATTGTGTACCCCAAGCCAAAGCTAATTGGTTGTTTTCCAGGCATAAGTGGGTGTGAAGAGTCTGGGAACCTCTTAATTTAATAGTAGATTTTCAGAGGCACCTTTATCTATGCTGCTTCCTTTCCTGCTTGGCCTTGACTCTAACTTATGATGCCTATTTTGGATCCTGTTTCTTATAAGCATATTATTACAGGCTAGAAAGGATCTTTTGAGCGTCATGATGTCCTACCTCCTGCTTAAGCAAAGACTTCTTCTAAAACTCTTGTGTTCAGCTTGGCCTGAACACTCCTCCATTGTTTACAAAAGCATTGAGTCAGGGTAGATTGCGACATATGTCTTTGCTAAAGTTAGTTCTCAAACTAATACTACAATGCTGGGTAGACATAATTTATCACTGTATCGCCAAGTTGTATTTACTGTTTGGAATATATCACTTTGACAGGTTTGAAAGGTCCTAGCTCAGAGCCTGTAACATAAGATACCATGTTTGTTGAAATTAAATCTAAATCTTCAATGCATTTTAACTGCTTAGTAAAGAGAACAGGCATGTTCCAGTCATACTTCTAATAAAGTTTAATGTCAAATCTGTTTTCTATTGATTCTTTATGTCTAATCCCATTATGAAATGTGGAGCCAGTAGTAGGGAAATCACACTGGGGAAAGACTGACTTTGGGTGCACATGATGGCATATTTATGCCTTGTGTATTCAGAGAGAAAAGGGAGGGAGGGAAGGAGAGAAGGGAGGGAGGGAGACAAGGAAGGAAGGAAGGAAGGAAGCAAACAGATTGTATCTTAGCTCTTGGGTAAAGTATAAGTACATTTATGAATGTTAATTTCTACTTTTATAAAAGGGCATGATAATTGGCTCCTAATCACACAACACTTTTTGGCTATTAAATGAACTCAAGAATGTGAAAGTGTTTCATAAATTAAAAAAAATCTTAATTCTATTGTAGGACATCCACTGCTTGCATTCATGTGCAATTTAGAATGTGTATCCTTTTACTTCCTGATATTTTCACTTCTTAAATACTATACATTTATTTGTAGAAACACTCTGTTTCAAGAGACATAATGTGTTCCTTTTGGGACTATGGCTCAGCACATAGCTTTTCATTACTTATGTGAAGTGCCAAGAACCTTGAGAGGGCAGAAAAAAAATCATTCCTCTCTAGTTTCTCTGTAGCTCTCCTCTTGACAGTGCTCAAGTACAGGCTGATTGGCTATAGAGCCATAGGGATTTGATGAAACAAAGCGTTTCACAGCAATACAGACTCTGCTGTTTCTATCTCAAGGGAAGTACAAGATATGACCTTGGTTGATGACTGGTAAGTATGCTTGTTGCCTAGCAAAATTCAGAAGTCCAAGGAAAAAGCCATAATGACCTTATTGATTTATATTTTGAAGCTTTTATTACCATAATGTGGTGTGCTACAAATTGGATATTTTAACAGAAAGCTTACAATAGCATGGAATTTTCTACTACCATAGCTGTTGACACATACCAAACAATCTTATCAATTTCTGTATTTGTAATGACAACAAAATGTTATGTTACACAATATGTTAGTGCTTATAAAACACTGGGTACATGAGATATTTTAAATTTGAAAGATTAGCCCATGATGAGTGAGATTTAAATAAGGGCAACCACACTGAAGGACATGAACAGACACTTCTCAAAAGAAGACATTTATGCAGCCAAAAAACACATGAAAAAATGCTCACCATCACTGGCCATCAGAGAAATGCAAATCAAAATCACAGTGAGATACCATCTCACACCAGTTAGAATGGCAATCATTAAAAAGTCAGGAAACAACAGGTGCTGGAGAGGATGTGGAGAAATAGGAACACTTTTACACTGTTGGTGGGACTGTAAACTAGTTCAATCCTTGTGGAGGTCAGTGTGGTGATTCCTCAGGGATCTAGAACTAGAAATACCATTTGACCCAGCCATCTCATTACTGGGTATGTACCCAAAGGACTATAAATCATGCTGCTATAAAGACACATGCACACGTACGTTTATTGCAGCACTATTCACAATAGCAAAGACTTGGAACCAACCCAAATGTCCAACAATGATGGACTGGATTAAGAAAATGTGGCACATATACACCATGGAATACTATGAAGCCATAAAAAGTGATGAGTTCATGTCCTTTGTAGGGACATGGATGAAATTGGAAATCATCATTCTCAGTAAACTATCGCAAGAACAAAAAACCAAACACCGCATATTCTCACTCATAGGTGGGAACTGAACAATGAGAACACATGGACACAGGAAGGGGAACATCACACTCTGGGGACTGTTGTGGGGTGGGGGGAGCGGGGAGGGATAGCTTTAGGAGATATACCTAATGCTAAATGACGAGTTAATGGGTGCAGCACACCAGCATGGCACATGTATACATATGTAACTAACCTGCACATTGTGCACATGTACCCTAAAACTTAAAGTATAATAAAAAAAAAAAAAGAATCCCAATGTGAAATTAAATTGTTTGTTAATGCTACACAAATTTGATAGTCTTCAAAAATCCTTCTTTACTATAAGACAAGTAATCATTTTAAGTAAAAAAAAGTAAAGAAATAGGACTTATCAATAATAATATTTCTGAAAGTTTATAAACATTGATTCACATCCAACAAAACCATTGCAGAGAAGCCCATACCTTAATCTAGACAGCATAATAAATAATAAATGTCCTAAAAATTTGTATATCAATTTTTGGACTAGCAAATAATCTGAAATACATTTCTAGAAACAAGAAACTCTTTTAGCTACTCCTCTCACACTGGCTAAAATGCTTAGATCACAGGATGGGCATGGTGGCTCTTGCCTGTAATCCTGACACTTTGGGAGGCAGAGGCAGGGGCATTGTCAGAGCCCAGTAGTTTGAGACCAGTCTGGGCTACATGATGAAACCCCATCTCTACAAAAAAATACAAGAATTGGCCTGGTGCAGTGGTGTGCACCTGTGGTCCCAGCTACCTGCATGACAGTGAGACACTGTCTCAAAACAAACAAACAAAAAAACCTCAGATCTTTACTTCCTTTCGTCTTTCTTTTTTTCTTTTCCTTTCTTTCTTTCTTTCTTTCTTTCTTTCTTTCTTTCTTTCTTTCTCTCTCTCTCTTTCTTTCTTTTTCTTTCTTTCTTTTTGTTTTTTGTTTTTGTTTTGCTTTGAGACAGGGTCTTGCTCTGTCACCCAGGCTTGAGTGCAGTGGTGCAATCATGGCTCACTGCAGCCTCAACCTCCTGGGCTCAAGTGATTCTCCCAAGTAGCTGGGACCACAGGCATGCACCACCATACTTGGCTATTTTTCTTTTTAATTTTTTTAGAGATGGGGATTTGAGACCCATGGTGGTCTCAAATGCCTGGGCTCAAGCAATCCTCCTGCCTCACCCTCCCAAAGTGCTGGGATTATAGTCATGAGCCACTGTGCCCAACCTCTCAGATCTTTTCTACAAGAAATATTCCAGGCAGAAATTTTGTCTTTTGAGTCTTTACTATTTTTTCCCACTTTATGTCTCTCTTCCTAATGTGAATATAGTGAAAAAAGCACTATTAAATTAAAAGGGCACTTTTTATTAAATCTTTTCTTGAATTATTTTTAAAAAGCAAGAAAAATCTCTGCCAGATTATATTTAATACAAAGCTAAAACAGCATGTTAGTAAACTAACCATTGCCACTACCACTGATATTAAATGATGTGCTGAAACACTTCAATGACTTCTTAGACATCGTAAAATAAGTCTACTTTCTTCAATGAAAAAAATAATCTCGGCTGAACATAACTTATAACAAAGTCTATATTTGCTGACTAATATATACCTTAGCTCACCAGGCCATTTCAATCTGCTGTTTTGCAAACATAAACACAAGATAAACTACAGTTATAATTTTTAGCAGTTTAAGTTGGACACCTTGTTGTGAGAATACATATAAAATTAACAGAAATAAAAATTAATAAATATAAAAATTCATCCATAATTTTAATTCCTCAACAAATCAAATTGTTTCCAATTTTTAGGACAACTTACCATTCTTTACCTTTGTGCATGTACAGACTTAGACTTTGCCTGACAGTATAGATAAAATATTGTCTTCTGCTTTTCTTACTTATCATTATTTCACAAACATTGTACATATTGCCAAAAGGTCTTCATAACTATCATGAAAATAAATTAATTGAATGAGTTACCGTAACTTAATGGATCATTTCCTCACTCTTAGGTTACCTTTCTCTCTCTCCTCCCCAACCCCTCTTGTTTGGGACTACTATCAACCACAAATATTTTCATTTATATAGTTTTCACCTTGTTTTTAATATTTCTCTCTTCAGATAAATTCTCTGAAGTAGACACTTATGAATGCTTTTATGGCTCTTGTATTTCCGAAGTGCTTTCTAAATATCACTGCCATTCATAGCAATGTGTGTGCCTACAATCTGTACTGCAACCTTCACCAGCACTTAGGTATTAGTATTTTTTATTGGAGAAATGAGTACCGATTTCAAGGGATGAAATCTCTGTGATTTCATACTAATGAAATCTCATTAGCATTTTTTAATCTGCCTCTTTGTTACTATTGTTGTTAAATGCTTTAAAACATTTGTTAATTATATTTCCTACTATGTGGATTTTCTTTGGAGATGTGTGTCTTCGTGTTTATCTCAAGAAATTACATGTACTTTTGCTATACTCTATCCAGAAAATAATGTAAATATTTTTTCCAATATAAACTGTTTCACTTTGGGCTTTTTTTAAATAGCAAATAAGTTTAATACTTTTACATCATTAAATATATTAAGTATTTTCCAATGTGATTATTTCTTCTTCTCATATCAAAGTTCATATAGTGATTCTACTAAATGTCTGGCAAAATGTAACTTTCCTCATTATTAAAAAAAATTGTCCATGTAATCTATCTGGTATTTTGGCATATGTTGTGAGACGTGAGTCTAAATCACTTCTTTTTCAAATTTCCTAAGACCATAACCATTTCTTAAATAGTCTTTCCCTTTCTCATTATCTTATAATGTTTTCTTCTTATATATAAAATTTTCATATATAACATGTTGGGATTTTCTATGCATTCCTAGGTAGGGCACATTAGAAATGCCTGGGCGCCCTAGAAATGCCAGTTGAAGATTTTGTTTTGGTTTTACTCTTATATTTAGAAATTAATGTTGAAACCATTAATATCCAGACCTTTATATCCAGAAACATAATCTGCCTCTTCACTAATTAAGTCTTCCTTTATAACTCATGAGAAATAACATTTTAAAGATATGTCCAATGTTATATAATTAAGGGGCGGAATAAGACCATGCAAAAGGTAGAGGCTATGTGGTAGGACATGTATATATATCCAGGCTCAACTCCTGTGTGATCTTTTGCCAGACGCTTAGCCTCTCTGAGCCTCAGTTGTTTCCTTTGTAAATTGGAGGTAGTACTACTTACTTTCAGAATTGCTGTAAGGAGTATGGATAATGTCTATAAAGCTATTGGAGCATAGTCTGTATCCAATAAATGTAAGCTATGATCATAATTTTTAATTTAACATGTGCCTAGTACTTGACATTTTACAACGTTTTTTCATGTGTATTAACTCACTTGCTCTGTCTGATCTTTGCAATACCATGTGAGATAATGATGTTATTATCACTACTAGTATTAAGACCCAAAACATAAATACATCTCTTCTTCTGAGTCAAAAGCACAAGCTCATTTCATACCATCATGATATGTGTAAATGTATTTGTAGACCACCTACATCACACAATAACTTTATCCCTGAATATTTTATAAATTTTTCTGCTATAATAATTATAATCATCTTTTCATCATATTGTCTAATTAGTTGTGCTTGCTTAATGGAATGCTATTGATTTTACTATATTTATTTCATGTTCAACAGCTATTGAGTTCCTTATTACCTCTTAAAAATATGTTTAAATCATTTAGTTGTTTGAGTTGCTACATTGCCAAAGTAAATTCTTTGTTATAGAATCATATATTAATAACATTAACTAATTGGAAAGTAAAAAACCAAGACCAGTTATCTGTCATGATATTAAGACATATTAAAATCTTCTTGTTTAAGGAACATAAATTTTAAAAAGATTATTTAACTATGCTAGTCAGTTTCCTTTAGACTATAGATTACATTACCTTAAGAATTTTTCATATCAGTCCTTCAAACCTCCCTTTATCTTGTCTGACAGAAGGGCTGACATTACAATGTGGCAAAAAAAAAAAAAAAAAAAATCAAAAAGAAAACATAGGCTGGATGCAGTGGCTCATGCCTGTAATCCCAGCACTTTGGGAGGCTGAGGTGGTGGATCACCTGAGGTCAGGAGTTTGAGATCAGCCTGACCAATATGGTGAAACGCCATCTATACTAAAAATACAAAAAAATACAAAAAATAAAATAAAATAATTAGTTGGGTGTGGTGCCATGCACCTGCAGTCCCAGCTACTCTGGAGGCTGAGACAGGAGAATCACTTGAACTTGGGAGGAGGGGGTTGCAGTGAGCCAAGTTCATGCCACTGCACTCCAGCCTGGGCGACAGAGCGAGACTCCATCTCAACAAAAACCTTAAAAATACAATAAATAAAGCATAGATTTTTATTTTTCTTGTTGGGCTTTAAATACTGGAGAAGAGAGACTAGAGGAATTACTAGGAAAGAGCCATTAGACTGTACACACTTGCACAATTGGGGGAGACTTGCTGCCTTCACATTTCTGCTTAATCCCTGGCTGCCTAAACTCCTTCTCATCATAATCTAGACTCTCCATTCCTTAATAATGCCTTTTAAAATGTTTTCTCCCAGAACATCATTTCAATTATGAAAGGATACTTTTTTTTTGAAACTGGATTTATTCTTTGTCTTCCCTCATCTATTCCCAGAGTACTAGGTGTTTACTTGGGAAAGTATTAATAATGTAATGTGATCTTTAAATTAAATTAGTTAATTAATACAATCAAATAATCCACTGCAAAAAAGTATTCTAAATAAAGGAATCTACTGAGTCACCCGAAAAATATTTCATTTTTGGGTAAGTGTTCTTTGTATTTGGTTGATGGGAAAATATATATAGCTAGCATGAAAGGTAAAAATAAAAATGACACAATTAGTTTTGCTGTAGAACCAGACAATTGACTTCGGTTCTGATTTCAGTACTCACGGGTAAAATGACTAGAAGTGGATGGATTGACACTGTCCCCACTGTCAGCACTTTCACTGCTGGAAACTTCATCATCTGATTCCCTCACAGAGGAGCAGGGTGAGGAGCCGTCAACTTCTTCAAACTTCCTCTTTAAAATTCCACTCATCGCTGCAGTGCTGTCACATGTACCTGTAACAGGAAGGAGAGCAACAGAGCATTGAAATATTTGACCGCTGAACGTGTAGCCAAGGTCTCCAGAGTCATTTTTATGTGGCTTTTTATACATGAGCTGAGCTATAGCTTTCCCTTGAAAGGATCTTTAGCAGATTTTTTTTTCTATTTTCAAATTAACAAAAATAAGATTAAATTAAATATGAGTATTTAACCATTTGATTACCAAAAGGTTTTTATATTTTGAGACATAGTTCATTTTAATGTAATATCATTATTCCTTTTTATTGGCAAATTGAGAAAATCCACCTGAGTCCAAGAAAATCTGTAAAGAAAAATAATGCCAATGTCTCCTGAAGTCCTTGATTACAACATTATATGAAATTCAGCTGGAACACAAAAAAGTATGCACGACCTTTGTACTCAAGTTCTAAAATTCAAGAAACCCAATTAGCTGAGCACAATGAAGCATGTAAAAACAGTTCTAAATTTTAGGTAGTTTCCATTTCAGTATTGCAATGGGTGACATGCATCCCCATGCTACCTGCTTACTGAAGCCCTGGCCACTTTTTCAGAAATTTCCTAAGGCTATTTACCTGGAAGATAGCAATAATTGAATTGAAAGGCCTATGGGTAGAGAATGGATATGGTTTCTTCTAAATAATTTATCTTGGGTTAATGGACTTTCCCCTTTCCCTGGGCTGACCTTTCTCCACCTTCTCCATTTTACCATGAACTGGCACAGTCAAGTAAGGAGCACAAACTTTCTTTGCAGAAGGAAAGATATTTTAGGGTATAAACATTTTATAAATTATCTTAGATACATGTATGTGATCTTACATTGCTAAATTACATTAACTGAAAGTACAGTATTTAACTGAAAGGTTAAATATCCATTATCCAAAATGGTTAAGATAAGAAGTGCTCTGAATTTTGAATTTTTTTTGGATTTTGAAATGTTTGTATCTACATAATGAGGTACCTTGGGGATGGCACCCAAGTCTAAAGACAAAATTCATTTATGTATATCTTATTCATATAACCTGAAGGCAATTTCCTAGAGTATCTTTGATAATTTTGTGAACAAAACAAAGTTTTGACTCTGTTTTGACTGTGACCCATCAGATAAGGTCAGGTATGAAAATTTTCACTTGTGGCATCATGTAGGTGCTCAAAAAGTTTTGAATTTTAGAACATTTTAGATTTCAGATTTTCAGATTAGGGATGTCCAATCTTTATTAATAAGGCAATTCCATGCATTTTATATTCCACTTAATTTATTTCAGTTGATTCTAACTCACACCTGAGGAATTGAAGACATTGTCTCCTTTTTCCGCCAGAGTATAGTCAATCCTATAAATCAGGGGGAAGCAAGACCCTTAACACTATTCTGAGACCCCCTTAGTTATATTATCTCTGTACTGCTCTTGGAAATCTCTGAAATCACTTCTTTTCTGTGCAGATCACAGAGCAAGCAGCGTGTTCAGATTCCCCGAGCTGGGCCAACTCTCCAAGGAAGGTCTAAGTCAGTATTTTGCAAAGTGTGCTACCTGAATGAGCAGCAGTAGCATTACCTGGGAGTGAGATGGTTAGAAATGCAAATTCTCAGCTCCCATCCCAGATCTACAAATCAGAAATTCCCAGGAAGTAGGGCCCAGCACTCTTTACTTTGTGAAGCCCCAAATTGGGTGATTTTGCAACACACTCAAAATTGAGGATCACTTGTGTAATTTAGCATGCTTTTTAGCCTCTTCATTCATAAACATGGCTCTTTCTTGGATGTGGTCACATACCAGCCCTAGATAGTCACATAAACCAGCACTGAATTCCTAGTCAAAAATCTCTTCTTTGACCTTTCCTGGTGTAATTCCTAGCAAAATTTAGGAATTTTATTAGTCTGTTCTCATGCTGCTATGAAGAAACATCCAAGACTGGGTAATTTATAAAGAAAAGAGGTTTAGGCCGGGCGCGGTGGCTCACGCCTGTAATCCCAGCACTTTGGGAGGCCGAGGCGGGCGGATCACGAGGTCAGGAGATCGAGACCATCCCGGCTAAAACGGTGAAACCCCGTCTCTACTAAAAATACAAAAAATTAGCCGGGCGTAGTGGCGGGCGCCTGTAGTCCCAGCTACTTGGGAGGCTGAGGCAGGAGAATGGCGTGAACCCGGGAGGTGGAGCTTGCAGTGAGCCGAGATCCCGCCACTGCACTCCAGCCTGGGCGACAGAGCGAGACTCCGTCTCAAAAAAAAAAAAAAAAATGAAAAGAGGTTTAATTGACTCACAGTTACACATGGCTGGGGAGGCCTCAAGAAACTTACAATCATGGCAGAAGGGGAAGCAAACACATTCTTCTTCACATGGCAGAAGAGAGAAGTTCCAAGAAAAAGGGAAAAAGCCCCTTATAAAACCATTAGAGAACTTGTGAGAACTCACTGTCAGGAGAACAGCATGAGGGTAACTGCCCCCATGATTCAATTACCCCCCCAACACATCCCTCCCATGTCATGTGGGGATTATGGGAACTACAATTCAAGATGAGATTTGGGTGGGAATACAGCCAAACAATCATTCTGCCTGTGACCCCTCCCAAATCTCATGTCCTCACATTTCAAAACACAATCATGGCTTTCCAACGGCCCCCCTAAGGTCTAGGCTCATTCCAGCATTAACCCAAAAGTCGAAGTCCAACGTCTCATCTGAGGCAAGGCAAGTTCCTTCTGTTTATGAGCCTGTAAAATACAATGGGGCTACAGGCATTGGGTAAACACACCTGTTCCTAATGGGAGAAATTGTCCAAAACAAAGGGGCTACAGGCCCATGCAAGTCTGAAATCCATCAAGGCAGTACTTAAATCTTAAAGTCCAAATTACAATAGGGTAGCCATTAAGCCTTAAAGTTCCAAAATGATCTCATTTGACTCCATGTCTCACATCCAGGGCATGCTGATGCAAGAGGTGGTCTCCCACAGCCTTGGGCAACTCTGCCCCTGTGGCTTTGCAGGGTACAGCTCCCCTCCTGGCTGCTTTTACGGGCTGACATTGAGTGTTTGTGGCTTTTCCAGGTGCATGGTGCAAGCTGTCAGTGGATCTTCCATTTTGGGTTCTGGAGGACAGCAGCCCTCTTCTCACAGTTCCACTAGGCAGTGCCCCAGTGGGGACTCTGTGTGGGGGCTCCAACCCCAAACTTCCCTTCTGCACTGCCCTAACAGAGGGTATTCATGAGAGCTTTGCCCCAGCAACAGACTTCTGCCTGGACATAGAGGCATTTCCATACATCCTGCGAACCCTAGGCAGAGGTTCCCAAGCCTCAATTCTTGACTTCTGGGTACCCACAGGCTCAACACCATGTGGAAACCACCATGGCTTTGGGCTTGCACCTTCTAAAATAATGGCCTGAGCTGTACTTTGGCCGCTTTTAGCTAAGGCTGGAGCTGAAGCAGCTGGGACACAGGGGACCATGTTCCCAGGCTGCACAGAACAGGGGGTCCCTGGGCCCACCGCAGGAAACCATTTTTTCCTCCTAGGCCTCTGGGCTTGTGATGGGAGGAGCTTCCCTGAAGGTCTCTGACATGCCCTGGAGACATTCTCCCCATTGTCTTGGTGATTAACATTCAGCTCCTCATTAATTATGCAAATTTCTGCACCAGGCTTGAATTTCTCCCCAGTAAATGGGTTTTTCTTTTCTATCACATCATCAGACTTCAAATTTTCCAACCTTTATGCTCTACTTCCTTTTGAATGCTTTGCCACTCAGAAATTTCTTCTGCCAGATATCCTAAATCATCTCTCTCAAGTTCAAAGTTCCACAGATCTCTGGGGCAGTGACAAAATGCTGCCAGTCTCTTTGCATAGCAAGAGTGACCTTTACTCCATTTCCCAACAAGTTCCCATCTCCATCAGAGTCCTCCTGAGGCTGGGCTTCATTGTCCATATCACTATCAGCATTTTGGTCAAAGTGTTCAACAAGTCTCTAGGAAGTTCCAAACTTTCCCATATCTTCCTGTCTTTGAGCTCTCCAAGTCTCTAGGAAGTTCTAAACTTTCTCACATTTTCCTATCTTCTTCTGAGCCCTCCAAACTGTTGCAACCTCTGCCTGTTACCCAGCCCCAAAGTCACTTCCACAGTTTCAGTATCTTTATAGCAGCACCCCACTCCCTGTGGTACCAATTTACTGTATTAGTCTAGTCTCATGCTGCTATGAAGAAATACCTGAGACTAGGAAATTTATAAAGAAAAGAGGTTTAATTGACTCACAGTTCCACATGGCTGGGTAGGCCTCAGGAAACTTACAATTATGGCAGAAGGGGAAGCAAACACGTCCTTCTTCACATGGCTGCAGAAGAGAAAAGTGCCGAATAGAGGGGGAAAACCCCTTATAAAACCATCAGATCTCATGAGAACTCACTCACTATCACAAGAACAGCATGAAGGTAACGGCCTCCATGATTCAATTACCTCCCACCGGGTCCATCCCATGACATGTGGGGATTATGGGAACTACAACTCAAGATGAGATTTGGGTGGGAACACAGCCAAACCATATCAGTGTTGGATGTTTCATAAGTATTTATTACTAATTTCAACTTACTTCATTCAATACAATAGTAACTATTGTATATGTGTTTGACTTCTTGAGTGGAATAGGGGATACAAAAGAAAGTTAGATGGTTACCTGCCCTCAAGAAGCAAACATTCACTATGCTGGGCTCCATCAAATTAAGAATACTCCCAAATTCATGTTCTACTCAATTGCTTTATTAATCCATGTCTTTCTGCATGAATGTTATATTAACAATGGAGATAACTGACAGCAATAGGAAGATACATCATTGTCCACTCTTTTGAAAATAAAATCTCTATTTCTACTCTGATTTTACCACTATTCAGATTAGCATATTATTTTCTCCATCTTAAAGAGTGTGAAATGCATAAAATGTTCATGCATATCTGAGTAGGGCGAAGAGAAAAAAGATATTTTAAGTAAAGTCTTGAAATAAAAGTAGGACAGGATATAAATTTTAAAATGGTTCACTTCAAACAAGATGCAAAGTAATTCATAAGGGAGAGACTCCAAGACACAAAGTAATACAAGATGGAAACCTATGTTTAAAAAGTACATTTTTATAATAAGATATTGCAATGGGAGCAGTTAGAAACCATGTTCTTCTTCCCCCCATACTCCCCCAGCTTCTTTAGGAAAGGTAGACTTCTCAAGAATCAAGGACACTTAATTGGGCTACAGGGATGCATGTCACAACATTACAAAATGTGGTACTTGGTACTCTTCTTTTCCTTTCTCACCTCCCCAAGAATGAGAAGGAAAATTTTTGAAGAGATAATAAGATAATTAAAAAGCCTCTTTTTTCCTTTTAGTTAAATTTGGGGATGTCAAGAGCTGAAGAAATGGAGTTATAGGTTCATGTAAGTTCTGTCTAGGTCTTTAAAATTGAAAGAGACTGAACTACAGTCAGGTCAAAGGAAGTGAGGAACTGTTTGCTAAGAGTGTGATCAGTATTTAAGCTAACAATTAAACATTCATATAATTACTGGGAGTCATATTCTTAACATACACCTACACCCATGAAACACCTGTTAAGTACAAAATTGCTTTGTGTAGCAATGAAGTAGAATACCTGTCCAATTTCATTGCCTTTAAAAAATATTCCCTATGTGACTATAACAAAATGTCACAACAAAATTTGAAGGCCAAATGGTCCATTGTTTACCAGTATGTAACCCTTAATCTAGACTTAATAGAGGAGTGTTAAAGGGAGATGTGGTTTTCTTCTATATCACCTACATTATCTTTCTAGGAAAGAAAAGAATATAAGGATTTAGTGAGAAGGCCCTATTAATAAAGTGTTGTATACCCGATTTGTTTATACTGTGTTGGAGGATTGCAATGTATGACTGACTAGATACAGAGCCAGGTGAGGATAATTAATACCTATCCCTTAGCTGCTGTACTCCTTAAATACCTACATATTATATTTTTGTTCCTAAAGATGAGGCCAAATTAAACTTGGTAGTATACAGCAAATGAAAATGTGCCAAACATTACAAATTGGCTTTATTTAATTTATTTATTTTTATTTGTTAGTTTTGAGACAGGGTTTCTGTCGCCTAGTCTGGAGTGCAGTGGCATGATCATGGCTCACTGTAGCCTCAACCTCCTGAGCTCAAGGGATCCTCCCACCTCTGCCTCACCAGTAGCTGAAACTACAAGCATTCACCACCACCATGCCCACCTAAGTTTTCAAAAAATTTTTTGTAGAGATAGGGCCTTGCTATGTTGCCCAGGCTGGTCTCCAACACCTGGCCTCAAGCAACCCTCTCACCTCGACCCCCCAGAGTGCTGGGATTGCAGCCATCAGCCACCACGCCTGGCCCTAAAGTTGGCTTTTATAGCACCAAAGCCCAAAGAACAGAGGTAAAGTTGGACAGGCATTAATCTATTCTAAATATGAAGAGCTGAAAGTCTAAGTGTAGAAAACAGCCATTTTATCACAGCTATCGTTGTCCAATTCATGAAACACATGCTAGTCAAGGGCACCACCATTTCTCACTTAGACTAGGCCAAGGGCCTCCCAATTATTCTCTCGCATCCACTGCTGCTAGCTTTCAATGCGTTTTCAAGGTTGCAGGCAGAATGATAAATTTAAAATGCAAATCTGATCATGTCAGTCTATGGCTTAAAACTCTTAAGTAGCTTCAGATTGCCTTAGGATAAAGTTCAAAATCCTCAAGATGGCTTATAAAGTCCTTAACAATCTAGCTTGTCTAACCTCTTCATCCTCATTTGAGCCACTGGCCTTGTCATTGATATTTCAGCTCTAATAATCTTGCAGTTACTCCAACTTGCAATTTCTCTCTGTCTTTAGGACATTTGATATACCATTCCTTCTGATCTACTTTTTAATTTATTTTCATAGCATTTACCACCTTCTAAATCCGTATTATTTATTTATGTATTTCTATGCTTATTACTTACTGTTTTCATCTCCTGATAAAAAAATACAAGAGCAGGGATCTTTGTTTCTTTACAAATGTTTCAAGTGCCTAGAACAATGCCTTGTATATAATAGGTGCCTCAATACATATTTGTTCAGTGAATTAATATAAGCCTTTAATTTCCATAATTTAATATCCGTTTTTTTCTGCTAGACTGAAAGCTCCATGAAGTCAGAAATCCTATTCATCTCATTTACCACTCTAACTCCCCTAACAACATATTTGGTTGAATGAGAATGAAAATGAGAAATGAAACTGAGCCCAAAGCATCATACAATTTTTTTTTGCTCACAAGCAACACAAAAGCCAACTCTAGACTAACTTAAGCAAAAGACTTCTGTTGGGAAAACACTGGACTAGTTCATGCAATCTACGATACAGCTTGAAACCAAAACTCAGGAAACAGGAACTAGGGCAGCTTCTGGGATTATGGCTATAAAAATTCCTTCTCTGGAGCTCTGCAATTACCAGATTTAAGCTCCAGCAACTTCTCTCTGTGTCACAGTTCAACTGTAATGTTCCAAAGGCTGAGCAACTTTTTGACCTATCTTGGGTCAGGTGTCTGCCCCTTGATCATTCAACTACGTGGCCATTAGGCCGAGAGGGAGACATTGTGAACAGGGGGCCACCTGGCTGGGTACTACTCCAGAGACTCAATTGCATTTCAAAGCCAGTATCATTTCCTCATCTGTCACCAATTTATCTTTTTTGTGCATTTATCAGTATAATCCATGAATTCACGTCTTGGCCACATTCTCAGGGATTTCCCTTTCCCTGCACCCACACTTCCCTGTCTATTGCAAAATTTAAATAAGAACTACTTTATTTTAAAACATTAAATAAGCATGTTATGATCTCAGAAATCTGTTATTCTTCACTAACATATATGATTTGTTTAGCATTTACATTAGATATGACCATTGCTCAGAAGCCTGTGAGCACATTTATGAAAAAGTAGCAGAAAACTGTTAATGTTTCCATCTCTGTCTGCAAGAAAAAACTAATAAAGAAACAACACTAGATTTTCTGTGATTATAAGTACAATTGTTTCATTTAATATATTTCTGTCCTATTGGGAAGGCAAAGTTAATGGTGAGTTCAAAGGGAAAATATCAGAAGCCAGAAGCATATTAGGTGGAGGGTTTGATTAAAAATGTCAAATCAAGAGGACGGATAAAAACATTCATTTTAATGCCTGTGGAAGAATGGCTGAAATGAACCTTTGGGTATATCTTGAAATCTTGTTTATTTTACTCTTTTTTGACAGTCTAAAAATTCCATGGCTTTCATAGATAACTCATTTAGTTCTTACTATCCCACTGATATTCATCTAGTGTTTAATCCTTTTTTCTTCTTATATTTTGCCCCTATTTCCTGTTCTGTTATCTATCATAAGGAAATGACCACAGAAAATATGTCTTAAGAACACCATAAATCCCCATGTCTGAGGAGCAGGTAACACGATTTGCAGAAGAACCTCTTAGGGTTGTCAGATTTAGCAAATAAAAATATGGGACACCCAGTTAAATTTAAATTTCAGATTAAAAAAATTGACATTTGGGACATACTTACACTAAAATTTATCTGAAATTCAACCTTAACTGAGAAATCTACTTTTTTGTTGTTTTTTGTTAATCTGACAACCTTCATTCGTTCTCTTGGTGAGAAAGTAAATGACTGTGCAATTAACCAAAACATCTAAATAGGAAAATCCACCTGGATTAGAACCACGTACATGAAAATTCCTGCCCTTGAAACCCAGTAAATAAAACATGTAAAGTCATTTGGGTGAATCATGAATTTACCAAAGGTGAATCATGAATTTACCAAACAATCTGAAAAAGTTTGAGTGCTGAGTGATGGTTAATAGATTAAGCACAGGCCTGCCTACCACTGATGTAGGAAGAAATGAACTTGACAGGAAGTAACTCTGGCATGGCAATAATTTTCTTATATGGTAATGAGATGTTCACTTTAATGAGATGTTATTTCTTTCCTGGCCGGAAAATGAAAGGAAGGTGAGCTGTGAGTCCTGGGTTCATCTGATCCGTAGGATCCTTATTCCATCACACTGTGTAGTGCATGAGCCTTAGGGGGTATTCTATCAGGAACAATAGGAGGCATCAAGAGCCCCTCTGTCCACTTTTACTTGGGAGATTCGGTTTATCCTTTGCATTGCTGATTTTGTATTTAAGCAAAGTGAGAGTAACTTTTAACTGCAAGGATCATTAACAAAGATTCTTCCACCTTTGTAATTTGGCAAAGGTGGAAGATTTTAGATCAACAGGCATGTTAAACAACTTGCATTACAAGGTGGCATGAGAGGAGGGATTTTTTGTGATTTGTGAAAGTGCAAAATAATCTATTGTGCATTCTTCCAGTAAATTCTTCCAGCAAGCACAAAACACCAAGAAACTATGATAAAGTTCTATTCTAATGAACTTAATAAGGTAAGGGTGCTTGCTTCAATCAGCAATGGGCTGAGGGCCCAAGAAACACCAGTGTCTGGATTGAGTTGCATAGGAAAAGCTTTTCTTCTTTAGCTTTACTCAGAAAGGAACGTAATTTTGCTGTTTCTTCTGATTGCTTCACCAAATTCAAATGGTGACATGAGAGACATTGTAAACAAGCTGATGATAATACCTGTGAGTGGCTCATCTGTGATAGCAGGTCGGAAGAGCTTAGCTGGCAAAAGTAAAAATATTCACAACGTCAAATTATCAACCAGATGGTCTACTGGGCCAGATAGAAGATGAAGAGGACAGTGGCTGAATTGATGGTATATAGGTTTTATTACAATATTCAAGAAAAGAGAACTCAGTTAAAAAAAAAAAAAAACACATTATGCTATGATACTTTTATAATTTTGAGAAATAGCTTTAGTTAACCAAATGTTCCTAAATACCTGAACAAATGTTTAACTGTTAGTTTAAATTAAATCCTTTTCATTCCCAACTTTTTAAAATCATGATTTTTAGTAATCTATAATGTTCTGTCCTTATACTATTATGTTAATCAAACAGTGAATATAGTCTAAACCAAGCTTGTCCAACCTGTGATCCATAGGCTGTAATGTGGCCCAGGACAGCTTTGAATGCGGCCCAACACAAATTTGTAAACTTTCTTAAAACATTATGAGTTTTTTTGTTTTTTGTTTTAGCTCATCATCTATCCTTAGTGTTAGTATATTTTACGTGTGGCACAAGACAATTCTTCTTTTCTAATATGGCCCATGGAAGCCAAAAGATTGGACATCCCTGGTCTAAACTCTTTGCTAAATAAACTAATCATCATTTTAAGCAGTTGCCCTTCTAAAAGAAATGACTTCTTTAGTAGGTTTCATAAAATCAGTGCAACTCTGAATTTTTTGCAGGCTTTTGACTCATTCTATAAGCTTTTTGTTGTTTAATCTTTAAGCAAATTCTCTTCCTTCCTTTTCTTTTTCTTCTTACTCATTGCACTCTCATATTCTTTGCACAGGAGCCTGTAGAGTTGGGATAGAAGAAAAAGGCCATCTCTTCAAAGCTGAGTACTATGTGACATCATATTTCACTGACATCACCCATAATGGAAATAAATTCCAAGTGTCATTTAGAAGGCCCTCTCTTTGCTACTACCTAGCTCTTTGTTTCAGTCATGTGATCCTAGCCTCAGCTGCTTTCCCTAAGGGTGCTTCAAACCCAGCAGAGAAGTTGTGTCGGAGGGGTTCAAAGCAGAGCGACCCCATCTTGAGTGAGGGCTAGAAAAATGAGGCTGGGACTTGCTGGGCTGCATTCCCAGAAAGCTAGGTATTCGTAGCCTCTAGGTGTTTACAGTTAAGGGAACAGATTGATAATGTTTACTAAATAGACTCAGAGTTGGGAGTGTCCTAATATCCTGACATCTTAAGAACAAAAGCATTCCTAATTTTGCTTTAAAGATAATAATATTGATTCATGAAAAACATAGTAATTAAGAAAATTAATCCTTTATCACAAACCCTTGTAACAGAGCACATCTCCCCATGATCTTTTTGTTCATCCTATTTATACAAGCATTGTACCTAAGGTGGACGCGTTCCTCCTCTTACTTTCGGAAGCCCTACCCTGTCTATGAGTAGCTATTCTTTCACCACTTTACTTTCTTTTGCTTTGCACTGTGGACTCACCCTGAATTCCTTCTTGTGTGAGATCCAAGAACCCTCTCTTGGAGTCTGGATAGGGACCCCTTTCCTGTAACAGTTGTACATGCTTGTGTTTGTTTAATTTGTTCTATTATTTGTTCCCAACGTTTAACTTACTGTCATTTATGACATACTTCTTCTTATTATTATTTACTAGTGTAAAACATGAAGACCGGGGAAGTGCAAGGCAGGAGACCATTATGTAAAGAGATATGGGAAGAGGAAGAGGACTTAAATAGATCTACTATGTGCCAGTTACTTTACAATCTTTATCTTACTGAATCTTTACAACAATCTTGCCATGTTACCCTCATTTTACAGTTAAAGAAACCAAGTTGCAGAGAGATTAACTACTTTGTCAAAGTTTCTTAGCAAGCAGGATTAGAAGTCAATACATCTATACTATGCTTCCTCCCACTGGGGTCTTTTCCAGCAAATCACAGATGGTAACTACAATGCATAATATTTTTAACTTTTAAAAAAGTGCACATGCATGTTGGGGGATGCTCCTTTCAAAGCCATATTGAATGTAATTGTTTGTTGGAAGGCATGACTTTTAGGTCATTCAAACAATTACCCCTGAGTAAGCAAAAAGTGCCTTGAACATTTATCACTTCATACATTTTGAGAATAGTTATGCATTTTTCTAAAAGAAAAAAAAGGATATATATTTCTGCAATACTAGAGTCATTTCTGCCTAAACCCATTTGGCAAGAAATTAGCATATCTGCCGCCAAAACAGGAGGAATCTGGCAATGAGTTTACAAGGTAAAATCCCACAAGGTGTTTCCATGGGGCACTACCAATGTGAAAAATGCTGCTGGTGGCTTGCCAATGTGAGAAGCACAAGTTGGCCAAATGTACTTCACTTGTCCAAGTGTCTGCTTAAGCCAAGAACCCTGGGAGCACTCCTGGCTAATAAATATTTTTGTTGGAGAAATAATAATTGTGGGGCTCCCAAATTATGTATGAATTCTTTATGCCAGAATTGTTTGTGACCTTGAATTAAAGGACTGAGTTACTTTATATGCGGTAGATCACAACATTTCCGCAGTTTGATGATTTGCAGTTTGAGAATTTGATTAAGAAATGAACACTTTCCCCAGAAAAAAGTGCACATAGCAGAAATGCATGCCATTTATTATGGACTCCCAGGATAAAAACCTCTGCTCTGGTGATTGTACCATTTCCCCAGCTTTGGTGGGTATCCAGAACTTGGAAAGATGATTCACTGGGAACACATTATTTCAAAGTAAAAAAGAAGTTTATAAATCTGTTGCCAACATTCCTTTTACCGTCAGGGTCACCCACTTCCTAGGACAGGGCTCTTTCCAGCTCCTTCAGTTTCTTCCGGCATTTGTGCCAAAGGACCTACTGCATTTGCTGGAGACATTTCCAGGGGATTTCTTCACTGTCGTCTTGGCTGCCACATACTACTCAAAAAACCACCCAAAACTGGCCTCATCTGCAACTTTGTGGCTTGAGGAATACTTGACAGGAATGGTTCTAGGTTAAGGTACACTTTCCTAGACAGTACCTGTCTTTCCTAAAAGGTGGTTAGATAGCCTCATTCCATTTATAATAACTCCAGTTAGCATTTAGTGAGCACCTACTATGGGCCAGATGCTTTGTAACCGTTCTCTGTAACCTTCCACCACATTCTACAAGGTAGTTTTAACAAAGGAAACTGAAGTTTCAGAAGTCTAGATCACTTGCTCAAGGTTTATGGCTGACCCAGTCCTTCTCTGAAAAATATTCTTTGACCAGTAGCACACTGTGGTTAAGTGGCTTCTCTGCATTAACACCACCTGGTCTATGCATTTATCAGTACTTATTAGACTGTATTATAATCCCCGTTCAACCCAATGTTTTTCTCAAACTTGATTATAAAACACTTTGTGGAGACTGAATAGGTATTCCAGTGCCTGCTCAGTAAATGAATAGACATAAATTTGGAGTCTGAATCCTGGACCAGCTACTAACAAGTGGCATAATTTTAAGTAGGAAGATTATTTCTCTGGGTCTCAGTTTGCACTTCTATCAAAAGAAGGGGGCCAGGCGCAGTGGCTCATGCCTGTAATCCTAGCACTTTGGGAGGCAGAGGTGGGCGGATTGCCTGAGGTCGGTAGTTCGAGACCAGCCTGGCCAACATGGTGAAACCCCATCTCTACTAAAAATACAAAAATTAGCTGGGCATGGTGATGCATTCTTGTAATCCCAGCTACTCGGGAGGCTGAGGCAGGAGATTCGCTTGAACCCAGGAGGCAGAGATTGCAGTGAGCTGAGATAGCGCCACTGTACTCCAGCCTGGGTGACAGAGTGAGACTCTGTCTCAAAAAAAGGTGGGGGTGGGAGGGGTGGGCAGGGCATAACTAGTAAAACATAGGCTCTGATACAAAGCAGACCCCACTATCTGAGAATAAATGACAAAAGCCATGACCTCTATGCAAAGACTGATGCCTCTAAATTGTTCATACCCACTTCCTTCACCCCAATGGCTAAATTGACTTATGTCCTGCTGACAAAGAGAGGGACGGCTATTCCATTTACTAATAATTACAAAGAGGTTTTCCATGACTCTCTCTGGCTGGGAGGTACTCAGGAAGCTTTCCATGTTACCTGCACTTGTGTGCCATTGTGATTAGTATTCATACAAGATGGCCAGAACTTGGTTTTGAATGCCTCTTGGCCCTAAACATTGATCATCATTTGGCATTTGGCAAAATGGTATAGTGGAATACACTAGTTTGAAAGTCAAAAGTTCTTCCCTAAGGTTAACTTTTAAGATGGTGTTTTAGTTATCAAAAACAGAGGAAACAACCAAGAACACGATACGGCTTTTAAAACTGTTGAAATTTGATCAAGTGCCTAGTGTAAGCCTACTTTTCCCTCCATAACAACAAAAGTACCAAGTGAAGTTAATGAAAAATTTATTTTACATGCTTGCAATTAAGACTAAAGAATAGTACTTAGCCTAATTCCTTGGACAATTTGCAAGACTTACCACATTGAGGAAAAAAAAAACAAAACACACATGGATCTAAAAGAATTAAAAATTATTATTATTGCATCACTGGAAGATAGCATTTTTTGTTTCTTCTTAGCACTTAAAAAGTTTCCCTTTGTCCTTTAGAAAGTTTCTGATTGAATAACAAAACAGATGAGGCAATGTAAATCAAAGGCTATTTAAGATAATGATATCCTTTTCCTTTAGAGGAATCATCTGAATAGTGTGAAGGAAAAGGGACTTTAAAAAAACATTTTCCCCATAAAGTACATTAAAATAGACATCAGAATAAAATATGGGCAAGCTTTAGAACTATACCCATCCAAGCACTGGGATCCTGCCAAAGATACTGCACAAAAAATAAAGGAGATTTTTAAAATTACAACAAGTAGAAAAAAATACTTTGGACATTCTTCAAAGTAAATCACCACCTTAGGCACAATATAGATTTTTACTATTTAAGGCAGGGACAGGCAACAATAGTTGTTAAGCCTGAAGCTGACTTTGCATTAAGCAGCAATTAGTAAAAAAATAATATATAGTGTAAAATTACCTGGACTTTCAAGTCTCAGTAAATGTTCTACGGAAATGTAAAACTTGTTCACAATAGAAATAAGTTGCACCATAGTCATACAATCTTTTGAAACTTGGACATTCACTGTTTAGAGGAGATTCACCCTTTAAACAAGTTTCACAAAAGTAGAGTCAGGCGGATCACGAGGTCAGGAGATCGAGACCATCCTGGCTAACGTGGTGAAACCCTGTCTCTACTAAAAATACAAAAAATTAGCCAGGCGTGGTGGCAGGCGCCTGTAGTCCCAGCCACTCAGGAGGCTGAGGCAGGAGAATGGCGTGAACCCGGGAGGTGGAGCTTGCGGTGAGCCGAGATTACGCCATTGCACTCCAGCCTGGGCGACAGAGTGAGACTCTGTCTCAAAAAAAAAAAAAAAAAAAAAAAAAGTAGAGTCATGATATTCCTGCAATCTACTCTGAACTGGTTACTAATGTATATTTACCAAAAAGCACTTCTAGGTATGCTACTATTAAAATAATTTTTAAGTAAAAATGTAGATATATTTTTCTAAATTTCTTTTGGAAAACGTTGCGACTAAATCAATTGATTCAATATTTCTAAACACCAATATGATATTCAGGAAGTTTAAAATAGCAATTAATTTGTAACAAAGTGATCACTTCATGATTCACACAAATTAGCACCTTTATGTCATTAGGTATAATTAGGTGCTTTATGCCCCATAGTAACATTGGCTCAGCAAACATTTCTTGGACACTTTCTATGTGCCAGGCTCCCCTTGTAATTGAAGAACTTATAGTCTATAGATGAGATAGAAACTCTGGATGGAGCAGAGATGAATAACTACTGCCTTAATTGCATAAAGTCAGAATGGAAAAATAGTAGAGCAGAGGTACAAAGATGGAAATTTGAAAAGCCTTAAAGGATATAAAAAAAGGGAGCTCAGAAAAGCACATATTGCCACATCATACCTGGGGATTTTGTGGAGACCGTACTTCTAGTTGGAATGATTCAAGGTACATATCTATTTAGCCACATATGGTTTGAACCTTGATGACCAGGCTGATTGCTTTCTCTACTTGTCCCATTCAAATTCTAACCATTAACTGCTCAGTATTACCTAGGATAACCTCCAATAAAATCCTGGCAGGTTTCTATTTTTGGAAAACACATCTTTTCCTCATCCATTGACACCTAAGATGTTCCATGAGGATTTTCTGTAACTATAAGTTTAAGCTGAACTTGCCTCATCAGCACCAGGGAATCAACTTGTGTGGGCTGAAAAATGTTAATATTAGCTATCATCTATAATATTCCTATTATGTGCCAGGTATGTATCATGTCATTCCCCTTTCATAAAAATCCCTTGATATAGAGACTAATATTACCACTTTCCCAATGAAGAAGATGAGGCTTACAGGTTTTAAGTACCATGTCAAGGCTACATGGCTTGTAAATGTCAGAGTACATTGTGTAAACAACTCCGGAGTTGGGACTTGAACTTAAGTTCTTAACCATTCCCTTATTCAGCCTCTTCACATTCCACGATATAGCTTGAAATCACATATAATATACAACACAATAAAAGCTTTTTCTATCAAGAAAACAATATACAATATTTTTCTGTTTTTTTTTCCTTTGTTCATAAATTGACCTAAATTTATAAGGTTTTATTGTATTAAATAAAGTTACCCAGGTTTGTTAAAGTAAGAATCCTCAGGCCTTTTAATATGCTAGTGTGCAAAAGAGGACCAGAATGATAAGCTATTCTCCAAATATGTTGGACTAGATCTCATTCTTACAGAGTCTTTTGATACTAGGTTCATGGAACCAACAGTCCTTTAGATCAAGTTCTTCACAGTATATGAGAACACCTACTAAAATGGTATTAGCTGCTTTGTGTATCTTAACATATTATATTAGTGAGATTTCAAAGAAATGGTGGTTGACGATTCAGCTGTCTTACTTTCCTTATTTATGATTAGGGAGAGTGTAAGACATGAGCATGAACACATGTGGCTAAATGCATTTCTAAATGAATATGTGGATTCATAAGCTTGCATGGAGATAAAGAATTGAGCAAGCAAAAATTCTTCCCATCTAGCATTGTGGTGAAAGATGGTAAATTTAATGCCAGGATTTGAAAATGAGATGGACCACAAGTCCCCAAATTGGCAAGAAGTATATGGCACCAATGATTAGTCAAATGCAACCAAAAAATTGGTCTCTGTGTTTTCTTTTGTATACCTGTTAGAGACTCCTCATTTTCCTATTTGATATAAAGTAAGTTCAAATTTCTGTTGATAGTTTAATATTATAGATTCTCATTGTACTAACAAAAGAAAATTTTCATTTATTTGGAATTCAAATGATTTTCAACATTCTGAACACAAGACAAACTAAAAATAAATTTTGCTTATTTTGTGTGTTCCTATACTATATGTATGTATCTGTCAGGAGTTCAGTACGTACGAGAAATATGGAGAAAGGTTTCTCTCTTTCTCTGTCCAGGAAAGTCAAAGTGATTTAGAATTGAATGTAAAGCAAAGTTCAAAATTGATTTCTGAATTGCTCTCAAAGGACAATTATTAACTATGTTAAAAATAATACATATTAACATTTAAAAAAGACAATAAAATTATAAAAAGCATATAAAATTATATATAAAAGTATATAATAGTAAGAGGCTATTTGGTGTTGGAGAACAGTTGGGAATAGTTTTGTCTTTTGCAGTAAGTGAATATCATGGTTGGACTAATAATTATTATGTCATGAAAAAAAACCTAAACTGACTTTCACCTTGCTCTATAAGGCAGTATGATGTGTACTATATTTTTGTTTCATGACAGCTATTGGCATTTTTAAGAACTGGCCTTTATAGTCATAAACTTTAGCTACTTGGAAAATCAGTTTATATCATACAGATTATTTTCCAACTCTACTAGACAAGGTATTACTATAGCATTACTATAGGTCTAATAAGATCTTTAAAATCATTTTACAATTTTATTGTTCTTATAATTTTTAATAAAATTGATGGAATTTTATGTAAATTCTAGAATAGGCAATAAAAAGACAATTGTTTTGTTTTCTTTTAAAATATTATATTAAAATAGAGAAATGTGATTGTTTTGAATACTCAATTATTTTGAGCATTTTCCTTCTACATGTTTCAGTAATTTAGTTTTGTTTTTTTTTTTCTATTTCATAGGCTCCAGAATTTCAGGAGAACAAATATAGCAATAATAAAACTTAAAACCTACACATGTGATTTTGAGATGACAACAGTTATTTGTAGATTTTAGACTATGTTCCACACTGCTAGACTGAGTAGAACATGTTTGCCCTGAAATCTTTTCCAAGCCTACAATATGGTCTCTAGTTTCAAGTGATGACAAAGACAGACTGGTAATCAAAGAGCAGGAAATTCATTTTTGAAAAATCCTCAAAGATTCCTTTGAAGTCTGATATAACACTATCTCTTTAAGTAGACTAAGTACATATCCCTAAAGATTTGTTTTTAGATCACTCTATTTATTCTTTTACTTCTCAAATTTGATTTGAATTGTATTTACACAAATGCATTTTTTCTATATACGTTTAGATATTCAGACCACAGACTTACTGTGTATATGCTGCTGAGATTTGTATGGAAGTAGTATGGCTCGAGCTATTGCAAAAGACTTCAAAGTTTTGAGTGAATCTGCATAGAGACATAAATTATCCAGGATATTCAAAGCCATAAATTAGCTGCAGGACATATATAGCTCTCTTGTGGCTCACAGAATCACAACAATTCTCTTTATTTCACATTTGTCTATTATCACGTTTTCTCCAAGAATCTTCATGGGCTTTCCTTCTTTGCCCACACTGTTTTTATTTCCATATTCAGAACATGCTCTGTGGTAGCAGTTGCATTTACAAAGTTAAAAGTACTGGACTACCTAAATGAATGTTAAACTTGGTTCTTTTCTCCCTCTCTGCCTAAAACACACGCAGGGATTAGTAGACACAAACTACAGGCGCTACTGAATTAAATATAAAATTAAACATTTTAAGAAAAAATTGTTGAATTAAATATGATTTACCACTGAAAATATTTTCTTTGGCTGCTTGAAATATATATATGTGTGTGTGTGTGTATATACATAATATATGCAATAATATGTATAACATACATATATTGTTACACATATGTGTGTGTATATATATATTGTTTTATGCATATATAAAACAATTATATGTATATATTTATTGTTTTATACATATATAAAAAACAATTATATATCTATATATAGGTATAAAAGCAAAGCCTATAAATATTGTTTGGACCAGAGGACAGCATATTCTGACCAACATAAAAAGAAAATAGCTAATTTAAAAAATAACCCTTTTACCTAAAGTCATTATTGAAAGTTTCAAAAGAGAAACACTTTAGAAGAAAATGTCAGTTTTTGAATTTTTTAAAAGCTCATACAAAACATGAATTCCTTTTCCTAAATTAGTCTCAGGATCCTGGATAAATGTCATAATGTCCCCATAGAGTGATAAAGGGTGAGAATCTGGCCCTGAATAACCACTAAGTGAATTTCATAAATATTTGAAATAATTGTCCTTCACTGTTTTAAATAGCTATCCTCCTGTTGTGGTTCCTCCTCAATCCCCCCTCTATTTTACAATAAAACATATTGTTGCCAAAATACCTCATCTTAATCATTATAATAAAATTAACTCCCTCTTTTCAGGGCAAAGAAAGTAATTAAGTTTAACTAAATATGTACTAGCTCTTTGTATGTAAGCTTCATAAAATTCATTTTTAAATATCTTATGCAAATATAAAAACATAAAGCAGTCATTTCATGGCTAAAAGCTATTTTTGCCTCTTCATCTTTTCCAACATATTTTCATACACATACAACCTGTAATAGACAGATGCACAGTTGATGCAAATGAAAATAACATTTTTTAATCAACATTGTAACTGCTGAATTGATATACTTAAGTGCTTTAATGATAGGAATAAACAGTTTGATTGTACTGTTTTAATTAAGTTTGTTTGAAAATATGTTTTAGAAATAAAAAAATATGAACAATAAAAGTGAGTACACATTTATTTGGTGCAGGACAGACTTTCCTATGATGTAATCACACATTTTACAAAAGTGTGATATTTCGTGCATGGAAAGAAGACTTTTGTCCTGTCTGTGACATTTATAAGGATCCCTTTACAATGCAGACTTAACTGAAAGGAAAAGTCATAGGAAGTTGAACACGTTAAATTCAAATAGCATTATCCAAAAAGTCCCAAAGAGAATTTATAACAATTAGAAAAATCAAAGAAAGGTTTAAAGGATCTAGCCCCAATAGAAGAAATTATTGCTCTGAGAAGATATTTGGCAATAAAATATAGAACAAAAACCCTCAAAACCAAAACCCTTCAAATGGAATGAAAATATACTTATTAAAATTGTCCTTATGCGATTGTGTGAGATATGAACAAAAGAACTCCATTATTTAATACCAGATACATCACAATAATCTTAGGCTAGGAACTCGGATCTTATTTTAAATACATTTCTTTAAAAAATGTGAAAATCCTCTAAAAGTTGTAAGCCTCAATATTTTTCTAGATGTTTCAGCTCAGAGATCTCTCTTCAATAAAGAACTTACCCCCGAAATGGAATTATTTAGAAGCCTAAACCCAGTTTTTTCTCACATGAAATTATTCTATTGGAACAAAACACCCATGTTTCAAGTAGAGAAATACGAAGAAGAAAATTAAAAAAATAAACTAGTTAAGGGAATCCTGAAAACCAGGAACACCCTGCCAATTGCCACGATGAATTAAAATAGCCAATGCCCATCAGTGTCTTTAATAGAAATAAAATCAGGCGCATCATGAAATGTCACCATACCTGCGTGCACTATATAACGACTACGGCACACACGCTGTAAAATCTTCACTCTCAGAAATAAAGCACACTTCATTTAACTGCTGCAAAACACTGCTGCAGAGAACCCCAGTACATTTTTTTCAGGCAACTGATCCAGCTTTCCACCAGCCCTGTGACCTTTGAACTCCCTTCTGCCCCCTCCTCTCGCTTCTGCAGTCAAAGCCTCCGAGCTGGTCTCATTTGCATAAGGCTCAGGCAGTCCTCCAGCAGCTGAAACGGAATGCTGGGTAAGGAATTGTGGAACTGCGGTTCTGCCAGGCTACCTGAATCACGGGAGAGCAGGAATACAGGATGGGGAGTGGGCACGGGTTTTACTGGGCTGTCAGCATCACATTTCCCTGTGTCTATTAATGGATAAACGATTTTAACGCTTTGTTTTAGAGTCCTATTCTCACTGCTTACTCCCTCCCCACCAAGAGAAGCTGTCAGCAGCGACTATGGTAACCAAGGAAACCCAAATAGTCAAATGCTTCATTTAAATACGTGTGGAAGGCCAATTTTAAATTTTCATTAACTTCCCTTGTTTTTGAAACACAGCTTTTTTTTTAAATTCAAATACATATTGCACGTATAATCAGGCACATGGGGTATTTCTTTTTGTTGCTGTGGTTTAAACAGCATCTTACAGGCGTAAATTTATATTAGTCACTACACAAATACATGAGGTCACTATAGTAATTCTGTAAAATGTTAAATGTGCCCAAGTGTCTTAGAGACTATCATCCTAAGTGGTGTCCAAAAATTAATTGTAAAGAATTTAGGTCCCAGGATGCCTTTAAAACAATACAGCAGTCAAAATGTAGAGCAAAGTTAAACTATGTATTTAAATCTAAAGATTCATATAGCAGCAATGCTTGTCTGTCTTTGGCAAAGATATTCAGTGTTGTGCTATTATTTGCTAGTTATTTCTTCCCTTATTTTTCTACACACAACAATCTCTCTATTTGAAACATAAACTTCTCTATTGCTCATAAATGGAAGAAGTGGTTATTTTCTACATAGAAAAAGTCATGTGTGTACATATTTTATAAATATACATAAAGACACATAATCTTTCTAAATGGTAAGCCAATGAAAATATGCATCATCAAATAATCTCTTCTCTTAAAAATTAAGCAAATTTGTTTTTCTCTAAATATCAATGAATAATATTTATAAAATAAAAGGTTTTGTGCAATAATCTTTTTCATGTGTCAAAAGAAATATAACATGAAAAATTAAAAGCACACAACAAATAAATACAGATATGTGTTACTAAAGTATAAAATACATTGTTCTAATAGTGTTATTTACATTTCAAAATTTCCTTGTTTTTAAATTTTTTAATTCAAATAATTAAATATTCCAAACCTTCCTTTTGCAGTATACTAACACACATCAACAAATTTTGAATGATATATTATCTAATTTATAAGACATGTAAACTATTGCAATACAGATTGTTTTAACACTGGAAAAATAATTTTGAAGCTTTTTATGTGAACTATTTGTCAGTAGTATTCTCTTTTATATTATTTCTGCATACACAGGAGATTAAAAATTATTGGATGAATTTATTTCTTACCCATAAATTTTTAAAATAGACTAAATAACTTTTCAGTTTAATATAATGATATCAACATTTCTCTGTCACATCTGACTACATCGACAATTTAATCGCATTGGGTCAATTCAAGTGCATCCTTAATATTATACACTACAAATATCTTGCAAAGTTTTTGTTTAAGGCAAAACACACCAGCCCATTCTAATTTAAATCCAGTCAAACACAAGGAAGTGTTGGAGTAATTTATAAAATCACCAACCTGTTCAAATAACTGTAGTCTTAGTCCTTGCACTCTTTATTCATTAGGATCCAAAATAAATGATCATTTTATCATATGTGTCAGCATCACCGAAGACACAGTTCTTCCTGGTTCAGAGGAATCTTCTTAAATTTCCCAGCCCTGTGTTTTATTGCTTGTACCATATGCTTTATTGTTCAGCAACAAGAGCTTCACTCTGCACAAAGACTCATTACCTACTGCTTGCTGCACGGCATCAGCCTCACTGAGGCTGCCTATATGTGATCACATGGAGTTTTGTCTGAGAGAGCCAGGCGTGCCACTGACTTCACTGTGTCTATGGATATTTTTATCATCTGAGGTCTACTAGGAGGAAGGAATAACAGATAAGGAAGCTGCTCTAAGTCATTAATGCAGCACAACTTATGGAAATCCCTTCACAAGATTTTTTTTTATTATAGAAAATGTTTGAGCAAGCTCCAAAAGAAGTTAACTAGATTTTATTTTAATAAGAGGTTGAATAATAATTTAAGGAAGGAGAACTTGCAAAAAGCCATTTCCTATCTCATATTTTCTGAAAGTACTTTTGTACAAATGTTATTAAAGAGCCTTGCGCTACTGAATGATTTGGCAATATGTTTTAACCATTAGATTGCTGGCATTTCTTTTTCTTGGTGTTTTGTTTTTTGTAAAAAGATAATTGCTGTTTCCTTCAAAATATCCTCAATTAAAATCTCAATCACTAAAAGATACTATATGTGAATAAAAATAGATATACTAATTACTTTTGATAAAGTAGATGAGAAGGTGAATCTTTTTTATTAATGTATATAGATGAAGTAGATGATTAATTTATCTTTTCAAAAGATGACACATTCCTAGAACAGCTGACTTAAAGGAACAATGCAGATTTCAATTTAAGTTCTAAAGGACATATGGTTTTTATTAATTTTTAAAATTGCGGTAACTTATTTTAGACAGCTTACCTCAATAAAACATATGATTTACCTTATCTGATTTCAATGTTAACAAGTAGTTTCAGGGAAAACTATCCAACATTTACAGGAATTTTCCACCACACAAATATTACATTAATATATATACAAATATGTGTGTGTATGTGTGTGTAGTCAGATTGCCTTTCTAAAAATTTTTTTAAATATATAAAATTATTTCTTAAAAACTGAAAATGGAATTTGGATTTCCAAATACAGAACTATTTAGTTATTGGAACTTATTTTAAAACATCGATTTCTTATCTCTTTAATGACTGTCTAAATTAAAATGATGTTTGAAAGCTTGTTACTTTTAAGTCTCAGTGAAAATCTTATGACAAATACATGCGAAGTGCAACAAAGAACACACACAGAAGGAAAAGTCAGAAGCACTATAAATACAGATGAGAAAATAAATTTTCTGAGTAGTTAGATATATAGTAACTTAACGGCACTTATAAATAATTCAGTAATTAAAAAGTGAATATACATATATATGTATATTTGCTTAAGCCTTCCATTAGTAAGAAATTCTTTTGGGGCAAAAAATATTATAACTCAAAATTTTTTGTGTGTCAATTGAAAGTTTTAAAAATAATTTAAAACCAGAATAGGTAAGTATGGTTAAGTAGCTTAGCTTTTAAATACAATGAGTTAATACCTTTCTTTATGATATTATTTGTAGGGTTAGCATTGATCTAGAATGTTTATGACTTAAATAAATGTTTATGACTTAAATAAATACCTTTTGATGGGTTTTTCTTAACATTGAAAGAAATATTCATATATGTTTTAGATACCACCATTTTAATGCATTTGTCCCAAAATGTTCATGTTCATTTTTAGCACAGCATTAGAGCTATGCTAAAGCTGCAAAACTTTGGGGCATTAAAAGAAAAGGGCTTATAGTATACTTCTGGGTTCTTAAGATATGTACATCCTAGTTAATATATTTGATCATGTCACCCATGCTAATGTACAAGGAAGTAAACAAAAGGCAGCCATTTTTTTTTTTTTTACTGCATTACTTCAAAAACATTGAAATAAAAAGGTTGCCCAATGGAAGGAAAGAATCAGCAGAAAACTAAGTTATTTGCAAGTTTTTAGAAAGTGAGAGTGGGAGAACAAGAGCTGAGAAATTGGGAAAAAAAATCCACATATATGTGAAATTTGTGTGTATATATGCAAAGGAATAATTTAACAATAAGAAAATAAATACAAGGAATATGAAAATAGCTAGCAATTAAAACACATTGCCAGTAAAATTGTGAGTCTCCAATGGGAAGTCTATAGTGTATGGTTTTAAATATAAGAAGCTGACAATTTATTCATGTTGAAAAAGATATTTAAAGGTGGATATCAGAACTAGAAAGAGATAGAATGAATCACGGGATGGTAATAATCTCTCCAGGTCGGCTATTCTCATAGATGACCTTGGTGAGTTATTCCAGTATCTTATGCCTTAGTTTTCAAGTCTGCACACCAGGAACAGAAAAGTCTTTGGAAAGTATGTCATGGAAACCTATAGCAATAATTTGTACTTCAGTTCTTTAAATTGGCTTTAACCAAGTATTGTCAACTAATATTAATAAAATGGAAAGATATGATATAAAATCTAATGATTGCTTAAAAGAATTTTTAAATAAATTATTCTAACAACACAGACAAACAAGTATAATAAGTAGATAGGATTTTTGGAAGTAAGAGGTGATTTTTTTTTTCTAATACATGCAGAAAAAATAGAATTAAACTTAAGAAGTACTATAATGTGAAATCTCATAAAATTGCCTCAGGATAAAAACAAATTACAAAATATGCCCACCCTTCTAATCAAAACTCTGGAATCAGTGAGATGGCAAGAGGATAGCCCCAGAGATTCTCAAATTACACAATGAACAATGGTGGCTCTGCTTATAAAACAAGTTTATGGGCCAAGAATTTTTTAAATATGAAATTAACAAAGAAACACAAGATCATAGCTTTAAGAAGCAAATTCCATCCAAGATTAAAAGGATGTTTTAATTTACTTTGGCATATTAAAAGCTGTGAATTGGAAAAAAATTATGTCAACTCTTACAATTGACTCTTTGTTAGCTTGTTTTTTCTCTAAAGACAAATAGGCCTCATAGAATTCTTTTATTTACTCCCCTTTCCTACAAAATAACCAAACCTTATCAGAAGTAATCCAAAATATTTGCTATCCAGTTCTTGCAGTAATTTAGACATGAGCTTATGTTAACTGGACGATCTCTTGAACATTCTACTGCATGAAGAAAGATTTACTAACACCATCACCTGTGTTTCCTGGAACCATATTAACTGGTATGTATACCACTTGCTACTATTAGATTCTCCCTTGATGAGGCTGGATTTTCTTGCTATATTTTCTTCTCCTTCACAACACATTCAGAGAAGTCAATAAATTGGCTACGTCAACCTCAAAATCCAGGACTAATTCAATTCAATTTAACAAACATTTATTGAGAAGATACCATGTACCAAGCTCTGAGAGAGTTGCTAGGGATATAAAAATGAAATATACACTGTTCTCAAGAAGATCATAGTCTCTTTAGCTTAAAATTAAAAAAATGTGCTGAGCATGTTATGTGAAAGTATTAAATGGTACTTTTTCAAAAGTTTGCATATTTTATTGTGTGAATATGTATTTTATGTATACATTTATTTATTTTCAATATATCTGCTAAAATCAGAAAAATTATTTTTGTAATTTAAAATAATTTATCAAATGTCAAATTGTAATTTATCCTGTTACTTTTGGATATTATAATTTAGAAGAGACAAAACTTATCTTAATAATAAGATATTTTAAATAAAATAAAAATAATGGCTACAAATTCTTTGCAATTCTTTTCAGCCAGAAGTAGAGTCTAATTTCCTCCACCTTTATTCTTAGTTGGTCTGAGTGATTTGCTTAACCAGTAGAGGCTGCAGCAGTGATGCTCTGGAAAGTCCAAGTCTAGGTCCTAATAAACCCTGTGGCTTCCACTTGAGCCTCTTGAAACACTCTGTCCAAGAACTCTGAGCTGCCATGTAAGAGGATTCACTGCCCTGAGGCTGTCATGCTGGAGAAATCACATATAGGCATTCTGGGAGAAAAGGGAGTTCCTAGTAGTAAGTGGTACTTTGGGAAAAGCCCAGAAACAAAGACAAGAGCTTTACTAACTATAATAAGAGGGACTTTGAAGAGACTTGGGTGACAGGAGATTTAGGCATGTATTGAGACTTTGAAGGAGGATGTCTGGTGCTCTCTCTTAGATCCTTCTGAAGCTGAGTGTGAGAAGATGTTTGCAATATGCAGGACATTGTAAAGTCACCAGGGGATAAGATAAGAGGTATGGGCAAAGTAATGAGTAAAGAAGACAATTTTGGCAGTTGAGGAGAGGCTAGCCTGGTGGAGCACTGGGGCAGCAGCTGAGATCTGATGAAGAATCAGGGAAAAACAATGGGGGCATGAAATAAAGGCGGTGAGAGAGGAAGGAGAAGAAAGGAATCCATCAGAAAGAATGATGAAATATTTAAAATTGTTTAGATAAACTGGTCTCTGATCTTATTGATAGCCTTAAAAGTCAATGGTTCAATCATTAAGCTGCCAATTAGATCCAAAAGAGCATTAATGAAACTAGTTTTGTTACATAGATTCAGTAATTTCACAGGTATTTTTATTTGTATTTGCCTTAGTTGGTTAAACTTTCCAGCATTGTGAAAAATTATTAGTATCAAACATTGTTAATGTTATGTTTGGGAGGCTGAGAGTAACTGTAAAACAACAGGACCTCCCTTAAATAAAGTACGCAGTGGACAGTGTTTATATTTTTTTCTTGTGTCTGATTTCCAATTTAGGAAAAAAAAAGTGTGGAAAAGACAAATGTGTTTTAGTTATGCAAAGATAAAAAACAGATAATTTTGGATAATGCAAACTAAGACTTAAAACACACACACACATGCATACACACACATGCCACCATTACCTATTGAAGTGAACAAGCCTACTGGAGTTTTACCCTTTCGGTTTTTCATTCTATTTGGATATTAGACTACCAAAGCAGCAGATGTTAGCTTAAGTGGCCAGTGAATGGCCATTCAGAATGTTGCAGGTTAAGTGGTAGGGATAGCTCTATAATTGCTGCTACTGCATCTACAATATGTACATAAATCATTTGAACATGGCTGTAAAGAAGTCTTTATACAAAGTGACACAGAGAAGAAAGTATCCAGATTTTTTCCCCATCCTTAAGTCTCTATCATTACAAAGGCATTAGAAAACAGCATTTATCGAGAGAAAAGAATAAATGAAGCAAACCTTCTCTCAGAGAACACAAAAGATACATTTATTTCTTAGTGACCATAAATGTTGACTGTAATGATTTCTTCTTATGCTGAATTAGATGTCTAACCTGTGACAAAATAAAACATGGAGTAAAATAGCATATGCTAAAGTCAAATATGAACTGAGCAGGTTTAAAAGGAAACAGGACTGATGGTTTTTCCATCAATCCTATTATTGGTTGCACCATAAGTAAAAGGGTTATGACACTGCTTTTGGGGTCAAGGCATAAGAAAAAGAGTTTTCTATATTTTATTTCACCAATACAAATCCACAAATACTTGGCTAATAGAATGAGCATATGTTTATTTGTATCACAGAGATATACAGAAACAACTTTGGCATATTATTCATCTGGGTTCATTTATTGATTTATGCATTAATTCATACATTCATCCATTTTACATTCACTGAGTTCTATACTCTTGGAACCAAGTTCATTGTTCTGATACGTTAGGGAGATGGCAGTCTGCAAGCTAAGTGGCTCTCCATCTAGAGGCAGGGATAGATATAAAGAGACGTTACAGCATAATGAAACGGTTCTATAATTGAAGAATATATAAGAATATACAGCCTGGGCAATGCAATGAGCCCGTCTCCACAAAAAAAAATTTAAAAATTAGTTGGATGTGGTGGTGTGCACAATACTATCTAAAAATAGCTAATAGTTATCAAGAATTTACAAAATCCAAAGGGCTCTGCATGTATTAATTAACTTGTAAAACCATCACAACAAGCCTATGAGGTAGCTACTTTTACTATCTCCATTTTACAGATGAAACCATTGAGGCATCACGAGATAGAGACTGTAATCCAACCCAGGTACTGTGGTTTTAACCCATTATGGCTCTACTGTGACATCTTATCTAAGGTAGTCATGGTGGGCTTTGCAGCAGAGTTGACATGGGAAATAAATCTTCAGGAATGAGTAGGAGTTCTTTTATGGAAAATAAGGGTATTCTAGGCAGAAGGGCTAGAATGTACACAGATATTGAGGCATGACTAATGTATGTGTGAAGGAAACTAAAAATCCCTCTGAAAATGCTAAGATTTTTTTTTATCTCGATAGGATTGTGCATTTGTAATGCTGGAATGTTTGAAACGCATCTTAGAGTCTGTCTGTAGTCATACAAGGTATTTGACTGGTTTGATTACGACTGAGTTTTATTAAATAACTCAGGAGACTCTTAAAAGAATGAATTTGACAGAGGGTTTGGAAGATGGGAGATTCATAGATTTTGTCTATGAACCCAGATAGACGATTCTGTCTGTCACAGTTAACTTTTAAAAGCACAGAATTTCCCTCAGTGGCCCGATTAAAGGTTAAGAAAGAACAAAGAGTGCTTATTTTGTTTACAATAAAAGTTCAAATCTTGAATACCATCAATTGAACTTAATTGTAATGCTCATGTAAGAAAACTATATAAAAGTATTCTGTGCAGATTAAAATCATGCTCCTGATCAGGAAATCCACCTCCATGCTTTCTATTAATCATACAACATGAATAAATACAAGAAATAAATTAGATTTCTCCTTTAGGCAAATGTTTTAATGAGCTTAATTCCATGGCTTGCTATTAATGCTAGTGGCTGGCTTCCTTGATATGAGGCATGCATTTTCTTTCTTGTTCATATAGTCAGCTTCCTATTTAGTATTCATTATTCAGGTCTATTTTTATCAAAGAGCACTATTACATGAAACCATGATCCAAACATATTTGGCTCTGTTTTTTATTTATGGAAGGAAGGGAATTATACAGCCTTCTTACACTGGGGTATGATTGTTATATACACATGTTGTTATAGTACACGTGTTCCTTCATATTAGAAGGTAGTGGCACTTAATTCTCATGGTCTTGCTAAAGGACAGATATTCTTTTCACACCTTTATTAGTTTAGAACATCAACATTTCATTCAAGAAAAGCCCTTAGCCTTGTAAACAAACTAGTAAAAACAAGTTATTTTGATAACAGTCTCAATAAACTCTACTTAGATATTCTAAGACTTTCTTATGTGAATAGCCAAGTATGTGGTATTAAGAACAGAGAGAAGTATAAACACATTTTATTGGAATATTATGGCCCCTGATAACTTTCGCTGACAACCGTGGGTACTACAGCAACCACTACTCTTTGTAGGCCATAGCATGATTTGCATCTTTGCCTCTTTAATTACTGATGATTACCTATGGAACATGCAATTATGATAGCTGAGACAAAATTGAGCGTTATACTGCTACTGTTTCCCAGTCACTCACAGTGAGGTGCTTTAAAGTTGTCTCTATATATTCATTGCATCATATTTATACAATATTTATTTGCCCTAGGAAGCCTATGGCTACATCACTCCAATTTACTATATTCTATGGCCACTGTGGAACCAGGTAGCAACAAGAAGAATGCAGTTTTAAATACAAAAAAATTTTAAGAAACCACATTTATAATAATTAAAGCTTTAAATCACCCAAATACATTTAACAGATATTTATATATAGTAGGATATATACATATTTCCTATATATAGTAGGATATCAGATAGCGATTAAAATCAGTCATTATGATTTTGTAAAAACAATAAGAATGTTTACAAAATAATAATTAGTGAAAAAATTGGCCAGAAATACAAACAAATACGATGACACCTAATAGGTATAGAAAAAGACTAGGGAGAAATATAAAAAATTTAAGGGATTGTGTGCTAGTATAAAACAATATGCACACTGTGATCTCAGTGTTTTAAATATACATGAACATAAAATAATAGGAAAAATGCAATCAAAATTATAAAATCTCTTAGAATTACAAAATAGGTCATTCTAATTTTCTACTTTGGCTTTTTCTATATTTTCCATCTATCTGTTATTAATACAATGCCAAATTTAATATTAGAATTATTATTGTGATGGAATTAGTTGTATTAAAGTTATTTTAATAAGAAGAAAAGCATTTTTTTAACAGAATATTGTTTAAATAATTGCAACTGCTGTTATGTTTAAGCTTTTAGATATCAAGGAAATTGATCTTTGCTACCACTCTCCACCCATAGGCTGAATTTGAAACTTGATACCATACTAGGATCCCTAAAGACTTGATTGCTTTGATTGATGAACAGATTTCTTTGAAAATTTTCTGTAAGAAATCACACACTATGCTGCTCTTCTAAATTTGCTTCCCAGGTACCACAAGGGGGTTCACGTAACTATTTCCATTCTTTCCCTAGGTGGCGATAGACCAAAAGGGGTGATTAGAGGTGGCACATTTAGGTGTCAGGGAGTGACACCACAGAGCCAGCTGCCAAACCCTGCATGATGATAAATTAGTTTACTTGTCTGGGGGGAGCGGGGGAGATTTTATTTTCATGAAAAATTACAAGGGCACTACAGGGATGTGGTACTTGTTTAAGTTGGAGGAAGATCTTCAGAAGCTACAAAAATTTGTAGCTGGGCATTATGTAGTTTCACATGAAATTTAACAGCAGAAACATCAGAGAAGGCCTGTGGCACATGTGTCTAATTGGAAAAATATTAGTGTCTTAATACTATGTCTCTGTTATGCTCAGAGAGTGCCTGGAAGACAAAAGTCTAGCAGCTGAACTCGTGCTTTCTTGCTATCCCAGAGAGACCTGGTGCTGAAGTTTTCTGAACCTAAGCATATTGTCACTGAATTTTGTTATGGTTATTAATTGTGATAAAAGAAAAACTTCAGCCAAATTAAATTTAAAGGAGTTTAATTGAGCAATGAATGATTCGCGAATTGGGCAGCCCCCAGAATCACAGCAAATTCACAGAGACTCCAGTGCAGCCACATGGTGGGATAAGATTTATAGACAAAAAAAGGGAAATGAGGTACAGAAACAGCTGGGTTGGTTACAGGTTGGCGTTTACCTTATTTGAACACAGTTTGAACACTTAGCAGTCTATTAGTGATTGAAGTATGGCCACTGGGTTGCCCAAGACTCAGTTATCGTTACAGGTGCATACTCCTAAGTTAGGTTTTCAATTTTGTCTGACTATTAAGCTAGGTTACAGTCCATCCACTCCTCCACCAGGATTCACATATAGAAGTATGGGGTCCTTCTCAGCCATATTTAGTTTGTTTTAACAATTGTGTACTAAAAGAGAACCAGTCATTACATAGTGTTTCCCAGGCAACAATTTGAGAGGTAGTTTTAATTTGTATTGCCCAATAAATCTTTGGCTACAAATAGGAGAGTCTGGTATAGAAGCACATTTTCAGTCTATAGCACAGCAGTAATGTTCATATCATCCTCTGACTTCTCACACTGTCTTCTCTCCTTCATCAGGTTAACTCTCCCACCCTCTTGAAGGCTCAGCTCTAAAGCGCCCCCTCTTTAGAGCCTCTTCCCATATCCTTTTACATGGAGTGAAAAAACTTGTCCCTTTCACTCTCTTTCATGTCTCTTTATTACTCTACTATAAATTTTATGACACTATGCCTTATTACTGTGTTTGTATTTCTAGAAAGATATTAATAAACTACAATCTCAAGAACAAAGGCCTTGTCTTATTCATATTTATATCTTTAGAGTCCACCACAAACCTTTACCATGAGAAATGCTCAACACTATTGAAAAAGTTTTTGTGAAAGTGCTTTTAGAATATAGACATAAAGTGGACACAAGCTTTGAGACAGCTATCTTTAGAATGTGCTGGTAAGATTCAAATTGCTCAGAGGACAGAATTATTGTTTAACACTTACTTCCAGTTTGTGTTTTTCAAGCTTGTCTAAATGAACCAGATGAAAAGCTGGAGATACTGCATACACTTTTTCTCCCCCAACAACAGGGTTATGAGAATTGGATCAGACAAAATGTTTTGCAATTTTTCCCCAGTTGCAGCTGTTCCACAGCTGGTAACACATTTTCAGCCTTGTTAAAAATTTCTCCTACTGATAAAACTTCTTGGGCCCTTCTCTCAAGCACCAATCATCATTATCATCCCCATTGTCAATGACTTTTCTCCTTTCCCTCTTTTTCTTTCAAATGCAGAAGAGATGTGCTTCAACCTTTCTCCATGTCTGTCCAAGACCAGTTCTGTGATTTTGCACACAGTTATCTAACATAGTCTCTTTGGAGTCACAGGTAGATTTCTTTTAAAATAGGGACACTTGTACATCAGGGGGTGTTCGGGCTTTTCTAATGGCCCTTTGTAAACATTTTTACATTTTGGATCAACACATCAGCAAATACATAATACTACTTCTGTCAACAAAAGCTTTCTGTCAACTCATGGGCATGTGTTAAATAAAAATCGAAGTTAGAATAAAATGTTCATGTGTTAATTAATATTACATATAAAAGGAATTTTCATGTATATTCATTCAGAATTAATTTCACTGGACTTTATTAGTATTTAACATAATAAATACTTATTAAGACATTGATTAATAATGAGAATCCCCTGCCCATCCCAGTTAAACCTACAACAAACAGACCAGAAAGAAAAAGAGCTTACAAAATAGAAATTCCTTACTGGCTTTTTGCCTATCACAACTGTCTATTCTTTCCGTTTAAGAGAAAGAACATACTGTGGGGTAGCAAATATTAAAATTTCAGCTTGTTGTGGAGAATTTCCTAAGACAAAAGAAATTACAATGTGGACTGTATTGCAGCAATTTTGTAAACATTGGCATTAAATTCACTGAAGAGGGAGTAAATGTAATATTTGCAGAGAGAATACAATCCAAATGAGCAGTCCATTTTGGATTCAGTGAATAAATTACCAATGTTAAAATGACTTTTTGTAGAATATCAAGAAACCAGAACAAACAGAAGAATCATTACTGAATTGAAAAAGTAAGAAATTACTCTTGAAGAAGAGAAAAAAAAATCAACCATTCTCATTTTTTGAGCTCAATTTCATATGGTCTTTTAGGGGGTTCGTGTGTCCTAACTTGAATATATTCAACCTTTGATGGACTCGAATTTTCTCCTGAGAAGTTTTAAACATTTGCTTTCATCTTTAGGTAGACATCAAAGGTAGAAGGACCACTTACTTGTAACTTTATCCAGTTTTACTGACGGCAAATGTAAGGCATAAAGATTTCAAGTGGCCACTTTCCTAGTTTAAACTAATGCTCTTTTCAACTCAAGTATTCTGACTTTTTATTATTTAACTGCAGAAAAATTTAAATTTTATTCAAAGGCAGAATTTGACAAGTAGTAGTCCTTACTAACTAATATAAGGAATTAAAGTACTTCCTTTTGTATGTAAGACAGATAGTATTTAAAGGCATGTTTTCTGGCCCTAAATCCACTATGCAAAAGTGGACAGCTATCACTAAATATAAAAGTAATAGCATTTTTTTGCTTCTCAAATGTAAGCTCCACTGAGCCAAATCACATCATGAACACTAGTGAAACAAACAGTTTAAAGCGATTAAAGACATACCACTAAAAGATTAGATCTGCAAGCCAAGTACATAAACGGAAAAAGTCTGGTTTACCATAAGGATCTGCATTTCACATCTGATCGAGCAGTTAACAAAATTATACATAGATATTTTGAGCTTTGCTTTTAGAGAGTACACCTGATTACTGAACTGCTTTGCTTCCTACCTAAAACAGAATGATTTGAATAACTCAAACTCCATTTGGTAGCAAATGCTACAAAACTGCAGTTATGCTTCCTGTGGTTTAGGTGGACTCTATCAGAGTAGATAAGATGGCTGTAGGGAATAGAGAGACTCACTCAGTGGGAACCAGATGGCTTAAGGGCAGAGAGAAAAGATAGTGTAAAGCTTGGGTTAGCTACAGAGTATCACGACAGAAGAGGATGCAGGAAAAGAGAAAGATGAATAAGGATTGTTCATGATAGTTATAAAAGTTGTGGTTGAGGTGATTGCTAGCAAAAGGTAGTAACTAATCAATTCTCTTCCTACACAGGCTAATGACATGGGTAATTTTCAAAACGGCTTTACAAAAGTCACTGAGTAATTTCTTCTGCTTCTAGGGATGGCTATATCTATACTATTTACATTGATATTCCCATTCAATAAACATTTTTAGGAAAGAAGTCCATCATTCCACCATATAACAAGGGGAAAATTTCCAGGTAAAATAATAGAACATTGTGAGCTCCCTAAGGAAAGCAATAGAACCTAATTGTAATCTTTGTCTTTGGATAAGGAGTACAAAATGATCTGTCAGTTTAAGAAAAATATTGGCTCACGTCTGTAATCCCAACACTTTGGGAGGCCAAGGTGGGTGGATCACAAGGTCAGGAGATCGAGACCATCCTGGCTAACTTGGTGAAACCCCGTCTCTACTAAAAATGCAAAAAATTAGTCGGGCTTGGTGGCGGGCGCCTGTAGTCCCAGCTACTCAGGAGGCTGAGACAGGAGAATGGCATGAACCCAGGAGGCAGAGCTTGCAGTGAGCCGAGATCGTGCCACTGCACTCCAGCCTGGGCGACAGAGTGAGACTCCATCTCAAAAAAAAAAAAAAAAAAAAAGAAAGAAAGAAAAATATTACATTCAGAGTAATTTCATAATATGGGACAAATAGAATAGGAAGATACTTAAAGTGCACAATACATTTAATATTTGTTTTTATAGATCTCTTGTCTTAATTGTATTATTTTACATTCTAATGTGTCAAAGCTAAATGGTGACAAATAGAGCTTGATTTTCCTCATTAGCACCACTATTAGTTTCATTACACATCCCTTTTCTTTTACTTGTGAATGACTCTGGGACTCCTTCTATAAAGTCTATTAATAAATTATTTTTTGTTCATTTTTTAAAAAATATCAGTTTCCTAGCATTTATCTTGGTCTAGTGTATTTAAAGTTTTATCAGTTAGAAAGCTAAAAATTAAGATAGTAAAAAGCTTGTTCAACTGAAGACCATATCCTATTTCACTTAGCCTTTATCTATGAGGAGTATTACACCATGTAGAACAAGTGATCTTAAAGGGGACACTTTCAGCAGTAGAGATCAACAGTTGAGAGACTGTATTATTTGTATTTCTCACCTTCACAGACCAAGCTCTTTTTCTAGTACCAGAGAGATTTATTAACAAAAGTGGCAAAGTAGCAATGAACCAAAATTTTGAATATAATGAAAATAGTCAGAAGAAATAAAAACTCCTATATTCCAATTTCTATATGATTAACAGGCAAACTAATTTGCTTTTTTCTTCTTTGCATATTTCTGTCTCTCTCTCTCTCTCTCTCAGTAGTCTCTGACACATCACCTTACTGAAGCCTATGCTGCCCTCTAGTCTATGCTGTACCATAGATGATTTAGATGAGTTTGTAGATTTGGTTAGTTGGGAACTATACCACTGTCATCAGTCACATTAGAGTATCCCTTTCAGCAATCTATGCCTATCGGAAGATTAATAATGAGAATAATCATGGCAAGATGAATGTCATTATAGGTCATCACGTGTACAGCTCCCTTTGGAGATGCAAAGATTGATTGTGGGAACTAAAGAACATTAGATAACTGAGTGCTGGCAAAATTAATTTTCCCATTCACTATAAATTGAGTAATACGTAAAATCATTGACACTTTCACATGCATGCTGTTTACTTTAATTTTTTTAATTTGTAATTATTGCGGCTACATAATAAACAAGAGGAATCTGGTGATTTGGCTAATCAGAGTAAATATGTGTATATTCATGTAAATGTGTGTGTGTGTCTTACAAACTCTCTTATTATCTTACCTGAACATTTTCCCCTTGTTTAACAGTGGAATGATGGATTTCTTTTCTACAAATGGTTTTTAAATGGAAACAGCAATTTAAATGATACAGATATGGTCCTCCCAAAAGGCAGAGAAAATTGCTCACTAACTTATGTAAAACCTTTGAAAATATACATGCCACGATAAAAGGTAAACCTCAAGCTGGTCATGTGGACTGCTCTTGTGCTTTCAGATAACCCTTCATCAGCAATTATACATTTAAATTCTTTTAAGATCCAGGCTGGCAGTATATTTGTATGAGCAGGTATAAGACACCAGCAACTGTGACAATGGCAGTGAATGAGTAGAGTATACCCAAGGACATTGATATTCAGACTGTTAAACTCCACCATGCTGGCCAAATAAAATAACCAAGTGTTGCCATATTCTCTACTCTACAATAGTTTTTTCCCCCCCTTAATTTTTCAACTCTCCCTGTGGTCCCGATTTTCTTTTTACATTGTTAGTGGCTTTTAAAAAATCTGCAGGAATACCTTCTCTTTGTATAGTGTTTATTCTCAAAATTCCCTTAGTAACTTATGGAACTATTCAGGTTGAAAAAAGGGAAAAATGGCCAACATTAATAAGAATATTAACTCTCTCTAACAATATTGACTCCATTTAGCAAAGTGAAAATTAAATAAGAAACTGGATTCCATTTTCTTCACACCTCTAAACATAACATCAAACTTTAATAAATGCAGGCTACATAGTAAGAGAATTAAATGCAAGCCCCTAAGGGCAGAGGTTTCTAGGAATGTGCTTATAATAGAGTTTCACCTGGGATTCAATTAAATATTTAGTGAGAATGGCTGAAAGGAAGGCACTGTGCTGAAAGCTGTGGGGGAGGCAGAGATGAATACGACACAGTTTTTGTCCTCTAAAATGTCATGATCAACGGCAGCCAAAACATTTAACTTAAGAGTGTGGGGTATATATGGTTGTGGGGGGAGCTCCCTCCTCTTTCTCCTCCAGCACCAACAAACTGGTCTATATTTGCACAGTCCTATCATCCTTTCCCCCAGTTTTACAAGATGAAGTATGCTTTTATTCTTTTCAAGGCCAATCTTTCCTTAAATGCCCTCGATCCCATTTTCTCCCTCTCTCAACTCCCTCTCCCTCTTTCTTCACAGATATGATACTATAAACCAGGAGTCAACAAGTTCTTTCTGTAATAAGCCACACAGTAAATATTTTAGGCTTTTGCAAAACATATGGTTGCCGTCACAAGTACTCAACTCCGTTGTTTTAATGCGAAGGCAGCTGTAGATAAACAAATATATAAATGTATGTAAACAAATGAATGTGTCTGTGTTCCAATAAAACTTTATATGTAGACATTAAAATTTGAATTTAATAAAATTTTAATGTGTCATGAAGTGTTCTTTTCTTTCTTTTTTTCAATCACTTAAAAATTTAAACCACTATTTAAAGGCCATATACAAATGGGTAGTGAGGCAGATTTGTACAACAGGCCATAGTTTGCTGACCCTTGCTATACAAGATTGCCACTTTTGCCACCCTTCCTTTTCGACTTCCGCTCAGCCTATAATCACACTGAGGAGAATATTAAAGATATTTAGCAATGACTCTGGTTTCTAACCAATCCAAATAGATAAGTTAGTCAATTAGAGCTGGTACCAGCTGTAAACAACTATTGGGTAATTTCAGTGTGTTCAGGCTAACTATTAGTTCAGATCACACCCTCTCATTTTATTCAAAAGCCAAAACAAGAGAAGCTCTTCTTGCATTGCTATATTGATATTGTTCCACCCTCATTTTCTGTCCAATATTTTTGAGAATTATTCTACTTTCTCATCTCTCACTCAGATTCAATAAATCTTCTCCCACCGATCTTTTAAAACTGACCTTTTCAGTACAGATTTTCTTTTTCTTATTTTTCTCAGACCTTTGGAAATGTTCTATTTTTGTCACTCACATTACATTCTCCTAGTTTTCTTCCACCTCTCTGACTTTTGATTCTTGGTTGCCATGCAGGTCCCTCTTCATCCAACCTTCTCTCCTGCAACCATTCCCACTTGGACGTCCCCAAAGTTCTTGACCCACTACTTCCTGCTCCCCTTCTGTTTGCCTTGGCAATCTAATCCATTCTCAGGGTTTGACTTTTATTTTTTTGTAGATGACCTCCGTATCTACGTCTCTAAACTTGACATCTCTTTAGACCTTCAAACTTGTTTCACCACTTGGATTTGCCTCAGAAATTGCAAAGTCAGTGTGTCAAACAGTGAACCTATAGTCATTGCCATCATACATCCCTCTCCTCTTGCATCTCCTATCTTAGTCCAATAACACTATCCCAGTTGCTGAATCCAAGAAACCTGGAATTACCCTCAATGCTTTCCTTCCCTACCCCTAATTTGACTTATTTAGTTACTAATAATCACTGACTTTTCCTCCAAATGTTTCTCAGTTCCGCACCTTCAGCAGCATCCCTGCTACTGCTGTCTTCCCCTAAAGAGACCATGGCACCGGTCTAGTCATTGGTGCCCCTTTTCACAGTGTTACCAGGTAGGCAATCTAAAACACAAATCTAAACCAAGGAACTCCCCTGCTAAACTCCTGAGAGACACACTGTGAAGATACTGGGCATGGCACCAAGTCCCTCCACCATCTGGACTCCACTTCCCGTCTCAGTCTTACCTTTGATCATATCCTATATTGTTTTTATTCCCCAATAATAGAAGCTGAATATAAAATGCAACCTCATGCCTTCATGAAATTGCACATGCTCTTCATATTATCTGAAATAGCTCCTCTTTTCTTCATCTGACTAATGCCTACTCACATATTACGATTCAGCCTCTGAATTCACAAAACTGGGATAAGAGCCTTTTGTCATTGTTTCCATTTTATTTGCCCAATTGTATTGATAGTGGTCCTTCTCACCTATGTAACCATCCCAGCTTCACCATCAATGAGTAGGCAAAGTATGTCAGGTTAGTGATTGACTACCCAGCTCCTAGTCCAGTATCTGGCAAACAGGCCCAAAAGAAGAGGCTGAATGACTTGGCAAGCCATTTAGAGGCCTCTAGGAGAAAAGGGTCAGAAAATATGCCACAGGAGTCATATTGCTCGCATTCCATTCTTAGTGGCACAGCTTACTTGCTCTATGGTTTTGGGCTTGTACTTTTGAATCCAGTTTCCTCATCTGTAAAATGAAAGCTCAATTCATTCGTGAAAAAGTATCTATTGAACACATGCTATCTATATTACAGGTATTATTCTAGGCACACAAAAAGTCTTACCCTCAAGGAGCTTTCATTCTGGTGGAAGTGGGAGAAAAAGGGGACAAAGCAAATAAGTAGGCAAAAAGAAACTAACTAAAGTATACAGTATATCAGATAGTGGTAAGTGCATTGGAGAAGGAAGTAGAGTCTTGTGTTGGAGGGGGTGGTAAGCAATTCTTTTCTGATTAGGGAAGGGTGCATTGAGAAGCAACATTTGAACAAAGACCTGAAGGAGGTGAGGAGGTAAGCCAAGAGAATATCTGGGGTAGAGAGAATTCCAGAAAGAAGAAATAGCAAATGCAAAGGATCTGAGATGTTCAACGACTAACAAGGATGCCAGAGTGTTGGAGACGAGGAGCAAGTGAGGGAGTGAGGAGATGAAGTCAGATGTGGGTGATGTGATCGGGGAAGTGAGAAAATCAGCAGACAGTGTTATAATTTGCAGGCAATTGTAAGAATTTTGACTTTTACTCTGAGTGAAATAGAGTCAGTGGAGAGTCCTGAGCAGAGGAATAAATGATCTGCATGAGGTTTAAGATGACTCTGGCTGTTTGAAAGGAGAGCAAGGTGGAATCAGGGGCCTCATTAGGAGGCTATTCCAAACTTCCGGATAATAGATGATGGTGGCTTGGATCACACAGTAGTAAAAAAATGATTTATTCTGAATATTTGTTGGAGTAAAGCCAAAAGAATTTGCTAAATGTTTGGGTGAGGAAAAAGAGAGGACACAGTCTTGAGTCCAAGGATCCTCACCTGTCCAATTACAATAAGGATGTTAGCAGTTTGTTCTGGGAAAGTCTTCAAAGATTTTCAGAATGATGGGTAAGAACAAGAGTTCAGGTTAGTTCAAATTAACTTTGAGATGTCTATTACTCAAGTGGAGATGTCAAATAGGTAGTTCTATCTATCTCTCTATATAAAAGTTGAAGTTCATGGAAGGATTTCAAGCTAAAGATAAAAATTTTCCAGTGAACAGATAATATTTAAAGCCCAGGTAGGAAAAAGAGGCAGTCTAAGGACTAAGTCCTGTGTACTCCAATGTTTAGTGATTGAGGAAATGAGGAAGAACCAGCACAGGAATATAAGAGGCAGAAAATGTGATAGGAGAAAAAACAGGAGTGTGGTTTCCTGGCAGCAAAGAGCATCTTAAAAAAATGAGGAGTAGCGGGGATTGTGTAGCATGCATGAGGGAGTGATCAACTCTCTACAACTACTGATGGGTCAAGTAAATGGATGGCTGAAAATTTACAATTAGACTTAGAAACGCGAAAGGCACTGTGATCTTCACAAGCAGTTTTGATGAAGTTGTAAAGACAATGCCTGATCAGAGGATAAATAGCTCTTTGAAGGAGTTTTGCTAAGCAGATGGGTAAGAAATGGGGCAGTAGATGGAAGGTAACATGGGGGAAGGAAACTTTTCATTTGTAAATTTTTTTAAAAGCCAGTATATTTATATGCTGATAGAAATGATATAGTAGAAGGAGATGATGATGTAGGACAGTGAGGCATCTGCTGCAGTGTCTTTGGGTAGCCACCAAGAAATGGGACCTACTGCACCAGTTGAATAGCTGGCTTTGGATAGAAACATAAACATCCATAATGACAAATGGAAGGTAGAAATTTTGTGGGAAAGCCTATGGAAGTTCTATTCTGCTTTTATTTTATCAGTGAAATGGGAAACAAGATCATGAAGATGAGGGCGGAGAGAAACTGAAGTTTTGCAGTAAGAAAAGAAAGAAATCTTCTGGATAGGGAGGAAATGAGTGGATCTGAGAAATAAGAATTGGTGGCTACCACCTATATTCAGCTGAAATTAGTGGTTATGAATTTAAATGGAAATACCTTAGCACAGTTGTGCACTTTCTCCAGCCACGTTTGGCTGTATGAAAATAGGTATAGAATATGGGGTCATACCAGGCATATACTATAAAGCAAGAGAGATGGGCAAAGGGAATTGAAAGTAAACTTAAGGAAGTGATTACAATGATAGAGCATGAAATTTAGGTTATTTTAGTAAAGAAGGATGGACTTGGAAAGGTGGTGGGATCAATGCAGGGTAGGTCCCAGTGAGGTCGAAGAGCTATAGGATTCTGATCACTGGAAGAAGAGAGCTAGAAAGATAGGAGGTAGAGGCTAGACAATGACTGCTTGAGATTGAGATAATTAAAAGACTACAGTTACTGGTCATAAAAATGTCTATGGTACATACATAGGAAAAAAATGAAATGTAACAGGGTTGGAGAACATAATCACAAAACTACCACTGGAAGAATCATCTACATGAACGTTGATATTACAAATAATTACGAAGGTATGGCCAGGCACATTGGCTCACACCTGTAATCCCAGCACTGTGGGAGGCCGAGGTAGGCATATCATCTGAGGTCAGGCATTCAAGACCAGCCTTGCCAACATGGTGAAACCCTGTCTCTACTAAAATACAAAAATTAGCCGGGCATGGTGGCACACACCTGTAGTCCCAGCTACTTGGGAGGCTGAGGCAGAAGGATCGCTAGAACCCAGGATGCGAAGGTTGCAGTGAGCCAAGATTGCACACTCCAGCCTGGATGACAGAGTGAGACTCCATCTCAAAAAAAAATAAAAAAATAAAAAATAGATAAATTATGAAGGTATGGTATTAGAGAGAGAAAAACAGTGAGACAAGAGCTAACATTTTCAGGGAAGGAGAAGGTGATAGAGGGTCTCAGGATGACTGTTTAAGAAGATAATGATAATTTGCCCCTTTTAGGTTGGTGAGGATTAAAGGAGATGTAACTACAAAGTGATGATCAGATACCTGGTTCATGGTGAACTCAATAAATTTTAACTTTTATTATCCTATTGCGTCCACAGTTGACAATCGCCTAACTTCTTTTTCAAAAACCAAAGTATATCTCACCCTATACTGATTGTCTGAGGATGAGCTTTGTGCTGGAAAGCATGATCGGTTTTCTGTTCAGATTACTGAGATAGCTGCAGGGTCTCAAGTGGGTGGCTTAAGAGCACCAGGAAGTGGAATCCTGTCTTGAGACTATTTTACTATATAACACATTTACATTAATTGAGAATTCTGTAAGATCTTTATTCAGATGTTTGCAGAAAAACTAACAGCTTTCTTCTCTTTCAATTAAATTTCCACTTGAGCCACACTGACCAACATGCTGATAAATGAAAGATGTGGAGAGAGAAATGTAATCCAAGATTCTGTGTCAGAACACTGGCCTGCTCAGCAGCCTGGGTTCCCCATGTTGTGATGATAAAGTTTTTCATAAAGTTTTCTTAAGCAAGGAATATAGCTGTCTTGATGATTTATCATTGTGCCATAATAATTAATAGGTTAGATTCCCCAATGAAAATAAATATGAATGTTTTTTCACACTTTTCATATTTATTGAATTTATGTATTTGTTTTGCAACTCTAAAAATGCTTTCTGAAGCTCTCCTTCTATGCATCTGGCTCACTTGAAAACAGGTTGACATCACAGCCTAAATGTGTTTGGAGTTCTGAGATTTTTTTTTTTAATAATTCGTATATTCTTTTTTGCTACAAGAAGCAGAGTGGTAATCCAAGGTTTCACGGTATAGCCATACAGTTTGGAAATCAGCACTTTATTAAACATACTTTATTTTTACTTGTTATGAAGTGCCACAGTTTTAAATTCCTCTGGGAATACAACTTTGTTCTCCCAGCTTTCTATTTTAGCAGCGAACAGCTAGAATTAGACAGGAATAGCTATTAGCAAGATCTGCAGGGGCTTTTGAAACTGACTGCTGCTGTTACTGGATACACATAAGACACATGTGAGAGTTTTTATCTTAAAATTTCTCCATCTCCACTTGTGATTTAGCACCAAGGGACAACAGAGAAAGAAAGATCAGTGGCAGACAGAGGGCAGCAGGAGTTCCCACTATTCACTTGGGTATAGAGGGAGACTAAAAGATTTTGTGAAAAATAAATAAGACATCATGGAAATAAGGTGCGAAGGAAACTTCATTTTCTCCTGGTGGGAACTTTTCCAGTGTCTGTTTCAACATTGTTTTATAGAGCTCATATTGGGGTTGGGAGAACACGTGACAGTATGTCAGCCTAGGGCTCTGAATTGAGATGAAATGACTGGGGGTATTAGTTTGAGTTAGCAGGGGTGAAACAGGAATTTCAACACTCCATGTGGGAACAACCTTGGAATTACATCTAAAGCTCGGGAATATTTGGAATCAAAGAATGATAGCGTAAGAAGGAGGCATAAAAGCTGTCCAGTTCTGGAGGCAGATGATAGAAAAAGGTAAGGAAAAGTAGATCTAAGAAGTTGATTTCAGAATTGAAAAAAAAAAGTAAGTCTTCTTTGGAAGGGGAGGTGGAGAAGGGCAGGTTATGTGGTAAAGCTAAAATTGCAAGGAAACCATGTTTGAGAAAAAGCTTATATCCATCATGTTCCCAAATGGCTGTTCTTGCACAGAACAATCGACTCTGAAAGCATTCCTTGCCCAAGGAGGGATGGTAGCCTCCCAAGGACTAGCCAGTAAGCATGTGCAAGTGACAGAGGGAGAAAGTAGGACAGCAAGGAATGGACAAGATTCAGGATGGATTGTGCCACATTTATCTGGTGAAAATATACCTACATTGCTCTAAATATAGAAACTGAAGAATAGTGTGCCTTGATGGTGTTCTGGAAAACAAGGATGAATGAATCTTTATTTCTACTCAGCAAATGAAGCCTTTTTTTGGTTTGCTCTGTTGTCAACAGGAACAACGTAAGCATATTTTAGTTCACATTTATGTGAAACATAAAGCAAATTAGAACAGCTAGAATTTATTTGTCCCAGGAAGACAATGACTCTTAGCTAATTCTAAACTGTTGGCACTTAATTGAGCTGTTAATACCATTCCCACTCTATTCAAAATAAATTGTCCACTCTGTTCCCCTTGATTTTTCTTTCTCCCACAGGACCACATTATAATTTATCCACAGGCTCACTGATACATTGACATGCTCTCTAAAATAGAGTCTTATTTATAATAATATTCTACAATATCAAAGTAACATTTTGCCTCTTTTCATTTGGCACCCATATCTTTCTCTGTACTTTTTAAAATCTTTTTGTTCATGCATTGCCATTGTCATTTAAAAATGTGATGGATTTTTTATTAATGTCCTTGTTTTTGTCCTCAAATCATTAACAATGATCAGCATGGTTCTGAGAGGAATGTTTAACATTTCACTACATCTGAAATTCCTTGCTAAGGCTAGGGATATTTAGCCAGACCTTAGAATATTCAAGGTCCTACATGTATAATGGCAATTTAATTGCTAAAGATTTAAAAAATGCTTCCCACTCTAAAATGTTATAATTCCTCAGTGAGGTGCAACAGACTACAGAAAAACCAAGGACTGAACTGATATCTGTTTTTCATCTCCACATTCTCAAGGTCATTTTGATGATTATCTCTAGACATCAATACAAATGTGAAAGGACACATTGTCTGCACCATATAGACTACAACAAAGCTCCTGTAGGCTGCCATACAATGAATCTTCATTTTACTCCAGGGCCTCTGTGGCCTTGTCGCAGGTTTTAATGGGTAGAAAAAATATGGTCTTTATCTCCTTGCCATGCTACATTGTGTCATATTTTCCACCCCTTCAATTCTTCCCAGTTTGAGTGTTAGTGAAGAGAAGTGTCTTTCAGTGATTTTGTGAAGATTTAAATGACATAGATAAAAATGAAACAGTTCATCGAGAAAAATAATGTTATATATAATTGAGAGCTACCACATTTAGGCTTAAATAGGGTTGGGTAAGTTACTTAGAGGTATAAAAGAGTAAAACACTGGACCCCTGTGTTTTCTATGCTGGAGAAACCAAGCTCTATATCTGCCTAATTTAGTAACCAGTTGCGATTAACTTGTATTAACTGACTAGAGGTATAAACTTTCAAATTAGACTACCCTGACTTTCAACTCTCCCAACAAACTGTCTAGATTTCAGTTGTGAATCTTGGAAAAGCATTTATATTTTCATACTAGAAAACATGACAACTATTTCTGGCCCTTACCATATTTCACAGGGTTCTGAGGTATAGATTCCCTAACACGGTCGTCTCTATTATCACAGATTATAAATAAAATCATCTTCACAATATGAATCACCAGCTCAAAATTATTCCTTTACAGCTTTTCAGGGTAATCTCAATATAGCTAAGAGTAGATTAGGTAGCCAGGTTTAAAGCATTCAAGAATTCAAAAGCAGATTGCCTCAAATAAGCTATAATAACCTTTACTACTTAAAAAAAAAAAAGACATTACCTCAGAAAAACAATTAAAAAAAAAAAGAAGTTAAAAGGAAGGTAAGCAGTGGGAAGATATTTTTAATTGTTAATTCTTTTTATCCAGACTAGAATAGAAATTCCTAAAGGAGTAGTTCTGAAAATGCCATGAATATGGATCATATTAATTTTTGACACAATTCTGGCTAAATCTGCTATTTAAAGACTATCGAGTCCACAACAGATTCATCATAGAAACAGTGAGATACCCAGAATTAAATAAGTCACTTAAAAAGAACAGACTGGTTCCTGGTAGATTTTAGGTACTTGCTCTTTAGGGTTATGTTTCTTTTGATTTTTAGGACATAATGATTTCCATACAATTTAGACTCCTTTTGTTTGAAAAGAAAATGTTATGACCTAGTGAAGTGTTTATGTTATACACAACACTTAAAAAGAAATCTTGTTTGCGATCTTTGTGAGAAGACACAGACTATTGGATATAAATAAATAAGGTCAATATAATATTTCCTGTATAAACCTAGCTGTAAGATAAATATAGTTATATAGAGTAGTTTGGACAATTCAAATTCAAATCATATTTACTGGATACTTTCCCATGTGTCAGATAGTAGTATTGCCATTTAATCCTCAGAGTATCTTGGAGAGGTATATGTTACTAATCTTATTTTACAATTGAGAAGACTGAGGAGAGATGAAATAATAGTTAAGATCCTACTATTAGTAAGTGGCAGAAATGGGAATCCAATCATGTTAAGACCCCCAATCCCATGATATTTTAGGAGATGCAAAATTCTGATTATTTCCAGCAAATATTTTGAGAGAATTTCCACCTCACTATTTCTTAAGTAGTCCTTCTAAATGGTTCTGAATGCCAAAAGGGCAGACAGTTTTTGAAGAAGGAATTTAGCAAACCACAAATTAGTTTTCACAGTGGAAGGGTGGAGCAGAGACTTTTGCATTTCACATCACACTTTTTTAGTATTTGCAATGCTTTACTAGAAGCTTGCATTATTTTCACAATAAAAGCAAAATAAATTAGGTTTGAAAACAACACATATAATCTCTGTCAACTTTGTAAAATGATGTACTAAAAACCCATGTAAAGCATAGATGTATAAGTACCCAAACCTTAACAGTGGGTAACTTGAGGTCATTATTGCAAGTGGTTTTCAGAATTTTCTCAATTGTGTTCTTAATACTTTTTTATTTATAATTATCTGCAAATCTGAATCCTTTTTCTTACCATTAGTATGGTTAATTTTGTAGTCAAGAAAAAACATCCTGCAAAAAGAAATTATTTCCAGTTTGAAGATAACTACAAATATACTCTTATTTCCTTAGTGGAATTAGAGTATCCTCTGAAATATTTCAGTAAAATCTAAAAGAAGAAATCATTGAGAAATTGGGCACATTTTGCATTCTGTGCAGGTACTTAATAAAAAAAAAAGAAATTCAAACTGCCAATATACGTATGAAAAGATGCTCAATCTCTCTAATAATCAAGGAAACGTGAATTGAAACCCAGAGATATCAATTAAACAAACACACTCCAGACTGGCAGATATTAACATTGACAATATTCAGTATTGGCAAGGGACTGGGAAGCAGGCTCTTGTCTACATCATTGGTGATACAGTATTTTTGTTCAGTAATTTGGCATTATCTGTGAAAGTTTTTCAAAGCACAAACCTTTTGACTGATAATTCCATGTCCAGAAACACATTCTCCAGAATTACACAGGTGCTTATTGTAGCATTCTTTGTGATATTGAAAATTTGAAAATAATTTCAAGTGTCCTTCTTTATGGAAATAGTTAAATGAGTAGTGACATCATAATAAGGGATGGTCTACAGATATAAAAATGAATGAGGTTCATCAGTATGTTTCAAAGCAGAAAGAATACCAAGAGAGCAGTTTTTACTGTCCACAGAAAAAGACTTAAAGACAGGCACAAAATACATTGACAGTGGTTATCAATTAAGAAGGGAGTAAATTGGAGAAGGATATGAAGGAAACTCACTTTTTGCTTAATATATGTAATACAATTGGAAAATATTTTTACAATGCTTACTAATGTACTTCAATTAAAGAAAATCAGAACATAGCTGAAATTGATTTAAACTCTGCACTTCTCTCTAAGTCAGTTGTAAATCCATCTTTAGAAAAAAGTATAAGTAATTCACTTTCTGATTTGTAATATTTTCCAGGATCCCAAATTATACATAGGTTTTCATAGTTTAAATCCCTCCTTTCTTCTAGGTAATAAAGATATGTATCTATTATTTTGAAAACCTGGTTATACATTACATCATTTGAGGAAAATTCTCTGAACTCATTCAAATGTGCTCTACATTTCTTAGAAGACTACTAATTAAAAACACTCTTTAAGTCAAAATAAAACCCCCAGAAAATAGTTCTGAATTTATGTGGTGAAGAAATTGTTTAGAATGAATCTGACTCGGAGAAAATACAGCATTGAGCTTTTAGGTAGCATTTGTATGCAGAGTACCAGCGTTACAGAAGACAGAGAGGCTAGGCTTGGTGGCTCATGCCTGTAATCCCAGCACTTTGGGAGGCCTAGGCGGGTGGATCACAAGGTCAGGAATTCAAGACCAGCCTGGCCAACATGGTGAAACCCCATCTATACTAAAAATACAAAAGTTAGCTGGGCCTGGTGGCGGGCGCCTGTAATCCTAGCTACTCGGGAGGCTAAGGCAGGAGAATCGCTTGAACCCAATTGAACAGAGGTTGCAGTGAGCCGAGACTGCGCCACTGCACTCCAGCCTGGGCGACAGAGTGAGACTCTGTCTCAAACAAAATAAAACAAAACAAAAAATCAAAAGCAAACAAACAGAAGACAGATATTTGTGAAGAAGGGTATTGAGCATGGAGTTAGACAGACCTAGCTGCAGTCCAGGTCTTCTACTTCATGTTATGATTTCAGGCAAGGTACTTAACATTTATGAGCCTTGGTTTCCTCATCTATAAAGTGGGGCTAATAACACATAATTAACTTTATGTACTGCAGACAAATAATAACAAATAATAGGCAATCTAGTATCAATTTTTTATTTTGGTTCTGCATTATAGAGTGTTTAGCAAATTACCTGAGGTAAATTATCATTCAAATATTACATTTCACTTGAAATGACTAATTGTATTTTCCTGGATCTATTTCTCTCTTTAAGATCAGCAATGTTTATTATTTAATTTAAAAAGTAATACATATTCATTTTTCTAAATTTAAGAAACACAAATAAAAGGGAAGAAAATAAAATATTCCCATCACCAAATCGGTTAGCAAATATTTATTAAATATCTATTTAATGGGCCAGAACTCATCCTAGGCACCAGGTACACAGAGTAAATAAGACAGATATGGCCCACATCCCCATGGCCCCTGTTAAGAATTCATAACCTTGAAATAAGTGACAATAACCCAGATACCTCTCTACATATTTTCCATCTCCACCAGAATTTTGGACTTTTTGAACTGTTCATAATGACCCTGTCAAGGTCAATGTATATTACAAATTTATTTAATATGCTCCTTGCCCCTCTGTGCCAAATCCAATCCTAACTTGCCTGCTCGGGGACACTGGGCCAGCAATTCTTTTACTTTCCTGCATCATTAATTTTTCACTCTCTACTGGATTATTCTCAACCTAGGCATGCTGTTATTTTTCCCACTTATAATATTAACAACCTTCTCACACCATGTCTCCTGTAGTGACTGCCCCTTTTCTTTGCTCTCCTTTGCAGCAAAACTCCTGGCATTAATTGTTTATACACACTCTAAATCTTCTCCACCCATTCTCTCATAAAACCATATAGATTAGCCTTTACTACCACCAGCTCACTGAAACTATGCTTGTCAACACCACCAGTGGTCTCCATGGTGTTGAATGCAATGGTCAATTCTCAGTTCCCCTTTTATTACCCATCAGAAACACTTGACACAACCAGTCGCTTTATTCTCATTGATGCACACTCTTTATTTGTGGCCCATACTACCCATTCTTTTGGGTTTCCTCCTACTTCACTGATTGGTCCTTCTCTTTCTCTTTTGCTGGTTCTCCTTTTCTTCCTAACCTTTTCGTTAAATTGTAGAGGGTTAAGTCTCAATTCTTGGTTCCTTTCTCTATTTACATTTACCTTTTTTGTGATCTTACAGTCTCTTGTGGTTTTAGGCATCATTTTCATGACGATGACTCTCAAGCTTATATATTCTCTCCAGACTATTCTCCTAAACTGCATGTCCCAGGACAACTACTTCCTTGATATCTCCACCTGAGTGTACAATGGATATTTTAAACTTATTATGTTCTCAAGTAAACTTATAATTTTCCACCCTTTTCTAGCATCTCACAAGCTATCAGCAAATCCTGTTGGATCTACGTTCAAAATATATTCAGAATCAAACCATTTCCTTCTCCTCTACTCTCTCACTCTGGTCCAAGCCTCCTGAAAAGATCTCCTACATTTTTTCTCTTTTACAGCCAACTTTTAACACAGTTGCCAGGTAGATCCTTTTAAATATCTAAGTCAGATCATGTCATCCTCTTCTCAAAACCCTCCAATGGTTCTCCCTTTTAATCAGAGTAATAATTAGTCTTTCATTAGCCAAAAGAACCATATAACTAGGTCCACTGGCTTTATCACCTACAGCACTCTCCTTAATCACCATTTCTAGCTGTCTATGGCCTCATTGCTGTGCTGTGAAGAAGGAGGCTTGCTCCTGCCTGACAGCCATTGCTTTAATTCTTCCTTTTTCCTGGAGCACTATTTCTCCAGATGACTCCTTGGCTACCTGCTCAATTTCTTTCAATTCTTTTCCTCTCTTAGTAAAGCCTAATGTGTCCAGTCACTCTGCCCCTCTACTCTGTACCTCAGATTCCACTTACTTAGTTCCAGTTTTATTTTATTCCATATCACTTTCTAACATACTATATGATATTCTGTATATTTTACATATACAGAATATATATTATATTCAAACATTGTGTGTGTATATATATATATAAAATATACAAACATAATATAATATTTCATTAACCTTGTCTATCTCTCGTCACTAGAAAGTTAAGATACTGGAGGGCAAGTGTCTTGATCTCTTTTTTTATTGATGTGTTCAAGGCCCTAGAAAAGTGCTTTGCATATAGTTGAAGCTCAGTCATATTTATTGAATGACTGGAAACCACTGATTTTATTGCAACTTCAAAATAAGCTAAATCCTTTGAGGAGATGGATACCCCATTTTACGTGATGCTATTATTATGCATTGTATGCCTGTATTGAGACATCTCATGTACCCTATAAATGTATACACCTACTATTAGTATGTGCCCATGAAAATTAAAAATGAAAAACTAAGCTAAATCCTAGTATTATAACCAACTTCTACATTCCTTAGCAGAGTATTAACATAATCTTGAAAAAAAGAAAAGAATTTAGTTTGATGATTGAGATGTCTTATTCCTCATCTCCCATGCCAAATTTTTAAAAATAGATAGAAAACAATGTATTTGAACTTTAAAAGCTTCAACTAAATAATATTGGAAATGTGGTAATAACTATTTATCCAGTTTCAAATCTTATTAATATATCATTTAAATGTTCATAAGATTGTAGGTAAATATGTTTAACTTTTATGTTTCTGTCTTTACTAGCTAAATGTATTTTTAATTTGCATGCCATGGTTACAAGAAATTTTCTTTTATTAATTAAAAAAGTAAACAAATTAGATTAAAATATCATTAATAAAAGAATAACAATGTAAAAATACATGAACAGCTTAGAGAAGAGCTCTGCAGTCCAGATAGATGTCTGGTATAGTTAAGGAAGACAGATGAGGCAACCTGGTCTAGTAAAGTAGAAGAAAATCCCAAGGCCTCAAATTAAGTGTGAGTCAATGGATACTTCAGCCATCCCAGGAAGCCAGCTAACTGTCACCCTCAGTCTACTCAGGAGAGGACACAGCCACATGACATATTTCAACTGATAATAAGAGCCAACTACTTGCTTGATCTATCTCAGAGGAGAATGAGAGTCTACTGCTACTTACGCAACCACAGATTCTCAGTAAATTCAGAAAAAAATTGGGATTTGCTACTTCATATTTCATACAGACTTAACATCAGAGATCTTGAGAGCTGTGAATATTCCTACATAATCGTGTCTATTCCAATGTAAAAATTCTATCACTAAGAGAGAATACTATGATAACTTGCAAGTAGAATATACAAGATGAATTTCCATTGATTTGGCATTTCTTATCAAAAGTCTTAAAATTAATTTTTAGGAATTTATACAGAGAGAATAATCATACATGTATTTAAAGATTTAACTTTACAGATCACTATTAATAGTGGGCAAATATAAAAACCTTACTATTCAGTAATAAGGAATTGATCATACATTTTGATACATCCATACAGTATAATATTATGCAGCTATTAAAATTATGAGGTCATTGGATATTTTCATGATATAGTGAAGGTGCTCACAAACTATTGACAACTTAAAAAAGTAGTTTACATTATATTATGAATTGTTGGAGCCCTTTTGTTTATTATATGTTTATGTACATATATGCTTACACTCATACGTACACACGTACAGACATGCATCTTCACCAATGCTGACAAGGTATGCACTAAACAGTGAGTTTTAAGTGATTCCTAAGCACTAGGAAATAATCTGCAAAAAATTGTGTATGGGCATTTTTCTTTCGAAAGCTTCATCTAATTCTCAAAGGCCTGGTTCTCAAGCTTTTGACTTTCTCCATGCCATTTACTGGCACAGATCAGTCCCATCAGTGATATTCAGCATTAGGCAAACTAGTTTCCCAGAGAAGGAAATGCTAGGAATATTAGGATGTGCTAGGTAAGTGAGGATGAAGTATCAAAAGTTCTGGAAGTCAATGCACAGTTTGAAAAACCATGTTTGAAAATTCTAATGATTCCTCAAAGGTTGTGACAGTACATTTAGTTACTGTTCAGCATGGACAGTGCTGTGGTGAACAGAGTTTCAATTTCTAGACCTGGCTAAGATTAGTTTCCTCATTAATAAGAAGGCAATTTTGGTCTCTACCTATGTGATCTTATTTTTAGGACATGATAAAAATAATTAGAAAACTATAAACTCTGTAGAAGGGAATTGTTGGCTGTATACCCCATTACCTTAGCAAGTATGAGCAGTCACCCTACACTGGGGTGATCAAGGCTTGTGCCTTCATTAAGTGTATGACAGGAGAGATAGAAACAACTGCTCAGATCTTGACACCAGGTTCTAACAGTGGAATGAGCTGATCATGGGTGTGAGGTCTACAGTGGTCACATGAGAGTTTAGGAGATATTGTATAATTGCATTTAGATTTGTGTTCTCTATAGGCAGAGATTATCTAATTCACCTTTGTATCCCACGATGTGTGTCACCTGGGTTGGCTGTCCCTCAGGGCTCTAAAGTGGAGAGAGAAGAACCTGTGCTATAAATGGGCAGAAAACTTTGAAGGCAGGCACCACCCATTATGTGGTAGAGAGACCTCCAGCTTCAAGTCATTTTGAAGTAGCTGAAGACAGAGGAGAGAGGCCTTAGGACAATCTGTGTCCTATGGGACGACCTCTGTAGTGCTCAGGAGCCACTGAGGGACAGAATTCTAGGAGCCATATGAAAAGTGATCGAGTAAAGAATAAAACAAAAGGGTCTTTCCTTTATGAACTTGTATAATATCCAATATGTGAATTATCCAATTAAAAAAGAACCTGGAAGTCCTTCCTCACTGTCTAAAAAAAAAAAATGCATTTGGTGTAGAGGATATGATTACATAGCAGCTATTCAGGTAGAGAGAGAAGGGCAGAAACTCTAGATGGGGATTGAGCTAGAATTCGAACTACAAACAGTAACTGACCCTTCAGGTAAATACTCAAATAAAATAGGTTGATTGTTTGGTGGTATATAAAATATTGACTCTAAGCTCAAGCAGTTGGGGCAATACAAGACGTTATAATGTAAAATTTTCTTTGGAAGGCCATACTCTTCAGAGAAAACCCCGCCATGTAAAAATATTTGATTTTTACAAATATATACAAAATGTTCCTGGGAAGTTATTTCTAGATGCATAAATTACACAAATTACCCAGAAACTATATTAAAGATAAATAGAGAAGGACTACCAAACTACCAGGTACAGAAGATGGATGGTCCCTTCCAGACAGGGCCATCCAGGCAGGTGAATTACCCCTCTAGGTCACTAGAACCCAGAGTTCAGGCTTTAGAAATTTAGACTAAACTGGTAATTCAGAATGTAACCAGAATCTTACAGGGACAAGCCAGCAGGGATTCCTGGGGAAAAAAAAGAACTGGTGCCATAAAATGGGAAAGATCAATGTGGTGTGTTGTGGAACACAAGGAATGTCTGCATGAGTCTCCAGGGCTTAGTGTGCAGAGAATAGTGAAGAGAAGCTGACTTCACAGTTAAGCTTTCGAAGGAGATAAGGAGGAGACTGCCTTGCCCAGCAGTAGAGCACAGACAAGATCGCAGGTATTAATTATGTTTCTCATAGAATTAAGATAATTTTAAAGGTAAAAATAAAGACTTGCAAGTTACTGGGTAAAAGACTACCAAATAGAGGAAAAGAGAAACTTTATAAGCTTCTGTCTCAGAGAGAATATCAACTTACCCAATATTGTTTACACTAGTGGAAATGTCAAACACTGGGCTGCAAACAAAAATTAAAACACTACCAGTACACTGAATTTAACAATAAAGACAGGGAGTAATTTGCCAAGGCAAGCCACTGGAGCAAATAATATAAACAAGTTCAACAGCCTATTCAATGCATTTTAGAGCAAAAGAGAGGGAGAACTGGTTGCTTGCCAACACCTTGCCTCAGTGAGACATGCACTCTGCTATCCAGGAATAGTAATAGGTTAGAGGTTTGGGCTGGAGAGTCTTGTCACTTCATGTCATTTTATTGGGGATGGACTACAGGTCAATCACTACTGGCATTTTATCCTTTGGGTTTATTTGTACATTAACAGCAATTCTGATGTTTTCCCAAGTTCAAGGAGTAGTCTTCACCTGTAGATTTATTCAGATTTCCAGGACCTCTAGTTTCTTAGAATTTGCTCCAGCATAGCTGCTAACAAACACCCTTAGCAAAAATCAGTCTTACATGAAAATTAAAATAATTCAGGCACAGAATTAAATTAATTCTGAAAATTTACACCACTTTTATACCAGCGATTATTACTGTTATTCTTACTTCTGACTTTTTGCTTATTGTTAACTGTATCTCTAGCAGGCAGCCACTTGGAGTGCAAATATAAATTCACGTTGATTTAAATAAAAAGGTCGCAGAAAGAGAGGAGTGGAAAATGAATTAAAAAGTCATCATCAAAATGCATTTATTAAGCATCTTTTTATACATCAGCTGTTCAAGACACACTGTAAATTATGGAACAGACTAAAGCCTTTGTTCTCTTTAAGTTGTTAATCAAAAACATCTAGAGGAGCTATGCAAAAATGTTTAAAATACATAGCCATTAGGGGAAAATAATCAAATATTGGAAAACAATAAAGGAAGCTTTTATATGTCAGGTAAAAAGTCAGCTCATTCTGGCGTGAGGGGAAAAGTAGGTGTGTATATGACTGGGAAGAAAATCAAGTAGGTTAGCCATGAAAATTCAGTGTACTAGCTGGGCAGAGTGAAAGAAAAAGCAAATTCTTGTCTATTCCTGCTTCCCTATCAGACGAGGCATATTGGACTTACATGAAGCCACAGAGTAAAAACAGTGCATATTGATCTGTCAGTTTTACTAAAAATACTTAGAGAAAATGCTTTAAGTAATCAAAATATTATCTTGTATTACAACAAACATAAATATACCATCAGGTTGAATGCAAAGGGTTGCATAAATTTTAAAGAAAACGATAAGACTTAATGAAAATTTTGACCCTGTCTTGGTTGCTTAAATAACATCGTACTTTTTCAATCCACTATTCCAGAATAACTCATGCTTCCTGTAGCATGAGATATCGTTAGGAGTATTTCTTTTCCAAATGTGGAAAATAGAAAACTCTCTCTGTATTTGTGGTGATAGAATTGTTAAACATAGTTTTTACTACTTGAAAATTGGCAAAACAGGTACCTAGGAATGGCAAAATGCAAGATGCTTCATAAGTGAGAAGTGTATCTCTAAGACAGTGTTCACAAGTGTATTGCTACATGCCAGAAAATATGTCAAGACTCAATGCAAAGATAAATAATTTCATTATTTAATTAAGAGGGGGAGGAGGCACTTCAACAGAAAGTAAGGGAATAGAATATCTATTTCTATTACTGGAGATGACTATGAAAAAAATGGGAGAAATGTCAAGGCAAGATACTAGGGAAGATGCCATTGAAAATGTCAATAATTCATTTCAAAAGCAATTCCACACAATGGCTCTTTCAGTCCATATGGAAATAAGAAAGAGATATGTCCTTTCTTCGCCATGAGTTGTGAGAGACTGGATGGAAGTGGGGACACTGGGTAAATGGGATAGAATACGCACCTAGCTAGTTCATGAAGTATACGGGAAAGGAGAGGCAGCAGATATAATCTTCAAAGAAGGAGAAAGCTAGTGAGAATCACGAAGGTATCACTGAAAATTAGAATCCCACAGCCTCAAAATGGCCTGTCCCACTTTCCTACTGGTTTTGGGGAAAATAGCACAATTAGAGACAGGGTGGTATGTAGTAGTAATAATAATTAATAATAATAAAAGGAATTATACAAAGTGTCATGGGAATTGCACATAAGAAAAGCTTAATTAACTGGATTTCTCTCAGGGGTATTTTTATATGCAGATATTCCTGTGTTGTGGGATGAATAATCTTGCCTCTTTAAGGAATTGTAGCCACCAGTGAACTGCTGAAGGTACTGCTGGAGCAGTGGGTCCTTGCTAATAATGCTAAAGATACAGGCCAACTCTGTTTTCTTTCTTTATCCACAAACACTCTAGTTTTACTTTTCTCATCTGTCCTCAGGAGCTGAAGGGAAAAAAAAAGCTCAGTAGTTTCATCAAACAGGGGCTACCTCTTCTTCATTTAAGATTCTCAGTGCCTGTGCACATGGTAGACAATAAATGTTTCTGAATTGAACAAATCAAAAAGAAAATGGAAGGCAAGTGGTAAATCTAGGTCATAAATTTAATTAAGGTAAGGAAAAGAAACTCTAAGATCAATACAAAGAGAAGAAAATAGAAATGGGAGTGTAGAGAAAGGGAAAAGCAAGAGAAAAGAAGTATGATAACTTGAAAAGGACACAGTTACAGAAAAGAAAGTTTGGAGTGAACAATATAATGATATTTCTTTGATGTACTATAAATGAAATTTTTAAAAAAATTGTGAGCTCTCTGACAGGAGGTGTTACACTCTGAATAATTGCTAATAATTCTTAACAAATCAATGTAAAGGTAATAATAATTTTTCCATTTACACTTATAAAACTGACACATTAATTGATGATAATAAAACCTTTTCTTTGAGCTACTTATAATATGACATTGATTTGATAGATCAGATAAATAGCCTTCATTATATATCTAGGATGCAGGGATATTTTCATCTGGAAAATTCAAGGTGAGGTTCCTGGCGTTAAGGGCTTTTAGGTCCCCTGTGGTTCACTCTCTGAATGTCTTTACCAACAAATCTGTAAAGCTCAGTATTCACCAGGTCAGGATCCATAAACCCACTGGCATTCAGTGAGTAGCTTCTTTCACCCTTCCTTTGTCCCTGTGCCATAAACAGGAAAAAAAAGCATGAAGTTGAATGTGTCAGTAACAGTTGGGTTTGTTAGCCACCATCCCTCGCTCCTGACATTTAAAGAAGGTGACTTATCTTCTGTCCTGGGCAGCAGAGACAATAGAATGATGCAAAAAATAAGAGATCTGGACTGCTGTGGATGGTTCTTTTGGAGAGATAAAGGGAGGAAAGGGAAGGCAGAGTTTCCTGTTTGAGTGTTTGTTTTATGTATCCTGGTTTCAATTTCCCTTTGGAGAATACCATACACAGGATACATACGGAAGCAATGACTATAGCCAGTGCAGCATGTGGTCTTATGGCAGATCTTAATATATATTAATTAATGTTAATCCATATTATTTTATTCATCTATTTAATTGAAAACACAATTTAAAATCTTGTTATCCTGCAATATAACATTTAATGTATTCAATAACTGGCACACATGAAAGAACTACATATAGTGGGTTGTGATTAAATATTACTTTTGGAAGAATGAGCAGATTCTGCCAGAAGTATCTCTCCATGGCAGAGTCAGAATTCAAAAAAATCTTACATACATTTTCTATTCACTGCATTGAGTTGAAGAACTTGACACATGCTTAACATTACACGCTCTAGAAATCCTAAAAGTAATTTTATAAAGGTGAGGTCAATAAACACCCAGAAGAATATAAAAATCTTAGAGACCATCGTTATTTACTTGTCACCTGACAAAACCAATACTTTAAATAGTAAGGTGTGGTTTTTATGTTGTCATTGAGTACTAGCATGTTTTTTGACAGGCAGAATCATGTGAAAGCCATATTCAGCTGAAATTTATGGAAACATTGTGGAAACCTTAGTCAGATCAACTCTTAGGAAAGAAATAAAAACCATAATCAGATGCACTTGGAAGAAACTTGTTTAAGCATGGTTAATATTTATAACTAGGTTAACAAGAGTAATCTGAGGTCAGATGAATCTGCATTTTCAAACTCTGAGGCTGCCAGTACTGAACTAATAACAAATAGAATACATAAGACGCTATTATATTTAAACTGAAAAAAGCTTAGAACAGTTGTGTTGACAATATTTGGTTGAGATTTAGTTACAATGGCTTTGGAAGTATATTATTGGCACACAAATGTGCATATAGCTTGGAGTTCAAAACCAGACTGTCCTTCATATCTCTAGTGTTAAGAACATTATTTTAAAGTAGAACCAGGGAACTATGGATGAATGACCTCTGATTTTACTTGCAAACTTTTGTGTACATTTTTCTGAGAAGAGAAGTCATTGTTTCGTGGGAAACAGAAATTTTCAAATCCTAATAATTCTGGTGTTTCTAGAATGACTAAATATGGCATTAAATCAACAGTGTAACTATATATCATACTGTCAGCTTCCCATGTGGATTTTATAACATCAGCCTCACCATACTTAATTTAGTTTCTTTCATCTAGCAGGTTCTCAATATGTTTGCTATTGATAATGATGACAGTAGTCCAAGCCATGATCTCATTTTCCAGACTGTGTTCCCCTCTTCATTTTCAAGTTCCTCTCTAGGCCAGCAAGATTTTTATTCTCTCTCATCATAGCAATAAACCTGTCATTGTGATCACGTCAGACATAAAATTTGCCAAGGCCAGCACACAAATTCCTTTCCCTGCAAGTAAGCTTGCCTCATTCTTGATTCTATCCTTGATGACGGAAGGCCATCTTGTATATCATCTGTCCATTTGTAGACTAAATGGTCTACAAGGAAAGGGCATCTAAATTTTGCCAAGCTTATTTGTAACCCACTGCCTAGTTTGTGATTAAGGCTGAGATGACAAGGTTTTCTTCCTAGCAGCAGAAGGAATATGTTCTTTTTTTCCTCCCAGAACAGGTTATTACAGAGTTTTAAAATGTAGGTCAAAGAAAAAAAAAAAAAGAACAAGCTAAAGTATTTAGAATATACCTAGTCCCCAGCATACTACTTTTCATGAAGCTCCAAATATTTCTCTTCTTATGTTTACAAAAAATATGTATCTAAATATTTAAGTGTTTTTCTTCCTCCTAAGGATGAGTCATATTTAGCAATTTTACCTATATCTCTAAAAATGCATTTTATTTAAATAAGAAAACAAACATCAAAAAGCTGGTAAACATAACTAACAAGTATTTAAATTTGGACTATATTACATACCATTATTCTTACAGTATCAATAGCCAAGCCAAGTCTCAAGTATAATATAGAAAAGTGGTTTCTCATCTGATAATTTTTTATAGAAAGTTTTGGTGACTTAAACATCTGCATTTACACTTTTTATTATGTGTTATATATACTTGCTTTAATAATTTAAATGTTACAGAAATATAGGTTTAGAATATAAGAAACCCACTATAATCCCATCCAATCAAGGACAACTTCTATTATCAGTTTGATAAATATTATTAATGTACTAAGATATTATTATTTTAATATTATGGGATTGTTTTTTAAAGAAACTTGAAAATATTTCACCACTTTCTTTTTTCACTTAATATTTACTTGATGTTTTTCCATGTCAGTGTATATTAGAACCACTTTATTTTTTTATTAAAGAGCTATATAATATTTCTTTATAAGAATTTATGATAGTTTATTAAATCAACACCTTATTGATAGATATTCAGAAGTTTTTTCAATTTTTTACTCACAACCAATGTGTCAGTGAACATTCTCTATGCACCTGTATGAGTCCTTCTGTAGAATGGCTGCAGACATATGGAAGATTCAAAGGAATTAGTGTTTTAACAAATATTTCTAAACATATTCCAAAAGTATTGTAAAGAATTTACATGTTCACCAGTAATATATAAAAGAATCTGTCCTACACACTTTTCAGTTTTTTTAAACTCATTCAATAGCAACTTTCTAAAGCAGACGTCACAAACTCAGATGACTTCAGAAACAGATAGATACCAAAAAATGTGCATCAGCACAGAGTAAAAAATGGGAAGTAGTAGAAATTCAGCAAATTTAATTTTAGTAAATATTATGAGGGCCAAAACAAACATATTTCAGTTCTCAGGTTGCCAGTTTTCAGCCCTTGTCTTAATGGAATACATCTAGTTTTGATTTTATAAAGCACAGAATTTCCTTTACTTGAGAAAGCAATACAACCTTTGATGAGATGATAAATTTCACTGGATACATCTTATTTTTACCTTATTTTCTTTCTTTACTTTTGCTTCAAAATTTACAGTTATAAGAAGAATTCATTGTTTCCTAGACAGGATTCATTATATGTTGTATTAATTTTTATCAATGCAAATCTTCTGTAACAGATATGTTGAAAACAGTAACATTTATTGTCTTATATTTCCCCATTTATAAAAAGTTTTCTTACACTTATCAACTTGCTAGAAAGCCTTCAAACTCACATACAAGATTATTTTAATACTCTTACTAGTCCCGTATCAGTAATAGAGAAAAATAAGAAAATAAACTACTTGTCTTAAACATAAGCAATATGCTGCTAAGGTTTATATTGAACCTACCAAAGCATCCTTGAATAGAAAAAAAGAAATATCATTATTTTAGCTTGACAAAAAACAGAAGAGAAAAATTCTTGTGTCCTTTCAATAACAGTGGTTAGCTTGTGGTCTGTGAGAAAGGGTGAAGGCCAGGGAGAAAATTGGTTCTGCTCTCATTTTTCTAGTCCCACTGCATCAATAAACCTCTGGAAGTTTCAACACAGGGCACACAATGTGAGCATGGAGCAGCTTGGCTTCTCAGCACTTTGTTATGTCCTTTAACCTTATGAGATTGTCAGTAAAGATGGCTAAGTAAGGGATTCCCATTGCTACAGTGTAAATGGAGGATTGGCTTTCAAAGCAGAATAGCTCCTCCATCAATTTGAGATTGGAGGGTGAAAACGATTAGGAAAGTGAGTTTGGAAATGAGTAGTTATTCTAATTGAACTTTTGTATTTACAACTGTTATTCATGCCATATTTTTTTCTTCAGTGACTTAAAAAATAAAACACCTACACATAAAATGAGGCATAAAACTGTAGGCATTTTTTCAATACTTATGATTTCTATTTAACAGAAATGTTGAAGCTACCAACTCTACTGGATGTAAAAGAAAGTTACACAATGTTGACAAATGGAGATCAAACCCCTGTTGAAGAAAATTTCTGAAATGTTCACATTTAAAATATACCATATTATCCTGCCTTGAAAAATCATTTTAGGGAAAATAAGAATTTTCACATCCCTTGTAAGTTGGATTCCTAGGTATTTTATTCTCTTTGAAGCAATTGTGAATGGGAATTCACTCATGATTTGGCTCTCTGTTTGTCTGTTATTGGTGTATAAGAATGCTTGTGATTTTTGTACATTGATTTTGTATCCTGAGACTTTGCTGAAGTTGCTTATCAGCTTGAGGAGATTTTGGGCTGAGATGATGGGGTTTTCTAGATATACAATCATGTCATCTGCAAACAGGGACAATTTGACTTCCTCTTTTCCTAATTGAATATCCTTTATTTCCTTCTCCTGCCTGATCACCCTGGCCAGAACTTCCAACACTATGTTGAATAGGAGCGGTGAGAGAGGGCATCCCTGTCTTGTGCCAGTTTTCAAAGGGAATCCTTCCAGTTTTTGCCCATTCAGTATGATATTGGCTGTGGGTTTGTCATAGATAGCTCTTATTATTTTGAGATACGTCCCATCAATACCTAATTTATTGAAAGTTTTTAGCATGAATTGTTGTTGAATTTTGTCAAAGGCCTTTTCTGCATCTATTGAGATAATCATGTGGTTTTTGTCTTTGGTTCTGTTTATATGCTGGATTACATTTATTGATTTGCATATGTTGAACCAGCCTTGCATCCCAGGGATGAAGCCCACTTGATCATGGTGGATAAGCTTTTTGATGTGCTGCTGGATTCGGTTTGCCAGTATTTTATTGAGGATTTTTGCATCGATGTTCATCAAGGATATTGGTCTAAAATTCCCTTTTTTGGTTGTGTCTCTGCCAGGCTTTGGTATCAGGATGATGCTGGCCTCATAAAATGAGTTAGGGAGGATTCCCTCTTTTTCTCTTGATTGGAATAGTTTCAGAAGGAATGGTACCAGCTCCTCTTTGTACCTCTGGTAGAATTCGGCTGTGAATCCATCTGGTCCTGGACTTTTTTTGGTTGGTAAGCTATTGATTGTTGCCTCAATTTCAGAGCCTGTTATTGGTCTATTCAGAGATTCAACTTCTTCCTGGTTTCGTCTTGGGAGGATGTATGTGTCGAGGAATTTATCCACTTCTTCTAGATTTTCTAGTTTATTTGTGTAGAGGTGTTTATAGTATTCTCTGATGGTAGTTTGTGTTTCTGTGGGATCGGTGGTGATATCCCCTTTATCATTTTTTATTGCGTCTATTTGAGTCTTCTCTCTTTTCTTCTTTATTAGTCTTGCTAGCGGTGTATCAATTTTGTTGATCTTTTCAAAAAACCAGCTCCTGGATTCATTAATTTTTTGAAGGGTTTTTTGTGTCTCTATTTCCTTCAGTTATGCTCTGATCTTAGTTATTTCTTGCCTTCTGCTAGCTTTTGAATGTGTTTGCTCTTGCTTTTCTAGTTCTTTTAATTGTGATGTTAGGGTGTCACACCATGAAATACTATGCAGCCATAAAAAATAATGAGTTCATGTCCTTTGTAGGGACATAGATGAAACTGGAAACCATCATTCTCAGCAAAATATCACAAGGACAAAAAACCAAACACCGCATGTTCTCTCTCACTCATAGAGAATCTGAAACATGCAGATGAAGAATGACCTACTTGAAAATTTACCAGCCAAGCCTGTAAGCTGTGTAGAGTAGTGTCAACACAAAGGAAATAACAATTCAAGTGGATTCCAATGTGCAACCGCAGTCATTAGTATGGATTGGTGTCAAACTTTCAAGCATTTGCCTTATTTATTGAACAACCTAATAATTCAAAATGGTAATGGGAAGAGGGTGGAGTAGGAAGATAAGGATAGACTCTGAAACCAAGGTCCTTAGGGCTTCTATCTGAATTTCAGAATTACTGTCAAATAAATATTTATTGGTATCCTTTCTCTTGTATGTAGACAATAAGTATACATACAGATAGCTGTCTAAAAATTAAGTGTTAAGCTGGAATTAGATATTGAAACTGAGTACCAATATTATCTTTAGTCAATTTCCCTTAGGATAGTATTTTGTGAAGAGAATATATTATTCATGTGCATATTAATTAAAGCTTTTAAAATGATCACTGAAAAAAAAAAGAATTTTATGGAGTTATTTTAGGTGTTCTAAATTACAGTCCCATACCTTAGTTTTAATTTTTTTCTTAATGAGAAATCTCTCATACTATACATTTTCTTCTTTTGATTTTTAAAGATAATCACGAGTGATATAAAAATAACTTTGTTTCAGGAAATGTATGCCTTAGAGTAAGAAAGAATTGTCCAAGAGTAACACAAATTTGTAGATATTTATTTTGGCTTGATGTTAAAAATCTAAAGAAACAACTAAATTGGAATCAGCTGTGCTAAAAATAGAGAAGCAGCAGAAAAGATAGGACTATTATATTTTATAAGGAAAAAAATCCTAGAGAGGCTCCTAAATTCATCATGTTCATGAAGACTTTTTAAAAAACTAATTAGGAGAGGAAAAATTCCTTCCAACTATCTCACGTTATATGCAAATACATACATTCAACTCTACCCTGAAAACAATGCTAAAATACATATAGCTTGTAAATCTTTTATTCATTTGTGTATCCATTCATCCTTACACAAATCATAAAGATGGTTTTTCTTTACATTTTTTCTGCATTCTTCATCTGGAATTGTAAATAACAGGAGTTACAATTTTATTAAAATTGGGAGAGCCATTTGCTATATGATAATCACACTTATTTCACTGGAATTCTCTCTGGTTTAGACTTCTGGCCCCTTTTTTCAGATTAGTAATTGAAACTGATTGACAGATACCCCAAGGCATATATAAATACTATATAAATTGGGGCAGCTCCTTGTAAAGGGAATTTTGAAAGGACTTTTGTAGTTCTGAGCTTGGAGAATTGAGGTTACCAAACATACTTTACCTTCAAAATTTCATTTGCTTTAAAAATAACTACTCCCTTTTATAAATCCTCATAGATCTTCTAGTCTATGACAATGTTGCATTTTAGCTACATTTGGCAAACTACAAAGATACATCTGTTAAAACTGCATTCCTCATGATTTTAAAAAACATTTGCAATCATGAAAGTTCTCTTAGCATTAATTTTCTTCTCTATTACTTTCCATTTCTTTCTCAAATTCTCGCTAACTCTCATACACATCAAGTTTAGTAGGCAAGATAATTTTCTCTCCTAATCCAAATCTTTAAACACTTCACAAATACCTTTATAGACAGGAATAGGAGTTTGCTAAAATTTTAATTTTGGTTAAATTCAACAAAGTCACCTGTGTGCCCAACACTATGCTATATGTTCTGAATAAATAAGGCATATTTCTTGCCCTTGAAAAACTTCAGAGCAATGGTCTTCCAGCATTTTAAATTTTAAATCATACATCCACGCCGGTTTGAAAAAAAGAGAAGTTTCTGCATGCACTCCTATGCATGTGTGTATATGTATTTATACATAACATCATGTATTAGTATACAAGTGAATTAGTTCATATCCATGCTGCCAATAAAGACATACCTGAGAGGGGAAGAAAAATAGGTTTAATGAACACACAATTCCACGTGGTTGGAGAGGCCTCACAATCATGGCAGAAGGCAAAAGGCACTTCTTACCTGGTGGTGGCAAGAGGGAATGAGAGCTTGGGCAGGGAAACTCCCGCTGTTAAAACCACCAGATCTCATGAGACTTATTCACTATCATAACAACAGCACAGGAAAGACCTGCTGCCATGATACAATTAACTCCCACAGGGTCCCTTTGGGAATTCAACATGAAATTTGGGTGGAGACACAGCCAAACCACATCATTTCGCCCCTGGCCCCTCCCAAATCTCATGTCCTCACATTTCAAAACCAATTATGCCTTCCCAACAGTTCCCCCAAAGTATTAGCCATTCTGACTGGTGTGAGGCAATATCTCATTCTGATTTTAGTTTGCAGGCAGAAGCCAAGCAGTGGGAGCAGGCACTTCTGAGCCTGTGAGGGCAGGGGGGCCTTCCTGGGCCCCCAAGAATGCAGGGACCCCTGGGTCCAAAGCCGTGGTTTGGGCAGCTGCAACTGCACCCAGGAGGGCAGGGCTCCCCCCTGCTCTGGCCCCAGGATCACAGGGATGCCCAAGTCCACAGCTATGGCTTGGGTGGCTACAGTGGCACCCGGGGAGCTCCTGCCCCAGCTTGGAAGGAATGGGGCTCACACTTGTCCCCAGCTCCTGCCAGACCCATGGAGCATGCAGGCCCAGCTGCACCTCCCTGCTGCAGCCGGCATGATAGCAGCGGCCACTCCAGATGACCTGCTGCTGCCATCACTACCTGACTTCAAAGTATATTACAAAGAAATAATAGTAAAAACAGTATGGTACTGACATAAAAATGGAAAAATTGACCAATAGAATAAAATAGAGAAACCAGAAATGAACTTAAAAATCCATGGTCAATTAATATTTCACAAAGCTGCCAAGAGCACACAATGGGGAATAGACAGTCTCTTTAATAAAGAGTGTTGAGAAAACTGGATATCCACATGCAGAAACATGAAACAACCTTTATCCTTTTATCTCATATTCGTTACAAAAGTCAACTCAAAATGGATTAAAGTCTTAAACCTAAGACCTGAAACAGTAACTGCACTAGAAGAAAGCATAGGAAAACACCACATGACACTGGTCTGGGCAATTATTTTTTTGGATTTGATTCTAAAAGATCAAGCAACAAAAGCAAAAATAGACAAAGGGAATTATATCAAACTTACAAGTTTTGCACAGCAAAGGAAGCAGTTAATAGGATGAAGAAATAATATGCAAATTAGGATAAAATATTTGCAATCAAAACATCTGATAGGGAGTTAATATCCAAAATATGTAAGGAACTCAAAAAACTCAATAGCTAAAAAACAACCTGATTAAAAGATAGGCAAAGGACTCAACATTTCTATCAACAGTATATGACTGGGAAACAAATATGTAATAAAAAAACTTTGCTAATTTATAGACATAATATTACATCATTTTATTTCTATTTCTTTGACTACTGTTCAGTATAAAGTTTTTATTATTTATTAGCTCTTCCTCCTCTCCCTCTCCTTTCTCTCTCTCTCTCTTTTTTCTCTTTCTTTCTCTCATATCTCTTTCTCTCTCTCTCTCTGTCTCCCTGTCTCTTTCTTTCTATTGCCCTTTGTTTTCTTTTAGCCCATTTTTCTACTGGGGTCTTGTTGATCTTCTCATTAATTTGTGGATGTCTTTAAATAATAAGGCTACTCAAACTCCACTGTCATCTATGAAATAAACATACTTTAAGTAGTTGGCCATTTATCTCTTTATGTTGTTTATGATTGTCCATCCCTTCATATTCTATACCTACTTTTAAAAATAATAATTAGATGTGTTTTCAGGAAATTTGGAGCCTACTGAAAAATACCAAGAAGGCAATAAATCTAATACATAGCCAACCATCCAGACATACCGATTTAATTTATGCATGTGTGTGTGTGATATTTATATGTGTGTACATATATAATTATCCTTTCTTACATGCACATACATCATTTAAGAGTACAAATAGTGGCCGGGCACGGTGGCTTATGCTTGTAATCTCAGCACTTTAGGAGGCTGAGCAGGACGGATCACGAGGTCAGGAGATCGAGACCATCCTGGCTAACATGGTGAAACGCCGTCTCTACTAAAAATACAAAAAATTAGCTGGGCGTGGTGGTGGCACCTGTAGTCCCAGCTACTCGGGAGGCTGAGGCAGGAGAATACTGTGAACCTGGGAGGCAGAGCTTGCAGTGAGCTAAGATAGCTCCACTGCACTCCAGCCAGGGCAACAGAATGAGCCTCTGTCTCAAAAAAAAAAAAAAAAAAAAAAAAAGTACAAACAGCGTCATACTTTAAGTGTGGTTTTCATAAACTTATTTTTCACTTATGTGTATATTTCAGATAGCTCCCTAATCATAAAATATGCTGTGAAAACACCTTTATTTAATACCTCAGAAGGTTTACTTTTCATAGCTATTTAATAATTTATTTAATGACTTCCTCATTTTTGGACATGCAAATGTTTCCCATTTTATTACTTTAAATATTATCTCAACAAACCTCTTTGTACACATTGCTTTGTGTTTATAATTATTGCCTTAATCTTTTTTTATATTTGGAATTCCTAAGTCAGAGAGCATGCAGACTTTTAAGATTTATGATACATAATGACAAACAGTCTTCTAGAAAAGTTGAACCAAATTCCTGGCCCATCTCTGTAGTATGATATGGTCCATTTCTCCACATCCTCATCAGTGTTGAATGTATTTATGATAGCCTACATTGAGTGTTTACAATGTGCCAGACTCTATGCCTACTTTATTGATGAAGTATCTGAACATCAATAAAGTTTCAGCAGTTTGCCTAAGTCCTCACAGATAATTGGACAGTAGGGGTATACTCAAAGTTCAATAAGACCTTAACAGTGATGCTCTCTCAGTATGCTATATTGTTTCCCAAAGCTTTATATTTTCAAATGACCATTATAGAGCAAATGTTTTTGATTCCTAATTATGTTGAGTCTTTTAATTTTTAAGTTTAGAGGTCATCAGAACTTTTGTGTGAAAAGCTCTCACAAGCCTTTGCCAATTATCCTAATGAGATTCATATTTATTTTTAATGATATCTAGTAATACTCCATATTTTAATAATGTTGGCCATTTGTATCATATATGCAGTGAATATTTTTTCAAGTGTTTTATTTTGGAAATAGAATTCAGAGAATTTTCTAATGTGCATAGGTAAATTTTCCGATCAAAATCTCAGCAGGCTTTTTTGTAGATATCTACAAGCTAACTCTAAAATTCACAGTGTAATACAAAGGAATTAGAATACCAAAGCAATTTTGTAAAAGAAGAGGATTCACACTATATGATTTCAAGACTTACTGTAAAGCTACTGTAATAAAGACAGTGTGATAATAGAAAAAGTATAAATACATACGTCAGTCGGACACAATAGAGACTAGAAATATACCTGCACAAATGTGATTGATTTTCTGACAAAAATGCAAAGTCAATTTAGTGGATAAAAAATAGTCTTTTATAAAAAAGTGATGAAACTATTGGATGTCCGTAAGCACATAAGTAAAATTGTGAACTTCAATCTTTCATAACATGCAAAAATTAACCCCAAACAGATCATATGACTAAATACAAAACATAAAATTATAATACATTTAGAAGAAAACATAGTTGAAAATCATTGTGACCTTGGGTTAAGCAAAGACCTCTTAGATATAACATCAGGCTGGGAGTGGTGGTTCATGCCTGTTAATCCCAGCACTTTGGGAGGCTGAGGCAGGTGGGCCACTTGAGGTCAGGAGTTCAAGACCAGCCTTGCCGAGATGATGAAACCCCGTCTCTACTAAAAATACAAAAATTAGCCGAGCGTGGTGTCACACGCCTGTAGTCCCAGCTTTTTGGGAGGCTGAGGCAGGAGAATCACTTAACCCAGGAGGTGGAGTTTACAGTCAGCCTAGATCGCACCACTGCACTCCAGCCTGGACGACAGAGCAAGACTCTGTCTCCAAAAAAAAAAAAAAAGAAGAAGAAGAAAAAAAAGAAATATATAAACATCAAAATCATAATCCACAGAAGAAAAAAACTGATATCATGACTTTACCAAATTTAAAACTCTAAAAGGATGTGGTCAAGAAAACAAAAAAGCATGCCACAGACAGAGAGAAAATGTTTGCAAATCACCTATTTCCTACAGGATTTTTATGCAGAATATTTATAAAGAACTCTCAAAACTCAAAAATAGAAAACAACTTAGTATAATTTGGGCAAAATGTATGAACAAACACTTCACAAAAGAAAACAAACAGATGGCGAATAAGCAGAAGAAAACATGTTCAATGTTATTATCCATTAAGAATATGCAAATTAAAACCAGAGTGATAATTAGAATGGTTAAAATAAGTAAAATAAAAACTGATAATACCAAGTGTCAGTGAAGGCATGGAGCAATGAGAATATTCATCCTTTGCTGGTAGAAATTTAGGATGGTTTGTCATTTTGGGAAACAATTTTGCAGTCTGAGAAAGCTAAACATACACTCATCATGTGATACATAATCCCTCTAGGGTATTAGCCCATGATAAATAAAAACTTCAGTTCTCACACAAATTTCTACGTGGATATTTATAGCATATTCAAACCACCAAAAACTAAACAACCTAAATATCTTTAAGTGGATGGATGAATAAACAAGCCATGGTACAGTCATACAAATAAATGCTACTTAACAATACTAAGGAAATAATTATTGATACATGCAAGAGCATGAATGAATCTCAATGCATTATGAAAGAGGTCAGATGGTAAAGATTACATTCTCTGTGTTCCATTGATAAGACATTCTAGAAAAGGCAAAACTGTAGTGACCTAGAGCAGATTAGTTGCCAGGGATGAAGGTAAGGATAAGTTGACAGGGGGAAGGTCAGGGAACAGTAATGGAAATGTTCTGTAATTTGATTGTTGCGAAAGTTACATGACTCTGTACAACTGTCAAAACTCACAAAACTGTACACCAAGAAGTGTGAATTTTACTGTTTATAAGTTTAAAAACGAATAAATGACTTGGCTTTCTTGCATTGCTTAAATACTTTTCTAGGCCAAAGTCACATAAATACCTATAAGCTATTGAATTTATTCAATGTTCAATAATATTTTAAAATATTATTTTAAATCTTTATTTAAATTTTACTTTAATATTGTGTAATGCACAGATCACACCTTATTTTCCCCCAAGTAGTTAAAGAATTGTTTTAGTACCATCTACTCAATAAGCCATCGTCCTTCCCTCCTCCTGCTATTTGAATTGTCTCTTTTATCAGACACTAATTATGTGTACCTGGGTTTGTTAATCGACTTTCCTTGGAGAGCTTCTTCATTGAGTTATGATTATTTTGGCAGTGCACTTTATGATCACATGTATGGTTTTGGATTCTTTATTCTATTTTATTGCTCTGATGTATGCTTTTGTGTGTGTCCCTGTTAGACATTGACACCCCATAGACATTTCGCATAACTTGTAATTCTGTAGTTTAGCTGAAGAATAGGGTTGGAGGTATTGACCTCTATGTCATTAACAAAGTCATGATAACAGCTTTGCTTGATTAGGAAGAACAAGAAGAACCAAAGAGCAATAGAATGAAGATGGATCTCCAGGGAGCACTGTCATTTGAATAGGAGTAAAATATCAAGAACTTTTGTGGGCATGTTGTTTGACCTCTGTAGTGTTTACTGTTTTCAGTTAGCCAACTTCACTCATTTATATTACCTATAGCCACCTATTGGGGTTTGAGTTTGTGGTTTGTGACTTTCTGGATGGAAGAATAGAGACAGAAGAGCCAGTGAGAGGGGTCTTTACAAAAAGATCCACAAGATGTGAGGGAAATCAAGAGGGAGCAGTGAAAGAAGAAAAATGTAGTTAACAATGTCAAATACCCCTGAGAGAATCAGTCAAGATAAGGGCTGTGGGTCATCCGTGCCTTTAGAAAGTGCATGCTCTGTTAAATGGGGTTAGAAATCAGATTGCACTGTGCTGAGGAGTAACTGAATCTTAGAAGTTGGAGATAATGAATGTAGACTACTGCTTGGAGAGCTTGAATGAGTTGAAGAGGACAGAAATTGGATGGTGGTGAAGAAAGAGGTTGGTTTGTTTTTGTTTGTCAATTTGCTTTTTTGGATAGGAGTGTGAAGAACACGAATGGCTGAAGGAAAAGGGCTAGCAAGGAAGAAAAAGTTGGAAATAAAGGACAAAAAAGAAACAATTAATGGCAAAAGGTCTCAGCCTCAGTGATGGGAAGTAAAATCAAACATAGGCTTTGCCTTGAATAGCAGGAAGGACTCCTGAGCCCTCTTAGAGATTGAAGGAAAGAAAAAATGTTTATAGACCTAGTTGGTTTGATGCTGGAGGGGATTGCAAAGATTCACAAGTAGTTTCCACACAATGACCTCAATTTTCTTGTTAAAATAGCAGGTGCACTAATCGTGAAAGGGAGAGATTGTGTGGCTTGAGTGGGGTAATGAACTTTTGAAATAGTGGCCGACCACAGTCAGAATGAAAGGATTAGTGAATGCTATTGAGGGGCTACCTCAGATTAGAACACCATAAATCTGCAGAGTGGTATAATTGCTCCTGTAGCACTCATGAATGTGAGTACAAGAAAGGATTCACTATAGCTCGGGTTCATGGCTGCATGTACTGTGGAAGAAAGGAGTGGCTGGAGAGCTGTGGGAGGTAAGCTGCTAGTTTCCAAGCAAACTTCCAAGCACAGCTAGCAGAACATGGAATTATTAAAGGCACTAAAAGTCTAATTTTATTCTAAGCAAAAGAAGTGAAAGGAAAAGAGTTTATTACATTTGTAACCTAACTTCACCCCGCTGATTACATTAGTGAATGGCATTGAGGGGCTAGCTCAGTCTCAATGTAATCACCCCAATGATTGCATTAGGGGTGAAGTCAGGTTACATATGTAATAAACTCTTTTCCTTTCACTTCACTTGCTTTTACCTTATTTCTTCTTTACCATTGTTTTCCCACTTATGTTATATTGTCGTATTATTTTGTAAAACATGTTTTAGATACAAGGCCGAGTATAAGCAAATAAAAGGAAAATAAAAACATACAGATGATCAAATAGAGGTGAGTTTCACTTTAGCAAGGGAAACTGATATTTAAAGTGTATCTGTTAAGCGGTTTTTTGTTTGTTTGTTTGTTTGTTTGAGACAAGGCCTCACTCTGTCACCCAGGCTGGAGGGCTGGAGTGCAGTGGCATGATCTCAGCTCACCACAACCTCCACCTTCCAGGTTCAAGTGATTCTCATGCCTCAGCCACTTGAATAGCTGGGACTACAGACACACACCACTGCACCCAGCTAATTTTTTGTATTTTTTGTAGAGATGGGGCTTTGCCATGTTGCCCAGGCTGGTCTCAAACTCCTGGACTCAAGTGATTCACCCACCTCCACCTCCCAAAGTGCTGGGATTACAGGCACGAGCCACCATGCCTGGCCTTGTTGAGCTGTTTTAACTGAGAACAAGATGCTGGAGGTGCTAAGGAGGTTTTGTGGTTGTTGTAGTAGAGTGGATGGAAGTTTACTGAGATTATAGAAGTTAGGGCTGGCTTAACGCTTCTCTATCTGGGCTAATTTTGCTCTGAGGGGACATCGGTCAATGCCTGAAGACATTTTTGTTTGTCATAACTAAAGATGAAGTGCCAATGGCATCTAGTACCAGAAATGCTGCTAAACGCCCTACATTGCAAAGGACAGCTCTCTCCCCTCCCCCAATAAAGAATTATCTGGATCCAAATCTCAATAGTGCTGAAGTTGAAAAACCTTGGATTAGATAAATTATTTGCCAGAACGATGGAAGAATAAGAATGCTAGGAAATTACTTGGAGAATTTGAAGACAGGGTCAGAGAAGAAAGAGCCACCTAGAGCATGGGCATACCAGGTAATGTGAAATTCATGTGGGTGTTGGTTTGTGAGAGAATGGAAGAATCATTATTTGGAAAAATTCCTAGGGAACTGGATTTGTGGTACAGAGTTGCAAATGATTCCTGGGTTGGCAATTTTGTAAAGCAAATGAAGGGAGGATGAAAGCAAAGGAATTTAAAGAAAGCATATGCTATTTTCTACCTGCTTTTGAAAAGTCAAGTTTCAGTTGTCCTCAACCAGAGTTTCTAGTTCTTTCCATTGACGTTTCCAGATGAGTACAACAAAGCTCAATATTGGTTTGGGAAGAATCTATCCCTAACAGAGAAAAACTGCATGAGAAGTCTTTGTTTCCCCCATAACCTTCAACCAGCCCTCTGCATCTCTAATTTTCTTTTTCTTTTTTTTTTTGGCTTTCCCATAACAGACAACACAAGCTGTCTCTTTGTGGTTAAACTTACAGAGCTGACCATCAATTCTTTCCACAATACGGCATGTAATAAACACTCTCTACTTTGGTTAAATTAAGAAAGGCCCTCTTCTAGCCTGAGCTACAAGCAAGACCTTGTCTCTACAAAAAATTTTTTAAAAAAATTACCCAAGTGTGGTAGTGCATGCCTATAGTCTCAGCTACTTGGGAGGCTCAGAAGAATCACTTGAGCCCAGGAGGTTGAGGCTGCAGTGAGCCGAGATCCTGCTACTATGCTCCAGCCTGGGCAACAGAGAGAGACCTTGTCTCAAAGGAAAAAAAAATATGTATATATATATATATATATATATATATATATATATATATATATAATATATATATATAATATATTTCTATATATCTATTTATATATCTATAAAATAGATATATAAATATAGATAGACAGATAGATAGATAGATAGATACAGAGAGAGCCTCTAAATAATTGTGAACTTTACTTTGTGTTTCTTTTAATAATCTAATATTGGACACATGTCCTTTAGATGATATACTGCTTAAAATACCTGCCTTTTGGAAGACTGAAAAAAAATCACAATACTTAATAGATTTTGAAATCTCTTAATCCAAATTTTGTTTTGTTTATTTGCATGGCCAGATATTTAATTCACATTGACTTATCCTCAATGAAAACAAAACGACTCAACTACTTTTTCAGCATACAAAATCGGCTAAACCTCTCAACTCCAGCCAGTAAAGTCAAGACCGAATGACTTTTAAAATAACAGCACTTTATATGATGAGTTCTAAACTATAGATGGATTGCAAGAAAACAGGCAGGAGTATTTGGGCCTTCCATATTTCCAGACTCCTGTGCTCAGAACCAAACATTGAATGAAAATATTCCAACCAGATTACCATAAAAAAACCCTGATCACTCATTTGTTAATGATTGCACAAAATTGATTTAATTTCCAACTCTATATATTTTCTAATAAAAATGCACATAGATAGACCTATGTCCTTTAATATTATCTGATTTCATATACTTGTAGTAACTGTATCATCATTTCTAAAAAATAATATCTTTTCTTTCTGGTGAAATTGAAACTGATTTTACATACATTTACAACATATATCTTACTAATGATTTAGAAAACTTACCATCAGGTGTTGTATTTCATCATCCTTGTTTTTAGTGGGTACTATGTGAACAGAAGTGACATCTATCTCTTTTGTGTAAATTATGTAGTGCAAAGTCATTAGATTTATTTAAAAATTCTACCTCTGCTTACACTCTACATTTCCTTTCTTTTTTCCCTTTTCTCCATGGTACTTACAAGCATCAAACATAAGACATAATTAATTTTGTTTTTTATTACCTATTTCCATCCACTAGAATGTAATTTCCACTCAGGCAAGAATGGTTTATTTTATTCATTGCTGTCACTCCCCAGCAATCCACCCTATACCCCCATGCACATAGTAGGCACTTGACAAATATTTGTTGAATGATTATGGTTGTTATATAAATTAATTTAGCTGCTTCTCTAATGGCACAATGAGGCAAGGGATCTCTTCACTGATTTTTCAAATAAGAAGTTTACTATTTTAAATTACTTTACTTGCATTAACTTCTTAAGTCACTACCCTTTTAAAAAGGTTTTCTTGAGAAGTACAGTGCTGCGCACTTCAAGCTGAGTCTGCATTCCCACCCATTTCAAATCCCTGTACTCACCTACCTACTATTTGCATATGATCCCTTATGGATTTATAGCATTCAATCCCTTTCAAACCTACAAGTCTTTCTAGGTCATTGGGGAGACGATTTAATTCTCTGATGAGCTTAGTAAGGAAATCCAATGTACTCGAATTAAAAAAAAAATGTAGGCAATGCCACCTTTGCTCTTTTCATAGGTGATTGCACAACTATATTCTATGACATTAAATTTGCAGTTGTGTCAAGAGACTTTTCATTCCTAGAATCTCATATTTCTTACTTGTTTTATACTTCAAGAGCTAATTTAATAAAAAAATCATTTGGGTGTGGGTTGTAATGGAACGACATTCACATTGGTATAAGCTGCCAGTATTCTAGGCTAACAGAAGCTATAATGTGAAAATACAAATAATCCCCAAATAATTCCCATTTAGCTTTAGAATTAATTACATGCCCTTATAAAATTTGGCTTGTCTGTTTAATTATATGTTGCCTGAGTTAATAGTAAAATTAATTTCTAGGTAACATATTGTTTGGGAAATTTTTGAGAACAAGGACCATATCTTATTCACTTAGAAAGAACCAAAGTGTTTAGCCCATTGCTTTGCATATGCTAAGTCCTAAATAAATGAATAAACCCTTGGAAGAATGAGAAATAGATACAGATACTGAAGACATGCCTGACCAAGACAATCAAAATGAAAGATCACATTTTTTTTCATTTAAAATTATGAATAGTTGATATTGGGTCCCACAATATAAACACATCAAAAATCATCTACTTTTTCAAGGTATCCAATTAGACTAAACCACTTTAACCTACATTTATAACTTCTAAATGAATATTGTACATTAATTTGTTATTATAATAAGCTGCTTAATAATGGGTAGGCTTATTCTTCTTTTCCAGTTATATCATCCTAAACAACTTAGAAAAGATTCCCAAGATCCTCCTGTTCCTTCATATTAATTGTCATTTTATCGAAGCCACACTTTCCAATGATAGCATTATTTATTTGGCTGTAGTTAAAAAAAGTCAGGAAATAGAATTCAAGGAATTTCAGAAGGATTGCTGATTAGCTATCCTTCTAAACTACATGTATATGTGTGCATTTTGCAGCCAAAGATACAAAAGAAATGAAAAAGTCACTAAATAGGTTTATATTTAACAATCAGAAAGAAAAATTTATAGAAATGTCAAATGTTTATTTTTATGCTAATAGTGCTACCCTTTAAAATGAAGCAAATTATAAGAACCAGTAGTTCTCTATTAAGACAACTTTTTATTGTCCCTAATGAAACTAAATACTGTATGTCTGATATAAATGGATTTTTTAAAATCTTGAGGAGACTTCGTTTAAAACACATATTTTAAGTAAGACCATTTCCAATTACACATTAGAAACTTGAAACAGATGCACAGATTATATCCCAAATCTGTAAAAGCATGAGAATAATAATGTATAAACTGCTAACCTTGAGATCTCAGGAACTCCAGTATTTTCCTGAAGATTCTATGCCTCTGAAAACATATTTTCAGTCTGTTGATATTTCCTCATTTTTTCCTTAAAAAAGAAAATACGTTTCAGAATGTTATGTAAGGTTATGTTTTCAAAGAGCAAACTTACTAAAGGTGCCAACATCGTGATTACATAGGAGAAAATCAATAGAAATCTTAAACTATAAGTAAAGCATTAAATACAGAACTGAATAATCATATGCTATATAATTTAGCAAAGAAAATTTTTTCTTAGAACAATGTAGTAAATTTCTAATGATCCATACATAGTTTAACTCATTTATTTATCTGGTTTTCAATCAACAAATATTATTTGGGACAATAAGTTAAAGATATATCCATTTTATTAACCAGCATTACACTAGACTTAAGCAACTTTCTAGTCTTTAGGAGATTCATATCTTCAAAACACATAAAAATCCAGGGAAATCAACCAAAATGTTGTAGCTTTTGACAGTCAATAAAAATCACAATGAATATTTGTTAGAGTTCTTGATTTGTTTGATTTGCTTAAAGGAAACTATTTAATTATAAAATTAACTCAAATATTTATATATTCATGATTTAAGATAACTTAGGCCTTAAGAAAATTTACAAAATATTCTTTAAAATGACATACATTAACAAAAATGTTGTTCTTTAAAATTACAGTGCCGTAATTAGAAGTGATTAGTGCAACCATTTAGACAGATGATGAAACCCGGGCAGTAATGATATATACTTTTTATTTACCCAGACTAAAATGTATATAATCACTTTTTCTAAACCACTAATGAATTTTCTACTCTTGTATGTCAAGGTAATATTACCAAGTCCATATAAAAATGTAAAAATTTTCTTTAAAAATGAGATAGAGAAGCTTGTTCATTTATTATGTTTCCACAGTAGGCAGAACAGAGCTATCATTGATCATAGCCAATGACAATAGCTAGTGTAGAAATTCTACAAATATGTTACCTGAATGAACAAATACCCTACACAAGCAACTTATGCTGCTGTAATTTGAACAAACAAAATATCAAAATCTTTAAGAAAAAAATTTGTCTCAGGCAAATTGTGCCGCCAAGATTCTCTTTTTTCCTTTAAACTTTATCAATATCTACATAGATATGCTGAGATAAAGAATTGGAATAAACTGGATTAACTGTGATACAACAATAGCACAGAAATATCAAATTGTGATTGGAATTACAGAGCTAATAGAGGTTATTGAGTCAGTTTGGTTCTGAGTAACCCCAGATTTGGTAGATGAACTTAAGAAACCTCAGAAAAATGCAATCAAAATTCAATTTTATTATTTTTAATGATTTTTAGGTTTTTAAAAAATTGACAGATAACATTGTATGTTTTTATCATTTACAACATGTTTTGAAGTATATATGCATTATGGAATAGTTAATTCTAGCTAATTAATAAATTATACTACCTCATATAGTTATCATTTTTGTGGTGAGAGTGTACAGCAACCTCTCTGTACGTTTTTCAAAAATACAATATAGCATCATTAACTATAGTCACCTTGCCGTACAATTTTAGGTATAATTTTAAATATCTTAAAATTCTATTGAGAACATTATACATTCAAATGATGGCATACTGAAGACCAATGAAGATATAACTTGAATCATCCTTTGCACTTATTTTGAGCAACATCTAAGAATGGAGCTTTTCCTGTTTTCTCTGTTAAAGATGAATATCCTGAGATTACAGTTCAAGAAATTAAAAACCAACAAGCAAGCAGCAAGCAAGCATACAAACAGATCTCTGTTTGTGTCCACTGAATATAGACTTTAAAAAGTTATAAAATATTTGTGGCCGGGCACAGTGGCTCATGCCTGTAACCCCCGCACTTTGGGAGGGCAAGGCGGGCAGATCATTTCAGCTCAGGAGTTTGAGAGCAGCCTGGCCAACATGGTGAAACCTCATCTCTACTAAAAATGTAAAAATTAGCTGGGCATGGTGGTGCACGCCTGTAATTCCAGCTACTTGGGTGGCTGAAGCACAAGAATTTCTTGAATCCAGGATGCAGAGGTTGCAGTGAGCCAAGCTCGTGCCACTGAACTCCAGCCTGAGTGACAGAGCAAGACCCTGTCTCAAAAAAAAAAAAAAAAAAAAAAGAAAGGAAAAGAAAAAGATATTTGCAATTAAAACAAAATAATTAAATTAGATGTTGAGTTGCATATGTCTATAAATAGCATTCATAATTTAAGGTCAACTTTTCTCGTTAGTGAAAATAAATTCCTTATTAAATGTAATTTCTTATTAAGATACCATTTAAAATTTCATCCTAGAAATAAAAGTTTCTGCTGCCATAAAAAGAAAATGAGGATGCTATTTCGTTCAAGCTGCCTATTTTACAAACAAGAAAACTGACTATATTTGTGATCTGTAACTAAATCTAAAGAAAAAAATTACGTGTTTTTGACTACCCATTATTAAAGTTGAAATTCAAAAACATAATTGTATTTGACAGCCAAATAAATAAAAGTCTTTCTTTAGGCATTAAGATATTCTATTGAGGAAAGCAAAAATATTGAGAAATCTAGTGATCTAAATTTACAGATATATATATATATATATGTATTTTTTTTTTTTTTGAGATGGAGTCTTGCCCTGTCACCCAGGCTAGAGTGCACTGGTGCAACTGGCTCACTGCAACCTCCACCTCCCAGTTCAAGCGATTCTCCTGCCTCAGCCTCCCAAGTAGCTGGGACTACAGGCGTGCACCAGCACACCTGGCTAATATTTTTTTTTTGTATCTTTAGTTGAGACGGGGTTTCACCATGTTGGCCAGGCTGGTCTCAAACTCCTGACCTCATGATCCGCCCGTCTCAGCCTCCCAAAGCGCTGGGATTACAGGCGTGAGCCACAGCGCTTGGCCACGTATCTATAACTAACCTATAATTTAGACAGAGGCAAAGGTACCCTGGCCTATAGAAGAAAGGAATTCAAACTCTAACCTGTTTGAAAGTCAAGGATATAAAAATAAATCTCATGCATAAAACTGACCCTAACTAAGGCCAGTGAAGCCACTAGGGTGAAGTCTACCGAAAAGGAAGAAGGAGTTACTGTGTGTGGTGGTGCAAGCCTTGTAACCTCAGCTACTCTGGAGGCTGAGATGGGAGGTTCACTTGAGACCAGAAATCCGAGACCAGCCTCTAAAAAAATGTTTAAGGAGGAGGAGGAGCAGGAGGAGAAGGAGCAGGAGGAGGAGTTGGGAAGAATGACATATTCAATGCAAAGGTCCAAGTATTGGGGATCTGGTGCTTAATGCCTGTTCTGTGCACAATGCACAGTAGTTGATGCAGGTGACCATTCCAGTTTAGCACCTGTGCTGGGTGGATGTTACCTGGGGACACTGACTGTGTAAGACTGTGTTAAAACAAAGTATGTGTGCACACATGTGAGAGACAGAATTTTAAAAGTTGTGCTAAGATCTACAGCGCTCACCCTGAGGCAACTTTGTAGAGGAATCATCCGGGGATGTAATGTACCTCAGGAAGATTAAGGGGCAGCTACTCTTCCTTTGCAGGCCCCCCTGGGCACATCACAGAAGATCAGCGGGAACTGCCATTTTTCCTGGAATCTTGCCTTTATGAGGTTATCACAACCAAACTGGATAGCCTCAACACTGCCTTTTCATACCACCTGTGAGTGGGATCCACGCCCTATGGTTGGGCTTAGCAGGGACAAATGTCCTCTACAGCTGATTCAAGGATAAATATAATCATTCCTGGTATTATAAAAAATGTTTGAGGAGTTTAAAACTTGTAGAAGACTGATAACTGTATACTTATATAAATATAACATCATTTGTCTTCAAACAACTTTGTTATGCTCATTTAAAGAAGCCCAGGGTCAGATGTCTGAATATAACTTTAATGAAAAATAAAACTGACATAAACCCATATCATCATTTAGAAATGTGCATCTAACTCTTATGATTCACATCTGCTCCTTTCTAATATTTGGGGCTTAATTGAGAAAGTCATCTAGAACCAGTTTTTTAACTTGTGGAAATTCCTTCAATATTGCAATGCTGATGGGGAAAGTAAAGACAACCTCCTTGTTCCAGCCTCTTTGGCTTCCTGGTTGCCCTTGGAAATCACTGCAAATTGTCCTGCAAATCCCAGCTGCTATCTTGATTGGCAATGGTCAAGGCACTCTTCCATGTTTTCAACATTTTCTCTAAAAGGGTATCTTCAGTAGGTCAGTGAGGCACATAGCTATTGCTGGTATGTTTCAGTCAGCAGCCAAGCCAGCCAGCACTGAGATCACTGAAGGTCACATCCCAATGATAGCATTGACTAAACTATAAAATTAGCTTGTAATATTTTTAATAGATGATTCGGTGATAAGCTATAAAGAAATAGAACTTGTTTGAAAGGCTGTCATCTTGTTCCTGCCTTTAAAAAAATCTCTTTTGCCAATGCTGGGGTTTTGAGAATAAATCTGTTCCTGTCGGAATCACAGAATTTGAGACCTCTAAGTTGACGACTTCTGCTTGTCTGGAAGCCTGGCACACATCACAACCCAAATACGTCAAAAGGGAATGATGGTCTATGAACACAAGTGGAGTAATTGTCTGGTGTTCTCAAGTGATAATAAAACTTGTAAATTCAGTGAAATAGTTCAATTGCATCTGCAATTGCATCTCAAAATACAGCATTGCATAATTAATATGCCTGCAACCAGCACAAGCATCATTTACTCTGAAGGACAGTTTCCTGACAGAGCAAAGGGCCTGGGGCAAAGAAATCTAGCAGGAGACAGCAATCTTCTATGCAGAGTTGACCCTATTTTTTTTTCTTTTTGAGACAGAGTCTTGCTCTGTCACTCAGGCTGGAGTGCAGTGGTGGGATCTCGGCTCACTGCAACCTCCGCCTCCTGGGTTCAAGCGATTCTCCTGCCTCAGCCTCTCAAGTAGCTGGGACTACAGGCGCGTGCCACCACGCCCGGCTAATATTTTTGTATTTTTAGTAGACATGGGGTTTCACCGTGTTAGCCAGGATTGTCTCAATCTCCTGACCTTGTGATCCTCCCTCCTTGGCCTCCCAAAGGGCAGGGATTACAGGCGTGAGCCGCCATGCCCGGCTGACCCTATCTTTTTAAGAGAAGAAACTTCACTGACAGTCATATTAATTCTATTTATAATTCTTTTTAAGATATCAATACCACTCCAATTTTGTGCCTTCACATACATGTTGAAGTACAGCTAACAAAAATATTGCAGCCCATAATCAATTCGTCTACCAAACAACAAAAATGAATTTCCATTGTTTTCACATATGTTGAAATATAAGAAACATTATTACATGACAAAAAATGTTTCCAAAAGAATAATAGTACTTAGTCATTCTATTTCAGTAAAGTGCACAAGAGTTATATAACCAAATTAATCTTAGACTATTTATAGATGAGGTGGTCACCATGGATTCTTCCATTCAATCACCCGTGTTCAAAAATGTGCAAACAATTTTCTAAAATTGTTCAGGTAATAATTCTCTATTTAAAGGCATAGGAAGAGGTATTACAATTTCTGGAAATCTGTTAGAATTATAAGAGAATCTAGGTGACAATTTAGGTAAAAATTATAAAACTTAAGGAAGTAGATGATTTTCCAGAAAATTGTAAATTGGTGAGACTGGCCCTAGAAGAGGTACAAACTAGACTAGACAGATTACCACAGAAGGGATTGAAAAACATGTTTCAAGTTCTACCACTGGAAAAGGTAAATAAGATCAACAGGGTATAAAGCCTTACAGAAGCTTTATAACATAGGTCTCCACATTACTTAAATGATATACTTCACTAATAAAAAATTTTCTTGACCTGAACACATTTTTCACTCATTCCACAAATGCTCACACTTCCTCACTTACTGAATTTAGAGTTTAACTAAATACCATTATTCATCATGCTAGTCTTTCCCTTGCACATACACTCACCTCCAAGGCCTTTCTCTCTCTCTTCTTCAAACTAGTGTGACAAAAAAACCCACCTGATTAAATTCAGTTCTCCTCCTGCTATGAACCTGCCCCCTGGAAGCTAAACAGATGACTGCAACTAGAGAAAATGTAGGATACATGAAAACAAGACATAACTTTTGGTATATGACCACAAACATAAGTGGGTCCCCTGTAGTGCCTGGCAATCTTATCACACTTTCTTTGATAATTCATGGCTTGGCTCTATGATATCGCTCAAAGAGACACCTTTGCCTCTTCAACCATCCCACATTCCTTCCCACCTCCTCACTCTCAGTTCATGATACTGCTTCTAAGAAAATGGAAAGAGCCACAGTTAAACTTCCTCCCTTTTTTCTATCACTGTATCCTCTATACACTTGGCATTTGTGATCATGTAGTCTGTCTTCAATCATGTTATGATGAAGAAACATCCTTCTCCTCCCTAAGGCCAACCCCTTCTCTTAAGACTTAGATTCCATTTCCTCTCACCAACTTAGGTTTTCACGACTTCAATTATACCCTCTGTCTTCCACATCATCATTTTTCTCCATTTTACTAGATTATGCCCATTTGTATGCAAATATGTTATAATATCTCCCATCTTAAAATCGTTATTTTCTTTTTCATCAGCTCCCCATCTCACTATCACCCTAATTCTCTGGTCTGTTTTTTAACAAACCTTTTTAAAGAGTGCATTCTCCATTCCTCAGCTGCAATTCTACATTGAATTCCTCTCAATTAGGCTTCATTTCCACAGCTCTACTGAAATAACACTTATCGAGGTCAGCAGTGAACTTGAATATTGCCAAATCCAATGGTAAGTTCTGTCATTATCTTCCTCAATCTCTCAACAGAACTTGACTCTGATAATCACTTTTCCTTTCTTGATGTATTTCTTCACTTGGCTTCTAGGATACCACACAATCCTAGTTTATTTCCTACCTCATTTGCTGCTCTTTCTCAACTCCTTTGCCTGATTTCTTCCATTCTTCCTGAACTCTACATCCTTTAGCAGATTCAGTTCTGAGACTTCTCTGACACTGTCCAAGGAAATCAAACCCAATCCCATGTCTTTAAGTAGCACCATTTATTGATGAATCCAAAATTTAGATCTCTAACCTGAACCTCTTCTCTGAGCTTTAGACTCATATCTACTGTTTACTCTATTCTGCAACTCCATTTGAATGGCCAATAGGCTTCTCAAACATAGTATGTCCAAAAAATAACAATAATAAGTAATAAGGAACAAAGGACAGAAGACACATAATCCAGGCTTCTACCCTCTCTGGGCTTCTTTATATCAGGAAATGGCATTATCATTTACTAAAGTGCTCAATTAAAACCTAGCTCCTTAGTGAAAATGGCTGATTTTAGGACCAGGAAAGAGGAAATACAAGATGAACCTGAAACATTGTGTAAATACCAGAAAGTAAGGAAGAAGAAAAATAGGATAGACCAGGGCATGTCAAAAGGATACAAGAGCAAACCTGAAAGAGCTCTCAATGGTCAGAGTTGAAATAGCTGAGGCAACAAATATTAATGGTAGTATTATATTATAATCCCAAGAAAAAATAAATATATATGAGTCTATATGGATCTAAATAAATGACTGAGTAAACAAGTAAATGAGAGAGAAGAGAAAAACTGTTCCTTACAAAAAGTTTCCAAAGAACATATACAGATCATCCCCATTTAAGAAGCAAAGCTTGATCACCACCATCGACCTTGAGTGTGACCTGGGTTGGGTTAGTTATTTCAAAAAAACAGAGCGTGAAAAAATAAAAATAGTAATGCTACAGTGGATAAATCTTGCAGACACTATCTCAACCAACTGACTAACGTGAATATTACCAGTGATACATTATGCTGATATTATATATCCCCGATATGATTCAATATGAAGAGTACTTTACTTCTCTGGTGTTCTTCCCAAAAACCCTTACCCGAAGTCTAATCATTAGAAAACATCAGAGAAAACTAAGATTGAGGAACATTCTAAAATAACTTGACTCAAGCTCTTCAAAAAATCAGGATAATAAAAAACAAGGAAAGACAGTCACTGTCACACCTCAGTGAGACTAAGGAGACATGATGACCGAATTCAATGTGGTATCCTTGATTGGATCCTGTATCAAAAAAAGAATATTCATGGGTAAAATGTGAAAGCTGAAGAGTCTGTACCTTGTTTAATAGCATGATACCGAGTGGTAATTTCTTACTTTGACAAGTGTGCTATTGTTATGTAAGAGGTTAACACTGGGGGAAGCTGAGCAAAGGGTGCATGGGAACTCTCTGTGATATTTTTGCAACTTTTTCAAAACTCTAACATTATTTGAAAATAAAATGCTTATTGTAAAAAGCCTATAAATAATTCATGTTCATGTCTTTCTCTCACACCCCACAGCCAAACAATCAGCATTGCCTTTCAGCTCTGCCTTCAAGATGCATCCTCAATCTGACCACTTCTCATCATCTCCACAGCTACCACCTTAGGCCAAGTCCCCACATCTTTCACTTCCACTACCTGACAATAACTTCGAATCCAGTCTTCACACAAGTGTCAAGCTCTTTTCTGACATCTTACATTTGTTATTATTTCTCCTGGAAGCCTCCTCCTACCCCACATATTACATGGCCTACTCCCTCACTTCATTGAGCCCCCAAAATATTCTCTTTGGAGTGGCCTTATATAAACATCTTTATTTAAAATAGCTATCCCCATTCCTATTCCTTAACCCTATTTTATTTTTCCTCACAGCACATTTGTGACTTTATAGAGCTATTTAGTTATTATCCATCTTGATGACTAATGTAGACATCATGAGGGGAGGGGCTTTCTCTTGTTGAATGGATAAACACCTATTACTTGGTATTTATGGGAAAAAGTATAATCTTATCCAAAGCTGATAGGAGTATGTATTTTACTGCCATTTGGAAAAAGCAATATGCTAATATCTGTTAAGTCAGTGTTAGTCCATAAATGTCTGTCTCATAAAAGGTGAAGTATAAGTCTATAAGGATATTTTTTAAAGAATATATATTATAGCCTTTTTCATAGTAACATAAAAACTAACCCGAAACAAATGAGCACCCATAGGGGAAAGACAGACTAAACTGTTAAATGTCCATACCTTGTAATATTATGAAATTATTAAACAAATAAAAGTTACTAAAATACAGCTATGACAAATAACTTGGGGAATTTCCATAAGGTGCTGTCCAATGAGAAAACCAAGATGAAGAAAAATGTATAGATATGATCTGTTTTTTTGACAGAAAACCCTCAGAGAAAATATAATCCATTTTTTGACTAAAAATTCCTCTTAGAATATGTAAATGTTTATGATTATTCAATATTTTAAAAACACATGAAAGAATATAAACCAGGTTGTCAATAAGAGTTACTCGCAGGGGCAAGAGATGTGAATGAAGGACAGAGGGGAAGAAGATGGAGAAGTCAAGCCAAAAAATAAAAAAGAAGAAAGAAAGGAAGAAATATTAAACGAAGTCTGTGGTATGATGATATCCATGCTTTTAACATAAAATTCTTTGTATGTGTGCATAAAAGAGACTTATTCAGGGAAGTCAATTTTAAAGTACAGAATGTCTTTTGGACATGGGGCTCACAATTTTTTCAAAGAAACATCAACTTTTAAATATAAAATTAATTGCAGGGTTACTTAATCTTACAAAGAAAACAGAATTGCCGGTAGAATTGATCAGATTCCCAGGAAATGCATAAATTCTTACAGATGGTCCTGGGAACACAGCTAAACTGCAGACTATGTTAGTCAGTGTACTTTCATGTTCAGCTGCAGAAAATAGAAATCGATTCTAAAAAAAGAAAAACTGACATCCACTGATAGGAATAAAAGACGGAGACCTTTACATAATTGGTTAGCTCAACTTTTAGTTAATCAAGCAGTCGATGGCACCTACCTTAAGTGTTATCATGGATATGTTCCTGCATGGAAACCATGCGATTTTTGTCCTGGAGAACAAGAATGCCCAAATAAGCTCTTGAATGGTTGCTAGGGCTGCCCTGACAAGTTTTATTCTCTTAAAAAATGTGGAACAAACCACAGGCTTTCTAACAATAATATGTCCGTATCTTTTCTGCCACAATAAGATGTTAGGAGTATCCCAAACAGTCCCCTGTAGAAAGTGCTGAGCACCTAATAAGTATTTATACATGTTTAAGTACTTTCATTACGCCCCAGAAGCATTGCATGTTGTGGCAGACAGAAGGGTATATAATCATGTAATTAGTCTGACCCCAAATTGGTCTGTTTGTAACAACATGGAGTACGTAATGCCAATGTGAAATATAAAGTGTAAATAAAGGAAAAAATGTATGATATCCATTCTGGATATCACATGAGGGAATTTTATCACAGAAGTCTCTTTGTATAAATAGGCATCACAATAGATGCCTTTATGATAAAGTGATTTTACCATAGGGTGAATACAGAGGAGCCCTAAATGAAGATTTTTTAAAAATATAATTAGAGAACTGCAGATTCAATGCTGTTCAAGAGAGAAATATTAGTGGCATGATGATGTAATAAAAGATGCTTAGGTTCTGGGGTACCAAAAAACAGAGGTTGCCATATTTTGGAAATTTCTAACCTCTGTGACTTTTAACAAATTACTTAACATCAGTCTCTTCATTTCTCATATGGGCATATGAACTCTGATTTTATACTATATAGTGAAAATAAGTAAAACATTTTACTTATTTTTATATCATGGGACTTACAACATATCCTCAATATATTAGTTCTTTTTATTAACCAGAAAATTAAAAAACGGAACAGAATGTGATAGAATATTTATAAATTTAATAAGCAATTGGCTATGAGTAATTTCCACTATTCACTTACAAATAATTTTATTGCAGTGTTGTTTTGAAAAAATATTTAGTTTAGCTTTTTTTCATGTTTATGAACTACGAGATCAAAGTGAATTACTAATATGGGGTCCATTGTTATTGGTGGCCCAACACATTTTTCTTCCTCCTATTTTTTCTAGTAATATATTCCATGTCTCCTTTCTTGTTACCACTACAAGGGAGAAATGAATGAGACAGTCAATCAAAGGACCTCATCCACTGGTGACAATGTTTGATTCAGTGAAGAGTATGCGGCCCAGGCTAGGGTTGTCAGTCAGGTTCCAGTTTAGAAAATAGAGTTCGTGACGGGTGGTCTAATGATTCCTGTGTGAAGAAATTTCATACAAGGAAGTAGTTACAATGGTTTTGAGGGAGCTGAGACCCCAAATAAAAAAGGAAAAAGAAACTCAGATATTAGCAACAGTGGGTAGATGCCGCCACCCCTCAGACTGGAGGCCCAAAGGAAGAGGCGATGTAAGTCACCAGAGATCAAGAGTGGGTGCTGCCTTCTGGGAGCCGAATCCCTGGAGAGGTTGTTGCATGGGGGCTATGAATATAAAAGTTGGGCCATTGCAACAAGGCCTGAATCATGAGAAGATGTGGCAGCCACTAGATATATCATCTGAGGCACGGATGGGTTGGTGAGAATATTCTTGTGTATCCCTTACCCCTGCCCTCCGTTTTCCCACCAAGGCATCTTATTTGCTGAACCCATCTGGAAGGGAGTAGGCATGGAAGTTGGGAAATGCAATTTGACAGAGATCCTATCTGAGCACAAATGGACACATACTTGACATATTAAAATAATCCTGGAGATCTAAACTGTTGGAGCTAGGGGTGGAAGAGATGCCTTCTTGTCTTCAAGAAGAGAGTAATATGTATGTCTATAAGTACACAGACATCTTCCGCAGATCATCTGGGGAACCCGTAATCCCATATATGGGTAGGAGAAAATAAGTCCTTCCCACAGTGAAGAGAGATCCAAGTCATGATGGACAGGGTAGGTATTGAGAGTATCATTTGAACCCCCAATCCATTTTGGCCTAATGTGACTACTCCTGACTATCTCGATTACATGAGCTAGGATATCTCTGTTTTATCTAAGATAGATAGTATAGGGCTTTCGTCACTTGCAATAAAAAGTCTTGACTAATATAACCGTAATCATTAACTTTGACTATTTTAAAGAAATGCTAGGACAAATGTCATGTATTACCAGTAAAAGAAATGAAATTAAAGAATGCTTGTGGTTTTGTATTACCAGTAAGATAAATTAAATGAATGTGGTTATGTTGACAAGCCTTGTTGCCACAATACTGAATGAATTCTCTCCCTTTTATCTTAAATAAATAATTTAAATTAAAAAAACCTCCGGAAGTTAGAAAAGTAATTCCTCGCAGCCTTTTAAGATAGAGAAGCCAGTTGTATTCCTTGATTCATGTCTGGTAATCAGACAAAAAGAATGCAGATTAATGCCAGATGAAGGCTATCAAAACAAAAATTCACTACAAAGAAGCAAAAATGAATCTGAAGTTCATCTGCAGCTATAGAATATGAGATGCTAAACAGAGCAGTGTTGTTCTATTTTATCCTACTTCAATAATTGAAGATTTTTTTAAATAAAGTGAATAATTTATTGTTTAACCCATTTGCAAAAAAAAGGTACAGGAGGCCCAGTCAACTTCTGTATCTATTTGCCTCCTGAAACCTAATGTTTTGAGTTTTTTCTTCTTCCACTTCAAGCAATGCCTTTATCTTTTTATTATTCTCCAATTAAGTGGAAAATAGACAGAAATAAATGGGTTTTCCTTTATAGGACAGAAATCACTGGAAACCCAAAGTTGGTTAGTAGTTTTTGCTTGCTTGTTTTTTCGTTTTGACTTCCCAAAACTGAGAATCAGATCTTACTTGTCAAGAAACATTTTGTTTGAAGAATGAATTTATAACCCCAATCCCATAAAATTTACTTCCATTTAATGATGTACTGTCTCCAGGTTGAAGTTTTCTGAAAATGAGAGTTAATTTTTCTCTAATCCATACAATGTACTAGTTGACGATTATATTTTTTAGCATGGTTGCATGCTAAAACATGTCATGTCTATTAGTCTGAACTTCTCAAGTAGAGTATAAGTTCCTTAGGACAGAAACATCCTTTTCAGTCTGCTCATATGCAGCAATACGTCTTCAGTGTGGTCTTTAACATGTGGTGTGCTCCATTAGCCCTTGCATAAATAGAATTTTAACAAACTCTTGAGATATGTAAAGAATTTGTATTTCTTCAGTCATGTGAGGGACCAAAAGCAGGGACATGAGAGTTTTAGCATTTTACAAAACTAATTTTAATGGTAATCAGCATAGTTGGTTAAACGATCAGAATTGCAATCTCTAGCACTTCCAGTGGTACCGTCATTTTATTCTAATTAATAATACTATAGATAAGAACTAAAGGACTGCTTGTATTTAATGCAGAATTTTTTAAATTAAAGATTTTGAAAACAGTTTTGTTACATGGCATGGAAGTGAAAAAATTATTTTTATTTTCTTATAGAAAGTATAGCATACTATAGTGGTTAACAGTGCGGGCACTGGAGTTTGAGCCGGTTTTAAGTTTTTAATGCCAGCGTTTATAAGCTGTGTGGACTTAGATAAGCTACTTATCCCCTTTGCATCTCAGTTTCCTTATCTTTCACACAAGAATAAACTGTGCTAGGACTACCATTCCTACTCACCTCTTATGTTGTTTTGTGAGGATTAAATGATATGTTTCAAAAACATTCAGCATTAAAATGAAGGATCAGACGCAAGAGGGTTATTGGTAGTGCTGTCTTGTGTAACTTTCATCTTATTATCTCTTTTTTATGTGAATTTGAAATGTATTTTTAAAATGTATTTTAAGATAATCTTGAACATTTTTAAAGGTCTCTTAATGCACATACATTGCCAGATTAATTAGATACTCATGTGAAATTAAATAAATTAATTTACAATGAAATAGAGTCAAAGGCAATTATAGTTTTATATTAGGAAGAATATTTTTCATTTTATCATATTAATAGGTCAAAATAGGATTACCTTGCTATGTACTATTAAGATTCTGATACAACTTTACATTCATTATTAATTAGAAAGAATTAATGGAAGAATATCTCCTTAACTTAGGACAAAGTATATCCTATGACTAAATTAAAGGTGAAATGGTGGAGGCATTTCCATTTTTAAAGCACTATACCCTTTCTAGTACCCAAAAAGCCTTTCAGAACATATAATTACAAAATCCCTTTCATAGTAGACACAACAATTGTTAAAAACTTAGCAGGGAATAGGCATTGCAAAAAGAAAAACATAAAATTCTGCTGTGCATAAAATAATAGTTAAATACAAAAAGATATCTAATGTGTTGCCTAAATTAATCTACATATTTAATGTAATTCCAATGGCATAACAAGTTTGTTTATTAGCTTAAAAATATTCTTCTAAAATTTAAATAATAATCATGTGAGATAATGTTAAACTTTAAGAGTATGGTAGTGTACTGTTTTTCTGTTAATAGTGGTGGGTTAGGAAAAATTGAGAACTCTCATCTGAGATAATGAAATCTACTACAAAGCCATAATATAACACTAATGTTGGTTTTAAAATAACCAGAGCATGTAATAAAAAGAAAACCACAAACAATGATCACACTATATGTGATAATTTAGCATAGGAACAGAATCACAAATAAATAACAAATAATATATTATTCAATATATGATTTTAGGAAAACAGGAAAATTATCTCTAAATTTCACACAATATGCCAATAAAATTTTCAAATGGACTAAAGATTTAAATACATATAGAAATTTATGAAAATCCTAGGAGCAATTATTTGTGTACAATTGATCTGGGCAGTAGAAGTTTGCCTAAACAGTTCCTAAAGCTAAATTCATAATATATTTGACAGTACAAATATATTTCACTAGCAAACATAGAGTTAGAAGAAAAATGACAAAATAGGAAAGATATTGTATATGCATTCACCAAATAACTAATCCTTAATATTATAAAACAATGAAAAAGAAAATCACTATCATAATAAAAAACCTGGATAGGCAATTCACACACATACACACACACACATACACAAGGCAAATGATTAAATACATAAATAATTAGCTTCCTACAATTCAGAGAAATTCAAGTGCAAACATTGGTACATGTTTTCACTAATCATATTAATCTATGTATGTATGTGTGTGGGTCTATAATGTGTGCATATATGAACGTATTTATATATACACAGAGAGAGAGAGAGAGACAGGGGAAGAGAGAGAGAGGGAGCCGGTGGCAGGTGGGGGAGAGAGAGAGATTTAGACAGACAGAAGACAGACAGAGAGAAAATACCTAACTAGTTTTGGTAAGGTGTTTGGTAAGGTGTTGAGGAAATATGCACTCACTTATTAGAAGTGGGCATATACATTGGTAAAGTCTTCTGGAGGGCAATTAAAAACAATACCCTTTTAACTATGATTTCCACCTTTAGAGATTTGCTCTAAGATTAATCTACAAGTAAGTCATAAACAGCAATAATCATATTGGTGGAAAATTCTAGAAAACAATTATAATAACAAAATAGATCTAGTTAGGATAAAGCATATAAATACAAATTGTGAAAATATATAGAGATTTTTAAAAACACCCAGAATTCTACTACTTTTTGAATATTACCATCTATAGAAAATGTGTGTTTTTCTTTTTCCTTCTGGATCTTATTATACCACGTATTTAAGATTTTATAAACATTGATGAAATTAATATAATTTTGCAAACTTCTTTATAAATGTGAATATATTTTTATGTCAGTAGATACATTTGTTCAGCTGTTTTTGTTGATTATATAATAATTAATTATGTGGATTTTCCAAAGATTATTCAACTAATTGCATAGTATGTAGGTTCTGTATACTTTTTCACCATAAGAAAAAATACCGTAAAAATCATCCTCAAAGCTAAAACTTTTTTCTACATTTCAGCTTTTTAAAGAAACAAAGAAATATTAAATACGTCAGCTCTAAATATTTCAATGTTCTAATTTACTAATAAATGAGAACGCTGAATTCTGATTTAGTAATAAATTTAAAGGTTAATGAAACTATATGAGGAGTTTGGGAAGTTACCTAGTTCAGACTGGCAATAGTGTATGCATAAATTGGAATCTTCATGAACATCTGATATGAAAACTTTTTTTCAATAAATCTGGACCTGTTGAAGGAGACCCTAATTGTATTTAACAATCTTAATAATTGCTATACAATTGGCCTATTTCAGTTGACTCACGTTATACTTAAGATGAAGAAAACATTTCATCAATTGAATCTTTTTTAGTAAAAAGTCATGAACATACCAATCAAAAATAAACATATTTAGCAACTAAAGTAAGGAGAATTAAATGAGATAATTTGTTTAAAGCATTCAGCACAATGCCTGCCAAATCATAAACTGCTCAATAACACTCGCTATTCTGATTACTCCCATTCAGCAATGTGGGGGAAATATAGGACAAAGGTCCTGCCATCAAGGAGCTTAAAATAATTGTAATTATAAATTCCAACCATTTCCATACTCTCACTACAAAGCTACTACAGAAGAGCTACTCTGTTGAAAATGATAATGTTAATGTAGGCTGTGTTTATCCTTTTTGGACTCCATTCTTCAATTTTTCAATGAAACATTTGTTTATCAGACATTGAAGGGCATTTTAAAAACACATAACTTTTCTTATTAATGTTCATGAATTACTCAGTTAACTTAACTCCCTAGGTTTCCTTTTGCAGCCTCTCTAGCTTTATGCCTATTTATAAAAATCTAAGCCAAAAGTATGACATCTGTCTTATGTAACCATGATCTTAGCATAGCATTTCATTATAACTGATTAATGACCACTATAATGGGAAGCCTAATCAATTCTTTTGGCAAGTAAAGAGTTCTTGAAATATATATCTATAAATGTATATATATCCAGAATATGTACTAATCTCTCCAAGCCAAAATGATGGTTGTCATAGAAACAGCAAACAGCAGAAAGTTGGATCTGACAGAGCAAGAAGATAATGGACAGCATCTTTGGAGGAAATCATAAAATAGGACAGGCTATGTTGGAAAAATTATATATAATATTACTTTCCATGATTTATTCCAAACCAAGGTTCTCAAAGATGGAATTAAATACCCTAGCCTCTGATAAATTTAAAGTATATACATTTTCAAAAATGTGGGAGTTGTAGGCATTAGAACAAATTTCAAGATCAAATATAAATAATGGCCAGGCACGGTGGTTCACGCCTGTAATCCTCGCACTTTGAGAGGCCTAGGTGGGAGGATTACCTGAGGTCAGGAGTTCAAGACCAGCCTGGCTAACATAGTGAAACCCCGTCTATACTAAAAATACAAAAATTAGCCGGGCGTAGTGGCACATGCCTGTAATCCCAGCTACTCAGAAGGCTGAGGCAGGAGAATCACTTGAGCCCGGGAGGTGGAGGTTGCAGTGAGCCAAGAATGCAAGATGGTGCCACTGCACTCCAGCCTGAATGACAGAGGGAGACTCCGTCTCAAAATATATATATATATATATATACACGTGTGTGTGTGTGTGTGTGTATATATATATGTATACATATATGTATACATATATACATATACGCATATACATATATGTATGTATACATATACATATATACATATGTATATATTCCTTATTTATATGAATTGTAAGTAAAATATGTGCATTTTCCATCTCACATGATATTTCCACCAACATTATAATCCAATGGCATAAAAATATGTAACAGTTTACGTATTTTGCATATCTACATGACACAATTAATGGGACCCACCACAGACTGGGTCTCACCATGGAAACATCTAGTGCTTTTAGCACTCTATCTAGCAATCTTTACCAGCTTGCATGTTGCTTTTGAAAATTGTTTCAATTGAGTTTGAGTTTTTGGTGTTTTCTTTCCTGTTTTTTTTTTTTTTGGTGATGCTAAGTCTGTTGCAGTTGTACATTAAGGATTGTAAAGAGACTTAAGAGTTCACTATATAAATCAAGTTTCATAAAATTTTATTCAAATGTCTAGAACTGTAAATTATATAACTCAGTCTTTACTACTACTCCCTTATTATAATATTTGTGAGATGAAGGCAAATGCAACAAACCGAGAGTCCATTGTAATTTTAACTCACTGCAAATAGTTTTCTATCTGAAAATTAAATGTCATTAAAAAGATGTTTTTCCAAGTTTTTATGTGCTGGTTTTTGGTTGAAAAGCAAGTTATCTTTTTGGTTTTGTTATATTTATTCTGATTGCTCTTTCTTCCTTACATTTAAAAACTATGCTTTTAACCTTAGTCCAGTTCTCAATGGAATTCAGTATTTTTGAGACTTACTTAACTATTCTAGTTCCTGCAAGATCACTGTAGCCGAACATATAAAACATATGGTACAATAATTCTGTGGCCCTAAAACATTCCCAGCGTATTTACAAATTCCTTAAACAAAAAAGAAGGATTTCTTTTTATATACAAACATGCACTTCCCAGAGTGAAAGGATTAAATATTATTGCAGCCTATTTAGAAATCGCACCAACTGTCTCTCTCTCTTTTTTTCTTTTAAGCAGAACCATGTTTAATTCCTTCCTGCATTCACTTGCACACAAATACTCTTCCCCCAAGCTGTCAGAAAGCATCAGACTGCCTGATCTGCAAAGTGAATTTCAAAATCTTTTGAGAAACACAAGGACATTTGCTTCAGGCGCAGATTTCATCATCACCGTCATAAACAGCAAGTATAAAGCAAGTCAATCTCTGGTATTCAAACCAAAGCTAGAAGATGATGGTACTTTGAAGATGGTTAGTAGAATTTTAATTACCTAAATTTGTTTGGATGCATTTTTCAAGCCATGATATTTTACAGTTGGGCAATCATTTATGTATTGCCTGTGACCACTGCTAGATGGACCCAAAGTAAGGATGTGATTCTCTAACAAGAGGTTTATAAAATACGAACACTCTAAGATTTATTTGTAAATAAATTACACTGTCAGATGAAAATGTTTTGATCACTAATGTGAAGATGGTATCTTTAATATTTAATAGCAACTTTAATTCTTGTGCTCTTTATGAAATGTAGCTACAGTATCAATTCCACCTATGAACATCCTGAGTAAATAATAGATGTGGGAAATTTGGAGGTTTTCTATGATGTATTTTGGATCTCATGCTAATAAAGCCATATCCTTCAAACGATGTGAGCGACAGCACCATTAACATCACCAGGACTAACTTTATATTTAGTTTTTCATGACAGCTACTTGAGAGTTAAAACCACAGTGATTGTTGTTTTTCTAGATTCATTGTTATAGATAAATAAAATTTTATTTGAAGTTTGGTCCAATTGTGCTTTTGAGTTTAAAGCCAAATTTAAATGAAGTTTGTTGGGAATTAAAACAAACAAGCAAATATAAAATCCAACTCTGTCCCTAGCCAGTAAAGTTGAATATAATTACTCCATTTAGTCAGAAGCTGCGACTAAGTGAGTCAAATTGAAATGCAGGGTAAGTGGGTTTCTGAATTCTTGAATTATTGAACAAGTAATGCAAGATCCTGGAGTTCAAGAGATAGAAAGATATTATCTTTTTTTCAGGGAGTCCAGGCATCCATCTGGCAAAAGTGGAATATACAAAGGTTTTACCTTTAAAGTAAATGAACTAACCCTTGATTTGTTAGCTGCTGTTAAAGATTCACACTGCATACTTCATCTCACCTACTTTTCATTGTAACATTTTCACGTTATCACAAGCAGCATTATGTCACCAAGACAAACCGATTTCCTTCATGTAAATGTAAAACAACATGTTTGCTGTAAGATATTTCCATCAATGTCAGTGACATACAAGGAAAGTCTCAACAATCTGCCCTGTCACTTACTTACAGAAAGGGGAAGTAAAATGTTCTTTCACACTCAAATTGAATTCTCGGCCCACTATTTCATTTAGCTCATTGAATTTGTTCATAAACTCATCACTAGCACTGCCCTAAAGCCACAAAAAGGCAATAAGAAATGAGAAGCCAGTTACATTTACCAAAAGATAGATTCATTCTATTTATAAGAGATGCTGGCATATAAGCTACAGCCATATCTTTGACTTGATTTGTGTCCCTCTACTTAGTAGCCAGGCTTGTAACTGAACCATCAGAGAGCTGTGTGGTCTGGTAGAGAGGTAGACTCTAGGGATCTACATTAAAGTCCTCTGCCACCAGCTCACATTTTGATTCTTGTCAAATTACTCTTCCTAGACCTTAGTCTCCACATCTGCAAAATAAGGGAGTCACCCTAGACACTCTCAAAGGTCCTACTAGTTCTCATAGTCTTTGAATTCAAAATGAGGTTTGACTCTTTACTGTTAGTTTTTGTCTCAGTTATATAGACAGCATTCGATCTTCTTAAAAACACTAACATGGGTTTTCTTCTTCAATTTGCCCAACTTTATAAAATAATTAATAAAGATTTGTCTTTGTGATCAGGCTAAGAGTAACCCATAGTGATAGATAGTCTCCCGTAGGTCATATTGCCATTTATTCTTTATCCTTCCTCCCCACTGTTTATCTCAAGTCATGGTTCTGATTACACACTCAATTACAAGTTGTTCAATGATGCCTATCACCATTCCCTTCCAGAGGAGTATCAACAAATGTTTCCTTCAAAACTCTTGAAAATTCACAAAGAAAAGTACATCAACAGCACTACAGGGGGGAAAAAAACTCATCAACTTTGCAGCTGCCTTCTTCAATAGCTTAAGTATTCTCCTCTGACCACAGTGGATATGTATGTGTTTTCTCCTTTCCAGACTAGAGTAATGGTGGTGGAGTGGAGCAGTTAAAACCACACGTCAAAATAGTTATTAAAAAATAAAACCACTCTCCACTATACTGTTAACCTTCCAGGAAACTGTTCAGGTGCTCAGAACAACTGCCTGACCTATAATTTTTCAAACCTCCCTAAACAACCAGAACATCACTTTCATCTGGAAAGCATCTAGAGCCATAATTGTAAGGCTTGATGGTGTTTAAATGAACATTGTAGGTACTTTGTGAACTTACAAGCTATAGAAATCAATAAGTGTCTTGCATAGAGAAGTCCTGCAATTGATTTTTCCAGGAGAGAGCCAATTTGTAACTTTAGGAAAGTCATAGACACCTAGGAGGTTGTAAGCATGCTGGCGATTTAAAAAAACAAAATCACGGGGGTGTGGAAAACACTGCACTGCACTGCTAGATGAGGAAGCATCTCAAAGGTATAGGGTTTTAAACTGATGATGATTTTTAGGAGCGGCTAAAGGAAAAAAAAGATTGAGAAATAGTAGGTAACTCCTGCAGTGCTCTAGGATTTGAAAAAGAAGAGCTCTCCCAAGTACACAGAAAGGGTATGAATAGAGTGCTCCCAAGGGTCTTGAATGTAAATATGTACTATTGCTTGTCTAAGGGTAAGAATATCCAGTGGACTCATTCTCTCCAGCTTTTAAGATTTGTCAGAAAATAATTCATTCACTCAATAAAAAACTGCAAGCATCATCCAGTGCTCAGTACTCTTCTAGGCGTTTTAGATAATGGCTCAGTAGGAAAGGCAATATCAGTGCCATCTACAAGGTTACAGTCACTTGGAGGGAGGTGTGAAAAGGCTTTAGATAAATCCCAAACAAAACCTATCTTCTGAAATTCTACTCTCTGGCCATAACTTTTCCACGTAACTGGAGAATCATATCCTCAGAACAGCTCTTGTGTTTTCCCTTCTCGCAAGTGTTTTTATCTCCTCCTCACTTTTTTAATACTTTCTAAAAGTTCCAAATAAAATAGGTTCTACTGCAGTCAAGAGATAAACATTTTTATTCAAAATTATTCTAACAGTGATGGAGAATTATGAATACCAAATAAAATTTTGAATCCTGGGGGAGAGGGAGGAGGATTAAAAATAGGATCTCGGGTCACAGAACTACATGGGATGAACTTTAGTGTAATTTTTTTAAAATTATACTTTAAGTTCTGGGGTAAATGTGTACGACATGCAGGTTTGTTACATAGGTATACATGTGCCATATCGGCTTGCTACACCCATTAAGGCTGTTTTGGTGAGTTTAAACTCCCCAAATACAAATACCCCAGAAAAATAATGCTAGAAAAAAACTATTGTGAAAACAGCCTCTCTTGAATGATACTCTTTTATGTTGAATAATTTTTACCTTTACTCGTGGAATACAAAGTTAAAAGGAAGTTTACACCTATCATCTCATGAGGGGTGGGTGAAGGTAAGGGGCTTTCACTTCATTTACTTTTGCTTTGCATGTTAACTCTTCTGAAATATAATTTTGAGATTCCTTTTCCCTTAATAATTGAGGCTGAATAAGCACAGAGCTGTTGGAAAAGGATCACCTATTTCACAACCTTCATATGTGCATCTTTTACAAGGATTGCCATTTGAAAATGAGTAGACTTTTAAGTTAGAACATATCATACTAAGCTAGATGGTATTATTCACATGAACTGCTTGGGAGAAGTATATACATGAAGAAAGCTGCCCTTACTCAAGAGCATGAACTTGGCCTTGAGTCTGAGTTTTAACTGTGTCCAAACAACTATAGGATCTCAAGGCTTTCAAGGCCTTGATTTCACATAAGCAATCTTTTAAAAAAGAAACATCATTTTCTCATCTAGGAAGTAAATGTGTTACACTCAGCACTGTAAATATTGTGTAACTCATTGACCAATCTATAGACGTTCAAAATGGCTTAACTGATTAGATTTCAAAAGATAGATTTATTTCAGCAAGCTGAAGACACTCATTAAATTATTTCCAGTTGCTGTCTGCTTACCTCCGATTGGACTCATTTCTGCCTCCTACATACTCACTCCATAGAAATGAGAAGAAGTATACTGCTGAAGTTTAATTAACCAAAATTATGTCATGTTTTACAAATATTTTGATATGAGGAAGAATTTAAGAGCAGATACAAGCCAGTGAATTAAGCTAAAGCCCCCAAGAGTGGCCCATGCAACACAATTTAGAGCACAACTGAAACAGAGTTTTAGATACTCACTGGTAAAATCATTAAAACTGAACGATTGACACTATCAACACTCTCAGTACTGTCACAGCTGAAAACTTCATCATCTGATTCCTGCACTGAAGAGCAGGGTGAGGAGCCGTTGACTTCTTCAAACTTCCCCTTTAAAATTCCACTCATAGCTGCAACGCTGTCACATGTACCTGTAACAGGAACAGGAGCAATGAAGCATTGAAATATTTGGCTGCTGATTGCATAGTCAAAGTCTCAAAGTCATTTGGGGGGGCTGTAAATTTTTGAACCACATTATCATATCCATGCAGAAATTATTCTCCCCATAATGTTGGAAAGCATTGAAAACTATTCTACCCTAAGTCGTTATTTTCATTCTCATTCTGACAACAGTGTCTTATAAGAAAAAGTAAAAATTAAAAATATGAATATATTTGCTGCATAAGGAGATATGGCTTAACTGTTTTGAAATGTCAAAATGGGAGTCAAATGCACTTATTTGATTTGTTCTAGTAAATCGTGTGTTGTCATTGACAGAGCCAGAGTTCAGAACAAAATAGATCACTCACTTGCATGCTGTCATATCCACAGCATACTGATTAGAGTATGTCTATCTTGCTTGGGATTTCTTTTTTCTCAGGTATAAGGGCATCTATTTTCCTGGGGCTCTTTGTCCATCAAAAATCAAATTGGTTGCTAGGAATGGCGATACCTGCAGAATTTAGATGCTTTGTCATGTTTCCAGTCAGTTTAGCAGAGCTACAGGGAATACTTGAGTCCTATGTCAAGGAGATTGGCTGAATAGATTTTATACATGGTAAACCAGAGTCCTTAAATCTTTTGTTGAATAAAATATTAATTTAAATCTCTTCACTCTCTGTATTAACATGGTCAGTGAAAGCCAGTCATATGTAGCCTGATACATTTCTTAAAATTTGTTTACATCAATTTAGATGAATCACTAAACCTGAGAGTAGTAATTTCTTCATAGCTATGTAGAGAGACAGTGAAGGTGATCATGGGTTGCAAACAAAAATTCCTACACTGGTAGGTAACCTCGATAAGTAAGTTGGGTCATATGTAATAGAACCATAGTCATCTTAGTCTTCTCTTTTGCCTATAGTTATTTGCAACAAGGATACCAAGAAATATTTCACCTGAAGGAAAATGAAAGCATAAGTACAATAGTAAATGACCTCTTATTCAAGGAGACAGTAGGTAGTAAGAAGTGTGACCTGTGGAGAGCCAGAGAAAGCATGCTCAGGCCAAAGGGTGAAGCTGTTACTTGGGTCCAGGTCATTTTGCTCTATGCTTTCCTTATTTAATCTCCTCTAACTCCGGCCAATGCTCCATTCATATTCAGATTCTGCATTTTTCTTTCTCTTATTAGTTTTGTTTACACAGTCAAAGGAGCAATTTTTAGACTGCACTGTAATTTAAATCCCAACTTGAACTGGCTCTACAAGATAGCCCAAGATTGGTTTGGATAGATAACTTGGAAGGGTTAACAGACTAGGGAATCAAAACAGTCTCTTCCCCATCAGCTCAACACACTATCTGAAACCCTCTTGACTAGAGATGCATCAGTTTGGGGAACAAATTTATTTTACAAAAGACACCTGCACAATATATGATACCAAGGAGAGGTGACATCTTAAGCCATCAAATACCAGCACGGTGGTCCTATCTATAACTTTCTGGTAGTAAAAATCAAGTCTAACTGAAGTGACTTTTTTTTTTTTAATAAAGTAGCAAACTAGGGACTGACCACCCTCCTTGTGCCACTCATGGACATCATGCTCACCTTTGATTTTGATGCTAAAATTCCTTGGGGCATATTTATTCCAGGTCTTTCTGCTGACTGGCTTCCTCTGTTTCTTTATTTTCTGCTTCCTCATATCCCCAGCTTATAGATGGCTTTGGCTTCTAACAGACTTACCTCTACCTTATCGTATCATCATATTCTGTCGGCCTCTACGCTGAACACCAGTGACTCCTTTTTTTTTTTTTTTTTTAGGGAATTTGAGTATCATCCTTTGGTCATTTATGCTGTTCTATAGAAAGAGATCTATTTGTCTGTCATTTGTTTAAGGGCCATTCATTATTCAGTAAACATCTACTGAGCTTTTATTATGTTTCAATGACTATTTTAGATGCTGGGGAGTGACAAAGAAGCAACATCGACAGCAAGTTTTGTTTTGTTCTTTTTTTTTTTTTTTTTTTTTACTCTAATAGTGCTTACTTACTGGGTGTTATTAGGGAAAGGAGTAGACAAATAATAAGAAGAAAATATAAATTAAATATATAAACATCATATGGAGATAAATACTATTGAGAAAAATAAGCCATTAAGTGATATGGTGACTATAGGGTTGACTGAGCAAGAACATTTAATTTTTAGTTGTTCAGTGAACTAATGTCACTCCACCAAGAGGTAATAACATGGAGGAGGTGAGGGAACCAACAATTTGGGCTTCTTAGGGAAAAGCAGTCTAGGACAAAGGAATGGTGTGTGCCAAAGCCCAAGAGAGACACAGTGGGTGATAAGGTCAGACAAGTCTTCAGGGCTAGACTGTGTAGAGCCTTCAAGGACTTTGGCTATTTCTCTAAGTGAGATGAAAGCCACTACAGGTACTTAAAACTATAGAATTTAAGTAGTATAGTGCCAAGATCTAGCTTACATTTTAAAGGGACAACTCATTAGCTTGCTATTTCATCAGAAAACAGAGGGTCTACAATAAAGAAGGTAGAAGTGATGGGAAAAAGGAAAATCCTAGTAGGGAGGATTCAGTGGCTCCGATGAGCAGTTACAATCAGAAAACCTGACAAGTCACAGGGCTGAAGAGGTCAATAGTTCCTTTGGGGTGGGAGTTGGGGAATAAGAATTTAGAAAGAGGACAAAGTGGAGGGAAGGTTAAGGTATTTCCTAAAAGAATTTGGTTACTTAATTTCATCTAGGACCATCTCTGGTTTCTAGCTTTGTTTTTTTTTTTTTTTTTATTATACTTTAAGTTTTAGGGTACATGTGTACATTGTGCAGGTTAGTTACATATGTATACATGTGCCATGCTGGTGCGCTGCACCCACTAACTCGTCATCTAGCATTAGGTATATCTCCCAATGCTATCCCTCCCCCCTCCCCCCACCCCACAACAGTCCCCAGAGTGTGATATTCCCCTTCCTGTGTCCATGTGATCTCATTGTTCAATTCCCACCTATGAGTGAGAATATGCGGTGTTTGGTTTTTTGTTCTTGCAATAGTTTACTGAGAATGATGGTTTCCAGTTTCATCCATGTCCCTACAAAGGACATGAACTCATCATTTTTTATGGCTGCATAGTATTCCATGGTGTATATGTGCCACATTTTCTTAATCCAGTCTATCATTGTTGGACATTTGGGTTGGTTCCAAGTCTTTGCTATTGTGAATAATGCCGCAATAAACATACGTGTGCATGTGTCTTTATAGCAGCATGATTTATAGTCATTTGGGTATATACCCAGTAATGGGATGGCTGGGTCAAATGGTATTTCTAGTTCTAGATCCCTGAGGAATCGCCACACTGACTTCCACAATGGTTGAACTAGTTTACAGTCCCACCAACAGTGTAAAAGTGTTCCTATTTCTCCACATCCTCTCCAGCATCTGTTGTTTCCTGACTTTTTAATGATTGCCATTCTAACTGGTGTGAGATGATATCTCATAGTGGTTTTGATTTGCATTTCTCTGATGGCCAGTGATGATGAGCATTTTTTCATGTGTTTTTTGGCTGCATAAATGTCTTCTTTTGAGAAGTGTCTGTTCATGTCCTTCGCCCACTTTTTGATGGGGTTGTTTGTTTTTTTCTTGTAAATTTGTTTGAGTTCATTGTAGATTCTGGATATTAGCCCTTTGTCAGACGAGTAGGTTGCGAAAATTTTCTCCCATGTTGTAGGTTGCCTGTTCACTCTGATGGTAGTTTCTTTTGCTGTGCAGAAGCTCTTTAGTTTAAATAGATCCCATTTGTCAATTTTGGCTTTTGTTGCCATTGGTTTTGGTGTTTTGGACATGAAGTCCTTGCCCACGCCTATGTCCTGAATGGTAATGCCTAGGTTTTCTTCTAGGGTTTTTATGCTTTTGGGTCTAACGTTTAAATCTTTAATCCATCTTGAATTGATTTTTGTATAAAGTGTAAGGAAGGGATCCAGTTTCAGCTTTCTACATATGGCTAGCCAGTTTTCCCAGCACCATTTATTAAATAGGGAATCCTTTCCCCATTGCTTGTTTTTCTCAGGTTTGTCAAAGATCAGATAGTTGTAGGTATGCGGCGTTATTTCTGAGGGCTCTGTTCTGTTCCATTGATCTATATCTCTGTTTTGGTACAAGTACCATGCTGTTTTGGTTACTGTAGCCTTGTAGTATAGTTTGAAGTCAGGTAGTGTGATGCCTCCAGCTTTGTTCTTTTGGCTTAGGATTGACTTGGCGATGCGGGCTCTTTTTTGGTTCCATATGAACTTTAAAGTAGTTTTTTCCAATTCTGTGAAGAAAGTCATTGGTAGCTTGATGGGGATGGCATTGAATCTGTAAATTACCTTGGGCAGTATGGCCATTTTCAAGATATTGATTCTTCCTACCCATGAGCATGGAATTTTCTTCCATTTGTTTGTATCCTCTTTTATTTCATTGAGCAGTGGTTTGTAGTTCTCCTTGAAGAGGTCCTTCACATCCCTTGTAAGTTGGATTCCTAGGTTTTTTATTCTCTTTGAAGCAATTGTGAATGGGAGTTCACTCATGATTTGGCTCTCTGTTTGTCTGTTGTTGGTGTATAAGAATGCTTGTGATTTTTGTACATTGATTTTGTATCCTGAGACTTTGCTGAAGTTGCTTATCAGCTTAAGGAGATTTTGGGCTGAGACGATGGGGATTTCTAGATAAACAATCATGTCATCTGCAAACAGGGACAATTTGACTTCCTCTTTTCCTAATTGAATACCTTTTATTTTCTTCTCCTGCCTGATTGCCCTGGCCAGAACTTCCAACACTATGTTGAATAGGAGCGGTGAGAGAGGGCATCCCTGTCTTGTGCCAGTTTTCAAAGGGAATGCTTCCAGTTTTTGCCCATTCAGTATGATATTGGCTGTGGGTTTGTCATAGATAGCTCTTATTATTTTGAAATACGTCCCATCAATACCTAATTTATTGAGAGTTTTTAGCATGAAGGGTTGTTGAATTTTGTCAAAGTCTTTTTCTGCATCTATTGAGATAATCATGTGGTTTTTGTCTTTGGCTCTGTTTATATGCTGGATTACATTTATTGATTTGCGTATATTGAACCAGCCTTGCATCCCAGGGATGAAGCCCACTTGATCATGGTGGATAAGCTTTTGGATGTGCTGCTGGATTCGGTTTGCCAGTATTTTATTGAGGATTTTTGCATCAATGTTCATCAAGGATATTGGTCTAAAATTCTCTTTTTTGGTTGTGTCTCTGCCCGGCTTTGGTATCAGAATGATGCTGGCCTCATAAAATGAGTTAGGGAGGATTCCCTCTTTTTCTGTTGATTGGAATAGTTTCAGAAGGAATGGTACCAGTTCCTCCTTGTACCTCTGGTAGAATTCGGCTGTGAATCCATCTGGTCCTGGACTCTTTTTGGTTGGTAAACTATTGATTATTGCCACAATTTCAGCTCCTGTTATTGGTCTATTCAGAGATTCAACTTCTTCCTGGTTTAGTCTTGGGAGGGTGTATGTGTTGAGGAATGTATTCATTTCTTCTAGATTTTCTAGTTTATTTGTGTAGAGGTGTTTGTAGTATTCTCTGATGGTAGTTTGTATTTCTGTGGGATCAGTGGTGATATCCCCTTTATCATTTTTTATTGTGTCTATTTGATTCTTCTCTCTTTTTCTCTTTATTAGTCTTGCTAGCGGTCTATCAATTTTGTTGATCCTTTCAAAAAACCAGCTCCTGGATTCATTGATTTTTTGAAGGGTTTTTTGTGTCTCTATTTCCTTCAGTTCTGCTCTGATTTTAGTTATTTCTTGCCTTCTGCTAGCTTTTGAATGTGTTTGCTCTTGCTTTTCTAGTTCTTTTAATTGTGATGTTAGGGTGTCAATTTTGGATCTTTCCTGCTTTCTCTTGTGGGCATTTAGTGCTATAAATTTCCCTCTACACACTGCTTTGAATGCGTCCCAGAGATTCTGGTATGTTGTGTCTTTGTTCTCATTGGTTTCAAAGAACATCTTTATTTCTGCCTTCATTTCGTTATGTACCCAGTAGTCATTCAGGAGCAGGTTGTTCAGTTTCCATGTAGTTGAGCGGCTTTGAGTGAGATTCTTAATCCTGAGTTCTAGTTTCATTGCACTGTGGTCTGAGAGATAGTTTGTTATAATTTCTGTTCTTTTACATTTGCTGAGGAGAGTTTTACTTCCAACTATGTGGTCAATTTTGGAATAGGTGTGGTGTGGTGCTGAAAAAAATGTATATTCTGTTGATTTGGGGTGGAGAGTTCTGTAGATGTCTATTAGGTCTGCTTGGTGCAGAGCTGAGTTCAATTCCTGGGTATCCTTGTTGACTTTCTGTCTCGTTGATCTGTCTAATGTTGACAGTGGGGTGTTAAAGTCTCCCATTATTAATGTGTGGGAGTCTAAGTCTCTTTGTAGGTCACTCAGGACTTGCTTTATGAATCTGGGTGCTCCTGTATTGGGTGCATATATATTTAGGATAGTTAGCTCCTCTTGTTGAATTGATCCCTTTACCATCATGTAATGGCCTTCTTTGTCTCTTTTGATCTTTGTTGGTTTAAAGTCTGTTTTATCAGAGACTAGGATTGCAACCCCTGCCTTTTTTTGTTTTCCATTTGCTTGGTAGATCTTCCTCCATCCTTTTATTTTGAGCCTATGTGTGTCTCTGCACGTGAGATGGGTTTCCTGAATACAGCACACTGATGGGTCTTGACTCTTTATCCAATTTGCCAGTCTGTGTCTTTTAATTGGAGAATTTAGTCCATTTACATTTAAAGTTAATATTGTTATGTGTGAATTTGATCCTGTCATTATGATGTTAGCTGGTGATTTTGCTCATTAGTTGATGCAGTTTCTTCCTAGTCTCGATGTTCTTTACATTTTGGCATGATTTTGCAGCGGCTGGTACCGGTTGTTCCTTTCCATGTTTAGCACTTCCTTCAGGAGTTCTTTTAGGGCAGGCCTGGTGGTGACAAAATCTCTCAGCATTTGCTTGTCTGTAAAGTATTTTATTTCTCCTTCACTTATGAAGCTTAGCTTGGCTGGATATGAAATTCTGGGTTGAAAATTCTTTTCTTTAAGAATGTTGAATATTGGCCCCCACTCTCTTCTGGCTTGTAGGGTTTCTGCCGAGAGATCCGCTGTTAGTCTGATGGGCTTCCCTTTGAGGGTAACCCGACCCTTCTCTCTGGCTGCCCTTAACATTTTTTCCTTCATTTCAACTTTGGTGAATCTGACAATTATGTGTCTTGGAGTTGCTCTTCTCGAGGAGTATCTTTGTGGCGTTCTCTGTATTTCCTGAATCTGAACATTGGCCTGCCTTGCTAGATTGGGGAAGTTCTCCTGGATAATATCCTGCAGAGTGTTTTCCAACTTGGTTCCATTCTCCCCATCACTTTCAGGTACACCAATCAGACGTAGATTTGGTCTTTTCACATAGTCCCATATTTCTTGGAGGCTTTGCTCCTTTCTTTTTATTCTTTTTTCTCTAAACTTCCCTTCTTGCTTCATTTCATTCATTTCATCTTCCATTGCTGATACCCTTTCTTCCAGTTGATCGCATCGGCTCCTGAGGCTTCTGCATTCTTCACGTAGTTCTCGAGCCTTGGTTTTCAGCTCCATCAGCTCCTTTAAGCACTTCTCTGTATTGGTTATTCTAGTTATACATTCTTCTAAATTTTTTTCAAAGTTTTCAACTTCTTTGCCTTTGGTTTGAATGTCCTCCCGTAGCTCAGAGTAATCTGATCGTCTGAAGCCTTCTTCTCTCAGCTCGTCAAAATCATTCTCCATCCAGCTTTGTTCCGTTGCTGGTGAGGAACTGCGTTCCTTTGGAGGAGGAGAGGCGCTCTGCGTTTTAGAGTTTCCAGTTTTTCTGTTCTGTTTTTTCCCCATCTTTGTGGTTTTATCTACTTTTGGTCTTTGATGATGGTGATGTACAGATGGGTTTTCGGTGTGGATGTCCTTTCTGTTTGTTAGTTTTCCTTCTAACAGACAGGACCCTCAGCTGCAGGTCTGTTGGAATACCCTGCAGTGTGAGGTGTCAGTGTGCCCCTGCTGGGGGGTGCCTCCCAGTTAGGCTGCTCGGGGGTCAGGGGTCAGGGACCCACTTGAGGAGGCAGTCTGCCCGTTCTCAGATCTCCAGCTGCGTGCTGGGAGAACCACTGCTCTCTTCAAAGCTGTCAGACAGGGACATTTAAGTCTGCAGAGGTTACTGCTGTCTTTTTGTTTGTCTGTGCCCTGCCCCCAGAGGTGGAGCCTACAGAGGCAGGCAGGCCTCCTTGAGCTGTGGTGGGCTCCACCCAGTTCGAGCTTCCTGGCTGCTTTGTTTACCTAAGCAAGCCTGGGCAATGGCGGGCGCCCCTCCCCCAGCCTCGCTGCCGCCTTGCAGTTTGATCTCAGACTGCTGTGCTAGCAATCAGCGAGATTCTGTGGGCGTAGGACCCTCCGAGCCAGGTGTGGGATATAGTCTCGTGGTGCACCGTTTTTTAAGCCGGTCTGAAAAGCGCAATAATCGGGTGGGAGTGACCCGATTTTCCAGGTGCGTCCGTCACCCATTTATTTGACTCGGAAAGGGAACTCTCTGACCCCTTGCGCTTCCCAGGTGAGGCAATGCCTCGCCCTGCTTCGGCTCGCGCACGGTGCGCGCACCCACTGGCCTGCGCCCACTGTCTGGCACTCCCTAGTGAGATGAACCCGGTACCTCAGATGGAAATGCAGAAATCACCCGTCTTCTGCGTCGCTCACGCTGGGAGCTGTAGACCAGAGCTGTTCCTATTCGGCCATCTTGGCTCCTCCTAGCTTTGTTAATTATTTGATGATGGCTGAGGCACCTTACCTACTAGATTTAAAATAAGAATCATCCAGATACCTTGTACCACTTGTGGTGCTACTGTGGCAAAATAACAACAAAAATGTAAATGTAAGCTTTCTTTTATCACTCTAAAGAAATATTTCTTTTAATTCAATAGAGAAAAGGCAATATGTAGATGGTGATCATTCTCAAGAATTTATTTATTAATAGGAAGATGGAGGCATGGACTTAATAACTATTTTATCTACCATTCTCCCTAAAGTTATTTATTCAAAATTTTTGAAAGTCAAATCACCACTACCTGCTACAATAGGGACTATAGGACTCTGGCTCTGGGTTGACCCTGTTTGAAAGCCAAGTAGCCTGCACCTTAAAAACTCACTTATAGACCTAACGTAACCTTTATTTGGTTAGAGAGATGCTCGTCTTGAAGTGATGTTTGACAGTTTTAGAAATATTGCAGGAAAGTTCTGAAAGACTGAAAGCTATTGTTGATTTTTTAAAATGTTGTTGTACCTTATGTTTATCAGTTATAGGAGACTATTTGGAAATTGTTGCACTATATAGGTGTTTAATTGATTTCTTTATCTAATATAAAATCAATGTAAATAATTTCTGTCAAGGTGATATATTTGCTCACATTTATACTTCTATGCCTTGGAAGCTCTGAAAATACTTGCACAAAGTCATTAGAGAAAGATTGAATTGTATGATTATGTATCTAAGCAAACACAAAAGTAAGGTGGAAAAAAATATTTTCCACCTTAGTTTCCGATAGACACAATATCTATCAGCACCTTGATCTTGGACTTCCACCCTCCAGAACTGTGAGAAATAAATTTCTGTTGTTTATAATTCTCCCAATCTATGATATTTTGTTGTGGTAACCAGAACTGATTAAGACACAGAATAATCAGTTTGAATTAAAATATTCAAAATGACAGTTTAGTAATTTTAAACAAAGCTTAGGAGACTCAGAAAGAGAAAGAAAGAGCGAGAGCAAGTGAGAGAGAGAGAGATTGAGTGAAAGAGAAAGGAATTGTTTTATTCTAGTTTGTTTTCACCAATCTAATTCTGTAGTACACTCTGGTTGAACTACCAAAATTGCGATGTTGTAATGATTCCATGGCAATAGAAGCAGGATTATACAGAGAAAGCTAAATTGTGAGAGAGAATAGGATGCTACTCCGTTTCAGATGTCTGCAGTAATAGGTGGGAAGGGAGGAAAACTACGGGAAAAGACAGTTATTATGAACATTCTTTATTGAGTTTGTCCCATCCACATAGTCAAGCAAAAGTGATCATAAACAATATTTTAAAAACACCCTATAATACAGAATGCTCTTTCTGACAGTACATGGCTGGAAGAAACTGTCAGCAAACAGGGGGAAGTACAGATGACTTGATTTATATTTTCTAGCACTGAAAAATTGTATTTGTTGTGTACGTTAGAAGTCAGAAGTTTCTCAATTCTACTCCCAGATCCGCTCACAAGTCCTTTGTTGGTCCAAAAAGATGATACCTTATTAGGTTTTTAAAATAGATCTCCTGTAATCCCAGGACTTTGGGAGGCCTAGGCAGGTGGATCACTGGAGGCCAGGAGTTTGAGACCAGCCTGGCCAACACAGTGAAACCCCATCTCTACTAAAAATACAAAAATTAGCCGAATGTGGTGGTGCATGCCTGTAACACCAGCTACTTGGGAGGCTGAGGCATAAGAAAAATTGCTTGAACCTGGGAGGTGGAGGCTGCAGTGAGCCAAGATAGCCTGGGTGACAGTGGGACTCTGTCTCAAAAATAATAAAATAAAATAAAATAGCTCTAATGGGAATTGTTGCATTATTACTGATTCCGTATACAATAATTCATTTTGAGACATATATAAAATACAATTTTCTTACTAGCATTCCTAAGATAAGAATTGTTACAATTGCTATATTTATTCAATAGAATGCTATGGTCTGAATATTTATTCAATAGAATGCTATGGTCTGAATATTTATTCAATAGAATGCTAGGGTCTCCCTAAAATTCATATGTTGAAATTCTAACCCCCAAGGTGGTGTTATTAGGGGCTGGAGCTTTGGGGACATAAGTAAGTCATGAAGGCGGATTAGTGCCCTTATAAGGGACCCCAGAAGAGATCCCTTGCCTTCCTGCCACATGAGGTTACAGCAAAAACATGGCTGTCTAGAAAACAGTCCCTCACCAGACACGGTATCTATCAGCACCTTGATCTTGGACTTCCATCCTCCAGAAATGTGGGAAATAAATTTCTGTGGTTTATAATTCTCCCAGTCTATGATATTTTGTTGTGGTAACCAGAACTGATTGAGACATAGAATAATCACAGTTTGAAATAAAATATTCAAAATGACAGTTTAGTAATTTTATACAAACCTAGAGACTTAAAAGAATATAAGGAGATTATTAGCATTTAAAAGTAATGGTAGAAAATTGTAAGTTATTAATTTTTATGCTATTGTTACAAGAAACAACTGTATTAGCAACTGACTCAGCACAGATCACTTACAGAATACAAAGGTAAAAATCTAAAATCTCCATTTTGAAGGAAGAACTACAATGAATGTTGACTACATTGACTTTTCCACAAATATAAGTTATTTTTCTAAAAATCAGATGGTTTAGAGCTTAGATGGATCCCCTGCAACGGCCTTAAATGTGTGTTGTTACCAGGCAAGTTTTGCAGACTACTATATCCAATGGTTGAGATTTTATGATTATGGAAAAGGGCACCTGAATGCCCTGCCCAGAGCCTAGGTATACTGAATAGCAAACCTCCACAACTGTATTATATATTTTTATATATACATTATTTATTTATATCTATATTTTTATATACATATATATATACATACACACACACACACATATACGTATGTTCTCTCTCCCTCTCCTGCCACTGCAAGAACACTTAATAAATAGCTTGGATATAATCATGGGCTTAGGTTGATTACAGGAGGTTAACTGGCAAAACCTAGAACAAGAATGGGGACAGTTTCTTGAAGGTAAAGATGGATGCAGAATAAAAGTGAATGTAGATTAAACAGTCCTGGGAATATAAGGTGAAAGTATATTTGGAGACACGGTAGAAAAATTCTGAGAGGCTGGAGGGAAACTCCTAAATGAGAACATTGATTTTTATCAATTTACTCATAGACAAGCAAGAGGTGGAAGAAACCAGCCTGGGTTGTAAGGTCTATGGGTAGACGATAGTTTCAAAAACTAGGAATTTTGGTATATCTCCCTTTGGGCTGAAAGGTAAATGGGAAGAATTGCTTCAATCTGAATTTGTGGTGATATCTGTATCCCTCAGGCAAAAGCACATCTGTTGACTGGGCATGGTGGCTCACACCTGTAATCCCAGCATTTTGGGAGGCCAAGGCGGGCAGATCACTTGAGGTCACGAGTTTGAGACCAGCCTGGACAACATGGTGAAACCTGGTCTCTACAAAAAAATACAAAAACTGGCCCAGCGTAGTGGGGCGTGCCTGTAGTCCCAGCTACTCAGGAGGCTGAGGCACAAGAATCGCTTGGACTCAGGAGGTGGAGGTTGCGGTGATTCAAGATCATTCCACTGCACTCCAGCCTGGGCAACAGAGCAAGGCTCCATCTCAAGAAAAAAAAAAAAAGCACATCTCTTAAATTTAAGATCTGAGAGGCTAGAGCTTCAAAACCCAGTTTCACCATTTAGGAAATGGTGAATCCTGAATAGGATCTCTTGAGCAAGTTATTTAATTTCTCTCAGTCTCAGTTTTCTTACCTGTCAAATGGGGCTAATAGTAGCTATTTTATTTTATTTTTTTCTTCTATTTTTATTTTAGGTTCAGGGAGTACATGTGCAGGTTTGTTGCATGTGTAAATTGTATGTCACAGGGGCTTGGTGTATGCATGGTCCCATCTCCAAGGTAGTGAGCATAGTACTCACTAGGTAGCCTTCCAGTCCACCTTCCCGCACTCTGTCTCCTCGAGCCCTCCCCAGTACCTATTGTTCCCGTCTTTGTGTCCATATGTATTCAGTATTTAGCTCCCACTTAAAAGTGAGAACATGCGGTATTTGGTTTTCTGTCCCTGTGTTAGTTTGCTTAGGATAATGGCCTCCACGTAGCTATTTCATAATGCCAGAATGTGTGTTGTAGGTGTTCTAATTTCCATACTCCCTACCCCACTGGTACATATTTTGTATTCCAGGATGCCTTGTATTAGAGCTAAAAACAAAAATCATACTCTAAAATCTTCTCTGGGTGTGTAATCTAGCCAGTGTAGCATAAAGGAGAACTATAAATCAGGAATGAGGGCTCACACCACACCGTTTCTACTTTGAGGTACGAATGAATAGAGGCAGCACAGAGAACTAGGAAAGATGGTGCAAAGTCTTCCTGTTGAGGATGCCCTGGCTCTTTTGGTGGGTGGGTGTGATCAGTTGGTGTCAGGGCACGTTGCCTCCCTTGTTAAGTGATCCTGTGTCTTGTCAAAGCCCACCCCACACTCCAGGAAAGAGGCTGGTGCTCCCTGAGTAGTCACCAGCAGTCTGGTTTGCACTGCAGTAATCTCAGGGGATTTGTCAGGGTATATTCCCTCCCTCATTAAGTGACCGTATCTTGCCAAGAGTCTACCTCACACTACAGGAAGAAGTGTGCATTGATTAACTCAGTATGTGCAATTTTATACCTGCAGTTTCTCCACTATTAACGTGAGCATATAACCTTCTCATTCAATATTTTCCAATACCATGTGCTTTTATTTGATTTTGGGTTTTGTGTCTAATACATTGTATTTCATTGAATAACTAGGCCATGATATTTAACCAAACCTCTAAAGGGACATGTTTGGTTTATTTTTAAGTATTTGTTATTATAAATCACAGTATAATTAGCATTTCCTTTTTTATTTAATTTTTTTTCATATTTTTATAGACATAGGATCTCACTATGTTGTCCAGACTGGTTTTGAATTCCTGGGCTCAAGCAATCTTCCTGCCTCAGCCTCTCAAAGTGCAGAGATTACAGGTATGAGCCACTGCACCTAGCCAACATTATATTTTTATATACATATATAAAATATATATTATAATATATATTACATATATTTTTATATTATATATATTATATATATAATATATAAAATTTTATATAATATAAAATATATATACTTGTGCATATCTCTTATTATACCTTTAACGATGAATTCCTAGAAGTGGAAATATTGAGTCTTCCATGCACATTGCCAATTTGGTTCTGCCAGTAAGGTTCTGCCAATTTATATTTCTTTAAGGGTGCATTGGGATATTACTTCACTCTTGCCAATGCTGTGGCAAAAAATATTGCTATTTTTTAAAACTGTTTATGAATTTGTCAGCTACTCAAGATAATAATTATAGTCAACACACATATAGTGCTTACTATGTGCCAAGCACTGTTCTAGCACTTCATATATGTACTAGGTAGGATTCTAAAGGCCCTTAAGATTCCCTACCATGTAATGTGTACACCCTGTGCCCGTATAACCCTAGACATGTGAACACTGTGAGATACCACTCCTGCGATTGTGTTATGTCTATGTTGCTATGTTTATGTTACATAGCAAAAAGGATTTTGCACATGAATTAAAGACCCAAACCAGATAGGGAGATTATGCGGGTGGGCTTGACCTAATCACATGAGCCCTTGAAATCAAGGTCTAGAAGTCAGATACTAAGGATGAGAGGGATTCGATGAGAGAGAGATTCTCTGTGGCTGACGTGAAGTAGGAAAGGGTCACATGACAGCACATGTGTGCAGCTTCCAGGAGCTGAGAGCAGCCTTCAGCCGGCTGACAGGCAGCAGGAAACAGAAACATCAGTTCTATCAGCCCAAGGAGCAGAATTCTGCCAAAAACAAGAATGAGCTTGGAAGTAGATTTTCCCCCAGAGTGACCAGATAAGAGTTCAGCCAAGTGACACCTTTATTCTGGCCTTGTGAGGCCCTGAACAAAGAACCTAGCCATACCGTGCAGGACTATTTTTTTTTTTTTTTTGAGACTGGTCTCATCTCTCACCCAGGCTGGAGTGCAGTGGCATGACCATGACTCAGTGCAGCCTCAGCCCCATGGGTTCAAGTGATCCTCCTGCCTCAGCCTCCAAGTAGCTAGGACTATAGGCATGTACCACCATGCCTGACTAATTTTTTTGATTTTTAGTAGGGATGGGGTCTCACTATGTTGCCCAGGCGCATCTTGAACTCCTGAGCTCAAGCAAACCTCCTGCCTTGGCCTCCCAAAGTGCCTATGCAGGACTTCTAACCTACAGTAATATAAGCTGATTAATAAATGTGGTTTTAAGTTGTTAAGTTTATGGGAATTTGTTACATGTTAATAGAAAATTAGTATAATATATATCAACTCATTTAATCTCCATAGCCATATAAGATAGGCATTATTATTAATAATACCATTTAGAGCTTAAAAACTGAAGCATATGGGGGTTAGGTGATGAGGCCAAGGTCACACAGGTAGTTTTAGAGCCAGAATTCAAACCCAGGCATTTGGGCACTTGAAATCATAATTTTATCATCACGGACTTTCATGACTTTTGATATCTCACTGCTTGATATTGTTTTGTCTTGTTTTTGAATACTTAGAATTACATTTTTTCTCCCACATACTTTCTTTTTATTCTTAATGTGTTTCTGTGTGTGTATGTGTGTGCCTACGTTACTTAATTTTCCTTTTCCTGGTAAAATATACATAAATATTGTTTATAAACATTCATAATAGCTATAAAAAAGACATTTCATTTGTGATTTTTGGTATGTTTCAATTATCTTTACAGAAAAAGTAGGTTATGAACACTCTTTATAGCTAGGTGCCTTCACAGGGTTTAATGAGAATTTTTTGGGATATTTTTCATATTGTCCATAATGTCCTGTTTATCTTTAGTTAATAAATAGCTTCGCTTTTGGATAAACAGATGATAATAATGTTCTTGAGTTTTTACTTGGTGTTAGAAACTAAATTCTGTGAACATGTTATCTTGTTTGCCCTTACAGTGATTCTGAATTAAGCATTATGCTTCCCTTTTTATCATGGAGCAACATGAAGCTTAGGATGGAAGTAACCTACATACACTGACAAAGGCAATTAAGTAACTGAGCTGGAATTAAAACTCACCTTGCCTGACTCCGTAGACTGTGCTCTTTAAGGTCATGCTACACCCCTTCTATATAAAACTTGGCATAGGTTTCCTACTCAATTTCTTAATAGACTGTGAGCAACTGAAGAATGGGATCTTATTTAAAGATTCAAGAAATGTTCAATAAATAACCAGGTACTTTTGAAGAAGAAAAGTAAGGTAAATAGAAGACAAGACATGAGAGTAAAGGAGTAGTTTCCAGATTTTCCTCATAGAGAAGAAGTTTAAACAAAATGGAATCATGCTTTTGGAAGTAAAACCTCTTTGGACAGCAAATATTTTTAAACATATGTACACGTGCTGCTTTTTTGAAGTTTAAAAGCACAACATGGGGGAGAGAAAAAGAGTGAAAATTTTTAAAAATTGAATATATTACTCTGATGAAGAATGAACACATATGTAATTGAATAATTTTGGAAGTGTTTTTGTATTAGAAACATTGGAGCTATTTTTATAGTTTGAAAATTGTAAAATGTAGACCATGTTTCAGCCTTTGAGTTAGAGGCTCTTTAATAACACAGTAGATATACATCTGTCTTAAAAATGCTTAGTGAAGCATGCATATACAAAATACAATCTGCAAGATTTTAGTAGGAGACTTTTGTGTTGGGAAGGGGTCTATGATGAAGTAGGTCTAATAATGTCCTTTTTTTTAACCTTTCTTTCGTTTCTTTCCTTTCCTTCCTTTCCTTCCTTTCCCTCTCTCTCTTCTTTCTTTCTTCCTTCCTTCTTTCCTTTCTTTCTTTCTTTTCTTTGACAGGGTCTCACTCTGTCACCCAGGCTGGAGTGCCAAGAGGTGACCTCGGCTCACTGCAACCTCCACCTTGCAAGTTCAAGCAATTCTCCTGCCTTGGCCTCCCAGGTAGCTGGGACTGAAGGCACTCACCAGCACGCCTGGCTAAATTTTGTATCTTTTGCAGTGATGGGGTTTCACCACATTGGCCAGGCTAGTGTCAAATTCTTGGCCTCAAGTGATCCACCTGCCTTGGCCTCCCAAAGTGCTGGGATTACAGGTGTGAGCCACCATGCCTGGCCTACCGGCCTACAATTTTTTTTTTTTTGAGATGGAGTCTGGCTCTGTCGCCCAGGCTGGAGTGCAGTAGCATGATCTTGGCTGATTGTAACCTCCGCCTCCCGGGTTCAAGCGATTCCCCTGCCTCAGCCTCCTGAGTAGCTGGGATTACAGGTACCCACGACCACACCTGGCTAATATATATATATATATTTGTATTATATATATATATATTTCATATATATATATATTTGTATTTTTAGTAGGGACGAGATTTCACCATGTTGGTCAGGCTGGTCTCGAACTTCTGACCTCATGTGATCTGCCTGCCTCGGCCTCCCAAAGTGCTGGGATTACAGGCATGAACCACTGCACCCGGCCTACAATTTCTTAATATTACATACCCTTCGTTAAAAGTCTTAGTGTACGTTAGCATAGAAAAGACTTAACAGGAATGGATATTATTTAAATATCCTCTAAATTTCCTTAAATTTATTTAATCATAGAATATTTTTTATGAAATCTTCAATTATATTTCTGAGATCTATGCCCCAATTTTGAAAATGCTTGATATTAATATTTTGAAGGTCCTATCTTTGCTCTTCTTTAATAATTCTAGGATTTGTTTTCACAATTGCACTTTCTCATACAATACTAAATTTACCAGCTGATGCCCAGCAATTTAATTGTAGTTAATATGGAAAAAAAGCCAGTCAAGAGGGATTTTTTTTCACCCACTAGCAAGCAATAATACTTAGGAAGTCATTACAAATACTGAGGATTATTTTGCTCCTTCCATTCTTGGCTTATAAACAGAAAAGCATGACTAGCAACAACAACTAAAAATTGCACACAATGGCTTACTATACGCCAAATTCTGCACTGAAAAGTCCTCTATGTACACCTGCCAATCTTCACAATACTACCCAGGTAGATAACTGAATTTTACAGATAAGAAAACTAAGGCTCAGATAGTTTAAGTAACTGGTCCAAATTTACACAGGCAATAAGAGGCTATGCCTGTTTGATTGCAAAGTCAATCAGTTAGGAAAGCCCATCAATGATTATCCTGCACTACCTAAAGAATAGATAGATAAGCCAAAGTCACAGTACCCCATTAGCTCAAATGATGCATTTCTAGAAACCGGCATGCTGCCTGCATGACTGAATCACACCTTTAAGGGGTATATGTATACCACAGTATAGCTCCATGTAAATGAACACGTTTACAGTACATTGGTAAGCACTCCTTTTCCTTCAGTTTAAATTCATCAGGATATTTCATTCGTTATTCTTTTGGTTATTTTTACCTAGTTGTGGTGATATTTATATCAAAGGACTTCTACCAGTCCCATATTATCTGCTTACCTTTACCCTGAGGCATAGTAAACCCCAGTGACACACAGCAAGCAAGCATGCACACTTGTTTTCTTTGTAGCTTATGCAGCATTGTCACTTACCAGGCATTACGGCTTAGAATTGTTCACCAGAACAGACCACAAATGGCAGAAAGTGAGCCCAGAGCAGCACAAAAATATTGCCAAACAATTTTAACTTTAATCAAATGTTGTTGAACAAATTTAACTCAGGAGAATGGGGATTCATTGACTAAGAGTGGATGTATGATAGCACTCAGATTGGTTAAATATATACTACTATATTTTCTTACACAAACATTAATTAACACTTGTATTATATATTAATATAACAATTACAGTTAATTACATTAATTTACAATTAACCCATTGATTTAGTATATGATAATCTGTGTGTGTGTATCAGAAACCAAGCAGTATTATAATGAAACAGAGCAGGGAAGCATGAAATGGGAACTACATGCAGATAAAATCCCGTTAATGTAGGAGAGCACAGATAGCGTTTGGACAATAAAAAGTCTGCAAGACAAAACCTTGCATGGCTTAATGACATTTAGGTGACATGGACATTGTCACACTGAATAGCATTAACAGAGAAGAACATGGAAGGAAGAGACCGTCTTAGAATGTAAGGAGTGTCTGCCATTGAGAGGATGTAAGAGGAGGCTAGATGACTATCTGACAAGACAATTTGCTTAATTATTCAATCGGCAAAACAATCTGGGGGCACATACTGTGTATCAGGCATTGTATTAGGCATTGATGCAGAGATGAAGGAAACTCCTTGTCATCAAGAGCTATAATTTAGATAGTGAGCGAAAGGGTACTGAGAGATCACAAAGTGGCTGTCATGACCACACACCAAGAAGCTCTGGCAGGGAGCACAGGACAGGCCCACGGCTTCTCTCCTTGGCCCTGCCTGTATGTTGTGGGAAGATCTCTGAAAATGGATTATAATGGCATCCCCAAGATCAGTTTTCCATTTAACACTCAGCTCTAGGTAAGTTCAGTGGGCAGCATGAGAGCAGCCCCTTGGGGCCCTTATTGATTTGGATGCACAGGGGGCAAATCATTTAAAATTTTAAGTATGAGTTTCATGAGCAACGAGAAGGGAATTTTAATTAGACAGAACAAAGACGTCTTTTTTTTTTAAATCACTTTTGAAACCCTTTTCCAGAATCTTTCTGCTTTAAAACGCTGACACCATCACAACCAGTATTACCTGGTAATGACTGATGACAAATATTGATTTTTCATGGCTAGCCTAACCTGAGGAGAGAAAAGCAAATGAAAATCTTTGTAAATACATTCAGGGCTCCTGTTTAGGAAACTATTTGTTTCATTATTAAATATATTGTGATATATCCACAACATGACAGCAACTAACTGTATCCACACTTGCTAAAATACAAAGCTGAAATGCATTTTGACAGTGACAGCAAACTAAAAAAGTCAAGGAGACTGTGATAGTAGGTCAAAGCCACTAGGCTCACTGGATATCAGGGGCAGGTCTGAAGTGGAGAGTTCTATGCAACTCTAAAATCCCTGTGTTGTTATGCATCAGAGACCATCTGGCCACACCATGCTTTTTCACCTCCATGCAAAGCCTTTCTAAGTTCTGCTTTTCTTTCATCCAGTGTTTAATGCACTATATCTAATATTTAATACAAACACATAGTGTCTTGCTTTGTAATTTTGCATAAGCAAATACTTAGTTTCCCACTAAATATGATCATTGTCCTCTCTGCGCCTTAATTTTGTCATAGGTAAAATGAAGAATCCAGGAAGAAATTCTCTCTACACGGCAGTCCCATGTTTCTAGGGCAATAAAAGACTAAAATATGAAAAGGTAATACATGAATTAAATGAGTATAGGCCAAGGAATTTATAGTAAATATTGTTTAAAGACATAAACATTTGCATAAAAATTACTTTTGCCAGGGACAGTGGTATAAGCCTGCAATCCCCCAGCCACTTGGGAGGCTGCAGCAGAATAATCATTGGAGCCCAGGAGTTTGAGGCTGTAGTACACTATAATCTTGCCTGTGAATAGCCTGCTGCACTCAAGCCTGGCAACATAGAAAAGCCCTATCTCTAAAATATAAAATAAAATAAAATAAAACAATATGATAAAATAAAAAAATATAAATTTAAAAACTACATTTGATAGTGTTGGTGATTTTTGTTTAAAATAATGTCATTTTTATGAATGTGCACAAGTCAGGAGATAAGGAGAAATGTGTGCACCACCCTTTGTGGTATTGGAAAATAATGTATTAAGCTCTTGATCTAAGTAAAGTATAAGAGCTTATTGGAAATAAGTCACATGCATGCTTATCTTCTTTTCAGGCCATGATATGAGATCATGAAGTTGATCATGAAGTTGATCTCGTATCAAAGTGATTTCCTTACTATACGTAGTTCATAGAAATAGCACTGATATTTATCTAGATCGTTATAATCTTGAATTAAATACCTTACAAGTTATATTGAGTGTTTTCTCAGGGCATGCATATTCAACAGTTTTCAGCTCAAACAATTTAGGCCATTATAATATCTGAAATCTAAGCAATTGACAGAGAAATCAAATGATCTGCCCAACTGATTCATTGAGATATGTGAAATATCCAAATGTGACAATTAGCTTGATAAATCCATTCCTTGCTTCTTCATACCAAATCATAATTAAAAAGCAATAATGCTGCTTTGAACCAACCCCCTTTTAATATCTGTATAAGCCCTGTATTAAACTATCAGGTATTAAATATATTAGTCAAAAATAACATCTGATTAATAATACCTTTGAGTTGTGATGTACTATAGTACAAATGTTAATGTAATTTTTTCATTTGACTGGATTAGTTTATGTATACAGCACAATTTGAATATTATTAAATCTGACCCAAGCTTTCTTACTCTCATGTTATTTCCATTTCTTGTAAATGCCACCCCTCCATTTCCAGCAATAAGAGGTTATTTGCCAAACTAGCATATTTCCATTACAGATGTAAAGTTGTCTACTTATATTATAGGGGAAGTAATTAAGTATTTTGTTTTCTTTAGTATATTTTGTGAGACTTTAAGAGGCCATGAAAACCCACCCACAATTCTGGCAAGCTACGTTTAGCAAAGAAAGAAGCATGAAGCAGTAAGTAGAAATGACTAACAAACTGTATTTTTAAATTATCTGTAGTTGAGAGTAAGCCTACGAAATGCATTCTCTTCAGGATCTTGACAAGCATTGATAATTTTGGTTGTGCCTTAAATAGGGGTTGTCTACACAGGTCACATAATCCATTTACTAGTCTATCTGATTTGTTGTTAGCTTGCTTTTTAATGTCATCAGTGTTTATGCTGAAAGTGCTGTCACTGAAGTGCTTTGCTCGTGTTAATTGATAAAAACAAAATACTTCCCACCATCTTAGCTTTTTTTGAAAATAACGTACTGACATGCCAAATTAATTTAACTTTAAATAATATGTTGGCTACATATTAAATATTTTAACACGTAGTTTAAGCATGTGGTGCTTTATTTGCTACATTGCTAACATTGAATCTAATAGACTAAGGTTAATATTATGAAAATAAAGTATGATATGTCACAAATATTTAAATGAGTTGTAAAGAGAAAATAAGAGTTAGGAATCTCATCTGAATTATAACAAAAATAATAGGAAAGCTGTTAACAGCTTTATGATGATTTTTCCTCTTAACAAATAGCTGAGAGATTTGAAAAAAATGGTGTATGGGATGACAGTGCTGCCTTTGAAGCATGTAATTTTATAATAAAAATGTTTTAAATTAAGGAATTGCCTAGGGTAGAATATGATGATAATTGTGATTTTTTTTTGTATAGAGAAAAGCTACATAAAAGTAATGTTTATTTTCAAAGAAAGCAAAAATGTTTCAAATAAAGCAAAAAGGATATATGTGCATTTACAGTGATTTATATTAAATTTTAAATTAATTACCTTAACATTAACACAAATAGCTTTTAGGTTGTTGGAATGTGTAATTTTTTATACATATTAAATAGATTACAAAGGTAAGGAAATAATTGCATTAATGAAACATGGTTTGGACGTTAAGTTTAAAAAATTCTTATTCTAATGTCAAAATGTGTATTGAATGCTCCTCACTATCCATAGCCTGGACATATACCAAGCTTCTCTCTTTATGATTAAAGTGATTGATACATTAAAAAATACTTCTTAATTTATTGTATTATTCATTATATTGCAAACCACTGCAAACATAAAGAGAAAAAGGAAAGAGTGTTGTGAAAAGGGGACAAAGCTGTATATAGTGAGCTCCATTAAAAACCTACATTTAAATCTTAAAAATGTTTGTACCAAAGGAAAAAAAAATGGTGATGCCTTCCCATTTCTCACTGAAAGCCTTACATGGTTTTCATTTGCCTTGTTTCATCCTTCACTTGGACAGTAACCTCTTAACTGTTTTCTTTCATGCTTTTTTTTTCTCTCTTGTCTCCACTCCAGCACACATTCTCTCTCTCTCTCTATCTCTTCCTGTGGACTCTGCAGTAAAAGCTACCCCAGTTGTCTCATTTTTATAAGACTTGCAGACGTCTGCCAGTGGCTGATAGGAAATGCTGATTGAGAAAGGGTTTATCTACTTTTCATCCAAAATATGTGAACCATTAAGGAAATTATAAAAAGCAGCAACAATATACTCTGGTTTTATTCAGTCCTCTCCCTTAGTGATTATTAAAAGGGTGATATTTTTAGCCAAAGAAAGCAAAATGCATCTGCAGCAGCTGGTTTCCAAGGAAACAGAATAATTTAAAACCATGTGGAACTCTGCTCTCTAATTTTCATCAATTCCCCTTCATTCCTGGAGGTAGCTTTACTCAGAATTTATAATTTCTAAAAAATATAGCTGCATTGATTTATTTCCTCTAATACATTTTAGGAGATGAATATCTGGTCTTATATATCACCTTGAATTTCAATCTTGGGGTGAGGGGTGGATTAATTTCAACCATTGTTTTGCTTAAAAAAACAAAATCGGAAAGATCCATCAATAATTAGAAACATGCCAAAATTTCAGTATTATGTAATAATTTTTGAAATCCAGAAACAGTTCAAAATCAACCATACCAGAATATTTACTTGGTTCATTATGACACTTAACCATATAAACATGTTATTAACTATATTTAGTACTTTTAGGAAATTTAAGGTAATTCTCAATTCATTTAGATAATCCATACTAATATTCAGCAATTTTCTCACTCATTTTAATTTTCCAAGAACTATTATATTTGTGTCTGTTTATTCAAAGACAAAATCTCTCAAACAAAAAAAGTACAATAAATAAAAAAATTTGAAAAACAATAAACAAAAAGAAAAACAATAGCAAAAAATATTTAGAAATTATATAGTCATTCCTATTAGTTTTGATTCATTCAAAAAGGTATTAAAATATGTAGGAACAAATTATTTACCTCATTGAAAGACTTTTATTTTATTATTATAATCAACAGGTATTAATCGATGGCCAGTGTACTGAAGTCAGTCATAATTCTTGAAAGTTCAATTTTAATGAGGTTCTACCACCGTTAAATGACCTGTATTTATGAATTAAAGTAAAGAATTAAGTGACTGGGAGTTCAGTTTTTTTGTATGTTTTTACTGCAAGTGTGTTATTTATTCTACATACTTAGAACTTGTCCCTTTTTTCCCTAAGGCAATATAAAGGACCATATTAGGAGATACAAGCACCTAGTAAAGTTGCTAAAAAAAAATTGCCTAGAGATATTATCAACAATATAAATGCTCTGATGGAATTCTTATCTAGATGTGTTTGACTGATAAATTAAACTACCCATGAAACATGACTGTTAAGATGCTATTTTTTACAGCAATGTTTAATCTTTCAAAATTAGGTTTCTGTGCTTTAAAATAAAAATGGCTCCATGTAAGTTAACAAGTAGAGACAAACCATTGTTTAATTATCACATAAGCTTAAAGTTTGCTGAATAAAATAATGCAAATATTGAACAACATGAGATTTATCAAGAGGAGTAAGTTAAATAACAGGGCTTAAATGCACACAAATCATTCATTCTAAATTAATGCTAAAAGAGTCTACAACCTGCAAAAATAGTTTTCCTAAGCCTTTTACTGTATTGTCAATATTAAAAGCCATCACATGAAATTTTATATTGTATATTCACAGAAGGCTCCATTTTCTCAGGACCTGTGGAATTTACCGAGGTTTTCTCATCCTTCCTGCGATTCCTAGTAACAAGCTTGAATTAAACATTTTTGAAGAGACACATGATGATTCATTTTATCTATTAATTTTGCTTCAGTGACACTTGCATAGAAAGTTATTTAGGATAAGACATGCCTCTGGTGATTGTTTTGTTTTGTTTTTAATCAGCTAAGGATTTTGCAGAGAGAAAGAACAGCAAGCTCATTGCAAAGCTTCCTCAAGTAATAAAAGGGACACACTTTCAGAAAATGTCCTCAGAATAATTTTCCTACTATAAAATTGTTTCCGTAAAAATTAAGAAGCATTCTCTTTTAAAGAAAAAAAGAATTCTCTTTTCTTTTTTTTTATTTTTCGCTCTTACCTGTAAATATGGTTTCTGTACTTCGGCTCCGTCAGAACACACTGAAGAGAGTACACTCCTCCCTCGTCTATCCATCAGGCGGCAGCCAACCAATAACAAAAGCCAGATCCTGGCATTCTCTAGCTCATGCTCCCTGCTTTGCTTCCATTTCTTGTTCCCTCCCACCTCCACTCTTTTAGAGGACGAATCCCTGCAGCTGGGAGAGAGGAAGCGAGTGGAGAAAAGAAATATGGAGAGAAAAGCAGAGATGCAAGATATTTCAAAAAATAGCTCCCAACTATGGAAAATGTCTGCAGATGACCTCAGCTGAAGTAAAAAGTCTTGCTTTGGATTTAGAAAAATAAAGTTAATCAATGCCTCACCTACCTGAAATCAAAGCAAAATGCTCATAGTAAAACCTAGGTAAATTGCCTGTTTTTTAGTTCCCACTGATTTTTCTCAGTGAAAAAAGTGTACCTCCTCATTATACATTTTGATATGCAGACAGAGGAGGGAGACTGAACATCAAGATGACATTTTGCATATTCAGTTTGCAAAGAGATAGAATTAAAATGAATCAACACCCTTTATACTTATGTTTTATATTATTTGCACTACAACCTCTGTTTGACAATGTTTTCATTCAAACGCAGTTTCGAGGCCTAATCAGTATGAAAAATATTTCATTCTGAGCATTAGAATATTCAAATATTTCACAGTTATGTGGTTTGCATTACTTCAGATTCCTTAAATGCCATCAATTTGTGAATAATGGAACTTATTAAAGATTAAAAAGAGATCAGTCACTTGGTTGCCATGCCTCAAAGTGACCAGCTGAACTCCAATTTTATTCTAATAAACTTAAACAAAAATCATTTCACTTCTGAACCTAGAGGCATAACATGCATTAAAGGACAGTTAAAGAAAACACCAAATTAGGATTTTTTAAGGCAATAAAGCAAATTCATCCAGTTTCAAACAGTTTAATTTTTAAAATACTGTAATACAAACCAGGGATCTTTATGATAAAAATTCTCTCAATTGAGCTTCCTCTAGTGGAGGTGGTCTGAAAAATTTCCTTAGAAAGACATATACAGTAGATATCACCACTATAGAGGTATGTACTGGCTACTTGAGGTATTTATAAGCCTTGCTCTTCAATTTCTTAAATCAGTAATGTGTCCTCATGGGAATAAGGCCAAAGGGAGTAAAATTAGAGGGAAGGGCAAGCAAGCATTCTTTAAGAGTTACTGGCATGGTGGCAAATCATTAGTCCAGGAATATCTGTACAGGAAGGGCTTGGGGTGTCAATATTGTTAGGAAAGGAATGGCTGGTGACTTAAACTGATACTAACTTTAGATAGGAGTGCACTGATTTTGCTTAGTTTGCACTGTTATTTAGAGTAGCTTTGGGAGGCTCTGCTAAAGATTATGGGGAAGACTAAACTATCGCTTATTCCCACCGCCAAGTCCTCTGTTGTGAAAAATGCTTTCAAAGCCTTTGTGGTCCTATTGCTAGGAATAACTGGAGGAATCCCTAGGACAGACAGCATTTTTAGAAATAGTTGTTCGGGGCCATCTTCATCAGAACCACTAGGGGAAGATTCATTAAAAATGCAGGTTCATGGGCCTCCTCCAGATTTAATGAATAAGCATTTGAGGAGTTTCTGACTCAGCATTTTTAGCAAGCTCTCCCAGGTGATTTATATGTCAAGTGTGATTGTAGACAGAGACTTGTAGGCAAGTATTTGCAGGGCACAAATTCTAACCAGATTTCTTCTGTTTAGATGATGATGCCATTGTCTCAGAAAAAAAAAAAAAAGAGAGATTTAGAGATTTGGGAACAAAATAACAAAATTAATTTGAACGTTTTGAACTTTTTGGATATCCAGATTAAAATATTAAATAGTCAGTTAAACTCATAAATAAGGCTGGGATGTAGGTTCAATTTGGAACCCCCAGCATCTAGGGTTCGGTTAAAGTAATGAAAATAAATGAGCACCCTAAGGGTTTAATATAAAAATTTTATAAAGAACTCATAAAACTTAACAGTGGAAAAACAAACCCAATACAAAATGGACAAAAGGCCCAAATAGACATTTCTCCAAAGAAGACATAAAAATGGACAACAGGTTTATGAAAATATGCTCAGCATCACCAATCCTCAGGGCAATGTAAATCAAAATTACTAAGAAATACCACCTCATATTTATTAGGACGGCTGTTATCAAAATGTCTGCAGATAAATGTTGGAGAGAGTGTAGAGAAAAGAGTACTCTTGTACACTGTTGGTGGGAATGTCAACTGCTACAGCATTATGAAAAACAGTATGGATGATTGTAAAAAAATTAAAAATAGAACTACCATATGATCTAGCAATCTCTCTTCTGGGCATATACTCAGAAGTGGAATCACAACTTTGTAAAGATATCTGTATTACCATGTTCATTGCAGCATTATTCACAATAGCCAACATATGGAAACAACTTAAGCATTCATTGATGGACAAGGGGATAAAAATGTGGTACAAATACACAATGGAATATTATTCAGTCCTAAAAAATAGATCTTGCTTTTTGCCACTATGTAGATGAGCCTGGAGGACATTATGCTATGTGCTATAATCCAGACACAGAAATATTGCCTGGTCTCACTTATATGCAGAATCTTTGTAAAAAAAAAAATCAAATATATAGAGATAGAGAACAAAACAGTGATTACCAGAGGCAGGGACTGGGGGTATGGGAAGATGTAGGTCAGAGGATACAAAGAAGCATATATATATATATATATATGTATGTGTGTGTGTATATGTGTGTATATATATATATATATGATGAACAAGTCTAGAGATCTAATGTACAACATGAGGACTACAGGTAATGAAATTGTACTATGGGTTTCATGTAAAATAAGTAGATGTTAGCTACTCTTACCACAAAAACAACAAAAAAGTATAGCTATATGAAATGATGGATATGTTAGTTTGCTTCACTATAGCAAACTTTTACTAATTAAATATATATAAATATTGTGTTTAAGATAATATGAGGTTATGACATACATCGTGTTTAATTAAGACAATATGAGGTTACGTATGCCATATTTATATACATTTATTTTTTAAAAAAGAAAAACATCTTTAGCAGAATTAAAAATGCTGACTAAGAGACTCCACCCCATACCTACTGAATCAGAACCTTTGGAATGAAGCTTAGGGAGCTCCATTTTGATAACATTTTTCAGCTGACTTCCTTTGTACACTAAAGTTTGAGAATCATCACTCTAGGAAGAGGAGAAATAAGTTGAGAATGAAACTCAGGGAATTTACTTACCTTTAAAGAACAAGCAGAAAGCAGAATGAAGAAAAGATGCTTAGGAGGAACAGTTAGCGAGGAGGGAAGCCAGGAGAGAATGGTGTAGCAAAACCCAAAGGAGTAGAGAATTTCAGGAAGGTGAACGATTATGGTGAGGGCTAATGCCTTGCTATTCAAAGTGCAGTCCACTGATTCCAGCTTAGACATCTCATGGGAGCTGGTTCTAATGCAGAATCTCAGGCCCCACCCCAGTAAACTGAATCACAATCTGCATTGTAACAAGATCCACAAGCACACTCAAATTTTAGAAACATTGTTGTTACCTATGAAATTTGCAATTTGGTTCTTGGTGAACTGACAGTGAACAGTTTCAGTGGAGTGGTTGGGGTAGGGCAGGATGACTGCGGTGGTTGGAAAAACAGATGGAAGATAAAGAAATGGAGACAAGTACAGTGCTTTATATACACCCAGAACAAGGGTCTTCTAGCAAACACACTCATCACCAGACCATCTTTTCAATTCAGAGAAACAGAATAGGAGCAGAGGCAGAAAGTGAGCCTTGCTTGCTGCTGCAGGTCTCTACCTTACACCACTCATCAGACAGGCGTGACATGATGGGAATATCACAGGCTGATATTGATAGAGGGAGATGCTTTCCTAAGGAGCAGTGACAGTCAGGCCTTTGATGGCCACGGGAGCTCAGCTGCATGTTGCCTTGTTTGCCTGAAGCAAAGGTAATAGACCGTCTGAGAGTGTGTCTGAGTGACTTTAAAAATCTTTCATAACAAGAGAAATATTACAAAATTTCTAAAGGTTAAAATACCCTAAATTAAATAATAAAATATTCTTTAAAAGCTGAAAATAGAAATAAGCCTAAAGAGTAACATAATGGACAACTTTTAAGAAAGTCCAAAATTAGAGCAGGTTGTAATAGGAAGGGATTTCAATATGTTATGTATTAATTAAGTGAAGTTTCTTCCATTGAGCTGTAGAGGTAAGGTTTTGGGATAATATAATGACCACTAAGGAAATAGATGAGGCTTGGCACAGATCAAATGATTAAATAAAAATTTTTCATACCTAACTGTCCAAAGAGACTATCTTAATAAAACCTATATTTTTGAAAGTCAGAAATTTGTCAAGTGATTGGAATTGAAAAGATCTTAAGGAGTGGTAGTGCAGATGAATCAAAAATTATGTAGCTCAGAATCGAGAACACTCTTGTAAGAGACCAAAGTAATAAAAGTTAAGAGCTTCAAATTTGCTAAAAAAATAAGCTGAAGGATCAGTGGAACTATTTAATATCTCCAGTCTCATAACATATCAAGGGATATAAACAAAATAGAAAAAAATCATTTTTTATTCCAGTCTTCTTTGAGGAAGTCATTAACTGATTCCTAAATTGGTTTTTGAAATTGAGATTCAGAAGTATCAAATCCAAACATGATAAATAGCACTAAGACTACTCTTGACCTAATCAATACAGAGGAATAAGTAGATCAACAAATCCTGGTGGCAGCCATCCAAATGTTTGCAGAAACTCAAGGGTAAAATTAGGTACAACTGGCCAAAATATTTTACATGCTGCTATAAATTCCCAGAGGTGTTGAGAGACTAATAAACCACCAGTGTGGCCTATGTCCATGTGCAAAGACCATGATAATCAGACAGTAAGAGATGCTCAAAGATATTTCATAAAATAACTTATGTAGTGATGCAAATTAGTAAGAATTTATTCACTAGTTGCCTATAAAAATAACAATGCACTTCTAAAGTATGAATTCAGAGATGTTTATTGAGCATTTTTATGTGAAGACACTGTTCTTGGTACTAAGGTACTGCAGTAAACAAGACCAAGTCTCTGACTCTATGGAGCTACCATTCTGATGAATGAAAATTATATTTTAAATAATAATATACATAAAACATATGTATACAGTATAATATATACATATATGCTATAGAAGTAGTGTGCTGAATTGGTCAATGTGTAGAGAACCAAATTAAACAGCAGTCATACTTCCTGTCCTGGAGACGCATGCCAACAAAATGCTTAACAAAGAGGAGGATCGTGGACCATAGCAACAACTGGAATCTAAAAACTACTGCAAATAAGGCTGTTAATTTTACAAAATTAAGCAATGTTAACAAAATGTTCTCTTCTTTTACAATTTTTTTAAGAGACAAGGTCTCACCCTGTTGCCTAGGCTGGACTTGAACCTTGGGGAACCATCAGTCCTTCCACCTCAGCCTGTAGAATAGCTGGCATTGCAGGCACCAGTGTCCTCCCAGAGAACAGTAGATTATCTAAGTTTTCTGATCCTACTACATTTACAAGTAAACAAGAATAACCTATGAATAGCTTTCAAGTTAGCATGACTGAACAATAAAATAGTAGGTGATTTTCATTAGATACAAAGTTATAAGTTAAGAATAAGTAATTTAAACTTTAAATTGTGATGATGTTTGAATATCAATTGTAACTCAGAAAAAGGTTAACTTTAGACTGGTTCGTAAACACATTATTTCAAATTGTCCAAAAATATCCCCCCAGCCAACTTGTCTTCTGGAAAGGTATTAATGCAAATTTTATAGGAATAGGCTGATTTTATATAAAAATGTAGATTTTCCACACCTGAAATGCCATAGTAATTATTGGTTATCACATGTCAAGAAAGATACATAATGACAGGAAAACCTCTAAAGAAAGACAAACCAAGTGATCATTGGAATTAAGGGGTTTTGAATGAATTTGACCATGAGATTTAGATTTGAAACTGGTAAGACAAAAATGGAAAAAGGACACAACCCAAGTTTTAAAAATTTAAATGCAAATTTAAATTTTACTAATGTAAACAGAAGTTTCTTCACCAAATTGCAGGCAGCTTGAGCACTTGAAACGTAGGCAATCTCATAAACAATAAAAATACATAATTGTTTCTACTTTCTCATCTCCCTAACATTCCACATTTTAATTGCCCAACATGGATAGGAAATGCAGTGATTAGACTAGACTAGTTTCAAAATAATTTCAGTTTTATCTTCAAGGTTTGGAAATCATACATGAATTATACTTTATTTAATACTTAAATATGCAGAGCATAAGGTAGGGACTGGCAAATAATAGATGTTCAATAACATCTACTGGAAAAAGATACAAATCCACAGCAAGAGTAAGAATGGAGTTGGAAGGAAATGGAGAGAAAAGAAGAAAGCAAAGAGGATTGAGAGAGAGAGAGAGAGCACGTGAGTAAATCAGAACTGTACAGATAAATTGATATTGTCTTTACTTTGGCTGCCTCTTAGAATTATATTGAATAAGAATTTCAAACTCTCTGAGTAATGCCAGCTCCTGGAGCAAGGAGATGAGCTATAGATCTTAGAAATAAACAAGCAGTAACAGCCTCATACACCAGACCTGAGACTGATACTTTCCTTTGGTACTCGTCTATCTAATGATGCTCTGTCCAGAATATTCTGAGATAAATAAAAGTAGAGGAAAACAAAATAATGCCAAACTCCTTAATAGGAAACAATTTGGCAGGTGATAGTGAGAGAGAGCCCAACTAACATGGAAACATGCAATGAGCCTCTAAGATCCCTGCTGATTTTTGGTTAGGTAACAGAGCCAATAAGTTGAAAGGATGCTTGCATTTATGGCTGGTGAAGACTACAGAGACAGCCTTTACTAAAGTGTGAGTTGGCTTTCCCCCAAACATTACATTACCCTTGAATGGAAAATTGATCGGATGACATATGGTGATAACATCTGCCACCCATGGATAAAGCCGTAGTGCCATGTGGGTGGTAATGGAAGCTGTAATAGTGAGGGTGGAGAATTTAATGACAGTATGTAACACTGAGGAAAGTAACAGCACTCTGGAAGAAAGGAACAATTTGTGTAAATCTTTATGATGGGTACTACAGGACTACACATCCTGTTCTTCTGTAGTCATCCCAGAGTGAATGATAGAAATGAAAGCTGCTTCGTCATTTCATTATCTCCAAGTCGATCTGAGCCATAACCCCTATGGAGCTATTTCTCCCAGACAGTATTATGGGTAGGCACTCTTTCCTTTTCAATAAATAGATAATTATGTAACAAATTTGGGATGATAATAGCAAGAAATTGTAGCCATTTAAATTTATTTATATTAAAGACAAAAGTGAGGTCAAATACTTTACTTCAAAGAATGTATAAAAATATATTTAAATAAGAATTTTTGGAAATAAAACAAATGACAACATAATTAAGAATGCTATTGTATAAATGAAATATTTAAGCTTATTTGTTCTGTTTAATCCATACAAGAAGAAAATAAATGGTATATCCAGCTGCACATTGCAAACAGAAGAGTTTTATTTGCAAAACAGCAAAAAAAACATGGAAAATTTTTCCATGGTATACAGTGTGAGGTTTGGCCAAAGATGTCTATAAAATTCAAATATTCGAAATGGAAGCAGGTGTTCTGACGGACTTGGTAAGTAAAAATTATTCAGGTGAATTTTCTCCTTCACAACCACCAAAATGGCCTTAAAAACTAAGAATCCTAATATAATTTTTAAAAGCACTCTTGATTAGTTTATAGGTATTTCTATGTTTCATTAAATTCTGAAGAATGGTTTTTAGTTTTTCTCTTTCCTAAAGTGAGGGAAAGCAGCAGGTGGTTTATGGTGTAGCTCTGGTACACAGCAGACCTCAAATTGACTTCTTAAAGCAATCCATGGGCCAGGCACAGTGGCTCATGCCTGTAATCCCAGCACTTTAGAAAGCCAAGGAGGGTGAATCACTCGAGGTCATGAGTTCAAGGCCAGCCTGGCCAACATGGTGAAACCCGAACTCTGCTAAAAATAAAAAAATTCACCTGGTGTGGTGGCACGCGCCTGTAGTCCCAGCTACTTGGGAGGCCGAGGCAGAATAATCACTTGAACCCGGGAGGCAGAGTTTGCAGTGAGCCGAGATTGCGCCACTGCACTCCAGCCTGGATGACTGAGTGAGACTCTGTAAGAAAAAAAGCAATTCATGGTGAGTAACGAAATGTCTGGACTGATTTTTCTGTCCTTCTCTTACCACTCTTACATGCATATTTTGAAGCCTTTTCATCCTACTAGTTTTTCTTCCTATCTTCATTTGGGGGAAAAAAAATAACAAGATTTTAAGTTCTGATCTTGCCAAAGCAGATGCTATGAGGTATTTATCATTACCATTATTAATTAATTTATTATTTTCTAATAAAGTCCAGTTTTCAGTTGTAAATTTATTTAAAGCAGAGGATTAGGGATAAACTCTTGGCCAGGCATAGTGGCTCACACCCGTAATCACAGCATTTCAGGAAGAAGAGGCAGAAGGATCCCTTGGAATTCGAGACCAGGCTGGGCAACATAGAGAGACCTTGTTTCTACTAAAAAACAAAAACAAAAACAAAAACAAAAAAAACTTAGGCATGGTGGCACAGGCACTTCAGCCTGAGCAACAGGCAACAGGGCAAGACTCTATCTCTAATGATAATAATAATAAGCTCTTAAGCTTACAAATGAATAAACAAATATGGTGTGTTTTGTGATATTTAAGTGTTTGAAGCAAAACAGCAGTTGATCTATGAGAGGTATATATCATTAGCTTTGTCTTGTGTGTTTTAGGAAAAATTAGCATCTCACCTTTGTTTTGTGGATTTCAGAGAAGACTCTTCTGGACTGAGAAATATACACTCACTTCAAGAGAAATAAATGCTTGAATGTCTATCATGGTAAAGAACTGGTACTAGTGCAATAATAGAGAAAATAACATAAGGTCAATTGTCTAATTGTGAAGATAAAAATACACTTTAATATTATGAAAAATCAATATGTCAATTATTATTTTATAATATAATCATATGTTATAATTAAAGTGCTGGAGAGTCATAAAACTATATATTTTTTATAATGTACATGAGAAACATTTGGGACCCCAGCTAAAATCAAACTCCTGGTTCTTACCTCACACCCGCGAAATAAAAATCATGAAGTTTCTGTCTCAGAAATATGTATTTTTATAAGGTAAAGGACATTACATTTTAACTGTTTATTAATGATAATTTTAAACAAATACAAATTTAGAAAGAATAGATACAATAATTTCCATGTGTACTTCACCAAGTTTCAGTAATAACCCATGATTGTTGTTGTTTCCTTCAGACCCTATCCACTTCTACCCCATTATATTAAAGCACACTATGGGCTTCATATTATTTTACCCATAAATATTCATTATTTAAAAGAACCAGAAAAAATAACTGATAAAAGAAATCATAGATAACACAAACAAATGGAAAAACACTCCATATTCATAGATTAGAAGAATCAATGTCATTAAAATGACTGTTCTGCCCAAAGCAATCTACAGATTCAATGGAATTCCTATCAAATTACCAATGTCATCTTTCACAGAGTTACAAAAAAGTATTCTAAAATTCACATGGAGCCACGAAAAAGCCCAAATAGCCAAAGCAATCCTAAGCAAAAAGAACAAAACCAGAGGTATTACATTGCCTGACTTTAAACGATACTACAAGGCTGTAGTAACCAAATCAGCATGGTACTAGTACAAAAATAGACACAGAGATCAATGTAACAGAATAGAGAACACAGAAATAAAGCTGCACATCTACAATCAACTGATCTTCAACAAAGTTGACAAAAAGAAACAATGGGGAAAGGACACCCCACTCAATAAATTGTGCTGGGAAAGCTGGCTAGCCATATGCAGAAGAATGAAACTGTACCTCTACCTCTCACCATAAACAAAAATTAACAAGATGGATTAAAGACTTAAATTAAGGCCTCAGACTGTTAAAAAAAATTCTAGAAGTAAACCTCTTCTGGACATTGGAAATGCCCAGAATTTGGGCAAGAATTTTGGCAAAAAATTTATGACTAAGCCCTTAGAAGCAAATGCATCAAAAACAAAAATTGACAATTGAGACTTACTTAAGATATTCTGCATAGCAAAAAAAAAAAAAAAATCAACAGATTAAACAAACAACCTACATAATGGGAGAAGATATTTTCAAACTATGCATCTGACAAAGGACTACTATCTAGAATCTATAAAGAACTTAAATCAATAAGAAAAAAACTCACTAAAAAGTGGGCAAAGGACATAAACAGACACTTCTTAAAAGAAGATATACAAGTGGCCAACATGAGAAAATGCTTATCACTAATCTTCAGAGAAATGCACACTAAAACCACAATGAGATACTATCTCACACCAGTCAGAATGGCTATTATTAAAAAGTAAAAAAATAATAGATGTTCGTGAGGATGCAGACAAAAGGGAATGCTTATACACTGTTGGTGGGAATGTAAATTAGTTCAATCCCTATAAAAAAACAGTATGTAGATTTCTCAAAGAATTGGAATTGAACTGCCATTTGACCCAGCAATCCCACTACTGGCTATATACCCAAAGGAAAAGAAATTGTCCTATCAAAAAGACAGCTATACTCATATGTTTATTGCAGCACTATTCACAATGGCAAAGTCATGGAATTAACCTAAGTGCCCATCAACCATAAATTGGATAAAGAAGATGCAGTAGATATACATCATGGAATACTATGCAGCCATAAATAAGAATGAAATCATGTCCTTTGCAGCAACATGGATGCAGCTGGAGGCCATTATCCTAAGTGAATTAAAGTGAATTGATGTGGAAACAGAAAATCAACTACCACATGTTCTCATTTAAAAGTGGGCACTAAACAATGGGTACATATGGGCACTAAGATGGAATCAATAAATACAGGGAACTCCAAAAGTGGGGAGAAAGGGAGAGGGGCAAGGGGTTGAAAAAATACATATTGGGTAGGGCACTATTTTCACTATTCAGGTAATGGGTTCAATAGAAGCCAAACTCCAGCATTATGCAACACACCCTTATAACAAGCCTAAAAACATACCCCTGAATCTGAAAAAAATTTTAAAAATTATCTAAAAGACAAGGAAACTTCTAAAAATACCTTTATTCCATATAAAAAATACACAGTTGGTGTTCACATTTCTCCAAATGTCTCATGAGTGTTTTCTAGATTTTTGTTGAAATCAGCATCCAAAGAAAGTCCATTCATACATAGCACACTGCAAATGGTCTCTTTTAACCTACAGGTTGCCCTGACCCACCTCCCTTTCTCTCTCTCTTTCTCTCCTGCTGTAATTTATTTGTTGATGAAGCCATAGCCTTTACTCTGTAGAGTTTTCCGTGGTCTCAATTTTGCTGATTGCTTTCCCAATGTGTTATTTAATATGTTCCTCTGGTACTTAAATCTAGATGTTTGGTTACCTTCACACTTTATTCCTAGATTGTGTATGTAGTGTTAGTACAAGTTTGGGTTGATTTTCTTTTTATGATGTTAGGTATTCATAATCATAACACATCTATAATTTTATCTGAAGCTGAAAATTAATGATAACCAAATCTTATTATTCCTTGTACATTTAATAGCAAATTGAGAAACTTTGTTCATTTTTTGTTTATTCTGAGTTAATAATTCATAGGGGAAAGAGAATAAATCTTATTTTTCCCTTTCTTCGCCACTTTTGAAAGAATGAGATACGATAGGCTAAAGAGTATATGCATACTCAATTTTGTTGGAATTTACTAATTCCTTATTTACGAGGTTCTGTGCTTTCGTATGACCACCAGCAACCATGTTTGAGGGTATTTGTTTCATCACAAACTTGACAACAGAGTATGTTGTGGATGTTTTCCTGAAAAAGGTAAAATATATGCTAGGATTTTAATTAGACTGGATGGAGGATATATTTTGTTTCCTTTGTTTTTTTGTGTTTGTTGTTTTGCTTTTTTTTTTTTTTTTCCGAGGCAGGAAAAAAAAATAAAACATTACAAAAATGTTTTCTGTCATCCAGCCTAGAGTGCAGTGTTGCAATCTCAACTCACTGCAGCCTCTGCCGCTGGGGCTCAAATGATCCTCCCACTTCAGCCTCCTGAGTAACTGGAACTACAGGCGTGCACCACTATGTCCAACTAATTTTTGTATTTTTTGTGGAGATGGGGTTTTGTCATGTTGTCCAGGCAGATCTTGAACTCCTGGGCTCCAGTGATCCTCCCACCTTGGCCTCCCAAATTGCTGGAATTATAGGTATGAGCCACTGTGCCTGGCTCAAGCATTTTTATTATTCCATTTTCTCCTTTACACATTCTTTTACCACTTAAATAGTGATTAGTCTACAGCCAACATTTATTAAAGTTTAATATAAATAAGTACTTTTATCCTTTTCCCAAAAATGTAAGAATTACTTATCTTTTTCTAAGTTTTTTGTCCTACTGTTGTGATGGATTTTAATTTTAGTTTTTCATACATTTAAACCTCATAGGAATTTACTATTTTTTAAACAGTGTATATCCATTTAGTGTAGGCACATATTTATAATTTGTATTGTTCTTTTTTCAGTTTTATGTTATTGCATGAAATCATTTTCCTGTTGCCTAAAGAAATTTCTTTGATATTTCTATGGGTGCAGGTCATCTGATGATAAATTTAGTATCCTTTCTTTCAGTATTCTTAATTTTTCATTTTAAGCAGTTTTACTGTGATTTATTTTTTATTTATTAATTTGTGCTATTTATCTTGTTTGGGATTGTAGTGCTCCTCAAATCTTTGGTTTCTTTCATCAGCTTTGGAAAGTTCTTTGTCTTTGAATATTCTCTCTCTTCTCATTTTCTGTCTTCCACTTTTGATGCTTCAGTTTCGTATATGTTAGACCATTTCACTATGTCATATGTATTGACTCTCTGCTTATGTATATCTTCCATCATTTTTTCCCTTTACTTTAGTTTGGATATTTTCTTCTAACTTTTCTTCCACCCTATTAATTCTCTGTTTAGCTATATCCAGTCTGTTACTAAACTCATTTATTGAGTTTTCAAACTTAGTATGCTTTTTTAATTCTAAAATTTTTATTTGCTTTTCTTTTATAGGTTGCAATTTTATATTAAAATTCTTTATCTTTTCATCTATTTTAAGGTACATCTTAGTCACCGTGGTTTTAAAATCTCTTTCTGGCAACTTTGGTTTGTGGATTAAGAACTGTTTCCTGCCAGGCTTTCCAGATCCTTGTCCTGTGCTGAGAGTCAGCAGATGTCCCAAGGGGAGAAGTGGTGCATAGAAAGTTGGGCTGAACTCAATTGCAGCTCAATTCAGTCTCCTCTTTTCTCCAGGATCTGGTTCCACAAGTCCTGGCTGCCTTGACAGCTCTCCAATTTCCTCAGAACTAAAAAAAATAAAAAAGAAATTTTTAAAAACTGTTTCTTCCTGGTTATTCTCAGGAGATAGATACATCATCTGCTGCAAGCTACTGCATTGTGTCTGGAACTGAGAGTTTGGCTCAAGAGGCAAATGATCTTAAGAGACAATATGAAAAATAGTTTGATCTTAAGAGACAATATGAGAAATAATTTTATAACCAAAACAGATATAAAAGATATGATAATAATAATAAATATTGCTGTTAATATGTTAAATGATATTATCCTTTTCCCATCAAGAAGACAAGATTTTAAGCCTGTTACCCTATATTTTATGCTGATGATAGTAATGAAATTGTATTCATTTCTCAATGCCCTAATCCTTCATACTATATGCTAAGTTTAGTACTAGCAATAAGTTCCTTGTATTGCATACCAAGTTTCTGCCAGGAACTTAGCTACCTATCTACCTATAGTATTTATAGAATTTTACTTTAACAGTAAAATGTCTTCATTTTTTACTAGCACCTCCATTTTTTATGAGAAAAAGTCAAGGTTTGAACTCAAATCTGTCTTTTACACAATAAAATACTGCTAAATGTATGAAAATCTATTTATTATAAAAAATACATTGATAAATTTAGGAATTAGATCTGGTAGTAATTCCTGCAACTACTAAAAGTTCTGAAATGTTTTAATTTTATTTGCAGCTTTTCAATATATAATTTAAGTTTAGTTTCTGAAACTGCTGCTAAGAAGATATACTATTTTCATAGGCAGTTCATATACATAAAATACAATATATGTGTATTAAATTCTTTTAGATAATATCCCTTTTAGCATGTTGAAAAGAATTATGTATTTTAAAATATTTCACATGCAATATGGATGTAATATGGCACTTACTTTTTTTTTTGTCTTCTTTCCTATTCTATCAAATGCAAACGCTATAATTTTCCTGTAAGTTTTTTTTTTTCTCTTTGGCAACACAGCTTTGGCCCCAGAAAGAGATGTTCAAGAGCTCTCTCTTATGTTTCCACTTTCAGACCTTCAGAGTTGTGGGGTATTTATCTACAGGTCCAAGTACACAATTGCATAGGTAAGCATTTATACCTGGGAAAATAAAAATTTTGCCAAGGTAAATTTTTCCTCTCATGCTTTGTTAGGGTTTCTGTATGATTTAGTTTTAGCTGATTTTTGCCTCAAAAGCAAAGTTGTCTTTACCTGGCTTGCAAAAGCCTTGGGTTTTTCTTTGAGCCTGGATGGCAAGTTTATCTATATGAGATATTTCCAAACTGTTAAAGGATAAATAAATCTTATTCAATATTTCTACAAAGTCTAACTTGAGCCCAGGTCACTTGAAAATACCTACAGATAGACAACACTCAATAATGAGGGAAGAGAATAGGAATCATAAAGGAAGGTTAGCAATTCTATGCCTCGTCTGATAGCTGGGCATATAAATAAGCTAAGTCTTCAGTGGTTACCAGTCTCCTGGACTTCCACCTTATATGGAGCCCAGACTCACCTGTTGGTCCTCTTTGCTTTTGACATACTCATCTGGCTCAAGCAGCTGCAAAAGGAGTCCTTGGTCTGCCTCTAACTTCTAGACCTTTCCTTAAAGTTACCCAAATAACTGTGGTGGTGTTGTGTAAGAAGGCTGTAGGAGATCCTCGCCTCTAGATCTCTTCCTTTTAATACACCAGGCTCACACCAAGAGGGAACTGACAAAATAAATACACCTAGGGTTGCAAAGCAGACAATGCTCCTCATTTTTCTTTTTTATGATTCCTATCTGTGCACCCTTCTCCAACCAGAAAAGAATCTTGGATTGAACATTCTGTGAGTTCCTCTGAGAAACTTTATTTTTAAAATTTTTATTTCTTGGGCTTTCCAAGGTAGACATTTTATAAGCTTTCTAGATAATTGGGCCCGAGAAATGAGAAATAACTTTTTGGCACAGAGTAAACAAATTGGTCTTGGGCCAATCTTGGTCTCTAGGAAAGATGGCTTAAAAAGGAAATCTAAGATAGCTATGAAGTAGGAATGGGCAATGACGAAATAGGCATGTTTCTTTTTAAAATGTCATTGGTAGGATAGAAAAATACGTGTTTTTCCAAAGATGAAAACACGATTATATCATGGTTTGCTCCCGTTTTAAGTCTTCAGACTCAAGTTATGGAGAGAGAAAGAAAACCCCACCTTATTTTCATGAGGTGTTGCCCAGTGTATTCTACCCTCTCCCTTAAATTCTGATGTGTGAAACAAACATTCATAGCCAGATAGCTCCCTAGTTACCGTGCAGGCGCAGCTGCTGAACATAGCACTGTTGCAACTAGTTTTGACACCAGCCATTTGTGCTTGAAGAAATGTCTAATTTTTGGCTTCCCTCAGATGGTTTCACACTCTTATAGCAAGTGGGGTTTTTATTCTAACACTCATTTTGGGTCAAACTACACCCACTTTTGGGAACCCACCAACACAAATGTTAATAATATGCAGATCTGGCCTTTCCTAAGATGGCACTGCATCAGCCAAACTTCATTTCCTGGGGAGGTTGCTAAGAAAATCATTAATCTTGCCAAATTTCACTAATGTGCTGAGTAGACCTGATGTTATCATATGGGTGTTTATCTGGAGCCAAATCTCTGTACATACATATTGATTATCTCCTTTTTTGTGTGTTTTTCCTGACTACTAATTTCCATAAAAATAGTTTGAATGGTCTCAACAACGTGCGTTCCCCTTAAACAATATCAATCACAATATTTTTGTGTAATTTCTCACATGAAAGTCAAATAACTTTCCATTCTTAAGAAATAGTCACATGACTTAACCCAGACTGGTTCCTCTGTTGGTTATGATGGGTCATCTGATCTACCTCTGTGAAATTAGATTGCTTTTCAAAAATTGCCAAACTAGGCACTTCCCTCTGGATGTCTCAAAAGCTGCATGCCTTCCCTGCCTTATCACCTGCCACAACTTTGTTTTCTGAAATTCTAAACTCATTATTACTTTGTAATTACGTGATGCTCTCTCACTCCCGTGTGTTCATACATTTTCTTTCTTCTAGTCCTTTACACTGAAAAGCTTGGCAAAATTCCACTTAGCTGCAGAAATTCAGATAGGACTCTGAAGCCTTTCCCCTTTCTTTCAGAAACACTGAGCTTCAGGGTCTCCTTTCCCTCTGCCGCTACTGTCCTTGGTATCACCTCCACTGTAGAAATATTGTTAGCATGTGGTAATGGTTTGTTTCATGCCTGATGCAATGAGCAGAAAATTTATTTTAGGGTATATATTAAATATAATATATAATACTATAGTATGAAAAAAGATTTTCTTCTTCCAGAAGTGAGAATAAATACACTTAATAGTAAGACTTTAATAATAGAAATGAGCATTTCATCACAAAAGTAGTAACTGGTGCATATTAAACACTCCATAAACAACACCGAATAAAGGAACAATGTGGTTGTGTTGACCTCTCTTTAAAATTTTTAGGTCTTGATGTTGCAGCAGTAGTGAACAGCAAAGCAGTTTGAGCAAGTAAAGCTTAAAATAGTACAACAGCTTGGGTGCCACAATGTGCACAGTGCCCAAGGTAAAAGCAGAAATGCTGAGCACTGAAGGCTTAGATGAAAGTTGCCACCTAATAACTTCTTCTGGAAACATTCAAAGAAACCAACCTGGGGGGAAAAGTAAGAAAGAAGGAAAGAAAGGAATGGGGGGAGGGTGGGGGAGAAGGAAGAAAGAAAGGAAGGAAGGAAGGAAAGGAAGGAAGGAAGGAAGGAAGGAAGGAAGGAAGGAAGGAATTGTATAATAGCAAGGCTGGCAAATAGAGATTAGCCAATTCCCACCTCGCCGAGTTTTTTCCCTTATTATTTTTATAAGGTGGATAAATTTTGAGAAGCAATTGAATTTTATATACATAAAATCAAGTACATGTACATACCCCATCCCCAAGCACACACATTTTATTCATTTATTTCTGTGCTAAGTCAAGATCAGTGGTGTGTTTTCTATTTAATAGCATGCCTGCGAAAGAGACTATTTCTGATAAAGATACTACAAAAGATCAATACAGCATTCCTTAAACACAATATCCACTCTGGGAAAATATTAAAAAGATGTATGCGTGTTCTAGTGAGAAGGGATAGAGGAAGTTTTCTTACTTTATTCCTTCAGTTTCTGAGTAGTTGCAACTAAAGCTATGAGGCTGAACTGGGCCAGATAATAAAAAAAGCTTTGTCAAAGAAAAGCAACCACTTTCCTATCGTTACTCAAGCAATCGTACAGTGTGGAGGGTGAGCTGTCAGAGTGATCACCTCATTATTTTCTTTCAAAACCCAAACAACGGATTCCACAAACGCATGGCAAATATCAATAGAAATGGAAATGATATATTTATAACCCAATAGGACCTATTTCATGATGGTCTTAATGATTTCATTAGGTTGCCAAGTAGGAAAGAATTAAAAGACAGAGGGAAAAAATGTCAGAGAAAGAGAAAAATCATAAGGATGTATAGTGCTTATAGCAAACAGATCAAAAGCATATTGATAAAAGCCACATAGAAATAACAGCAGCAGTATTGTTTACTCATTGCTGTGCAGTTAGATAAAATATGTTTAAGCATTTTCCAGAGTTAATCGTGTATTATTTACTCATTCACTCAACTGATGGGAGTGATCATGAATTATATTTCTGAAAAAGGGAAAGATGCATTTATAGAATAAGAAATAAACTCCTGGTGCATTTATGAACAAGAACTTTAAAGGCATGAGCTCATTTAATTCCAATGACACTTCAAGATAGGTATTACGACCTCACATTTACAGGTGGGAAAATGAGATCAGAGAAATTCGGTAATTTGTGTGAATTAACCCCATTAGGAATTTAACACAGAAACATCTGGCTCTTAAAAATATTTCACTAATCCCTTTGAAAAACCATGTAGAATGAGTCTTTTCCCAGTAAAAGACATACACACAAAACCTGTCCATAGATTTCCCCCACTGACCAATCCCACCTACAGTCAGATAAGATCCAGGGTCATATCTTGCTTCCTCAGAGTGAATGCTCACTCACCCCAAGCAAGCATTTTTCTTCCCTAGAATTAAAATCTTAGTAGTAAACAAGAGATTTTTTAAATTAAGTACGTGGATATAGACAGCTTACTATCAGATTGTTTTTAAGATCTGCATGATAACTTCAAAGGAAAATGCTAAAATGGTTGAAGTAAGACTTGATGATGCCATACACATCAATATAAAACACATGAGTAAAGTGCATTAAGGCTCACATCTTTTTTCAACACAGTAGAATCTCAAGCTTCTAGGATCAATAATTGTATGAAACTGGTGAACAAATACTAGAACACTATTGTGCCATGTAAATGGCATTGTATATTCACAGTAAAAACCTATTTATTGACATTGAAAGAGTACATATAAGTTAACGTTTGTGTGTGTGTGTGTGTGTGTGTGTGTGTGTGTGTAGAGAAAGTTCTAGAAGAATATATTGAAATGTTGAAATTTTTATTTATGGAGATAAGGTAATTTTTAAAAATTTCCTTATGCCTATTTGCATTTTCAAAGTTTTATATAATAAGTATGCATTATATAAAATTACTTAATAATTTAGCATAATACATCATTGCTCAAATGTCAAAACTTCATGAACATTGAAATCCTTTTCTTAAAGCCAAAAGTTAGCTTTATGACTTGGAATCATTTTCTGCACACAGATATTCCACCAATTTAAGCTCAGAGAGAAGTAAGAGTCTTTGGCAGGAAACAGCACCTTCCTGCTAGTGTTCTGTCAGAAAAACATTAATCTTGACTTCAGTGCGGGGTGACATCTAGTGAAGTGTTTCTGCAAATGATTGCTGGTTATTACCATCATTGTTCTTTCTCTTGCCTCTTTTCTTTCAGTATACAGTCCTTAACATGCCTGTTCCTTTACAAAGCATGCATGTTTCCCCAACCTAAAGAAGGCAGTATTTGAGCTGTGCATATGCATATGAGAGTCCTTATTTTGTGCACCTTGGCAAGAGAGAGCTTTTCTGTGTGCCATGTAAATAACACACACTTTTTTCTCTGGAAAACAATGGTAGAGCCTCAGATTTTGGATTATGATTCACCTAGCTTTTCATCTGTTAGTAAATAATAAGGTAACATCATAGTTGCTAAGGCTTAAGAGAGTTAGGAAGTCAGTATCTATAGTCAGCCAACAGGTTAAAGACCAACACTATCCCCACTAATACGCTTCAGTTTTGAGGAATAGTCAACTATTCCTGAGAGGGGCAAATAGGGGCCCTTAATCTTTTGGTTTCAGGCAGATAGACTAATAATCAATACTGAAATTACAGATCAAGACTGGATGAGTAAGACCAGTAACTTAGCTATGAAATGGAACCTGTTGTCTACAGTCAGGATTGCTCCTAAAGAATAGGGCAGGTAGAAGTCAAGTTGCCTCGGAAATGGGGAAAACATACCATAGGCAGAGCTTGACAATATGTGGAAATAGATAGTCCTTTGGAATTATCTTACAGAATTTAGTGTAGTCCCTCTCCATGTTAATGTTTAAATTATCAGAGTTTCATTTAACAGCATACCCATAGTTGTGAATTATTGATGTAAGTTTGGGGATCATGACTCTTCTGGATTTTAAAAGAAATTTTGACATCACAAACACTCTTGGCCAGCCATAACAGAGATTTAAGCACTGGATATTCTGTAGTATCATTCTTGTACTAAAAAAATGTAAGATCCATGAAGCTCTATCAACCTCAGAGAGTGGGATGGGCAAGGGGAAGTGGTGGGACAGAGAAGGATGGGAGTCACATGACAAAGCTTGCTAGTTGTCCTAAAGAAGCAGTTATTATATGTTACAATATTTGCCCTAAAGCATAAGGTTGTCTGTAGGTTCCATAGTCATAAAATTCAGATGGTAGTCAATAAATACCAAAGGAGTAAAAGAAACAGGTTGAACATACAAAAATAAGATATTAAAGTAGCATACTAAAAAATCCACAGAATTAATAAAATTGCCTTAAGAAAAAGTTAAGATATCATTACATATCCATTAAATGAGCAAAAGCTATAAGAATCCATTGGTGACAGGTTACGGTAAAAAGGTAGGCATATATTTTAAATGCCATTGTAAATTGATTCAAATTTTCTGCAAAGCTATTTGTAACAAAAAGCTATATAATGTTTTTTTTTCCTTTGACCTAGTAATTTCACTTTGGGGAATGTATTCCCAGAAGATAATCTTAAAGCAAACAAGTAATTTGTTCCAAGCTGTTCGTACAAAGCTGTTTAAAAAAGGAAAATTTGAAAAGAATTCAAATGTCCAATAATAAGCGATTGTCCAGTGAAACTCATGTTTGATACCATGGGATACTAGCTGGTTTATTAAGTCATATGCACTTTGTCCATACAGATGCATATTCACAGTAAATTATTAAGTGAAATAAGAACAAGATCCATATGGGAAACCTGATTAGAGTAATAAATACACATGCATGTGCATGACGAGACTAGGAAGTAAAGGGAGGGAGGGAATACAGATTTATTAATATCTTGAGGACCTCTGTGTTCCAAGGTCTTTACATAATTCATCTCTTTTAATCTCTGAGCAACTTTGTGAGACAGATTTTATTTATCCTGTTTCTACTCAAGAAATCAAGTGGTTTGACTATGGTCATGCAGCTGGGAAAGTGATGGAGTTGGAATGAGAACTGTGTCTGGGATTCAGAAGTTCGTGGCTTCCCAGTTCGTTATGTTGAACACATTTTCTGAAGTTCTTTTTAAAAAACACTAGTCTCATCTCATGATCATTCAAAATGGATTGATTGGTTGAATACATTTGAAAAGTGTGTTAAAATATATCCTCCTAATGTTAATTAGCACAAACTTTTGCAATCTTAGAGTAAATAAGCCAGTTTACATTTGTTTAAGACAGCATTTCCCACACCAGTAAATCCTGTGTGCATGTGTGTGTTAACTGTTTGTTATGTGTGTGTGGCATACTGTTTGTTCCCAGTTCTGCAGAACAGTTTGGGAAACACTGATTTAAAGTGTTGTCCTCATTAGATGTATTCTTTTAAGTTTAAATATTAAAGCATCTACATTTATAAAAGTTAATTATCCCTACTGTGTATGTAAACCTCTATCTGAAGGTGCTCAGGGGATTAAATGCAAATTATGGAATTGCTCAGAACTCAAATGTAAATAAATCTATGTATCCATATTTTCTCTTAACTTTAGAGTGATAAGTGGCAACTCTAAATATTAAGACAGAAAATTACCATGGAATCCCTGGAGTTAGTCTCCCTTGGAGGAGCAAGTACATGGCAAGTTGTCCTGTAGATAAGGATAATAAAAATTTTGATGCTTTCAGGGTCAAAAAATTAGCTATCAAAGTAGACAATGAGGAAAAAGTAGAGGATGAGGATTCTGAGTCCATGAGGTGGCACTTTCTGAAAACAATACTAACCCAACACCTTGAGGGGTGATTGTGTTGGTAAACATAAAGAAATAAACTCTAAGAACTATAACCCTCTGGTTAGACGACTGCTGTTTATCCCAAAAGCATCACTTCAAGGCTTGTGGCAGTGACCATACTAGAGGATCCATCCTTTCCCTCTGTTGCTGACCTTTGGGTTCAAGCATTGCATTTACAGAAAGCCAATTCTGAAGCCATCACAAGGCATCACAAATAGAGGGCTCAGATGTGTGGTTTACCCCATAATCTGTATCAGCCTCTCATGCCTCCATAATTTCTTGTATTGCAAAAAAAGCTTTGTCTAGGGAGTGTTTTTTGCTATGCAATTATAACATTAAGACAGTTTTTGAAGGACTATTCCCATTCCCACCATGTACAAATTCTGGTGTTGTCTCTGGAATGATCTTATACTAGGCTCTACTCTGACCATCTTTTTCAGCATGTCCAGCAAGTGGTTCCTGGTTCCATCAATGCTCCTATCTCCTCTACTTCTTACATCTGAGCTTTGAGAAAATTGAAGAATCTTTAGTTTTAGAGACCCAGGCCACTTTACCTAGCAGCCCTGCCACAGAACAAGGAAAATTGACACCTGGATGGTGGTTATGAACTAAACCATCTTTGGCACTTAGAATGCAATTAGCTAAGGCTTTATAGATTCTCTCTTCAGTTGTCAGCATGGCAATATGGGACTGAGATGGATTGGTTGTTCTTCATGAGATCTTGATTCTGGATATCCTGGAATGCATTACAGGGCCTGGTGTGGGGATTTAGAGGAGGACTTAGTCCACTTCTGGACCTATTACTATTTCCACCATATTTTCATCATGTGTTATTACCACTATGTGGAGATAAACTGGCTAAGATGTCTGTGTGCCCACCTCCCAGAGTAATTCAGTAGAAATCTCTGGCCGTTGATTGAGCACTGGTATTTGTTTCAGTTTCCTAGATGATCTGGGCTAAGAATCACCTATGTAGAGAGTCATCTTAATTACACCCTTGAAGTGCACCTTGTGATATATTGTATGGTTTAGGTCCTCTCTAATCTTACCAGCCATACTTCCCTCTGCAGATTTTAGTCATCTTTTGCCTGGTTGATTCTGTTTCCAATTTTGTGTAGTTTCTGAAACAAGGAGCGATGCCTGCTGGATCATCGGAATATAAAATCTCATCAGTGGCCAAAACATTAACTGAGGAAATACAGACACTTCAGAGATACTGTGTGTTCTGTTCCAGACTGCTGCTATAAAGCAAATATCACAATAAGGCAAGTCACATGAATTTGTTTCTCAATGCATATAAAAGCTACATCTATACCTCACTATAGTCTATTAAATATGCAATAGCATTATGTCTACAAAATCAATGTACATATCTTAATTGAAAATACTTTCTTGCTAAAAAAAATGCTTATGATTATCTAAGCCTTCAGCAAGTCTTAAACTTTTTGCTGGTAGAAGGTCTTGCTTCAATGTTGGTGACTGCTGACTGATGAGGGTGGTGGTGGGGTAAGGTTTTGGTGGCTGTGGCAATTTCTTATGACAAGAAAACATTGAAGTTTGCCACCTTGATAAGCTATTCTCTTCTCTGCAGTGCTATCAAATGTGATGCTATTTTATAGCATTGCCCACAGTGGAACTTCTCTCAAATTTGGAGTCAATCATCTCAAATTTGCCACCGCTTTACAAACTAAGTTTCTGTAATATTTCAAGTCATTTGTTGTCATTTCAACAGTATTCACAGCATCTGCATCAGGAGTAGTCTCCATCTCAGAAAACCACTTTCTTTGCTCATCCATAAGAAGCAGCTCCTCATCCGTTCAAGTTATATCATGAGATTGCAACAATATAGTCACACTTTAGGCTCTGCCTCTAAATCTAGTTCTTTTCCTATCTCCAGTACATCTGCAGTTACTTCCTCCACTGAAGTCTTGAACCCCTTAAAGTCATCTATTGATCTAAAGTTGCCTCTCAAAGTTTGGAATCTCCTTGTTCCAGACTCCCATTAATGTTGATATTTTGACCTCCTCCCACGAATCACAAATGTTCTTAATGGTCTGTAGAATGGTGAAATTTTTTCCTGAAGACTTTCAATTTGTTTACCCCAGTTCCATTAGAGGAATCACTATTTATGGCAGCTGTAGCCTTACAAACTGTGTTTCCTTAAGAGTAACACTTGAATGTCAAAATTACTTCTTGAGTCATGAGCTGCAGAATGTATGTTGTGTTAGCAGGCATGAAACAACATTAATCTTGTTCATCTCCATCAGAGCTCTTGAGTGACTATGTGCATTGATAATAAGCAGTAATATTTGAAAGAGATCTTTTTTTTCTGAGCAGTAGGTCTCAATATGAGCCTAAAATATTCAGTAAAACATGTGTAAACAGATGTGTTGTCATTCAGGCTTTGTTGTCCCAATTATAGAGTCTGGGTAGAGTAAATTTAGTATAATTATTAAGGGCCCTAGGTTTGGGGAATGACAAATGAGTACTAATTTCATCTTAAAGTCACCAGCTATACTAACTCCTAGTAAGAGAGTCAACCTGTCCTTTGAAGATTTGAAGCCAGGCATTGACTTCTCTCTGGCTGTGAAAGTCCTAGATGGCATCTTCTTCCAACAGAAGGCTGTTTCATCTACATTGAAAATCTGTTGTTTAGTGTAGCCACCTTCATCAATGGTCTTAGCTAGATCTTCTGGATAACTTGCTGAAGCTCCTCCATCAACACTTGCTGCTTCCCCTTGCATTTCTATGGTATAGAGACAGCTTCTTTCCTTAAACCTCATGAACCCACTTCTGCTAGCTTCCAACTTTTCTTCTGCAGCTTCCTCGCCTCTCTCAGCCTTCACAGAATTGAAGAGACTTAGGGCCTTGTTCCAGTTTAGGCTTTGGCTTAAGGGAATGTTGTGGCTGTTTTATCTTCTATCTAGACAACTACAACTTCCTCCGTATCAGCAATAAAGCTGTTTCGCTTTGTATTTATTTATTCGCTTCGTTATTATTCATGTGCTCGCTGGAGTAGTACTTTTAATTACCTTCAGGAACTTTTCCTTTGCATTCACAACTTGGCTAACTGCTTGGCACAACAGGCCTAGCTTTTGGCCTATCTTGGCTTTCCACACTGCCATCTTCACTAAGCTTCATCTTTTCTAGCTTTTGATTTAGAGTAAGAGACATGCAACTCTTCCTTTCACTTGAACACTTATAAGCCACTGTGGCCTCATTTCAACATTATTGTGTCTCAGAGAACAGGGAGGCTGAAGAGAGGAAGAGAGATGGGAGAAGGGCCAGTCAGTGGGGCAGTAAAAACACACACCTTTCTGGATTCACTTTGCTGTCTTCCATGGGCATGGTTTGTGGTGTCCAAAACAATTACAATAGTAACTTCATAGATCAACGGCCACAGATCACCATAACCGATATAGTAATAATGAAAGAGCCTAAATATTGCCAGAAACACCAAAATGTGACACAGAGACCCAAAGTGAGCATATGCTATTTGTTACCACAAACCTTCAATTTGTTAAAAAATGCAATAGAAATGAAGCACAATAAAATGAAGTATGCCTATAGGAAGTTTACTTCTCATAAGAATGATCTGGTTTATACTAACAAAGGTCTATTAAAAGTTTCTTGAGTCTTTAGAAAAAGGGTGCTTTAAATGCAGAAAGCAAAATGCAATGTAATAATATAAGCACAAGGAAAGAGATTATTCTTGCAATTTGCTTATGTAATTTTCTCTCTCTCTCTGAATTACGGGTAGTCTCTAAGGCATTCATCAGATAATAATCTGGTAGAAGAAATACAGAATATACCGATTCTCTTCCATTAGCAAAACCCTACCTGAAAGCTGAATATTGTATTGCAATTAGATATTATTACACTGCCTGCCTCTCAGGTGTCAGACCTTACCACCTACTCAAACAAAACCTTCTTGTCACTTCCTGACCCATAAACACAAATGCTTTCATTACATGATCAAAGCTGTGAAACAACTCCCAGACACTTCATCCTCACACAGGATGTGCTTTCAAACTTCCCTCCTGACTTGTTAAGGAAATAGCTACATCAAATCACAAACATCTAAGATTGAAGAGCACTGAAATGTTTGTTTGATATCCAGGATGATTTTAGGCAAGCTTTTATGTCAGTTTGAACTTTAGTTCCTTCATCTGTGAAATAAGAGTTTGGTCTAACCATTCTTGGGAAACTGTTATCTCATTGGCTAATTTTGTCCTGCAGATATGTTTTATTTGACCGGCAGTGCTTTTTTGTATGCATCTGTGGCCAACATTTAAAAATTAGAATGTTTATATAAAAGCCCATTTCTGGATTCTCTTTTAAACATTGGTAGATCTGGCCTACATTCTCCCTTGGCAACAATTAGCTGGAGCTGAGTCTTTACTGCTCATCCTCTTTAGACAGGGATTGTGCTCTCTAAGACATCAGAAGCCACAGCAAGTCCATGAATTGTAGTGTTGCGTGGCCCCAGGAGCACTAGAAATTGTGCTAGAAATCTATAATCTAATAACTTCTTCTATCTCTTCCAATTCTGAAATCCTATGGTTCTCTTTTTCCTAAAAGCCTAACACGTACTGCTGAGATAAGCGGAGGAGGATGTAAAGGGATAGAACAGAATAAAGAAAGAGGGGAATTCTAGACTTCCTCTCTGACTCTCTGACAGGGTATGGATGTAAAATCTCTCTTGAATAAGCAGATTTAATCCTTTCAAAATTTGATCCATAATTTCAGAGGGGGTGGAGGGTGAGAAAACATACAAACACTACCATCATATTTACCAGATGATGTGGAATTGAAAATAACACCAAAGCAGAAAAATAGCTACTAAATTTTATTTTTGTTATTTTTTAAATTTATTTACTTATTTTTTAAGAGAGATGTGGTCTCACTATGTTGCCCAGGCTGGTCTCAAACTCCTGAGCTCAAGTGATCTTCCCACCTCAGCCTCCCAAAGTGCTGGGGTTACAGGCATGAGCCACCACGCCCAGTTATTTTTAAAATTTAGATTTGTTCTCTTTCAAATTATAAAAACTCATCCATATTAATTTTAGAATATTTGAAAATTCAAAAATGTATAAAATAGTACCAGGTTAGCATCCATTCAATTCAAATCCTAAGGATAATATATATGTATATCATATTTATGTGTGTGTATATATATAATATGTATTGCTTAAACCTGCAAGCTATGGTTTAAGCATTAGGCTTACAAATTGTGGTACTATAGTTTGAATTTACAGGGGATAAAGTGGTTTTATTCAATTGATTATAACAAGCATTAATACACACTTACAAGGTACTAGAAGGGATACAAAGACAAACCAAGAAAATAATATTGGGCTTCTGGAGGCACAAAATCTATGATGGGAGAATAATACAAGTACACATACCACTAATGCAAAGCAAAAGGAGGCAAAAAGAAAATTATCAAATACAATAATTATTTGGTCTGTAATTCAGAGAAGCTTGCCAATGAAATAATGGAAAAAAAATTATTTTCCAAACAGTTTTAAAGAAATTCAAAATTTCACCATTATGCCAAATAGCACAATTCAAAAAATAAAAATATTGACTAAAATGAAAAAAAAAGCCTGTTATTGAAATGCATGTATATGATTATAATTAATCAAAATTATTCTAAGATAAAAAATTAAGTATTGTGAAGATAAGTAGAAAATAGAGCCCCTGCCTACTCACTGTTTGTGTAAAAGAAATGAAACGAGGTTTCATAGCTTACTGGATGAACATTGTGCTTTCTCCCAGGCTTCATGGGGCCTAGCACTGAAAGTAGTTACCATAATTTAAAATACCTCTGTTTGAAAGATGTTTATTCTCCCATAGATCATAAACCAACCAGAATATGATTTCAGTGTGTTATGAATAATACTTGAAAGAATTTTTTTGTTTTTGTTTTTGATCCATAATTTGTTTTGATCCATAATTTCAGAGGGGTGGAAGGTGAGAAAACATACAAACACCACCACAGTATTTACCAGACGATGTGGAATCGAAAATAATACCAAAGCAGAAAGAGTTACCAAATTTTATATTTTTTTATTTTTAAAATTTACTTTTTAAATAGAGATGTGGTCTCATTATGTTGCCCAAGCTGGTCTCGAACTCCTGGCCTCAGGTGATCTTCCCACCTTTTTTAGAGACAGGGTCTTGCTCTGTCATCCAAGCTGGAGTACAGTGGTGGGATCATAGTTCACTGTAGCCTCAAACTCCTGAGCTCAAGCAATCCTCCTGCCTAAGCCTTCCAAGTAGCTAGGACAACAGGTGCGTGCCACCATACCCCATTCTTTTTTTTTTAAACTTTTGGTAAAGGTGGGGTCTCACATGTTTCCCAGACTGGTCTCAAACTTCTGGGCTCAAACAATCCTCCCGCCTTGTACTCTCAAAGTGCTGGGATTACAGGCGTGAGCCTCCACACCTCACCTGACAGAAAAATTATCATGTCTAAATACACACTTGCAAGGGAAAAAAAATTCTCCTGGTTTAATTTAAAAATGATAATTGGTTTATTTTTCAAAGGACCTTAATTCTGAAAATGTTTTGCTATAGTATATTTGTATATGTAAAACCTAATGATAGCCTCAATAACTTCCCAAATGAAATTACAATTAGATGCCATGTATTCTGTTTGCAAGTCTACAATGTTATTAAATTATTATTGCCTTGCAAATTAATACTTGCTTTCATTTGTAAGTGACCAAGAGGAAAACAGGCTCAAAATGAATGTCAAACAGTAAATACAAATCACTAAAATTTATGGCTATTTTTCCCTAGAATCTTTTTCTCGTACTTGAAAAATACAACTTATACTAATAATAAAACATTTTTCCTAGCTTTTTATAGTTTTAAAGACTGATATGCTTGCCACAGGATTTTTATTTGTCCAGAAAACTAAGTGGAAATAAGACACTGTCCACCAGATAAAACATGGATAATAAATGTAATCCTTCACATTTACTGCTGATCTATCAAATGTACAGTTGTCAACCTAATCAATTCCTTTGATGGATCAACATTTCCATTACTAAGAGAAAACGTATACCTCTGAGCTGTGTATTATTCTCTGCAGACACAAAAAAATGAGGTTGTCATGGCAACTGCAAACTGTGGAGATTCTGTCATGACCCAGTAGCAGTATAATGGAAAACATCTGCCTGGAAATCACAAGCTGGCACAAGGTCTTTGGAAGGAAGTATTTGAGAGAATTTAACCTTAAAAGATTTCCTCAGTTTTGATCTCAGACTCTCTTACTGCAAACATGTAAAATGTTGCTATTCTTGCCAACATCTGCAGCACACAACATAAAGGAAAACACACAGAGAAAAGGTGACTTTTTTCATTGCCAGTATTGCATCTATTGAGGAATTTAGTTCTTAAACATGAAATTATTTATTATAAACTCTCTCTTGGTACCCCCCTCTCCAAAGCAGAGCAATTATTTTCACTATTTGACCCAAACCAATTGTCTCAAACTGAAGCTTATGCCAGGGTTTGTTAAAACACAGATTCCTGGGCCCTACCTCCAAAGTAGGTTGGAGTGGGGTCTGAGAATCAGTATTTCTAAAGTTCTCAGATTGCTGCCAGCCCATTAACCACATTTTGAGAGCCACAGATTTACACCAAGAACCTCAAAGAATTCTAAAAGCTTGCTAGCAATAAAATCTTGAAAGGAGTAAGAAAAATGTCAGGTCTTATTACAAAGCTCATTTCAAAGATAGAGACTACAATGGTTTCTATACCTGGCCCCGCCTGAGAAAGCACTTCTAAAATACAAAATTCCAGGTTTCATCTCTAGAGATTTGGTTTTAGCTGGTCTTGGATGGAACTCAGTGCCTGGATATTTTTAACCAGCATCCCAAGTTGATTCAGATGCAAGCATGTTCCTCTACTTTGTTTGAGAACCACTAATTTGAAGCATATTATGACTTTGTGGTGTAAAATAATCACCTGTGAAGTTTGTTTGACAATTCTTATCATTGCCCCAGCTACTCAGAATCAGTAGGTCTGGATGACCCAGTAGTTTGAAAGTTTATAAAATATCACCAGGTGAACATGATCACAAACAGTCATCAAAGTGAGATGTTCAAGACATCTACTGAAGTTGGAGGAAGAAATTTCTAGAAATCTTTTTAAAGTTTTTTTTAATCTGAAAACTAAGAAAGGCATTAAGATTTACTCATACACTGGCTCTCACATTGAGTCCACATGGAAGGGAAGGATGGGCCTTCAACTTGGAGAAAGGGTTGTCAGTAAAGCTTTCATTTCAGTATTATTAGAACACACAGGAGTTCATTGGACTCATTTAGGTGGGCTTATGGATTTTTTTTTCCGAGATTCCACTTACCTAAGCCTTCAGAAATGAACTAGTGGCTTAAAAAGAACGTCGATTGAATAAAAATATTACAAATAATGCAACCGCAAGTGAGCTACCTGAAAACGAAGAGCTGACAAATTGTTTTACTCTCAGTACAAACTCTTTATCAACCTTATTAAGAGAAATAATCTACTAAGATCTTACAAGAAGTTGATCAATAAAAAGAAAATAATTATTTCCTGAAAGAAACACAGGCTGTGGAAAGAGCATTTTGAAAATGGATGTTTTCATTATTATATAATTTTGTTGCTGAAAGTCTACAAACTTAAAAACATGGAAACCAAATTTTCTGACTTGATAAAAAGTCTTCAAAAGGCTTTCCTTAGGTTCTGAAGCATTGTTTAAAGCTAATTAACACCTGATTAGTTTACAAGAAAAACTGATGAACACTGGGGAAGATTAAGATTTGCTTGAATTTTAACAAAAACTAGACACTGGATCTGCATGTGCCTTTTTTTTTCTTTTTTCTTTCTTTCTTTTTTTTTTTTTTTTTTTTTGAGAGAGAAAGAGAGTCTTGCTGTGTTGCCCAGGATGAAGTATAGTGGTGCAATCTTGGCTCACTGCAACCTCTGCCTCCCAGGTTCAAGCAATTCTTATGCCTCAGCCTCTTGAGTGGCTGGGGCTACAGGTGTGTGCCACCACACCCAGCTAATTTTTGTATTTTTGGTAGAGATGGGGTTTTTGCATGATGGCCAGGTGGGTCTTGAACTCCTGGCCTCAAGTGATCCTCCACCTCAGTCTCCCAAAGTGGTGGGCTTAACAGGCGTGAACCACCATGCCCAGCCTGCCTGTGCCTTTGATGTTGGACTTCACAGTCTCTGTAACTAATTTCTGTTGTTGAAGCCACCCAGTCTACGGTATTCTGTTACAGCAGCTTGAACTGAGTAGAAGAGTGTTTATCATACCAGTAAGTATTTAATATGGTTTTACAGATTATACAAAGTGATTTCATCTCACATTTGCTAAAATTTTATTGAGTAAATAAGTATATAATGGTTAAATCATGCTAATTCTTGTCTGGTATGTCTGGAATGGTACTTTATGAGGAATAAAATGGCTTTACGTTTATATAACACACCTTGTCTTTGTTTAGATTCAAGTTCTATGCCTCTGAGTTATACATTTTCTACCTTGTTTCACCTAAGAGCATGTCTTTGGAGATGCAAATTGAGTTGCCTTGCTAACAATTGTTTGGGGCATGGAACAGATAACCAGGAGATTAATATTCTAAAGTTAGAGAAATGATTTAAAAACTGGCAAATGAAAAATATTATGAATCTATAATATCTGCCTCTGCCTGTGTGTCTGTATGTCTGTGTGTTTATATGTGTCATGTATATGCGATATTTTACTACCAAATTACATGAAAAAAACTCTAATCAATTGGCTTAAAGAAAAGTAAGTGCTTAAACCAAATATTTTATGTAATAGAATCTAGCTCAAATGCTTTTTAGTTCATGTGACTTTAATAATCTTTGGTAAATACAATGGTTTCTAAATTCGCTCTAGTAATTTAAAATTTTAAAGTTGGCCAGGTGCGGTGGCTCACGCCTGTAATTCCAGCACTTTGGGAGGCCGAGGCGGGCAGATCATGAGGTCAGGAGATTGAGACCATCCTGGCTAACACGCTGAAACCCCGTCTCTACTAAAAATACAAAAAATTAGCCGGGCATGGTGGCAGGTGCCTGTAGTCCCAGCTACTCGGGAGGCTGAGGCAGGAGAATGGCATGAACCCTGGAGGCAGAGTTTTCAATGAGCCTAGATCGCGCCACTGCACTCCAGCCTCTGGGTGACAGAGGGAGACTCCGTCTCAAAAAAAACAAAAAAAAACAAAACAAAAACTTGAAGTTATTTTATGTTTAATTAAGAAATCCTTGTTTTTTCATGGGAAATAAAAGTTACTAAGAGCTACTAATAATTACTATATGTAATTAAAGCTACCAAATATAAGAAACTGTTCTACATACACAGTGTCTAAAGAAAGTAAGATGTGTTTTTGGTGAAATTTAATTTTAAAAAAACATGAGGATGTGGTTTTTGCTGAAGGAAAAGTAATTTTGTCTAGTTGAGAAGCTATTTAAAGGTTGCCTCAAAATAAAGGGGAAAATAATATAAATAAAACTAAATGGCTAGAAAGAGAAAAGATAAAAGTGTGGGGAATTAGGAACCTTTGATTCCTGGGTGGCCAGGTGGTCACCCATGGTATGGAGCTGCAGCTGGGCTGCATTCAGTTACGAAAGATAAAGGGCACCAGAAAAATTTAGAGATGGGTCCAACTCCTGGGGAGTTGGTTCACTGGATGCATAAGGAAATGTGGACTAATAAGGAAACAGCAAAATATTTAATCCCTCGGTTATTGTTATCTATAATAGCTAAAATGAAAGTAAAAAAGTTTTGGATTGGGCCTTGAGAATGGACCAAGCTCAGATGTGAATCTGCCTGAGCTCAGGTCACTAGCCTCAAAGCTACCCACAAAGGGGAAAATTATGCCAGGGCAACAGAAAGTACCTCTGAGACCTGTGGTTACCAAGAATGTAGTCAGTGTGGGGAAAGGGCAAAACAGTATTGAAACCAAAGGGTGTAATATTAACGAATTGTCCCATTTTATGTTACAGATCACCAGTTTATCACCGGCTTCCTAAGGAACCTTTACTAAAATGGACTGTGAGTGTAGCTAACTTAGGGGCAATATCTTTGATTTTAAATGCTGCAGAGTGGAAAAACATGTTTGAGTTGATGCAGAACCCACAGCTCACTATTGAACAATCGTGGACCGGTATGTGTAATTGAGACACACAGGAGGTTAATCCTGAGGGGGCAGCCAGCTGGGTGAACTGGATAAAAGCCACTGTAATATCTATTTATCCCGAGAAGGGGGACTACCAACTCCCTTATAAATGCCAAGTGGAGCACCCCAGATGAGGCAGCTGATACGTTTCATATACAAACCATGGGGGACTGGCTGTATAATGACTGGGATATTAGCCCATTAAATATGCCTCTTACCCAGGTGATAAATGCTGTGGTTGAGGGGGCCCCTTCTCCATGGCACAACAGTTTGGGAAGCCTTATCAAATTTGCTGTCTCAGCTTCCCCTCATAGGTCTTACAGATGCTAATAAAACATTAGGGTAATTAACGCAAAAAATGGAAAAGAAGGAGGAGAGTCATGGGACTTGTCCCAGGGCAGGGAAAATCTTTAGAGGGATATTAAGAAATGATATAAATAAAATGGAAATTTATGAGGTTAAAACAAAGCTTTTAGTATAACACCACTGAAGGTTGGGTGGACCAAAGGGAGCTCCTGCTGGTCTCCCAACATTAAAGGGCTCCAAACCAGTTTTCTGTCTTTACCCCAGAGAGATGTTATTTTTTAAGAAATCCAAAGGCAAAGATTGCAATGAGAAAGCTGACCAAAAATTGCCTGAGGCAATATTGAGGCAGGTTAATCCAGATAAAGATTGACAAAAGGGCCAAAGTCTCAGCTCAACCCCCTGCTGGGAACCCAAATCCTTTTTCACCAGAGAGGATAAAATGGTCTGGGGGTGAAAAGAAAAAGTTTCTTGGGACCAGAACATAAAAATGTAAGGGCTGATAGGATTATCGAAGTTGGAATGTTTAAACAAGCTTAACATGAAGTAGTCTTGACTCCTTTACCTAAAGGCTTTAGGAAAATAGATATTGTATTTGACTGGAGGATGTTTCACTTACCTGATACTATAAAACAGAAGATATATAAATCTGCCCTTCAAGCAATATTAATTAGACATGCTAAATGAGAACCAGTAAAATTTTCCAAGCTCACAGGGTGTAGAGTAGAAGCTGAAGTGCTGGTAGGGACAAATTCTCCACTTAATAGCCCTTTGAGGAATGTTTACTGGGGCTTATGGCAAAACCCTGTGAGTGCTTCCCAAAGACAACTAATGGGACTTTGAACTAGAGAATTTCCACTTGAGAAGAATTTACTGCCTTGCTATGGGACATTAACTGAAACCATCCCTGTCACTGGAGGACATAAAATGATCTGACATCTGAAATACCCATGCTGTCTGGGATGATGTCAGAGAAACACTGTAAGAGGGATAGCAGTGTCCAGAGGGTTCCATCATAAAATGGGAATAGTTTATATAGGATCATCCTGCCTGGGGAATTCAAAAGGAGATACTCATGAGCAGGGAGCCTCTTTTTCTCTAGGACTGACTCTGGAACCTGGGGAGGAGCTGCTGGCTCCTACCGTGCCTGATAAACAGCTCTCACCTGACTGACAAAGGGTTGCTTGGTTTGTGGATGGCAGTTCCAAGGTGAATGGACAACATCCTGTTCAGAAGGCTGCTACTCTGATTGTAAAGTGTACTTTTGTGAACAGAATTTACCTTTCTCTCTAATTGAGTTCTCCAAAATGTGGAAATTACTTGTGAGTATTCTTATTTTATGGCAATATAGTTATTTGCATAAATTCAGTAAGAATGTGTTTTCTTTTGAAACAGGTCACAATTGGAGATGCTGGTTATTTTACCAAGGCTTTGACCAGAACAACATATTTTCAGGCAAATTTCCAGCAAAACTAACTTTAAAAAGAGCCTACATGGCCAATGACTATTCGTGTGGCACATTATGCAAATAATGAGGCCTAATATAATAAGCCTAAAACTTATTTTGTATATAAATTGGTCTTATTATTATTTCTCCTTGGTTGAGAAAGATTATAGGAAGAGAGAATAGTGTTTCAAAGGAAAACTGTAACACACCTGATGCTAGATTCCAGCCGAACCTTTGTTTTTGGGTTCTTACTATTTGCTACAATAAGTCTTCAAAGCTGAAACAGGTTAAGATTTTCATGACTTAGCTACCTAATAAAATAGGTTCCATTTTCTATTCTGGCACACACATTCTCTTCTAGTGTTCAAATTATTAATGTTACTTAATCTCTTGTTTTACTTCTTCCAGATAAACTGGAATCATGATATCCTGAAGACTAAAGATGATTCACCTAAGGCCTGTATAGCTCCCTAATTTGAAATCCCACTGGACCCTATCTGCTTTTCATTGCCAATGCTGTGCTGCTAAAACTATCCAAGCATGCTCCCAGAGACTATCACCAAAGGGGTGGGCTTGGGATTGTAAGGGCCAGTTTCTGGCTTCTGACCAGAGGCTGCACTTCCCAGCCTGTCAGAGTGACCACCCTGCAGGCTGCAACGTGCATGAGAAATAGAGCTCTCTTTTCCAAATTTATGACCCCTGTCGTTCTTCAGCTGACACTACAAATATATGCAAACAACAACAACAACAACAACAACCCTGCTTCAATTGTGAAAAAGTAACATATGAGGCATCTTAGGTCGTCTGTACTTAACTTTTCTTGAAGTTCATGTTGCTTGCTAAGCATAGTGTATTAACCCATTCTTCTGTTGCTATGAAGGACTACCTGAGACTGGGTAATTTATAAAGAAAAGAGGTTTAATTGGCTCATGGTTCCACAAGCTGTACAGGAAGCATGGCTGGTGAGGCCTCAGGAAACTTACAATCATGGAAAAAGGGTAAGAGAAAGGAGGTATGTCTTACATGGCTTCAGAATGAGGAAGGGAGTGAAGGGGGAGGTTCCACCCACTTTTAAACAACCAGATCTCGTGAGAAGTCACTCGGTATCATGAGAACAGCAAGGGAGAAATCTGCCCCCATGATCCATTCACCTCCCACCAGGCCGTTCCTCCAACATCTAGACCATTTCACATAGTGAGTTAGAGCCACAAAGAACAGTTTAATAAATTTAGAGAAAAACACCTTTTTTAAGACCCCTCTGAGTTGCTAGATCACATCATATACAGGCAAGGTGAAATAAAACAACTATAATAAATATATAGTGCATTAATATAGTCTTTAAAGATCAGAGACCTTAAAGTGTTTTTTCTAATATGTGATCTTATTTTTACCAACAGCAATAGCAATTTTAATTAATATTATTTCCAAAAACTTGAATATGTGTAATTTCAATTCTAACAAATTAAGTAGTTTTCTTCAAGAGTGTTCAAGAGTGTACAGTTAAAGAAAATAAGCTTTGTGCTCTTTTTTCACTGGCCATACAAATCATAGACATTCCAGACTCCTACCTTCTACAAGCGTCTTCCCTCTGCTGCTTTTATTCTTCCTTATCCTCCTCAGGACCCTTTTGTTCTCATCTTCACTGTCCTTTCTTCCCTTTTAGGAGAATAGGGGTAGTTGAGGATTTGTTTTCTTTTTCAGAAATTTATCTGTTACTCATTGACAGAAATTCAGAATCACAAAGCACTAAGAGATCAGTAATATGATAGCTGCTATTAAGTTGCCTTTAAAATGAGAGATATGAATGAAGGAGACTTTTAAGATGTTAGACTGGTGCTTTTTGATCATTAATGAACATACAAATCTCCTGGAGATTTTGTTAAAATGCAGAGTTTGGAAGTGGAATCTGGTATTTTGCATTTCTACCAAGCTGCCAGTGATAGGGACCACACTTTGAGTAGCAGAGTAGGGCTGAGGGCTGTTTCTTTAGGAATGCACTCCTTCCTTGAAGAAAGTTGGCCTTCCTTTCTGTTCTTCCTTTTCTCTTTAGGAATGCACCCTTTCCTTGAAGTTTCTGAAAAACACTGAAGATTTTAATTGATTTTCATTATTTTTTCTTGCTGCTTTATTTCTCTGCATTTACTCCAGGCAAGATTTATACAGCATTTGTGAAATCTACAGTTTCTCTTAGGCATGAATGTTGTACTAGGGCATGTGTCATGGTATATTAGTGATAATGAGAAGATAAAACAACATTACTGCAATTCTCTCAACAAGATAATTATGTTTCCTTTTTTAAAACCAATAACCCCAAAAGCTATTTTCTAAACAGCTACTCTGTTCCAGGTACCATATATGGTCCTGGGGATCCAAAGCTGAAAATTACAGAATTCCTGCTAATAAATTAAGATCTAAAATCTGTTGTGATAAGTGTTGTAAGATACTGTAGTAGGGTATGTATAAATCACAGGGGAGAACAGAGGCATAATTTAATTTGCATATGGGGAAGAGTGAAAGGCCATAGACAGGAGGTAAATTTTTAGCTGGAGCTTAAATGGAATGGTAAGGTTTTGCCTATCAGAAAAAGGAGAGAGAATATTCTTTGCAGAGAAAACTGCATGTTCAAAGGTGTGGAGGCATTTGCTCTTGGGTAGCAGTTTTTGAGGTAGGTGTTATGCTTACCATTGACAAGTTCTTTACAGGAGAAATAAATAGAGTTACTGTGAGAAATACTATTATGTTATTCACAGTGACTAATACTTGAAATAAGAAGCAGGTAATTTTGAAAAAAGATAAACAGTACTCGAAAGCGTAAGTGGACATTAAATGTTTTATAATTACTCTCCACACTACCTTTTTAAAGAAAGCTTTTGTGAAAGAAAGAAAAAGGGAAAGAATATGTTTTCATCACTTGTTAAAGAGGTTTCCATGGAAAAGCTGAATCTCAGTTTAGGGCTTACTGATGGTGAAATTACTAGAGTGTGCTTCAGAAACATATCCTAATTTCTGAAGATTAGTGTCCCTGTGGAATTAGAGCCAATTTCTTATGACTACGTATTTTTTTAGGATATCTCCACATGCAGAGGGAAGCCTTCTAAGAGGCATACTTTATATAGTCTGGGTTTTTTTCAGTTGTTTTTTGCTTTTTTTATCAGCCACTTTGGCTAATAGACACTTACTAGGGGAAGACTAAAAGCAAAACAGTACAGAATAAGCTTCAAATATAGTGAGCATTAAATTGATGTGTTCATTACATATTTATATTGCACTTTTTGAACTGAACGCCTTTCTAGGCTTTTTAAATAAAATGATGAAAAGATAAAATCCCTGACCCCAAAAAGCTCTATTCTAGTGTAAGCACAACTAAGCAATAGGGGTTTCTATTTGATCAGTGGTTCTCAAAGTGAGTCCACAGAGCCTTGGGGGTCCCTGAAACCCTTTCAGAGGCACCATGAGGTCAAAATACTGTTCATAATTACACTGAGATGTTATCTGCTTCTTTTCACTATGTTGACATTTGCATAGATGATTCAGAAGCCATGGTGTGTGAAACTGCTGGTGCTTTAGCAGGAATATCATCTGTGACACCAAATTGTTCTGTACCTTTGATTATTGTATTCTTACTGCCACACACTTGGAGGAGAAAGGAGAGAGAGAGAGAGAGAGATACAGAGAGAGAGAGAGAGAAAGAAAGAGAGAGAAAGAAAGAGAGAGAAAGAGAGAGAAATTTCTCTTAAGAATGTCCTGGATACCTATGTAATAAACCTGCACATCCTGCACACATACCCCAGAACTTAAAATAAAATAAAATGTAAAAATAACTAGTTTTATTAAATCCTGACCTGTAATCCCAGTGCTTTGGGAGGCTAAGACAAGAGGATTGTTTAATGCCAGTAGTTTAAGTCTAGCCTGGGCAATATAGTGAGATCCTGTCTCTACAAAAATTTTAAAAATTAGCCAGCCATAGTGGCCCGCACCACACCTATACTCTCAGCTACTCAGGAGGCTAAGGTGGGAGTTTTGTTTGAGCCCAGGAGTTCTAAGTTACAGTGAACTATGATTGTGCTACTGCATTCCAGCCTGGGCAATAAAGTGAGATCCTGCTTCTTTTTTTTTTTTTTAATTTATTTATTTATTATTATTATACTTTAAGTTTTAGGGTACATGTGCACAATGTGCAAGTTAGTTACATATGTATACATGTGCCATGCTGGTGCACTGCACCCACTAACTCGTCATCTAGCATTAGGTATATCTCCCAATGCTATCCCTCCCCCCTCCCCCCACCCCACAGCAGTCCCCAGAGTGTGATGTTCCCCTTCCTGTGTCCATGTGTTCTCATTGTTCAATTCCCACCTATGAGTAAGAATATGCAGTGTTTGGTTTTTTGTTCTTGCAATAGTTTACTGAGAATGATGATTTCTAATTTCATCCATGTCCCTACAAAGGACATGAACTCATCATTTTTTATGGCTGCATAGTATTCCATGGTGTATATGTGCCACATTTTCTTAATCCAGTCTATCATTGTTGGACATTTGGGTGGGTTCCAAGTCTTTGCTATTGTGAATAATGCCGCAATAAACATACGTGTGCATGTGTCTTTATAGCAGCATGATTTATAGTCCTTTGGGTATATACCCAGTAATGGGATGGCTGGGTCAAATGGTATTTCTAGTTCTAGATCCCTGAGGAATCGCCACACTGACTTCCACAATGGTTGAACTAGTTTAGAGTCCCACCAACAGTGTAAAAGTGTTCCTATTTCTCCACATCCTCTTAAAAACAAGCAATGGGGAAAGGATTCCCTATTTAATAAATGGTGCTGGGAAAACTGGCTAGCCATATGTAGAAAGCTGAAACTGGATCCCTTCCTTACACCTTATACAAAAATCAATTCAAGATGGATTAAAGACTTAAATGTTAGACCTAAAAGCATAAAAACCCTAGAAGAAAACCTAGGCATTACCATTCAGGACATAGGCATGGGCAAGGACTTCATGTCTAAAACACCAAAAGCAATGGCAACAAAAGCCAAAATTGACAAATGGGATCTAATTAAACTAAAGAGCTTCTGCACAGCAAAAGAAACTACCATCAGAGTGAACAGGCAACCTACAAAACGGGAGAAAATTTTCGCAACCTACTTATCTGAAAAAGGGCTAATATCCAGAATCCACAATGAACTCAAACAAATTTACAAGAAAAAAACAAACAACCCCATCAAAAAGTGGGCGAAGGACATGAACAGACACTTCCCAAAAGAAGACATTTATGCAGCCAAAAAACACATGAAAAAATGCTCATCATCAGTGGCCATCAGAGAAATGCAAATCAAAACCACAATGAGATACCATCTCACACCAGTTAGAATGGCAATCATTAAGAAGTCAGGAGACCCTGCTTCTAAAAAAAATCTTAACCCTTGAGTACATATTTTTTAAATGTTCTCTGTGATTAAATGGAAAGTATGAATAAACCACTTCTGCTTCATACCAAAGTATGATAGTTGTCTCAAGGAAAAGCACATGTGTGATTGAGTCAGGAGCTAAACAAGCTGTCTTTTTTTTTTTCCCATGAAAAGCCATTTTTACTTGAAAGAATGACTGGCAGACTGGTGTTTTAGATTTGGGTATTTGGCAGGCAGTTTCTTGGATATGAAGGAAGTGAGTCTGTCATTTCAAAGAAAACTCAGGGTTTGTTGCCAAAGATAAAATCTGAGCTTTCAAGCAAAAAATTAGAATTTTGGAAATTTGTTTCTGCCACCGTTTACTTGAGGGCTTCCCAACACTTAAAGTTTTTTCTGAGAACAATGGTAACATTAACAACTGTGATTTTGATATTGTCTAATAAAATGTGTCAACATCAAGGACATTCATTTAACTCAATGAATGAATATTTTCTAAATGACGAAGCATGATGTTACAAAACAATGCATTGTAAAATATGTGTTCAAAGTGCAAGAGAGACGAAAAGATTTTAATGTAGCAGAGTGCAAAGATTTCATTGATATAATTTCAAATTTCACATTGCAGCTAACCTTTAAAAAAAACTACCCTTGTCAATTTTTGTAATAGTAATAAAATAATATTCACAATAATCTACAAAGGTTATTAACATATTTCTCACTTTTTCAACTACATATCAATGTGAGATAATTTTTATTAATATAATTCAACTAGAACAACATATTTCAACACTTTAAATCCAGAAACTGGTATGAGAATCCAACTGTCTTCTATTAAGGCTGACATTAAAGAGATTTGCAAAAATAAAAACCAATGCCATTTTTCTCACTTGTTTTGAAAAACAGCGACTTTTTTTTTTTTACACACAGAAAATTATTTATACCAACACATATTCAGTTCATTGTTGTTATTTTAAATAGATTTTAAAATAAATATTTTACAATTATCTCAGTTTTAATTTCTGATACAGTAAATATAGTCCATGTAAACAAAGGCTCTTTGGGATTTTCCAGAAGTTTAAGATTGTCTTGGAAACAAAATTTGGGAACTGCTGTATTAGAATACATCTATTAGATCAGGGAGCTCATGCGGGGATGCCAGGTTTGTAAGTCTGGGAAGTTTTCATTGCAGGAAGGGAAATGTGATTGTCATGGAAGTGTCATGGGATCCTTGGGGTGTCATTTTTCCAGCTAGAAACCTCTGTGGCTGGTGGCATCTTTGCCCAAGTTTTGCTCAGGCCTGCTGGGCTCTTTCAGCCCACTTGGCCTGACAGGCTATGCTCAGCTCATGCTACCGGCCTGGATCCCACACCTGCCAAGGGTGAGACAGGCACAGAGAGCAGCGAGGGGTGTGTGGGCATGTGTGGGGTCCAGCCACTGTACACGAGCAGGCATTTGCTGGCTGCAGTGTGGTAGGCAGCTCCAGGTGCTGCCACAGGTGCCAGCACCATGCGAGGCTGTGGATGGACCAGGTGTACCACAAACAGCTTCCACTGTGGGTACTGGGGAACATGGTGGCTCCCAGAAGCTTGCAGACACCAGGAATCACAGAGCCCCAAAGACAGTATCACAGCCCTGGCTCAGGGAGCTCCTAGGTCTGGGCTCGTTTAAGGGCTGCAGCTCTTTTCTCCTCATCATCAGCAATGTGGTGAGTGGGGGGCATGTTTCAGCTGTTTGCATTACAGGTCTTTCAGTCCCACCATCTGGCAGATCCTGGGTTGTCGTCCCACATCCAGGAAGAATGAGGTACATGGACAACTAGAGGGTAAGCAAGGTGGAGAGGGGTGTCACTGAGCAACGGAACAGCTCTCAGGAGACCTGAAATGGGTAGCTTCTTCCTGCAGCTGGTAGTCCTGATGTCTGTCTGAGTTTGGTTGAGTCTGGGTTTTTATGGGGTCAGAGGGAGTAAATGTGTGCTTACTGGTCCATGGGCAGCTATGGACAGGCCCAGAAAGAGCACTATAAGTTCTCACCCTAGGCCAAGGACTTAATCTGGAAATGGCAGCCCAGGCCCCAGGCTTCAAGCTGTTTCTGGCTTAAAGGTGGGGTTTCACCAGGGACCCACCCCTTTCTGCCCAGGAGCCCATCTGCCTTTTGCCATCAACATGCCATCTATGGCACTAGGCTGTTCATGCTGAGGGGTACCTGCAGGCATGCACTGAGCTGCCCTCACCATCCCCCACCTCCTTCCCAGGATCAGTGGCACCCAAAGTCCAGAGGGGGACAAGGCAGCAGGGGGCTGGCATGTCTGTGCTGCCCCAAGCATGTACACACCCAGCCAGGTCATGACAGTGCCCAGGTTCGACCACAACTTTGCTCTGCACTGAACCATGTGCCAGGAGATGGGTGAGGCCAGAGAGCAGAAGCAAGCACTTCTGAGCCTGCAGGAGTGGGGGTGGGGGTTTTCAGGCCCCCCGAAGGCACAGGGATGCCCGGGTCCAAAGCCACAGCTGGGTGGCTGCAGCTGCACCCAGTTCCTAGCCCCCAACAGCTCTGCGGAACATGCAGCCTTAGCCACGCCTCCCCTGCTGCAGCCAGCATCTTGGTAGTGGCCACTCCAGGCGGGCCTCAACTCCCATCAGAAGGTTGAGTAAAGTTTCTTTATTTCAATGGTTCTTAAATACAATATTTATCAGAATCACTTAGAGTGCTTAATAAAACAGATTTCCTGTCCCACCTCTGGAGTTTCTGATTTAGTAGGTCTGAGGTGGAACCAGATAAGTTTTACTTCTAACAGGTTTCTAGGAAATACTGATGCTATTGGTCCAGGGACCACACTTTGAGAACCACTGCTTTGTGTAAATAAGTGAAGGAAGGGCCATTTGAAAACAGAGACTTCAGTGACTGCTGGTGCCAATTAACCATAGTAGCCAAATTTCATAGATTGAGGGCACAAGATTGCCCTTACCTTATATAATAGCTGTAAATTCAGAGGTCCCCAGGACACTCGTACTCTGACCAGCTGGCTACAATTACTGGATTCCCCCGAACCCCTCAGGCTTAATTATTTACTAGAACAGCTCACACAACTCAGGAAAGTGCTATACTTATGATTATAGCTTTATTATAGTAAAAGGATACAAAAATATAATTAGCCAAAGGGAATGAGGCATAGAATGAGGTTTCGAAGGGTCTGAAAAGCAAAGCTTCCATTTTGTTCCCCATGGAGTCAGGATACCCTTCCAGCATATTGATGTATGACAGTGCATAGAGACTTGCTAACCAGGGGACTCACCTGAGGTTTGTCCAGAGTTTTTGTTGGAGTATCATCACATAGGCAAGATTGATTGAATCACTGTCCATGTGATTAAACCAAATCTCTGACCCCTTTATGCTCCCCAGATATTGAGCTAATATCAAAGTCCCAATCCTCTCATCACATGGTTGGTCTTTCTGGTGTTGCCAGTACCTGTCCCGAGTCATCTCATTAGTATAAAACATGTAGAGTCCACCATGAGTTACCTCACTAGTATAAACAAGGTCTACCATGAATACCATAAACACTCCTGTCACTCAGGAAATTCCAAGGATTTTGAGGCTACTTCTCATAAACTGGGGATGGAGACCAGCCAAATTCTTTATTATACTACAGAGATCAAACGCATAGGCACTGAAATATAGACACCTGAATATGCATGTTTTGCATGAATAAATACTTCTAGTCAGGAGTGGCTTGACTCCAAAGTATTTTGAAACATAAAATAAATAATAAGTCCAGAAAAGCAGTTTGGGAACATTTTATCGGAGATCTTTGAAAATAGCCTAAATATTTTATTCTTTTAATAACAGCAAATCTTTACCTATAACTGTATATATTTGTTACCATACTGCTTTAACCTGAATTCTATTTTAGTAAGATTATGGCAATTCAAAAGATGTCAGGAAGAAGAATGTGGTTTAACCATGTTTCTTAAAAATCTAACTTATATATTATTTGCAACTGGGCCAGTGAAAATTCTCTGAGACTAACAGCTTAACCAAAATAACAAGAGCTGCCCTCATGCTTCCATACAAGTCAGTATCTGACTTCTTAGTTCTGATTACCTATTTAGCTCCAACCCTGGATTCTACATCTGCTTTTGTCTCTGCTAGTCAGTTATCCATTTTGTTTTCTGACTCAATTTTTCTTTAGGATTTCAGCTTTACGGATCCTCCCTAAAATAGTTTTTTGCACCTCAACTATCAATGTTCATTCTGACCCTTCAGCTTGCGTATAGGTGACCTCTCACAATTCCATCATAACCAGCTGCCTAATTATATCCTCCTATTATCAAGTTGGCCATGAAGGACAAGAAATAACTAGTTCCATAATAATGCATTAATTTCTGCATTCTTGCATTTTTCTTATATGCCTGCTCTTTCACTCCCTTACAGCTCTCAGCTCTCAGTCACATAGTGTTATTTCTGCCCTGGCACACTGCTTGGCCATGGCATGATGCATTGTATACAATGAGCACACTAATTCTATCACAATATCTGCATACTAACTACTTCGGCTGAATTGACTATTATACTAATCTACTCTATTCCAAAAAACAGGGGTCTTTAGAATTGTGGTATACAATAAAGAAAACAGCATCTGGCCTGGCTTTGAGAGATTCTGTACATGACTTAATTGCTAGGTACTAAGTGATAAATATGAACAAACAAGCTCATAAAACTTATAGACTAATGGCTTAGAAGTTGCTTCATTATAAACAATATCAGTTAACTACTAAACACATTCATATTACACACATCTACTTAATTATAGTCTACTAATATACTACTATATTGTGTATATTATAAAGCATATATAAACTGGAAAATAAAAAGGATAAATTAAATAATACTTGTATATTCTTCAAAATTTCTACTGTTTTTGGCTAACTTCTTATTAGATTTATAATATGGTTTGGATCTGTGTCCCCACCAAATCTCATGTTGAATTGTAATCCCCTGTGTTGGATGTGAGGCCTGGTGGGAGGTGATTGGATCACAGAGATGGAGTTCTCACGAACGGGTTAGCACCATGCCCTTACTGCTGTTCTTGTGATAGTGAATGAGGGAGTTCTTGTGAGATCTGGTTGCTTTAAAGTGTGTAGTGCCTACCCCTGCAACCCCCATGCTCTCTTTCCTGCTCCAGCCACGTAAGACATTCCTGCTTCTCCCTTCACCTTCCACTATGATTATAGGTCTCCTGAGGCCTCCTCAGAAACCAAGTAGAGGCTATCATATTTCCTGTACAGCCTGTATAATCATACGCCAACTAAACCTCTTTTCTTTAAAAATTACTCAGCTTCTGTTATTTCTTTATAGCAATACAAGGATGGAGTAATACAGAAAATTGGTACCAAGAAGTGGGACATTGCTTCAAAGATACTTGAAAAGGTGGAAGTAGTTTTGGACCTGTGTAACAGGCAGAGGTTGGAACAGTGTGGAGGGCTCAGAAGATAGGAAGATGAGGTAAAATTTGGAACTTCCTAGAGGCTTGTTAAATTATTGTGACCAAAATGCTTATAGTGGTATATACAATGAAGTCCAGGCTGAGGAGGTCTCAGATGGAAATGAGAAACTTATTGGGAATTGGAGCAAAGGTCACTTTTGTTATGCATTAGCAAAGAGGTTGGGTGCATGGTGTCCCTGTTCTAGGGATCTGTGGAACTTTAAACTTGAGAGTGGTGATTTAGGGTATGTGGTGGAAGAAATATGAAAGCAGTGAAGTGTTCGAGATGTAGCCTGCCTGCTTCTAACAGCCTTATCTCATATGTGTGAGCAAAGAAATGTCTTGAAACTGGCAACTTATATTTAAAAAAGAAGCAGAGAATAAAAGTTTGGAAAATTTGCAGCCCGGCCATGTGGTAGAAAAGAAAAGCCGATTTTCTGTGGAGAAATTCAAGCAGGCTGCAGAAATTTGCATAACTAAAAGGAAGCCAAGTACTGATAGCTAAGACAACAGAAAGGAAATGGCCTCCAAGGCATTTCAGAGGCCTTCCTGGCAGCCCCTCCCATCATCAGCCCGGAGGTCTAGAAGAGAAGAATGGTTTTGTGGGACAGGCCCAGGGTCCTGATGCCCTGCACAGTCTGAGGACAATGCTCACTGCATCCCAGCTGCTACAGCTCCAATTCCAGCTGTGGCTCACAAGGGCCCAGATATAGCTTGGGCCACTGCTCCACAAGGTGCAAACCATAAGCTTGGTGGCTTCCATGCAGCGTTAAGCCTGCAGTTGTACAGAGTGCAGGAGTTGAGGCTTCAGAGCCTCTGCCTAGATTTCAGAAGATGTATGAAAACACCTGGATGTCCAGGCAGAAGGCTGCTACAAGGGGAGAGCCCTCAGGAAGAACTTCTACTAGGGCAATGTGGAGGGAAAATGTGGGGTTGGAGTGCACACACAGAGTCCTCACTGGAGCATTGCCTAATGTAGCTGTGAGAAGAGGGCCACTGTCCTCCAGGTCCCAGAATGACACAGCCACCAACAACTTGCACTACACTCCTGAAAAAGCCACAGACACTCAATGCCAGCCAATGAGAGCAGCTGTGGCAGCTAAACCCTGTAAAGCCACAGGGGCAGGGCTTCCCAAGGCCTTGGGAACCCACCCCTTGCATCAGTGTGGCCTGGATGTGAGACATGGACTCAAAGGAGATTATTTTGGAGCTTTTAGATTTAATGACTGCTCTGCTGGGTTTCAGACTTGCATGGGGCCTGGATCCCCTTTGTTTTGGTTGATTTCTCCTTTTTGGAGCAGAAGTACTTACCCAATGCTAATACGCTTATTGTATCTTGTAGGTAACTAACTTCTTTTTTATTTTACAGGCTCATAGGTAGAAGGGATTAGCCTTGTCTCAGATGAGACTTTGAACTTTGGACTTTTGAGTTAATGCTGGAATTAGTTAAGATTTGGGGGGACTGCTGGGAAGGCATGATTGTATTTTGCAATATGAGAAGAGCAAGAGATTTGGAGGGGCCATCAGCAAAATGACATGGTTTGCATCTGTGTCCCTACCATATCTCATGTCAAATTGTAATCCCCAGTGTTGGAGGTGGGGCCTGGTGGGAGGGGCCTGGTGGGAATCATAATGGTGGAGTTCCCATGAATGAATTAGTACCATGCCCTTGGGGCTGTTCTTGTGATAGTGAGTGAGTGAGTTTTTGTGAGATCTGGTTGTTTAAAAGTGTGTAGCACCTCCCGCTCTTTCTCTTTTTCTCCTGCTGTGGCCGTGGGAGATGTGCCTACTTCTCCCTTTGCCTTTCACAATGATTTTAAGTTTCCTGAGGCCTCACCAGAAGCCAAATAGATACTGCCATACTTGCTGTATAGTCTGCAGAATCATGAGCCAATTAAACCTCTTTTCTTTATAAATTACTCTGTCTCAGGTATTTCTTATAGCAGTGTGCGAACAGACTAATATAATATGATTAGATTTTCATTGCTTTTACCTGATTATCTGGGTGAAAAAGAGGTCTAACCAGTAAGTGAAAGTGTGATTTTTTTTTCTCATTGTTATGTAAATTTCATAGTCCCTTGCAGGGATCTTTTTAAGCCACTTAGATAAAGAATCCAGACTATCTCTCTCATTTTAACGTAAAATGTCTTTAAGACATTGGTTCCAAACCAGGGTAAGTAAGTTCTCTATTTCCTGATCCCTTAGGCATGGAAGATGGATACCTATCTCAAGGGCAACCACCCAAAGTGGCCTGACAGGAAGTGCTCTAAACACAAGTAAGTAGCTATGTCAGCCAGATTCCTTCTCTAGAATTTAAACCGGGAAACAGAATTTGCAAGAGCAGGGCGTGTGGTAGCAGAAGCTGAGAGGAACTCCAGGAGGCATGTGGTGGCGAGACCTGTGGAAGCCATGAGGGAGGTAAAGATATGAAGAAGCTGAAGCTGCAAGGGAGAAGAATGAGCTGATTGGGGGAAGGCAAGATCAAAAGATGAGTTCCATAATTGCCCAGGAATGATGCACTCAGTCAAGAAGACAACCAAATCAATGGAACCCCAATACTGTGTGGACAATTCCACTACTTATGTTCCATTTCCACGAGCATCAAACATTTGTTCATCAGTTCCTGGGTTCCTATGGGGTCTTGCCTCCCTTGTTTGCCACATATATCTTTTTAATAAACTCAAACAATTTAAAGTAGCATAAGTGAGTTTCTGTTACTGAGCAATAAACAATACAACCCACCTATCTGGGGTCACTTTTTAAATATTTGATTATTAAATAATAAAAAGCCAAAAAAAAAAAAAGATACAGATGTAGGGGTAGAAGGGGTCTTTTTTGTTTGCTATGAGTTTAAGAGCTTTTTTCCAGTATATCCAGGTTAGGAGATATATTCAGTGCCTTTTTATTTGCACCAGTTTGGAAAGAATTAATAGGAGCGGGGCAAACAGAGCAAACATCACCCCTGCCAAGAGGCTGATGTTCTTCCTCCTCTTTCTGAAGTTCAACTCAATCAAACTGAATGAAGCCATTCAAGAAATACCCATGGTTGTTGGGAATATCTTGAAAATAGCAAACAAGTAGAACAGTTAGGTACACCTTTTTACAGAACCTATGAATAATATTGTTTTAAAATCCATTTTGTTGTGGCAAGAACAAAATCGTACAGAAGAGTATTAAATAAAAAGTCAAAGTCTTCAGCCCCAACGTCTAGTCTCCATTTCTGCTTACCAGAGGTAATGATTCTTAACAGTTTCAGGCATAGCCTTCCAGAGTATTTATTTTTAAATACACATCTTTTTATATAAATGAACTTGTACTAAACATACTCTTTCTTTTCTTGCTTGCAGCAGCTATCTATTTCTATTAATACAAATCTTCCTCATTCTATTAACAGCTGCAGTGCATTGTATTTGGTAGTTGTCACATCATTTATTTAACCAGAACTCTACTGATGGGCAAGTAGGTTATTTCCAGTTCTCTGTTCTTATAAATAATGCAGCAGTGAACATTCTTCTACATGTATCTTTGTGTATTTGCATGAATATATTTATTGGATAAACTCCTAGAAATGGATTTGCTGAGTAAAGGGGATATGTTGATTTAAAATGTCATAAATATTGTGAAATTGCCATCCCAATTTGTTGTTTCAATTTACAGGAACCATGTTTAAAAAAAAAGTGATTTTCCCACACTGATACTAGACTAGATACTATAAAATCTTTTTATTTTTGCCAATATTATGGGTTTAAAAACTACTGTATTCATGGCTGGGCACAGTGGCTCACACCTGCAATCCCAGCACTTTAAGAGGCTAGGTGAGTGGATCACTTGAGGCCAGGAGTTTGAGAACCAGCGTGGTGATCATGGTGAAATGGCATCTCTACTAAAAATATAAAAATTAGCCGGTCATGGTTGTGGGCGCCTATAGTCCCAGCTACTTGGGAGGCTGAGGTGGGAGAATTTCTTGAACTCAGGAAGCAGAGGCTGCAGTGAGCCAAGATCACGCCACTGCACTCCAGCCTGGGCAACAGAGCGAGACTCTATCTCAAAAAATGTTTTCTTTTGTCACTTTTTTATGTTTGGGATTAACTTACAGTATATTTTCCTGCATATACATATATTTCAAAAAATATTTATATATATTCAACAGTACTAGTCATTTGCCTTTGACTTTGGGGATTTTTGTTAGAAAGTCATTTCCCACTAAAAAATAACACCAAAAAATATAGCTTGTGCATTCTTCTTTAATGATTTTATCTTTAATATTTAAATTTTGGGATGTCTGGAATTTATTCTAAGGACAGATATTGGGATCCATTTCTTTTCCAGAAAAACCATACAGCCTCCCAACAATATGCATTACAAAACTATCTTTTCTAATCAGTATGAAATATCATATCTTTCATGTCCTATATCCCTATATATATTTGGATCTATTTCTGATCTGAGTGAATATGATTGTGCTGATATACCTACTCCTGTGCCAGTACAAGCTATTTAAATTCCTATAGCTTTGAAAATGCCTTAATATCTGGTGGGAGTTATATCTGTTTCCTAGGGCAATTTGAAAGTAAGTGTAAAAAAAATCATAAAATTAAGTGTAATCTTTGACCCAGCAATTCCATTTCTGAAATTTTTAACTAAGAAAATTTTAAAAGTATGTATAATTGAACGATATATAATTCAAATTTCCCCAGGACCAATCAGGACATAGCACAAATTGGATCACAGTTAGAGTTATAACTAGAGTAACGAGTCATTTGCTTGAGAATGGGAGAGTTTCCCTGGGTCTTTCAGTGCTAAAACCCAGGAAATCCTCAAGTTAAACTGAATGCTTGGTGACCCCAGCTACCCAAATATTTTTGGTTCTCGTTCCTTCTGTTCCTACATGTTCTCTAGCTTCAGAAACATTCCTCTCTATAAATATTTCTGGGAGATTCCTAAGTTTCATCTGTGCTCACACGTGTGTGTTTCACATGAGCACACATATATATTCATCTCTATTCCTGCTGACACTGCTATTGTTCCACCTGCATAGGAGTTTCCAATAGATGCTACTCTCTATTGTGTGCTACTTTGTTGTCAGACTTTCCTACTTTTTTGGGTAGAGTGCACATCACTGCCTCTCTGCTTGGTATAGTATTACCTATCTGGTGTTAAGAAATCTCTAAAGCTGTGTGACTCCAGTTAGTCTGACTTTACTGCTGTTGCACATGTCTGCCACTCTATAACCAAGCACTGAGCCTCCAAGAGATAAACTGCCAGACTTCCAATCCTGAGAATAGTCTATGCCTTCTTTGCATGAAAGATACAGAGACCACGTTGATAGGGAGCTGCTAGAATGGTTCTCTGATCCTCCCAAATCTCAATTCATCATTTGCTTGTGCTTGTCTGTGTAACTGAGTCCTCGAGCCTTCCCTCCTAAAAGGAGTTTTCAAGGGTCTGCCTGGTCACCACATGGTTGACATTACATTCATGTTATATTGCCTTCTCTGCTTATATCAGTGAATTCCCAAATGCTTATCTTGAGGTTGCTACCCCTCATCTTTCTATATATTCAATATTAGGAGAAAGCTAGATGTTCTTGGGGCAGAGACAAAACAGCAGAGGGGAGGTTAACCTTCATGTAGCTACTTGGGGGAGCTGGTAATCAAGTCATATCTAATATTTACCTACTGAAATCCATAAATAACAGAATGATGCTTTTTATCCTACTTTTATCTACCATTTGTGATTGGTAGGTTGGGTATTGGCCAAAATTATGTTGGAGGATTTACATAGTTTAAGTTAACTGGCGTAAATCTTTTTGTGTGTGGAGCGAGGTGAAAAGAAGAAATATTAGAAATTCATAAGTGAAAAAAAAAAATGGTGGCTAGGAGACAGGACTAACATCCACCTCCCGCTGGATGGACAGTCCCGCTGGGACTCACATTGTGAAGTTTTGCTACAAGAACCACCAAAGAAGCATACCAGGAAAACCAAAAGAATTCACAGACCCTTTGAAAGAAGTGGCTTGCCACTGCAAACGCCATGAGACAGCCAAAAAACTGTGAGTTCCCGAAGTGTGAGAGGGAAAAAAGTTGGCCTCCAAGTACACATTCCTACTGGGGAACCTGAAAATCCAGATCACAGGAGAAGCATTTAACCTTATCTAGAGCTGAAATGGATTTAGAGAACTGAGTAAACTATAAAAGTAGAAGCAGCAGGAAGAACTCTGTAGGCACTCCTGGTCCTCAGCTTGAGCCCCAGGGACCATTCATGGCTTTATCTCACACAGGTGTACAGGGAAGGGAAGGCAGCCAGTAGAAATGGGGAGGGTCCACAGGGTGAAGGAAATTCCTGCTGAACTTTGTAATAATTTTGACCGAGCATGAACTCTCCTGAGTAGACTCCAGGGCAGGGGGTTGGGAGGTTGGGTGGTGAAAGAGAAGTGCAGATATGAGTGCAGAAGCTGCAACCTAAGGTTCAGGCAGGCAGAGGTGAGGCCTGAGACACCTGCTTGCTTTCTCAGCAGGGAAGCTTTTAGCCTGGGACAAGATTTCAGCCTGGCTCACCACTCTATGGCCCTGCCCATCACCTGAGAGGCCCCAGTACTCATCCTGGCCAACACAAGGCAAGATTATACCCCACTTCTACTACTGTAGCTGGAGCTCTCTTGAAAGCGCCACCTCCTGGCTGGAGGTCAACCAACTCAAGCCATTACAGAAACTCAGAACAGAACAATCCTGCTTCAAAGAAGGAGAAAATAAGAGCTAATTCCACCACCTGAAGTACCCTGCCTCACCAGAGGACCTGTGTCTGTCCACATGACTTTACTGCTATCATAACCACCATTTGAGAAAACCAGTGCACTAAACAAAACTACAACCAAAGACCATCACAGAGTCCAATTAGTTCCCCTGCCACTTTTAATGGTACAGATGCTGGTATCCATGGCTGCGAGACCTGAAGACAGATTACATCACAGGACTCTTTGCAGACATTCTCCAGCACCAGCCTGGAACCCAGCCACCCCACTGGGTGGCTAGGCCCAGAATAGAAATAAAAATCACTTCATTCTGGCTCTCAGGAAGCCCTATCCCTAGAGGAAGGGGAAGAGCACAGCATCAAGGCATCACCCCATGGTACAAAAGAACTTGAACAGCAGCCCTTGAGTTCCAGATCTTTCCACTGAAACAGTATACCCAAATGAGAAGGAACCAGAAAAGTAATTTTGGTCACATAGCAAAGTAAGATTCTGTAAGATACCCAAGGTTCTTCAAGACTCACTCTAGCTCTCCAGCAATGGATCCAAACCAAGAAGAAATCTCTGAATTGCCAGAAAAAGAATTCAGAAAGTTGATTATTAAGCTACTTAAGGAGACACCAGAAAAAGATGAAAATTGTCTTAAAGAAATTTTTAAAAATACAGCATATGGATGAAGAAGTCTCCAGAGAAATAGATATCATAAAGAAAAGACGATTACAACTTCTGGAAATGAAAGACACACTTAGAGAAAAGCAAAATACACTAGATAGTTTTAACAATAGAAGTTTGAACAAGTAGAAGAAAGGACTTCAGAATTCAAAGACAAGGCTTTTGGATTAACCCATTCAGACAAATACAAAGAAAAAAGAATTAAAAAAATGAACTAAGCCTCTAAATAATTTGGGATTATGTTAAGTGACCAAACATAAGAATAATTAGTACTCCTGAGGAAGAAGAAAACTCAGACAAGAGAAAGAAATAAAGAGCATCCAAATCAGTAAAGAGGAAGTCAAATGGTTGCTGTTCACTGATGATATGATTGTATACCTAGAAAACCCTAAAGACTCACCCAAAAAGCTCCTAGATCTGATAAATGAATTCAGTAAAGTTTTAGGATACAAAATCAATGCACACAAATCAGTAGCACTGCTACACATCAACAGCGACCAAGCTGAGAATCAAATCAAGAACCCAACCCCTTTTACAATAGCTGCAAAAAAAGAAATAAAGTACTTAGGAATATACCTAAACAAGGAGGTGAAAGACCTCTACAAGGAAAACTACAAAACACTAGTGAAAGAAATCACAGATGACACAAACAAATGGAAATGCATCTCATGCTCATAGACGGGTAGAATCAATATTGTAAAAATGACCATATCTCCAAAAGCAATCTACAAATTCAATGCAATTCCCATCAAAATACCACCATCATTCTTCACAGAACTAGAAAAAACAATCCTAAAATTTATATGGGAGCAAAAAAGAGCCCACATAGGCAAAGCAAGATTAACCAAAAAGAACAAATCTGGAGGCATCACATTGCCTGACTTAAAACTATACTATAAGGATATAGTCATCAAACAGCATAGTACTGGTAAAAAAAAAAAAAAAAAAAAAAAAAAGCACATAGACTGATGGAACAGAATAGAGAACCTAGAAATAAAGCCAAATACTTACAGCCAACTGATCTTCAACAAAGCAAACAAAAACATAAAATGGGGAAAGGACATCCTATTCAACAAATTGTGCTGAGATAATTGGCAAGCCACCTGTAGAATTATAAAACTGGACCTTCATCTCTCACGTTATACAAAAATCAACTCAAGATGGATCAAAGACTTAAATCTGAGACCTGAGACCATATAAATCCTAGAAGATAACATCAGAAGAAAACCTTCTATACATTGGCTTAGGCAAAGACTTTATGACCAAGAACCAAAAAGCAAATGCAATGAAAACAAATATGAATAGATGGGACTTAATTAAATGAAAAAGCTTCTGTGCAGCAAAAGAAATAATCAGCAGAGTAAATAGACAACCCACAGAGTGGGAGAAAATCTTCTCAAACTATGCATCCAACAGAGTACTAATATCCAGAATTTACAAGGAACTCAAATCAGCAAGAAAGAAACAAAACAATCCCATCAAAAGGTGGACTAAGGACATGGATAGACAGTTCTCGAAAGAAGATATAAAAATGGCTAACAAACATAAGGAAAAATGCTCAGTGTCACTAATGATCAGGGAAATGCAATTCAAAGCCACAGTGAGGTACCACCTTATTCCTGCAAGAATGGCTATAATTTAAAAAAAATAGAAAAAATAATAAGTGTTCGTGTGAATGTGGTGAAAAGGGAACAGTTTTACACTGCTGGTAGGAATGTAAACTAGTACAGCCACTATGGAAAACAGTGTGGAGATTCCTTAAAGAACTAAAAGTAAAACTACCATTTGATCTAGTAATCCCACTGCTAGGAATCTACCCAGAGGAAAAGAAGTCATATGAAAAAGACACTTGTCTACACCTGTTTATAGCAGCAAAATTCACAATTTCAAAAATATGGAACCAGCTTAAAATGCCCACCAACCAATGAGTGGATAAAGAAAATGTGAGATGTATATATATATATATACACACACACACTTAGCATATGGTTGTACAAAATTTTAGACTCTCAGAGGGAAACCACAGTGTAAACACATTATTTGTACAAACATTTTAGGCACAATGAGTCATTGTGATCATTTTGGGAAAGTGACATATAGTTGTAACTACCTTTCTATGGCTTACTTACCTTTCTATGGCTGAGTATATGGGTGTGTGTGTATGTGTTTGTGTGTATGCATATATATGTGTGTATACACACACACACATACACACACACCATGGAATACACTCAGACATAGAAAGGAAGGAAATAATGGCATTCGCAGCAACTGGATAGAGTTGGAGACCACTATTCTAAGTGAAGTAACTCAGGAATGGAAAACTTAACATCATATGTTCTCACTTATTAGTGGAGCTAAGTTACAAAGATGCAAAGATGTAAGTATGTCATAATGGACTCTGGGGACTTGAGGGGAAGGGTGGGAGGCAGGTGAGAGATAAAAGGTTATATATTGGGTGCAGGGTACACTTCTTGGGTGATGAGTGCATCAAAATCTCAGAAATCACCCTAAAGAACTTATCTATGTAATCAAATACCACCTGTTCCCCCAAAACTATTGAAATAATAATAATTTAAAAAGAAATTCAGCTTTATTTTTATTTATTTATTTATTTTATTTTTATTTCAGCTACTTTTAATAAACTTAAAATTACCTTTATTATTTTAGTATCCCAATGATTTTAAGGCTGTCTTAGAATTACAAATGGAATAAGTTATTCCATTTATTTGTAATTCCAACAACAATAATGATGCTGATTTACATGTCAATTCATTGACAGATACATAGATAGATAGATAGATAGATAGATAGATAGATAGATGATAGATAGAAACTCATTTAGTCATTATTTGCCACTAAGAATCTCTCCCGACTAACCTCTCTCTATTTCTCTTTTTTTAAAAAAAATTATTATTGGTTTTGACAATAAATGTAGGTTTCAAGCTATACAGAAAGCAATTCTCACAGTAGACCTGTGACTGCTCTCCTTAGAAGGATCTGCATGCTAGGTTGGCCCCTGGCTGACACAGGAGAACTTGGCTGGAAAACAATTCCCTACAACTATACGTAACTTTTCCCAAAAGGTCACAGTGACTTATTGTGCCTAAAGTGTTTGTACAAATAATGTTGTTTACATTGTGGTTTCCCTTTGAGAGTCTAAAATTTTGTGCAACCATATGCTGAGTCCTGTGAATCTTTTCATCTATAGTCCTGTGAAACCTGGGGGTTGTCGGGATCCTTGACGCACATGATCATGGTGCATTTGTTGTGACCTGAGATTTGGTGCCACCCATCCTCTCAAGGTTCCGTCGTGTGATTTAGTGAAAATAGTACAAATGGCAACATTCTGAGTTAAGAGGGTTCCTGTAGATATAATTGGGGCGCAGGTGACACCAGCAACTAACTCCCATTGCCATAGTGACTGAATGCTCCTTAGAACGACCCACTTATACTAATACTTTCCATTTATTGGCATAAAATCCTATTCCAATATAAGAACTTGTTAATGTGTGCATTTGTGTGGGTTCCTTGCCACCAAATTTGATATTATATGCTATTCACTCTTGTACCAAACCATCTCCTCAAGTTACCCTACTGAACAAAGCTTTAGGTATTATTGATGTTTACCATGAAAGAATGTTTACAATGTGCTAGTTATTTCATTTTAGGCCATGAGAGACTAATATGATTCACTTACAAAACACAGAAGTAGGGTGTCCATGGAAGCAGTGTGGTATTTGTGCTTTTCTTCTTTCCTCCTTGTTCCTTCTTGATTTTGTTCCATCTTTATTGGATATGGTCTGGAATCAACTCCATGTTTATTGGTTAGGATGATGTTTCCTGACCAGCATCATCAGAATAATACGTTCTGTGTGTCTAAAGAAAGATATTTCAACTTCTCTCCAAGGGATGGCAATTTTAGGACTCAAGGTCTTAACTAAAGTCACTAATATTTGAACCTATGTACATATTATTCCAATGGAGTCAGTGGAATTTTTGCCATTGTGTTTTTTTGTTGTCTGTGTTTTTTTACACTGAAAAAGTTACACTCCTGATAATTTCCTTTCTTGATTAAAAAAATAAAAACTAAAACTATAATAAGTGCTATTTTCCATTTTCCCTGTTCAAAGACTCTTCTCTTTTGTCTTCTAAGGCAGCTATATGTGCCAATATCAGGATATTTCAGGTGGCATCTTTTGACTCTATCCCTAGCCTGAGATAATATACCCATGTATGTAAGAAATAGATTAATCACCTGCTGGAGCAAGAAAGCACAGAGACTGTTTTTCAGAAGCACCGGATGCAGAAGTATAAATCGCACAAAAAGCAACAGTGGCAAAAAATAGGCAAAGCAGTCCCTGGCCTTGCTGTTTGCTTTCGGAGATAATTAAGCAGTTTGAACTAAACCAGTGACAAAGAAATCTAGGAGATTGAAGAATTTTTGGCAAACCTTTAACTCAACATGAATTATTTAGAGGTCTAAGAGAGTATACCTGAAAAACAAACTAATAGCCATTTGAGACATGTATATGACATTATAATATAACAGTAGTAGAGTGTTCATGGGTCCTTTTATAGGGTTGATAAAACTCAAATTGCAAAGGACAAAAACACAGGTGGGTTGCAGTACATTTTTATTATAATTTTGCAAATATGTTTATTATTACAAGTACATTTTTGTTTTTATGTCAGAGTATTTCATGTAACATTGAGCACAATGGTACCAGGAAGTGATTAGTGCAGATAAACACAGGAGTTTCAATATGCCATGCAGCTTCCTCCGATTTTGTACTTTGAAGTAATGAATTACTCTATAGAGATGAGCTATTCAAATGTTATTATTGTATTATCAAATATTGAAGTTCAGATCTTCAAAAAATATTATTATAATTATTACAAAAATAATAATACAACAACACAAACTATAGTCACATTTTTATAAGATCAATTAGGGTAATCAGGTAAAAAACAACCCCTGAAATAAGAAGTGAAAATATTCTAGTTCTATTATACTATCCATTTTTCTACCTTTTACTTTCAGCTTAAAAAAATAACTTTCCAACTTGGCTGTTCAGAACTTTCACTAAAAGCTGGGTCTGGAGCTTTTTTTTTTTTTTTTTTTTTTTTTTTTTTGAGACGGAGTCTCGCTCTGTCGCCCAGGCTGGAGTGCAGTGGCGGGATCTCGGCTCACTGCAAGCTCCGCCTCCCGGGTTCACGCCATTCTCCTGCCTCAGCCTCCCAAGTAGCTGGGACTACAGGCGCCCGCCACTACGCCCGGCTAATTTTTTGTATTTTTAGTAGAGACGGGGTTTCACCGTTTTAGCCGGGATGGTCTCGATCTCCTGACCTCGTGATCCGCCCGCCTCGGCCTCCCAAAGTGCTGGGATTACAGGCGTGAGCCACCGCGCCCGGCCCGGGTCTGGAGCTTTTAAGCCCCTTGAAGGGGTAGTAGCCTCAGGACAATATTCTAAAAGCTATAAAGAACTTTCACCTAATACTAATGGTTAAAACATTTCCACATAAATACCTTTGCCTACTTATTTCTGTTTTGTCTCTAGTGCAGTAGAGTCAATAAAGCCAATCTTAAACAATCTTCCTTCTCCAAAGAAGGGATGTATACTGGGAAAAAAAATTAATTCCCTCTGAAACAGGAAAAGTTATATGTAGAAATCTAATAAGAGAGGGAAAGACAGAGAGACAGAGAGAGAGAGAGAGAGAGAGAGAGAGAGCGCGAGAGAAGGAGCATTTCAGCTAATAGAGAATAACTGTGGCTGAAATAGGAAACTTAATTCATTATTATTTATAAGTTAATTGATTTTAACACTTTGGTTTAGATAAACATAGTTCAAGCAAATGTTATCCCAAAGGACTCATTAATGTGAGCATTCTGCTGGAGTCTGCAAATTTTCATTGGTGAATTTATAGCTGCAGCCTGCTAACAGAGATCATATTGCCTGACTAGACATATGCATGTAATATTCACAAACACTGATATTTAAAAGTCATAAAAGGAGAGGATCTTTTGCAATTACAATGATGCAGCTTTCTGTTTCCACTTAAGTAGTTTTAACAATTACCTAAGTAGATAACTTTCCAAAGAGAACACCATTTTTTAAACTCCAAAATTTCTTGAATATTGAATTTTAATCCCTTCATCTTTCAATACTTTTGTACAAAATCAGAACCTCAATGTAGAGAGTTGTTGTCTGTTTGTTCATCTGTATTCTTTTGTTTTCACTTACAAGAAAAAAATGTAAAGTTAATATCTAAACAGAATTGCTTATTATTAAAATTTTAAACGCAACAAGTAAAGACATCCAGTTTTCACAACTCTAAATCCTGTATCCATCCATAGTCTTTCCTTTAGCTAATCTTTTGAAGAAGTTTAGTGTACCCATTTCCATGTCCATTCCTTTCTCTCTTCCTCCTCCATCATTTTTTTTTCTTTTTTTTTTTTTTTCTTTTTGAAACAGAGTCTTGCTCTGTCACCCAGGTTGGAATGCAGTGGCACGATCTCAGCTAACTGCGACCTCTGCCTCCTGGGATCAAGCAATTCTCATGCCTCAGCGTCCCAAGTAGCTGGAATTACAGATGCCTGCCACCACATCTGGCTAATTTTCTTGTATTTTTAGTAGAGATGTGGCTTCACCATTGCATTAGTCCATTTTCATGCTGCTGATAGAGACATATCCGAGACTGGTCAATTTACAAAAGAAAGAGGTTTAATTGTACTTACAGATCCACATGGCTGGTGAAGCCTCACAATCATGGTGGAAGGCAAGGAGGAGGAAGTCACATCTTCCATGGATGGCAACAGGCAAAGAGAGAGCTTGTGTGGGGCATTTCCCATTTTAAAAATCATCACATCTCATGACACCCAATCACTATCACAAGGACAGCATGGGAAAGAACAGAAAGACCTCACTATCATGAGAACAGCATGGGAAAGACCCGCTCCCATAATTCAATCATCTCCCAGTGGGTACCTCCAACAACACGTGGGAATTATGAGAGCTACAAGGTGAGATTTGGGTGGGGACACAGAGCCAAGCCATGCCGATGCAAGAAGTGGATTCCCATGGTCTTGGGCAGCTCCACCCCTGTGGCCTTGCAGGGTACAGCTTTCCTCCCGGCTACTTTCATGGGCTGGCATTGAGAGTCTGCAGCATTTCCAGGCACACAGTGCAGGCTGTCAGTGGATCTGCCATTCTGGAGTCTGGAGGACAGCAGCCCTCTTCTCATAGCCCCACTAGGCAGTGCCCCAATGGGGAATCTGTGTGGGGGCTCCAACCCAACATTTCCCTTCCACACTGCCCTAACAGAAGTTCTCCATAATCCTTTACTCTTACTTTTTTTCTCTTAATTTCCAATGGCTAGCAACAGTTATTTTCCTTCCCTTTGAGGCAGGAATTTTCTTTAAATAATATACTATTCTTTGTATTCTGTCCAAGGACGCTCCCTTTCCTGTCTTCCCTTCCTTTACTCCCCCACTCCCCTTGGAGAAGTATTAATAGTAGCCTCAGGAAAACATTCTGAAAGCTATAAAAAACCTTTCACTTAATACTAATGGCTGAAATATTTCCATATAAATATCTTTGCCTGCTTATTTCTGCTTGGTCTGCAGTGCAGTAGAGTCAATAAAGCCAATCTAAGACAACCTTCATTCTTGAGATGTATGCTGGAAAAAAATTGTTTAGACCCTATTTCTGGGGGTCTACACATACTCACTCTATTCGTATGTCACAGGGTCCAAATTGATGAAAGCTGGCCGATGCTACTTTGAATTCTAAAACCCCAGTTCATAACACTGTGTAAAATATGCTCATCAGCCTCACCCACAGGGCCCATACTTTTGGATAAGAAATATCCAGGTTGGATCAATTAAAGGTCATTATAAAATGTGGATTTTACTACCTTCTCTTACATACAACCTCCAGATGGTTGTTACAACGTCGTATTCCCCTTCCTGTTTGTCTATGCTTTTTATGAGCAGGACAGGAAAAGGACAGGAAGGCAGCTGGGGATTTGGCAGTCAAGTGAGCATACTTGATGCTCACACCCTCTCTTTTCATGCTCCCAGTACTGTTTGTTGAGTCCACATTGCTCTGGCAGGGTCCCCAGTCTCTGAAGCTACTCCTGTCCACAGGCATGTTCCACCATGTGGCTCCAGAGATGCCTTCCCGAAACCAAAGTCAGGCAACAGTGAAGTGATGAAGTGGCTGGAAGGGAAAGTGGAGATATAATATGTTAGAGGAATCCTAAAGCACTATTTATTATATCCAGTGGTTCACGGAATTGGGATACATGGATGTTTTAGGGGTTTTTGTTTGTTTGTTTTTGTGGCCTAGGCTGGAGTGCAGTGGCACGATCTCTTCTTACTGCAACCTCCACTTCCCAGGCTTAGTCGATTCTCCCACTTCAGCCACCTGAGTAGATGAGACTATAGGTGCGCACAACCCCTCGACCCCTGGCTAATTTTTTGTATTTTGTGTAGAGATAGGGGTTCTGCCATGTTGTCCAGGCTGGTCTTGAACTACTAAGCTCAAGCAATCATCCCTCCTTGGCCTCCCAAAGTGTTGGGATTATGGGTGTGAGCCACCATAGGCAGCCAGATATTTTAGTTTTTATTTACAATTTGCTTTTACAGACTTGCCTCAAAAATTATTTTTAATAGACAGCCTCCAGGAAACAGTCTGGATTTGGGAGCAGACAAGCCCAAATGAAGGAACAACTTGTTCATGGGTAATCCTCAGTCTCTAGGATACAAAACAAGTGCTTATCCAAATACTTGCTGAACTAATCATTGAATAAATCCAGAAACAAGCCTCTATTGTTACATTCATTCAGCCCATCTTATTTCTTGTTCCCAAATCCTCAAAAAAGTTCAAACAGTTGTAAAGACACTTGGCAAAAATGACAATTTTTTTTTCCCTAGGATAGTTTAACCTGAGTGGAAATGTTGGCTGTTCACATTTTTGGAGAGGGAAAAAGCTTCAGGAGTACTTTGACCTGCTGCTTTGTCAAAACCATTGAGTGAGTTAAGAAATTGCTAGAATAAAAAGGAGTTGAGTCAGACTCACATGTGCGGCACATTTCAGTGGGCACACGCTTGAGTCACAGTGCATAGGTTCAAATCCTGGCTCTGCCACTCAATTCTGTGCAGTTAAGCAAGTTACCCAATCTGATGTGCCTCAGTTTCTCCAATTGAAATGTAGAAATTATTATACTTATTTTTTTATGGGAGTGGTAAATGAGGCAAATTACTTGGAAGAGTGTCTGACAGTGAAATTCAAGTTTGCAATAATAATAATAAATATAACAAAAGTATTGTTATATATTGGAATATAATTTAATATGTAATAATAATACTATTATTTCTAGGTGAGGAGTAGAGATAATTGTGAAAGAAGAATCTCAAAGAATATAGTGGAGAGAGAACTCATAGGGGACTTATTCTATGAAAGCTTACAGTGGTAACCAGTGATTCTCCTCAGAAAGATAAAAGATTATAGACTGATATTCAAGCTTTTTTTCCTTTGGTGGTAAAAGTCACTCTGTGTTTCCTCCTCTTCTCAAAACTTTTTTCTTCTCACCAGCTTAAGCTTTCCCCGTCAAAGGCCTCTCTCTTTCTCCTTTTTCCATCCACCATCCACAATGTTTTTCCTGCACATCTCAAGTAAAATGCATACAGCAAGAGGACCATGTGGGCTAAACATTCTGGCCAAAGGGCAGCATCAGGAATGCAAGAAATGGATATCATTAGCTGAGGTTTTGGGAAACGAGACACCAGGAAGGCTACCCAGAGGACGTAATGTCAGACCTAGATTGTTTAAGGAACAGTGTTTTCCTACCATGTTTCACATTATCTAATTGACAGAGCTCCCCTTACCTATTCATAGCCGGAAGTCAAGCTTCACCACAGGACTCTGCCTCCTCAGCCTTAAGCTGCAGTGATCACCATCTGCATACCCAGATGATGACCTAAGAGTGACAAGATCTCAGACTCTGAAGTTTGGGCTCATTGCCAGTTTAAGTATATGCTGCCACCTTTCGCTACTGAATTTGGCATAAGAGATGAGTGACAAGCGGAGATTTTAATCACTCCTCTGTGTTGAGCTACAAGCAGTCAGAAAAAGACTTGTAGGGTCAGGCTGAGCCCTAACCACAGGGAGTGCTGTTAACACTGAGAGCAAAGCAATAACAGAGACAGACCCCTGTGACCCACAGCAACACAGTGGGCTGGATGTGCTTCTGTTATATTGTTAATTGTTATCCCAATGGCTAAATACCAAATATGGTAATAACTCAAAACACCAAAACAAACAGTTAGTTTTAAATTATCCTCTCTAGCCTGCTGCAAGTTACGTTTTTTTTTTCAGCAAGGAAGAGCAAAAATTAGCCATATATAATCAATTCAATTATATACTCTCTAAAGCAGGTGAATTTTATCATAGGTTATACTTTAAATATACGTCTTCTATAGTTTAAAATATGTCTTTTATATTTTAAGTATGTTTAAAAGTAAAATGAAAAATATCTAAGAAAACAAAAGTAAAAAGTAGTCTCAGATATCATTTTTAAAAAGTGTTATAGAAATTTACAAATAATGTGGTTCAATAAAAAGTTTAAAAAATGATATTTTGCAACCCTTTCTTCTTTGTGGTCCTCAGGGTTTAAGTATTGTGAAAAATCAAAAAATGGTACAATTAACATATTTTTTAAAATCTATGTATATGTTCATTTAATGTTATGTATCTTTGTTGTATCTTTGAACAAACTAGAATGAGTTTATAAACTATGACTTATACATAGAAAACATATTGAATGCTCAACAAAATGATCAGTGCTACTAAATCTCTTCATGAGCCTTACAATACGCTCATCACTTTCTTTTACCTTAACCTATTTTTATGGAAAATTTTATGTTGTGGTCTTTTCATTTTCAGGTGGGGCACTGTTGTAAGTGGTTGAATGAATTTATACAAAACCAGTTCTCAGAAAATAAAATTGTCTGAGTTTAAAATTGCTTCCTCCTGGGGAGACTGCAATGTCTTAAAAGCTTAAAGTTTGAGAGATTTTTATGCTTGAAGTGAGAAAAGTACAGAAACAAGCTGATTCATGCACAGATGTCTCACATTTCTTTCTTCAGTCTCCAGCACTTTCCAAAAGCATGTCAGAGGTCTTATTTGAGGCATCTTTGGTGAAAATTAATAAAATTTTCAAAGAAACCCAAGCAAACAAAAAAAAAAAGAATGAAAAAAAGGATTTGTAGAAGAGATACTTCACAGAATCCAAAGAAACGTTGAAGAACCAGGTCTCAGGAAAAACAGAGGCTTTTTCAACTCTGCTATTACATAGTTAAACTTGCAATTCCCAGTCTCTGTGTCTTTAGTTCAAACAGTTAGTTAAGGAAGAGAATCTGATTGACCAGCTTGGGTCCAGTCTTCATCCCTGCTGCAATCAACTGTGAGCAGTAAGGTGCAGTCACACAGTGGAAGGATGTCTGCTGACTGTCCCTGCTATGGGATTTGGGGCAGAGAAAAGTTCTAATGGGAAAGGCATGAGGGCTGCACAAACTGCTACAAAGTCCAAGTTGTCCCAAACACTTCAGAAAGCTCATAAACAGATTTTCACTCCCTCAACTTTGCAGCAATATTTAATGAATACATGCTATATGTTTGGTACTATTCTATGCATGGGCATGGTGGAACAATACATTGGTACCCTCCCTATTTTGACACAAATGGCTGATTATTCATGAGTAACTGGCATTGAAGTCTTCCAAAGGAGCCAAGAAGCAATGAGTCTCTCTGGTTAGTGACCATCCCAAAGGTGACCACTTTAGATTCCCAGATGCTCTCTCACTTGTATAAAGACAAAAACTCAAGTTTTAATATACAACAAAGCGTTTGTGACAAGTCATTGTGCCATGGGACACTTAAATGTTCATTGGTTTGTGTTTGATGATAAGACTTCTTCAATATTCTGACACCTTCATTACTAGTTCATACCAAATTCTGGTCTCTGGCAGAAAGTCTAGCATTCAATATTGAGAAAGGACCCCTTTCTCCATATTTTGCAGTCTAGCATTACACCGGACATGTAACTGGGCTTAAGCAAACACTGATTGATTGACTTGGTCACTTTATCATTTCTGGTAACACATTAAATCATTATTACAAATGATCCTCAAGTAAGAGTTAAATTTCATTTCAAATGGTTATTCCAAATGTTGTGCATCCCTCCCAGGACTAACAAATTATGCAAGACCATGCAGGCAGGATTTAAAACCAACCTCCAGCAATGTTACTTTTGCAAGCTCTCTCCAATGTCTATATCTGCAATATCTTTACTGCCTCACATAAGGCTCTTTAAGCTTAACGTTGTTTTTAAGAATGTTCTTTTACTTGTTACTTTTCCTTATTGCTTTGTGGCTTAAATTTAATTCAGTTTTATGTTTTGCTTTTTTGATTTTTTTTCTTCAAAGTTCTGACTTTTCATGCTTGGGATTGTATGGAGTAGCCACTGTTCTTCACTAACGCAGTAACTAATATATGGTTGCCAGCTCACTTCAGTGCCTTCTTGAGAAAACAGTTATGTGCAAAGTTAAGTGGTGTAGGAATTAACTTACTGTGCTCTGTGTGTGTGTGTGTGTGTGTGTGTGTGTGTGTGTGTGTGTTTAATAGGATAAACTGCAAAAAAGAAAAAAGCTCCAGCAATTCCTCATATCCTGAATAAAAGAGACATGCCAAAACTATGACTAGATAACTTCGACTTGATTTTCCTACTAAGGTACTGGTAGAAATTTAATTTCAATTTTTAAAATCAGGCTGCTTGCTTCTAACCCAAACGTTCCCTGTAGTGGCACAAATAATGAATACATAAATGGATAAAAACCATTTTAACTTTCAATGCTTAGGGCATTGTCTGATGGGGAAACATAAGTTTATTTGTAGTACACATGAATGAGTATGCTAGTGTGAAGGCATAAAGTATGATGACTGGTAATACTCGCTTGGGTGATATTTGTAGCCACTGGACAGAAAGAAGCCTTGTTGCTCTATAATGAAGGGAGGGTTGCAGAAGATGCTTTCTTCCTGGCCTGTCCTGTGTAGCCATTACAATTTTGATTAGGATAGTCAGGTTTCGTCTAATCCAGCTATCTTTACATGTGGCCGACTCACCTTAGACCACTACCCTCTTATACTCCCCTCCACTTGAATGTGGGCAGAATGTGTGACTTGCTTCCAGCTGATAGAATACGACAAAAGTGAAGGGATTTTGCAAATGTAATTAAGGTGCTGAAACAGTTTGATTTTGAGTCAGTCTAAAGGAGATTATACTGGATAGCCTGACCAAATCAAATAAGCCTTTTAAAAGAGGGTTTAGGTCTTCCCTGAGCTCAAAGACTTGATGCAGTGAAACTCTCCTGGGTCTTGAAGAAACTAACTGCCATGGGTTCTAAAGCTGATGGAAACGAATTTTACCATCAGCTGCTTAAACTTGGAAGAGAACTCCAAGGTTCAGATGAGCTTCCAGTCCTGGCTGACATTGTGATTGCAGCCTTGTGAGACTGAGAAGAGGGCCCGGGTAAGCTGTACCCAGACTCCTGACCCAAAGAAACTGTAGGATAATAAATACTGGATGTGTTGTCTGGGCCTCTGCATGTGTGGTTATTTAACAATTGAAAACCAGTATGCTATAATAAATAACAATATCTGAAGATTATGTCATAAAGATGACAAAAGGATATCCATTTGTTTGTTTTTAAAATGAATAAACTGAGACACCTTAGAAAATATATACAGTATATGATTTCTTATATTGACTACAAAGTAGGTTCTGGTATACATCCAAACCTTTCTAAAGAAAAGCCTAGGATTAAGCTTATGTTTCTGGATTTTTGGACTCTCTTCCCAAGCCACGTATTGATTCTTGCCCCAAACTACCTGCACTAAAACGCCTGCTTCTTATTTTATGGAGGACTTAGTAGTGACATCATTCTGGTTTTGCTCCGAGGATAAGCTTTATAGTCTTTATCAGCTGGCTCCTGAGCAAGGATTTGCTTCCTATTAGTATGCCTTGGGAAATGCTGACTGCTGACTTTATAAATAACCCAAGAATGACTTTACAATGCTATAATTCTATGGATTTAATCAGATTGTTTTGGATCAGATTTACTTTAGGGACTATGTTTTCCTTGGCTAATTTTTCTGTTACATTTGCAATTTTGTTGTGAACAGTGGCAGAAACACATTCCCTTTGTAGGGAGAATAACTTATTGTGTGAATTTGGAGCTGAAAATAAGTGTTCCACACATGAGCATGCACGACACTTCCTGTGTTACTCTCTTAAAACCCTTGGCCACAGGATCTCTGGTATATGATGAGTTAATTATTTTATTCCTGATGCACCTTCAAGAAATGTAGCTTTACTAAGTGATGAATTATTTCTGAATTAGAGACAGAATTTAAGACACGTGCTGAGTTAGACAACCAAATTTTGCCGTGCTCATGAAAATGTGGATAAACACTTTCAAGACTCTCAAGTACTTATAGTGATAAAGTTACTTGAAACTCTCTATTGATATGAATACTTCAACACTTTGCTCATTCAGTTTTATGTTAGTCGCTGAGATCCTTTCCATTAACCATGTCTTTAGGTTCATAATTTGCTCATGTTTGTTTAATTTTTGCACTATGAGATCTATGCCCAAGGAAAGAAATCTTTTCTCAGTACAAATGCTTCACAAACTGTTTTTTCTTGAAGAGACACATTCAAATGTAAACATTATTTTTCCAGCAATGTTTCCAAAGTGGATATTTACTTTAATTGTTTTACACCTAAAATAGTTGCAAAATAAGCAGAAAATGTATTTGCAAGGCTAACTGCCCTTCTTCCACCAGCCGAATTTACGAGTCATGTTTCTTAATGGAAGCATCGCCCTCTAGTGGATAGGGTTGCAATAATAACTTACTTTTCCCACATAACTACCTTTGTGTGAAATTCAAATAACATAACCATTTTAAAGTGTACAATTCATTAGTATTTATTGTAGCCACATGTGCAAGTACAAGCTTTCTGTAGTTTCACGTTTTTATTACTCCAGAAAAAATCCCATAACCATTAAGTAAGCACTTCCTATTCGGCTGTCCTCCCACCCCCAGTAACCTTTAATCTATTTTTATTTTATTTATTTATTTTTTGAGACAGGGTCTTGGTCTGTTGCCCAGGCTGGAGTGTAGTGGCAGGAACAAGGCTCATTGAAGTCTCAACCTCCTGGGCTCAAGGAATCCTCCCGCCACAGCCTCCCAAGTAGCTGGAACCACAGGCCCCCACCACTATAACTGGCTAATTTTTGTAGAGATGGAGTTTTGCCATATTGCCCAGACTTGTCTGGAACTCTTGAGCTCAGGCAACCCTCCCCACCTGGCCTTCCAAAAGTGCTAGGATTACAGGTGTGAGCCACTACGCCCAGCCTAACCTACTTTCTATCTCTATTGATTTGCCCATTCTGGGTATATAAGAGTAATCACATAATATGTGATTTCTTGTGTGTGGCTTTTTACACCTCTCATAATGTCTTTGAGATTCATCCAAATTGTAGCATGTATCAATACTTCATTTCTTTTATGATTGAATAAGTCATATGAATATACCACAATTGTTTATTCATCCATTGCTGGGCACTTGGTTATTTCCATCTTTTTTTCTATTATGAGTAATGTTGTTATAAATATTTGTGTACAGGATTATATTAGACATATGTTTCCATTTTTCTTGGGTGTATACCTAGGAGTAGAATTCCTGGGTCATAGGATAATTCTGTGTTAAACTTTTTGAGGAACTGTCAAAAAAGGGCAATCAGGTACATCAAAATATGGTTTTCTAAAATATTGGCAGGTTTGTCAAAAGGTGCTGGTTAGTATTGAAAAAAATGACAATAGTTATTAAACACAACTGTGGTTCTTTCTATGCCAATTCTTTATATAAAGCCTTTCTAGAAATGGGAATGAGGTGATAATCCCTCTTAACATCCTGAAGACTGGCTCCAATAGTATGCTATAAGATTTATCAAATTAAAAATATAGGTGCATGTATTTGTTTATATTAAGGTAGTGTTTGAGTTGTCTGCTATTGCATTTTACTTTTCTGGTAAATTTCTCTCCTTTTCTTGAATCCTGTGCATCATGAAGACCATGAAGCCTTTTCTTTCAAAGAATAGGAATTCAGATAAAAATTATATCAACAATAGAAAAACATCACTCACCTTCTAATTTGATATTTATAAATCCATAGTAATGTCAGATTTTTGCATATTAAGACCCAGAGTTCAAAGAATTGAACAAAGTATGGATCCCAGAATACAAAGAATAGTATATTATGTAAAGAAAATTCCTGCCTCAAAGGGAAGGAAAATAACTGTTGCTAGATGCTGGAAAGTAAGAGAAAAAAATTAAGAGTAAAGGATTATATATGAGTGATCTGATTTTCCTCCCTCATGATTAAAACTAGAACTGGGGGTGGTGCTGGTGGTAGACGTTCAAAGATAGAAACATTTAAGGGACTCACAAGCAGAGGGCACGTTCTTCCCTTTACAGAACATAGACCATGAAAATTGCAAGATGCTGAGGAATGACCCACATTTAGCATAGCCCTGGAGAGCCTTGGTGCCATCGTGCAGGTACAGGAGGAGGCTAAGAGCATGGCTACAATGCCACATGGTCTGCACCTAGCACAAAAGAGGATTCAGAATTTCTTTGGAGTTTTGGCATGGGGAGGGGTAGAAAGCAGGGTATGAAACTGCCCAAAAGACCAATAGATCAGAGACATCTGGAAGCAACATTTAGAGAAGGAATTTCCATCAAGAGACCACAGAGCCTCTGTTTCTGATAATTTTACCTGTAGCCAGGAAATGATTCCTGTTCATGACAAAGCAAATAAAAGTTGTCAAGCAGAGTTCATGGATCTCTATAAGTCAAATCCTCCTTTAATCCTGTTGTTTAGTTCTTATGGATTTTCTCATTAATTAATGAGTTAAATGAAATCTTTGACATGTGGTCATGTGTTCATTTTCATGAAAATTATGGTTTTGGGGGTTTCTTGAAATTCTTTTTACAGAAGACAATGACTGTCACCTCAAAATGCTAAAATAGAAAAAGTATCTTGGTACTCATGTCTGGTAAAAATATCTTTCAAAAGTGAAAATTAAAAAATTAGGGGACAAATTCAACTTGAGAGAGTCAGTAAGAGCAGACCCATAGTAAAGGAAATATTAAAAAGAATCTTTTTTTCAGGCAGAAGGGAAATAATCCATAGATTAGTAGAAAATACAGAAAAGAATAAAAAACTAAATATTTTGGGAAAACTAAGTGATATGGTTTGGCTCTGTATCCCAGCCCAAATTTCATCTTGAATTGTAAACCCCATGTTCAAGGGAGGGACCTGGTGGGAGGTGACTGGATCATGGGGGTGGTTCCCCCATGCTGTTCCAGTGATAGTGAGTGAGTTCTCACGAGAGCTGATGGTTTTGAAGTGTGGCACTTCCTCACACTCTCTCCCTCTCCTGCTGCCATATAAGGTGTGCCTTGCTTCCCTTTCACCTTCTACCATGATTGTAAGTTTCCTGAGCCCTCTCTACCCACTGGGAACTGTGAGTCAATTAAACCTCTTTCTGGCTGGGCATGGTGACTCACACCTGTAATCCCAGCACTTTGGGAGGCTGAGGTGGGCGGATCACTTGAGATCAGGAGTTCGAGGCCAGCCTGGGCAGCATGGTGAAATCCCATCTTTACTAAAAATACAAAAATTAGCCTGGTGTGGTGGTAGGAGTCTGTAGTCCCAGCTGCTTGGGAGGCTGAAGCAGTAGAAACACTTGAGCCTGGGAGGTGGAAGTTGCAGTGAGCCGAGAGTGGACCACTGCACTCCAGCCTGGGCAAAGGGCAAGACTCTGTCTGTAAAAACAAACAAACAACAAAAACTTCTTTCCTTTATAATTACCCAGTCTCAGGTAGTATCTTTATAGCAGTGTGAAAACATACTAATACACTAAGTAAGTGTTGACTTCATAAAAGTAATAATAATGTCTTCCAGAGTTAGACTACATGTAAAATGAAAATATATAATAATAGTACAAAAGATGAAATGGGGGAAATAGAATAAAAGTGTTCTCATGTCCTAGCAATGTCCAGAAAGTAGCGAAATACTAACTCATTTTGGAGTTTAAAAAGTTAATGTGGCAATTGCTTGGGTAACTATAAACAATATAGTAACAAAATGTATAAAACTGAATTATACAAATAATCCAAAAGAAGTCATAAAATTTAAATCCAAATGTGAGATGTGTGTGTGTGTGTGTGTGTGTGTGTGTGTGTGAGAGAGAGAGAGAGAAATATTGTTAGACTGGATATAAAATATAATTCATGAATATTCAATATTGAATAGGAGGTTACAGAAACATTTAAGGTAAAACAATGAAAGAGTATGTACCATGCAATCACCAACCCAGCCAAAGCCACTGTAGGCATAATAATAATCAGACAAAATGAACTTAGGGCAATCTTACTAGAAATTAACAGGACTGGTCCATAATGACAGTAGGGTCAATCTACTGGGAAAAAAATGTAGCAATTTAAATTTTAGGCACCTAATAAATATCAAATAACTACATAAAAATTAAAATATATAGCAAAAGTTAACAGAACTAAAATAAATAAATTTATAATCATATTGGAAAATTTTTGCACACCCCTTCTGGTAAAGGATAGTAAAAACAGCCAAAAGAAATGAAGATTTCTTTCAAATTCATGAATAAAATATATAGAATTTTGTACTTAACAACTGAAATGTACTTTATTTTCAACTACATATGAAATACATGACACATTTGATAGATGCTGAGCTACAAAGCATTTTCCCCCAAAAGTTAAATAATTAAGATTATACAAAGTATATTATCGATATTATCTGAATGTAGGAAATTAAATTAGAAATCTAAATAAATATATCTAGAAACTTTTTCAAGTATTTGGAAATTAAGCAGTTCTCTTCTAAGTTTCTAGTAAGATTTTTAAAAATCAAAATAGAGGTGAGAAAATATTTTAAACTGAATGTTAACAAAATGAAATATACTAAGATTTGTGGGATGCTAGTATAGCCATGCTTAGAGGGAAATTTATAGTCTTAAGTGCATTTACTAAAAAAAGAACAAAGGTTGAAATCAATGAATGAAATAGAGATTTTCAGAATTTAGAAAACAATAGTAAATTAAAACTAAAGAAATAAAAGAAAGAAAATTATAAATATAAAAGCAAATAAAAATAGGAAAGAACATACAGTACAGAATATTTTAAAAGGCAAAAGTTGGTTCCTTAAAAGACTAAATAAGTAAAGAAGAGAAATCACAAAATACCAATAACAGGAATCAAGATGGGTCACCACTAAAGATCCTATAGAGTTTTAAAAAACAATATCATCATAAACAATTTTACGTAAATAAACTTGAAATTTTATCAAATTACAGAGAGTGAAACAAGAAGAAACAGCAAATATGAATGGTCCTCTATCAGAGAAAATAAATACATAATTAAAAACCTGTACATAAAAACAATTCATGCTCAGATTTTACTAATTAATTATCCAAAGAATTAAGAAAAATATTAACACCAGTCTTAGTTATTCTCTACCAGAGAACAAGAACAAGAAAAGTCCTTTGCCTACTTGTTTTAAGAGGTTAGCATAATCTTGATTTCAAAACCTAACAAGCACATTAAAGTAAACAGATTACAAGCCAAACTCTTTCAGAAATATAGATGCAGGAATATAAAACAAAACATTAGAAAATCGAAGCAATATATGAAATTGATAATTCAAATGACCAAATTTGATTAAGTTCTAGGAGCATAGTTAGGATTAATATCCTAAAATCAATCACTGTGTACCACAATATCAAAATACAAAAGAAAAATAATATATGATTTTCTAAATAAGATGCAGAAAAACTTAATAAAATTTTGCATTTATTAATGACATCTAGAAACTTTTAGAAAATTAAGAACTGAAAGAGTCTCTTTAAGATGATACTGGATATCTATTTTTAAAAAATCTATACCAACTGGCATTTTTAATAGTTAGTTATTAAAACCTCCCTTACTCATATTAGAAACAAAACAAAGCTTACCACTATCACCTCACCTCCTCAATGTTACAACTAATGTTCAGCCAGTGCAGGGAGGAAAAGCAAATGAAAATTATAGTAGCAGGGATGGAAAGAGCAGAAATAATTAAAATAGAAAGCAGAAGAACTATAGAGAAAATCAACAAACCAAAAGTTGAATTTTAAAAATATATTCATAAAATTGAAGGACTCCTATATGGGCTAATCAAGGAAAAGAGATAATTAACAAATTGTCAGAATCAGAAATTAAAGGAAAAATGATTAGAGATGTCACAGATATTAAAAGCACAATAAGGGAATAATATGAACAATTTATACAGTAAATTCAAATAACAATAACTTAGACAAATGAATTCTCAGAAAAATGCAATTTGTCAAATCTAAAAAAAAATCGTAGTCATCCTACATACCTGTTTAAGAAATTGATATTTTTAATTAAAAACTTTCCCACAGAGAAGACTCAGGTTTCCGATGGCTTTGCTGGTGAATTCTATCAATATTTAAGGGAGAAATAATCTCTCTTACTCTCTTTCAAGAATAAATGCCTCCCAACTTGTTTTATGAAGCCAGTATTATTTTTATACCAAAACCTGACAAATTATCCAGAGAGACCACTAAAAAATAAAAAAGAAATGTTAAGGGATGTGGAGAAATGATTTAGACATTTAACATATATTCTTAAGGAGTTCCAGACAGAGAGAATAAAAAAATATGGAATGATAACCTATTTGCAGTGTTAAAAGCTGATAATTTCCTTGGAATTCTCTGAATTAAAGATATTAATATGTGAATCCTCAACTTATATTAGCATAAATTCTGAGCCAGATTAATAAAAATAATTTCATAGGCTCATAGAAATAAAAAACAAATTATAAATATTTATATACATATTTTAATATAAATATTATAATTTTACATAAATATTTATATATAATTTTACTTATATTATTTTTATATAAATATATATTATATAAGTATATAATATATATTTATTTAATATAAATATATTATTTATATATAAATATTTATATTATATATAATTATATATATTATATTAATATAAGTAGATATATACAAAAAATAATTCTAATTAAAAATGTGGCCAAAATTAAACCATTTTCAGAAAAAGAAAAACGGGGTCATTTTGCTGCTAGCAGATCTGACAGAATTCCTGAAGGATACATTTCAAGAAAGAAATAGAACACAAAATGAAAAAGTTGGCTGAAGAAACAAATTTGAGGGAAAAAATTACCAATAATTAGTATGTAAGTCTAAATAAGTACTGCCTACAAATTCATGTAATAATACTGTTTAATTTGTTTTATCTCAAATTAAGGTAGAGTTAAGATACTACACAAAAATAACATATTAGAGGAGAGCAATGATATGTCATCAGTCTAGGAAAATTCATTTTTCCAGATCAGGACACAAATATTGATTACAGTTCACCTTAATTAAGTATGCATGTTAAAATTTAAGAGTAATCACTTATAAAAGAGAAAGAAAAAAGAAGAAAGGAAGGAAAGGAGGGAGGGAGGGATGAATGGAGGGAGATGATGTGTAACTTTCCATCAGAGATGGGGGAAAGAGAAACAGAAAACACAAAGCAAAAGAGGACAAGAAGGAAGAGGAGAATAAAAGGAAAAACCTCAAAAAGTGGAAAGTGTGAAGTAAAGTGATAGGAATAAAATTAGATGTATCTGTAAATATAAAAAATGTAACTTGATTAAAATAGGCTATTAGCAGGAAGTGTCACATTGGATGACTTAAAAATCTAGTTATATTCTTTTACTTAATAAATCTATATACTATACCAAGAGATAAGAACCCATTTAAATAATTGGGAAAATGAGATTGCTGTAAAATACTAGAAAAAATGGGCAGCATAGCCTTATTACTACCAGATTCAGCAGCTACAGATGTGTCATATTTCACTGTTCCTTCTACTTCTCAGGAGTAATCACTCCTTTTTGCCACAGAATCAATTCCAAACTCTAGCATGGCTTTCCAGGTTCTTCACCTCTGGTTATAGCCTTTCTTTGGATAGTTATATTCCTCTTTGATCTCTTAGCTGCTATTGCAAAGTTGATATATAGTAGACACTCAAATATGTATTTAGTTCAGGTAAAAGAAAAAAAAATATTCCTGAATCCATGGAATCATTGTAACATTTTCTTGTATAATGTCCTCTTCACTTTTTTCACAGGTATCTTTTCTTTAAAAAAATGAGAGGGGCAGGTGCAATGGCTCATGCCTGTAATTCTAGCACTTTGGAAAGCTGAGGCAGGATGATTGCTTCAGTCCAGAAATCTGAGACCAACCCAGGCAACATGGGGAGACCCTGTCTCTACAAAAAATACAAAAAAAAAAAAAAAAATGAGCTGGGTGTGGGAGCACATGCCTGTAGTCCCAGATACTCGGGAGGCTGAGGTGGGAAGATCACTTGAGTCCAGAAGGTTAAGGCTGCAGTGAGCCATGATCACACCACTGCTCTTCAGCCTGGGTGACAGAGCAAGACCTTATCTCAAAAATAAATAAATAAATAAATACAAATAAAAATAAATAAGAGAAGAAACATGTTTATATTTTAGATCTAACATATTGACAACTAAGCAACATTTCTTCCTCCTTCCCTCACCATTGCTGGAGGTATCCACACCAGACATTTTTTCAGAATTATAATTCATGAAACATCCCATTTCTTACACTCCCCTCCTTTCTCCTACTTTCCCCTATCGTTCCCTCTCCTCCTTTCTCCTCTTTCTTTACTTCCCCTTACCTCTCTTGTCTCCTCCCTTCTGTTTGTAAATAGGTCTGTATGTTACAGAGCTCAGAAAAACAAGGGATTGTGTGAGATGCGCCAAGAATGGAGAAGATGAGAATGAGAATCTTTCCTGTCTAGATTTGTGAGTTGGTAATGACAAATTGAATGGCTTTCTGACTGGCCACCATGAACTGCCTTCTATTGGTCCAGATTAAAGGTTCTCATGCAACAGGGCATGTAGCATTCACTGGAGGGAACTATTTTATAAATTTATACTGTTTCCTAGACCATCCCACATTCATTCCACCCAGTATACACTAGGGATAGTTAAGGTGCCATATGGGGTGTGTGTGTGTGCATGTGTTACCTGAACACAGTCTCCCTAAACTTTTCTAATAGAATTCCCTTTATACCAACTACAGCCCTAAAGAAGAACCTCTATTATAATTAGATCAATGTCAATCCCTCAATCTGCAATATAAATACTCCGAAAGCCATCCTCTTAGGAACTTTATTCTGTACATGATAAGTTATGTAATGAAGGACAGTTTGGACTTTCCGGAGAATATGTTTTCCTATTGGGCAAAGGAGACCCAAATTTGCTAGTTCTCAGTCCTTGGTATGAATCAGTATCAATGACGAGCCTTCAAAAAATTAAATGCTTAAGTCTCACCCAGAGATATGAGTTCAATTGGTCTGGTCCTGGTCTTGGCCCATGCACTGGCTTTTTTTTTTTTTTTTTTTTTGCTTCTCAGGTAGTTCTAATATGCATTCAGAATTGAGAAACATTTCCCAAACTGTTCATAATTAAATGAGAAAGTCAAATCTGTGCTATTTTGGAATTTTGTTTATATATTATGAAAAGTTGCAGTCTAAGCTTTCTTAGAATTTTTGTAAAGAAAATTGTAAAAATAAATACGCAGATACTATGTGCACTTTACAGAGTGACAGCAAATTTTAGGGATCTAAATCTAAGTGATCTATAGGCTGTAATAAACAAGACATTTGGTGAACAGAAAAGAAACAAGGAGAATATCCTAAATGAAAAATACTGAGAGCGCAAGGAAAGGATAGAAGGATATAAAGAAAAGTAGATCAAGAATACATAAGGAAGAAATTGAAATGGAAAAGTGAAAAAAAGAACAATAGGTGGACAGGAAGGAGAAAAGATGCACAACTTAAAATGTTAGTCAATTTTTTATTAATTTTTGTAACTTTCCACTAGTCTACCTGATGCCATATCTAGCTTTTTGGCCAATATTAAAGTAGTTATCCAATACACTCTTCTTAATTAACTTCCATTCCATGAAAAAATTGAAAGATGAATTATAGTAATTAATGTGTGTTCTTTACATTTGTTTTTCAGATAGATTATTTTTACATGATAGAAATCTACCTTTAAATGGCATTTCAAAGATAGAAACAAAGACAACAATTAAATACAAAAACAAAAGCGAAACCTTTATTCTTTTGGCTTGATTGTAATGTGGTTTACCGTTCTTTATGGTAACAGCATTTTCCTGCATGCATTTCACCAACACACTACAAGTCAATAGCTTCAGTATAAAGAATCTACATTTATTGTTGCTTGTGAAACACAAAGTATTTTGCTGTAACTGGTAATATAACTTCACTACCTGGTTTTGTGGGAGAGGAAAAAAAGCTGGGATCCCATATTATATCTGATACAGTTCTAGTGCCATATGGGTCAATAAGATCTATCTGTGTAAACAAACATTGGAAAAGACTGATGATTACTGAATAAAAAGACTAGGTGGAAACATTGGATTCAAGCAATGCCAAGAGTATCAGCTGATTTTTTTTTTCTTTAAGCCTCTTTCAATGATAAGGCATTACTATTGAAAGCAAATAAACATTGAACTCAGTTTGAGATTTGTTTCACATTGAAATGTGTGCAAGTTTACAGTACTAATAAAAAAGCAGAAACCTACACTGCATCCTAGTCCTTGCTTCTTATTTTGTGAAGTGCTTCAATTTAAAAGTGCTAGGAACAGAAACTAACAATAGTGACTGTGACATCCACCTGAAGATACTTTTAATTTCTCATTTTACGTACAAAAGGCTGAAAAATAAAATAAAATGAACTTTTTACAGTATTTATATTTTCTTAGAAAACTCTAACCATATATTTTAAACAGATTTAAGCAGCTTGCAACATGTTTGTACAGTCGGGCTTTTCATCATTGAGTGTTCAATTAAGGTTGGAAGAATAAAAAGCAAGAAGCTCTTCCTTGTTTGCTGCAACCTATTGCTTAATGACATGAAGAATGAGGTCTTGGTAGAACAATTTGCTTCACTTTACCACTGATATATGGCTTCCCATATTAGACTTCTGAACAGTGGAAGGAATAAGATACAGCAGCATAGGCAAGATAAACATGCAGCAGTGACAGCTTCAAACTATAATGGAACCAATTACATCATATTACCTGTTGAAAGCTTGCAAACTATACTTACTGTGGTACATATTTGATGCAATAAGTAGTGTGCTTAAATCATCATTTTTGTTTGCTCAAACATGCACCACTGGGTAAAATTACTATTTACAAAGCAGACTTTTATTTTTTAAATTGACATATACTATGTCAACCTTACCAAGAGCAGAAGATGGCTAAACAATACTGCAGGATAAAGCAGAATCAACTTTATAAAGTGGTGGTGGGGATGTTTTTTGGTCAATTCAGGCTTCTTAGAAAGGACTGATAGGATATTTTTATTTTATGCCAAAGGACACTTATCAAAAATGTGATAGTCATGCTGCTGGGACTGTGAATGACAATGTAATGGTATGTGTATATCTCTGTGTGTGCATGTGTGTATACATATATATGTATATACACGCACATATACATATATACATATATACATGTACATTTAATGGGTTATGTAAAAATAAAACAACTCTTTAATGCTTGTGATTCTATGGAACATTTACAGGCACATTAAATTTTTTCTGGATGAGACACCTTAAAAATACGAATAGCTATTTAAGCACCTCAAAAATCTAAAAACATCCTGAAACAAGAAGTAAACTCTTCCCTTTTGTGATGTGATTTTTTTATGTGTGAATGAGAATTGCAGCATGCCTCCATTTAAAATATATCCAGTTATACAATACAATAGAGAAATGTAGAATTCCCTCCCTTTAATCCCTCTCCCCAAACACAAACCCATTTACAAAAATAGTCACATATAATAGTAAACAACCTGTGAATTAAAAAGAAAAGTGATAAATTCACAGCACACGTTTTGTAAAAATATGGCAGGTGTGGCAGTTAAAACATAAACACTGGTGACAATTACTATTATCAAGTGTCACATGTTGAATTTACATAAAAATTTAACTTCCCTCCCCCCTTTAAATTGGTTCCTATCGTCTGAGTAGCCATTACGCCTCTGCTCTTCAGCAGTGTCAGCTGGTTGTGAAAATAGAAACCTCCCATCGATACTATTTCTCCAGTTTACTGAGTTCCAGTTTGCTGACCAGAGGTCTCTGTCTTGTTATAGGCACTGACCTTAAGTATACATTTGTAAAAACAGTCAGTTTGGCATAGACCTCCTGTGGGAGTCCTGTTGACACAAACACATCACCATCACGGGCTGTAAACAATTGATCACAAAATGGAAAATTCTTGGTTTCTTTTTACTTTTTACTTTCCCTGATATCTTTCCCTTTGTCTTCCTTTTCTGATTTGTCTTTTTCAAATTTTTCTTTTTCTGGTTTGGTCACACTATCATACGAGGGTGGAGACGTGGTGGAAGGCGTCATATCGGTTTTCTCTGGAGTTGAATTCTCATTCAGTTTATCAATGAGAGTATCTTCTTTGATGGGTGTTCCATCACATTCTTTGCCTTTGTCTTTCTTGTATATACTTGATACCTTTTTAACTTTTTGCTTCAAGAGGTAGCGTCTGTAAGCCCTCTGGATAATAATAGCAGACACCTCCTCTTGTTTGCGTTTCAACGTGGTCGTAATGGGCTCATAAGAGACTTTGGAGGGGTTTGATGCCATGAATCGCTCTTCCATCTGTATTCGAAGGGCATCCATCTCTCCACTCTCACCCAAAACACGCTTTGTAAAAGCAAATAAGATGTCAAGACAGTGGATCCGGTCACCACTCACCATGGGCAGATCCATGGCAATGAGCTGGACTTTGTTGGGTTTTGCTATGAGAAGAGGAGGATCCAGGGCATCTGCAAAATCAGAAAGTTTGGCAAACTCTATAAACTGGGTCGCATCGGGATCAAACTTCTCCCAAACCTCATAGAACATCTCAAAGTCATCCTCACTCAGAGGCTCTGCACTTTCTTCAGTAGCAACACTGAAGTTCTCCAGGATGACCGCGATGTACATGTTCACCACAACCAGGAAGGATATGATGATGTAACTGACAAAAAAGAAAATCCCAACAGATGGGTTCCCACAGTCTCCTTTAACTGAGCTTCCAGGGTGATCTTTGTCAGGGTCACAGTCTGGAGGTCCACTATTAAGAATAGGTGCTAGCAATCCATCCCAGCCAGCAGAGGTTGTAATTTGGAACAGGCAGATCATGCTGTTGCCAAAGGTCTCAAAGTTGAACATGTCATCGATCCCAACTTCCCTCTTAACATAGGCAAAATTGGACATCCCAAAGATGGCGTAGATGAACATGACCAGGAAAAGAAGGAGGCCGATGTTAAACAACGCAGGAAGGGACATCATCAAAGCAAAGAGCAGCGTGCGGATCCCCTTTGCTCCTTTGATCAGACGTAGGATTCGGCCAATCCTGGCAAGACGGATCACTCGGAACAGGGTAGGGGACACAAAATACTTTTCTATCAGTTCAGCCAGAAACATTCCTGTAGAAAATCAACAAATAACAAAAATATTGTTATACTTAATAGTAGCAAATGAAAGTTTACATAAGTACATTAGTTTTACAAAATGTGAACAGGACAGTTAGGTACATGTATATATGCAAATAATCTGCAATGTTTGTTGAGCAAAATGAAACTGGTATGTTTGGTGTTATAACATTTACATCTTTATATTAAATGAAGATAATAAGGGCCATTTTTCCTAGTTCAAGGAAAGCATCTATCAAAAAAATGACTCAACCCTGGAAGGTCCAAAGACATCATGAAGCATACAGTGGCCAAGTACAGAAATTAATTTATATGTCCAAAATACTAGTTCTAGTATTTGCATAAGAACTAAAGGTGTATGATTTTGGGTCAGGAATATGAGAGTTCTTTACTTTCTGAGATTCTATGTTATTTGGGAGTAGGCAGCGTGATGTACAGAAGAAAACATAGGCTTTGGAGACAGATGTACTTGGGACTGAATCCTGGCACTTGCTTTTATGCATGAGTAAATGGTGATAATATCAACTTTTTCTTGTGGTCAAACTGAACATTTACTAAGTCTTTTCTTCATGCTAGGCACAGTGCTAAGTGCATATATATACATAATCTGATTTAATCCTCACAATAACATTTTACAGAAAAATTCCTTGCAAAACCAGAGATTGGAGAGCTGAGGTAACTTCTCTTAGGTCACTGAGAAGGTAAGTAGTGTAAATAGGGAAGCTCCAGGTCAGATCTCAAATCTTACCTCTTAATGCTACCTCATAGCACTTATGTGAGAATCAAATGCAGTGGAACATTGTTACAATGTTCTATTCGACTAAAGAAAGTAGTTTAAAGAGTGCTATATAATTTTCCCCTCCATGTGAATGTTCTGTTTCCCCAAATAGGTAGAACCTTCTCTTAAATCTTCTTATATTTACTTCCAGTACCTCATTTAATATCTTATACATAAACACTGTATATATATATTTTTTCCAATAAATCTTTTGCATTCCTAGGACTTAATGTATGTATGTATCCTAACATTAATGTATCATTGATGATAACAAATCTGTTTTGGATTTTCAAACAAACTATCTGCTTCCAAAAAGAGATATTGCAAACCACAGAAAACTGTCTGCACCCAAAGATAACATGAAACTTATATATGTGTTATTATATATATAACTGCACATATACACTATTCCAATTATTTAAGAGGTCATATTTATGAATTATGTGACTACTTCAAATGATTTATGTATATATGTGTGTGGATTGATTGTTTATTCAAAGCAGTAACTGTCAATACCACAGGAGTATGACCAGGTACAAGACTATTCTACCAAAGTTGCAGTTATTGTCTTCTGAGATGAGAACAGATGAAAATATTAAATGAGAATAAATGAAAGCTGAAAATATAAATTCCTTGTATTCCACTCATCATTTCAAGCACAGCATGCAATTAGAGAAATGGCAAACTAAAACTAAAACAATGGACTATTAGATTTTTATTTGGGAGTTTGGGATGAATGAGAAAGATTAGTGAAAAACACCTCTAAAGTTTTAAAACACATATTTTTACCACTATATTCCTTAACTGAATAAAAGCACCTCTTCTTACCTACAATGGAGAGAATGACCACCACAAAATCAAAAATATTCCATCCAATAGTGAAATAGTAGTAACGAAGAGAGATCAGTTTCAGCACACATTCTCCAGTGAACAGAACAATAAACACCAGATTAATCCAGTACAGAATGTTTGTCATTTCTTGACTCTGGTCATCGGTTTCCACCATCATGGTGACCATGTTAAGGCAGATGAGGATCATGATGCTGATATCAAAGACTTGTTTGGTTACAAAATCAAAGACCATTCCTTGGAATTTGTTCTGGAACAAATAATATGTAAAAGTTCCATTAGAAACCTTAAAAAAAATCGAATTCAATTCTTCTGATTTTAAGAAAGCAACAAAAAATGTAGCTTTTATAAAAACACATCTTTAATCCTCACAACATTTTACAAAAAAAAAAATTCCTTGCAAAACCAGTGATTGGAGAGCTGAGGTAACTTGCCTTAGGTCACAAAGCAGGTAAGTAGTGTAAATAGGGAAGCTCCATGTCAGATCTCAAATCTTATCTCTCTCTCTTTTTTTTAATTTTTTTTATTTTTTGAGATGGAGTCTCGCTCTGTTGCACAGGTTGGAGTGCAGTGGCACGATCTTGGCTCACTGCAACCTCTGCCTCCCGGGTTCAAGCGATACTCCTGCCTCAGCCTCCTGAGTAGCTGGGATTACAGGTACATGCCACCATGCCCGACTACTTTTTGTAATTTTAGTAGAGACGGGATTTCACCGTATTGGTCAGGCTGGTCTCAAACTCCTGACCTAATGATCTGCCCACCTCGACCTCCCAAAGTGCTGGAATTACAGGCATGAGCCACCATGCCCAGCCTCAAATCTTATCTCTTAATGCTACCTCATAGCATTTATGTGAGGGTCAAATGCAATGGAACATTATTACAATGTTCTATTCTATTAAAGAAAGTAGTGTATTTTATTTTCGTTTTATACTTGGAAGAAAATTTTGTATATTGTATATTCAACTGTATTCAAATGTATTTGTTTTATTTATACTCACATTGATACCAGGTTTTATAAACTCACGTATTATGTTCTCAGTGCACAGAACACCATCATGTTATGACGGACAGTTAGTAAATATTTGTCATGTAATAAAATTTTTTATCCCATGTGTTGGGAGGGTATTAATTTTACTTTAAGCAACTAATAAATAAATACTTCTCCAAGTTTTCCTCTCTCTTTTTAAATTTTTCGTCTGATTTCTGACTTTATATTCTCTCACTAAAGCTACAGCATCTTAAATTTCATTTTAAAGTTCAGCTAAGATGTTTTAAAAATCATCATTCTAGAGAAAAGGCTTCAGTGGAAAAACTGGTGAAATCTGACTCAGTTCTGTATTTTATTTAATGGTATTATATCAAGATTAATTTCTTAGTTGTGAGAACTGATCTATGGTTGCATAAGATGTTAAAACAAGAGGACACTGTGTATAGATTCATTAGAGTATTCATTATGAGTAACTCTTCTGTAAGAATAAAATTATCTTTTAAAAAGTCACAATGGAAATATTCAATCTTTGCCCTAGTCTATTTGGACCTTATTTCCAAGTACTAATTGCCTTATGTCTTGCTTATGAAATGAAGTCCCCAACTTGTAAACCAGTTCTGATCATTGGTTTCTGTATTGTTCCATTTTGCACGTATCTGCTTTGTTTCTCAGGTAATCTAGGGATCTGGTCTTGACTTAACCTCTGTTGGGCTGCCTTTCTCTACCTTCTCAACTAGAATGACTAATACTCTGCTACATATACACCTAATGGCTTGCTTTCCCAGATCCTGACACTTTTAGTGGCCTGGATTCTACATCTTAGTGTTCTGCCCTCTTTCTATTGGGAGGCTTCTATTACTTCCAATGGTGATTTTTGGACATCAAACACTACTTGTTCTATTTTGTTTTGCTCTTTTCTCTGAATGCGTATTTGGCCTGCTGAACTAGATTTCTATTACTCCAGCTGGATCTGTCTTCTCAGGGCCTTTTTCAACCCAATAAATGTGTCTACTTTTAGTTCAAACCCTTCCTTATTAATTATTAATTTACTGTAGTTTAACTTTCCAAGTCTGGCATCTTCCCCTTACTTCCACCCTCTGATATTTCCTGCCTACCACTCTTAGAAGCTTAGGCAGGTTCTACTGTATCATTTTACATAGTTTATCTGTCTACTATTCTGTCTAAAACACATGTCCCCCACTCCTTCTCTGTCTCATGAATTCTAACTCAGTTTTGAGTTTAAAGCACTTAGTGCTCTCAGAAAACTGAGTGCTTTCATTGATCATAAAATGTATGGCATTGTATTGCAAATGGTTTGCTCTTATTCAATTTTAGTTTTCTTTCCCTTCCACTTGTTTTGAGGCCCCTCAAAAGCAGGAGCAGTATCATTTTTCTCTCAGATATGGCTCCTAGAGTATAGTAAGTTCAAAATATCTTAAAAGCAGAAATTTGGTCTTAATTTTAATATCACCATGACTAATAAAAAACTGTTTAGATTCCCTGTTCATAGAGTTGTCCAATGAGACAGACATCTCAATGTACAACTCCAGTCTCGAGTCTCTGTGTTCTGTTCTCCCATTTAAATCCTAGGGTGTCAAATATGCTGGAACAAGATGTATAATTCTGAAGATCTTATTCACCAAAAATTTATGTTCTCTAACTTCATCTTGGCCCTTCAGATTTAACAATTAGCAATCCTTTGTCCTTCATTTGCTCCAAAGATAATTCCAAACTTCTCATAAATTTCCATTCTCTTGCCCTCTATTTTTACTTTTTTTAGAACATTAAATTTAAACAGTTTAAATAAACTCCTCTGTTTCCTTTTGCATTTCATATTATTTTAATTTCCATGTTCTTTTCATATATTACTCCAAATTCATTAGAGGACTCAGCCCCTTTTTCTTTCTAAAGCTACCCTAGACCACTATGTCCTTGTCCCACATCTTGTGCATTTTTATGCCGTAATTATTCCCTCTGTCTTCGATCTTTTCCTCTCTAAAATTCCTTTTGCTTTCCTTTAAACCTAATCTCTGAATCTTAAGAAACCTTTATTTTGCTACTTCTAAATATTCATCATTTCTCTCCCTTCCTCCTTCCTCTCACTCTCTCACTCTGACTCGTTTGCCAAATTCTGCAAACTAGCATCTCCAATTTTCTCACCACTTTCTGTCCCTTCTTCATTTCCTGCATGACATCAGTATTTATCCAGTTGTGCAAAGCAGAAAGACACCAGTCATTCTTGTTGGTTCCTTCTTTAGTTCCCATATTCAATTAATAGACAAACTTTTAAATTTCACTCTGGTGATAGCTCACAAATCCATCCACTTTTATTAATCTGCACATTGCTATGGTTCAGGCTACCTACCATCTCTGAAATAGCTCCAAAACAAGTCTACAATGTATTCACACGGCCTCTGTGAAACTGATTGAGTGATCACCACAAAGCCCAGACTGACTGGGTCCACGTTAACGGTTTCTTACTGCTCTTAGGATGAAAACTACTCCTTAACACGGCCTCCAAGGCCCAGAAAAGTTTGGGCTTATCCTAACCTCTTTATTCTCAGTGTGTCCCAAATGAACCTTGACTTTCTGCACTCCAGTCTCACCAGCCCTCCTACATAAGGACCTTCACAAATTCATTCCCCTTCTACAGGGCTCTTCTCATCCCACTCTGGCTATTGATGCTTTCTATTCTTTTTCCATCCTCAGCTAGTATATTTTTTTAATAAAGCCTTCCCTAACTTCCCTGATTAATCAGCCCCTTCCCCCTAATCAGCTCTCACAGCTGAAAGTATCCCTTTTTTTCTGGGATACTTCCATTTTTTGGCAGGACTATTTGATTACTATCCGTTGCATTAACTAGACTCCATACTGTTCGATATTTAAGTTCAAATGCTTAGCATACTACATAGTACATATTGTCAATGCAGGAATAAATGGATTTTACTAGTTACTTGCTAAATTGCCAAATTGACACTGATAATATTCTAGCTGAATGTGTTGAACTTTTTCCACACACCCCTACCACTACAGGTAAATCCATGTCATTTGATGGAAACAAACTCAAGCTCATTTCTTCATTGATTTATTTCTTCCTATATCTTGATGAAGTATGCAAGGCCTCATTCTGAGAATTTTGTTTTTTTCTCTATTCTAATTATTTTTCAAAAATGAATCTGTGTTTCAGAGCTCAATTGAATTTTGTTCTGACAATGCTAAAATCCTTATTTCAGTCTGGACATTTCATAGGCTCTAACACTATTTTTCCCAGTGCCTTCATATGACTTCAGTATATGATAGTGGAACCAACAGTTTCACAAAATATCAACTAGCTTATATTTTAGATTCTCTGTTATTTACATATCCTCCCTCTTTTCCTGTGTTTCATAACAGGCAATGAAAATATGCTATTCTTACAGCAGGTCGAGGTATGGGTTATTGTGGTTTCTTTGAACCCAGTTTTTTCATTGCATCCTCCCTCTTTTCCTGTGTTTCATCCCAATTGAGTCTTCTTATTGGCTAACTTCACTCCTGGAGTAGTTCCAGTCCTGCTGGTTGGACACAGATTATGGACTATCTTCTTGTATGTAAGGGTTTATCTTCTTGTCTATGGCCGAGGGTTATTTTGCCTCTAATATTGTTCCACACCAGTCTCTAGGTTAAACTCTCTAAAATCTTTCTTTTCACATTACTAGGCTGTTCTGTTAACTATATTGCATTTGTATTGCTTAATTAGAACAAATTTCTTCAGACTCGTATGGTAACCTTGTCTCATGTAACTCGGAAAACCAGTGTCTACTACTCACTAATTCAAATGCATCACTATTCTGCACTGATATATTTGTCTATATGGCTATGAAGTATACATTTTCTCATACAGTAAATGTTCTCTGCTTCTCTCTCTATTCATTCAAATTGTATTATTTCCTAAAGACTAGGCTCAAGTTGTACACCCTTTGTGTTTGACCCAATATAGCTATCCATTTTCTTTGAGTTATTGGCCGGCTTACCAACTGAACACTTAATTACGGTCTGTTTTATATTGTCACCAATAGATTTATAGAGTCAAGATTTCTGAGAAACACTGAAGTGTTTTATACCACGTATACGTTGGGGAAGATTTTCTGAGACTTAATATATGAGCTAGTCCTTCAGGAGTGATAGAAAAACTTAGCGATTCTCCTGGCAGCAACTCCCTGCAGCAGCCAAACTGAACGAACAGTATCACTGGCAAATGTACACCTGGAAGAGCCAATAAAAAGCCCTACAAAGAATGATATCATCTCATTTAAGGGTGGGATAGTAGGGGAAAATATGAGGTTTGTCTTTTTTTTGTTTAACCAGAAAAAAGCAAAACCTGTGGCCTGTTTCATTAATGATTCCATTCAATCTGCAGAGTTGGACAAAAACTGAGGCCAATCTGTGACGTACCAATTATTCCGATCTGTCTCCTCTGTACTCTGAGAACATTTAATATTTTCACATTATGTATGTATGTATTTTATTTTTGATGTTATTAGAAGTGTCTTAATGACATCAGCTTGTATGATACCACTGGCACTTAAGTATAGCAAATTTTATTTCTATGTATTTTATATGTTTACATATAAAATATGTTATGCATTATATAATTTATACATATTATATATGTAAAGTACATTTTTCAAGCTATTTAGGCTAGCTAGTCCCATTGTTAAGGTAAAAAACTTTGTGTTACAAATCCACAAAAATAACTAGTTTCTAGAAATTCGGGCTGTGAAACGGTTAGGTAATATAGTTTTAACAGGCAATGAAAATATGTTATTCTTACAGCAGGTCGAGGTATGGGTTTTTGTGGTTTCTTTGAACCCAGTTTTTTCATTGCATTGTAGTATTTCTTCTGTTCTTCTGTCATAAAAATGTCTTGACCTCCAAAGTAAAGAAATGAAAGCAACACTTGTTAAAATTGTGTTCTTTGCTGGCTATAAAATCCACCTTAGTAATCATGTGAAAATTGGCTCCCACATTTCATTCTATTGTTACTAATATCTGTATTTATAGAGATGCCTTTATTCAATATATAAATTATGCCATATTAGTCATATTTCTAGACTAAAAATATCAAAAACATGCTATCTGAATTATTAATTGCTTAAAAGCTTATCGATTATCAAATGTCTCAAAATAATTTCTGAATTTTATATTCTTTTTTTGGTGATTGCATTTTGGAGGCTAAAGGAAAGAGTATGAAATATTTAGTTCATATTTCAGAGCAAGGATGAAGTTTTAATATACTTATCTTCTTTTTCTGTTGGTTGAAGTTATCTATGATGACACCAATGAAAAGATTCAAGGTAAAGAATGAACCAAAAATAATAAAGATGACAAAATAAAGATACATGTACAGGTTGTCTTCATACTTGGGTTGTAATTCTACCTAAAGAATATGAAGAATTGTAACCATTATATCTAGTACTTGTTTCACAAAAAGTACATCAGTGAGTTTTTAATTATCTAAGCATGTTTTAATCTCTGGAATGAAAATAAACCAAACACTAAACAGATTTTATGAACCTTCAAATCTCACATGCTTATTGAAGAGTTCTGCAAGACTATTCATTACCTGGGAAAATGAAATAACCATATAGAAGTCTGAATGATTATAGACAATTTCACCCAACAAATGCCCAGATTATGAATGCACTTTCCTTTCTAAGCAAAGTTCCCAACACAGCATGCAAATTAAAGATTTCCTCTTCTTACAAAAGAGATGTCAGCGTCACATTATTCTATGTCAAAACTTTTAAGATTTACTTTCTCTGACTCAGTTTTCTCATCTGTGAGATGAAAATAATCAAACTTAAACCTCATAGTGTGGTTGTGAAGATTAACTATATTAACATATAAATATGCTTAGAACAGTGGCGGCCAGTAGTAATTGCTAAGTGTAAGGGTTTGGTATAATACATTTCTTTAGATAGGCAAGAATCATTGTAGTAGGTCTGCATGTAGGTATATAGGTTGATCTTTCCTTTCTGAAAATGAATCTATTGCTTTATCCTATTCAGTAGGGACTGTTTCTGTAACAATGATACTATCTCTTGTCTAATCCACTTTTGTTTAGAAAACTGTGTGATAGTAGGTTTGCGCCTTAGCTGTAAGCTTTCACAGGTCTAATAGGACATTGTTCTAACCAACTCAGTTAACCAATCCCTGATGATGATAATAGATGCAAGTTATAACCCACTGTGTTATGAAATCAATTTAGAGGATTATGACCAGCATAATTTTGTTTCTAAGGAAATACAGCAAAATGGAAAATATCAGGAATATTGTAAAACTGCTATTCTTCGATGAGATTTTATTTGTGTATGTGAGTTTAGTTAACAGTGATGTAAAATTATATTTTTAAAATTTTTAAAAGACAATATACATACAGGAAAGTGCATAATACATAAATGCAAAATATAATATGTTTTATAAGTGAAATCCATAACCCAGGACATTGCTACAACTTCAGAAACCCTTGGTGTACCCTTCTCAAACATAAACTCCATCATCCCTGCTGGAGGTAATCATTATCCTGACTTTTATGGTAATGATGTCCCTGCTTTTTCTTTCAAGTTAACACCTCAGTATGCAGTTTTGAACAATAAGCTTAGTTTTGTCAATTTCGAACTTTATATAAGTAGAATTATAGTATGTGTCTAGTTTCTTTAACTCAATGTTGTATTTTTAAGGCTCATCCATGTGGTTGTATATGGCGGTATTCATTCATTTTCATCACTATATAGTATTCAATTATTTGCCTATTTCTACTGTTTTTGAGTTGCTCCCAGTTTTTTGCAAGTGCAAAAAAAAGTTATATTCATTTTTGTACATAGATTATCCTAAACATGTGCATAAGTTTCTTTAGGATACGTTGTTCAAAGTAGAATTGCAGTATTAAAAAATATCTTTAACTTTCTCAAATAATGTGATCATACCCAACTGTTTTTAAAGGATTATTTAACTATTTTTTTTCCTATCAGCATTGTACGAGTGTTCTTATTGCTGTTTATCCTTGGTAAAACTTGGTATTGTCAGACTTTTTGGTATTGCCAATCTGGTAGGTGTGTAGATAATGTTTTATTTTGGTTTAAATTTGCATTTATCTGATGCAATTTACTAATTAAAGTTCAAGATCCAGCAACTTTTCATAAATGTAGTGCTCAATTGGCTTTCATCTTTTGTAATGTGCTGGAAATTCCAGGAGTTTTGCAGCGGAAAAGGTCTGCTAAGTTATTAAAGAAGAAACTGAAAATGTTTCATGGCATATAAGCTATTGATAAGGAAGGTGGAGAGAGCATTGAATTAATTAATCAAAAAGGTAAGAACCACTGTGGAAAGTGGGTATGAGCCATTATTTGTGGTCAGGGTTCAAAAACTTGTTTTCCCATTTAACGCATTAAGCCTCTTTGCTTCAGTAGTAAAATAGAGCTAGTATCACCTATACAATAAGGTTGTCATTTAGGATTAAATGGGATAATGTGAGAAAGTCCTTGGCACAGTGAATAGTGATAATCAATAAATTATTATTACTATTCAGAAAAATCTCATAACTGGAATTCCTGATAGCACTTATAGAGATACAATGCAGGGCTTTTCATGCTTTCTTGCTCCCTCTCTGTTTTTATGAAGTGGAAAAAAGAAAAAAAAAAACCTCAGGAATTCTTCACTCAGAAAGCTAGCTGCTGGTGCTAGGGAAAGAGCATTTTGAGCTTTATTATCATGCTCTGGCATACCAGAAATCAATCTCTTTTTTTTTTTTTTTCAAAATGTGACTTCATTCCTCATTAAATAGTGAGAAATTAATGAAAATTATAGAAAAGAATTCAAAGTACTGGTATGTATAAAGTAGATTAGGGAAGTCCCTCCCTTCTACCACTTAATCTCACTTTCCCAAGAGAAACACTAAATTGTTTATTTTTGTCCCCGTTTTTAGTCATATCCTTCCTATTATAAGGAAGATCAAAAGCTGGAGGAAATATATTACAGATAAAAAATATTGCCTGTGAGAACTTCTAATGCACAAATGACCAGGACTATCAGAGCCAAAAATAAAATGTCTCATTTTGAAAATACATACAATAAAGTTTTGTGTCAGGTGCCTTGCTAAATACTAGAAAAGATATGTTAAAAGATACAGAGTGATTAGAGAAAATCATCCTATGATAATTTTGAAAGAAATAGTATGATTAAATATTTTATCCTTATAATATAGATGGGTTTTATAAATTAAGCACATAATTTTATTTTATTGACAATATCACTAAATTACAATATTGTAGAAATATACATTTAATCAAACTAAACAATTTCCCTCTAACTAGACTTACATTTCGTGAATCAACAGCTGCATACATAATATCCATCCATCCCTTAAACGTGGCCTGTAAGAAAAGTCATATCATTTTCTTTTTTCCCAAAATTATAATTTTAGAAAATAAATTGAATAATTGATCAAAATTCTATTTGACATGTATTCAATACAGGCATATAAATAAGCTTGAAATTTGTATTCACTTTTGGGGCAATGTTTTGCGATATGCATTGAAAATACTTCAAATTTATATTCCTCTATAACATCTTATGTGGATATTTAGCATATATAATTAAATAATGATCTACTGTAACAATATGCTATCATAAAAACAATATGAACAATCTTTGACTCTGATGTGTTTATATAAAAATATATCATGAACTTTGATGAAAAAATTTCATGTGTATAGTAGCAGCATGAGACAAGCTCAAAAGTATGCTGCATTATTTATCTTAATGCTTCCTTTCTACTTATTCTTTTCTAAATGATTATTACACCAATCACCAATCATGACAGCTTATTCTTGAAAATCTTCTTAATATTGTTGATCATACTATTTTGAGGTGATTACTCTATAAGAGGAAGCAGTTTCCTAATCTGAAAACAATATATTCTACTGCATTTCCTTTTTTAAATATTTGTTTTCTGCTCCGTTGACATAATGATCTTGAAAATAAAACTCTTGTACATTTTTTCAGTTCCTTAGTGCCACAGGCTCTTCCCCTTTCCTGACTATTTTAATAGTCTTGAGGATCGTGTAAGTGGATTGTGTCCAGGAGCTAGTGGAGATTTAATACTGCAGTCAGTTGAATAGCTGAATGAATTATTATGAGTGCATAGCAGACACAATAGTCTTAATTGGAAAGTTTTCATTTGCAAGAGAGCAATTTTCCTATTTGAAAGTCTCTCTCTCTTTCTCTATCTACACACACGCGTGTGGACACATACACACACACACACACACCCCTTTTCAACCCCCCTTGGGGCCAGCACTTCTTTCCTCAGAGTAGGAAGGGAGGAAAACAATGAGTGCCTAGATTAAACTCCCAGTAACAAAGGACTTGGCTATGCTACCAAATGCATAGTCAGGGAGACAATAAAGTTTTTAGAACCATCATGTTTCCAGCGTGGGGCAGAAAAGATAGTTCAATCATGGTAAGAGGAATCTAGGCAGATGGGCCTAAGGAAGTATTTGTAAACACAGAGGAAGAAAAATTTTATTTTATTGTTGTATAGTATTATATCATTTTTATATAGTTTTAGTGCATCTATATAGAGTTCCTAAAATGTATATGCATTTTTATTTTAATTGCTTTTCAAAAATATATTCATTTTTTAATTGACAAATAAAAATGAATATATTTATGTTGTACAAAATGATGTTTTCAAATATATATATATTGTGAAATGGCTAACTCAAGCTAAGTAATATATAATTATCGCTTCTTATACTTATTTTTTTCTGATGAGAAAACATATCTACTCACTTAGCTATTTTCAAGTATATAATATATTATTATTAACTATAGTCACCATGCTGTACAATAGCTCTACAGAATGTATTCTTCCTGTCGAATTGAATTTTGTATCCTTTGACCAACATCTCCCATCATCCCCCAGCCCCTGGTGATTGTCATTCTGCTTTCTGTTTCTGTGAGTTTGTGTTTTTTAGATTCCATATATAAGTGACATCATGTGTCATTTGTCTTTCTGTGCCTGGCTTATTTCACTTAATTTCCTCCAGGTGAATCAATGTTGTATAAAAGGACAGGATTTCCTTCTTCTTTAAAGGCTGAATACTATTTCATTGTGTATGTCTATAGGGGTGTGTGTGTGTGTGTGTGCGTGTATACACACACATATATATACATCCAATAAGTTTTTAAATGATTATTACCAATCATCAATCACGAGGGCTTATTTTTGAAAATCTTTTTAATATTGTTGAACATACTATTTTAAGGCACTCTACAAAAAGAAGCAGTTTCCTAAACTGAAAACAAATACATTCAAGCGCATTTACTTTTTGAAATACTTTTTCTGTTGTGCGGACATAGTAATTCTGAAAACAAAAGTCTTGTACATTTTCTCAGTTTCTTAGTGCCACAGGCTCTGCCCCTTCCCTGACTACTTCTATATACACGCACACATACACAAACACTGTTTCTGTGTATGTCTATATATGTGTATAGATATATACATATACAGTGTATATCTATACGTGTGTATATAGAAATACGTGTGTGTATATATATACATATACATATATGTACACACACACACACACACACACACTTTTCTTTATCCACATATCTGTTGATGGACAATTAGGTTGTTTCCATATTTTGGCTATTGTGAATAGTGCTGCAGTGAGTGTGAGAGTGCAGACATCTCTTTGACATGTTGATTTAATTTCCTTTGTATATATACCCAGTAATGGAATTGTTGGATCACATAGTGGTTCTATTTTTAGTTTTTTGAGAAACCTCCATACTGTTTTCCATAAAAGCTATACTAATTTACATCCCTGCCAACAATGTACAAGGGTTCCCTTTTCTTCACATTCTTGCCAGCATTTATTGTCATTTATCTGTTTGATAATAGCCATTCTAACAGGTGGATATCTCATTATGAGGAAGAAAAACTTTAGACTCATTTTAATTACACATCATGGAAAATAATAAAGTGATTACTTACTACTTGAAGTAGAGACAGATATCCAAGTCCTACGTTATCAAAGTTTACTTTCACATTTTTCCACCTGGCAGTTTGATTGCTCTCAATGAGAGCTTTGCACTCACTGTAGTTGTTGACCACGCTTACATCAAACATCTCTCCAGTGGTGTAATTAATACAATGGTAAAACTTGCCAGCAAAGAGATTCACTCCCATGATACTGAATATTAGCCAAAAGATCAGACAAACCAGAAGTACATTCATGATAGATGGAATGGCTCCTAAAAGAGCATTTACAACAACCTGGCACAGGATGAGAAGGAAAAATAAGTGAAAAGCCAACAACAAATATTTACTTATTTTTAAACATTATTAAAAGAACAGTCAAATGATTAAAAAAATCTGTTTCAAAGTTGAATATTGGGTAGAAACTAGACTCTGGTAGCTCCAACTAAGAATTTTAAAATTATAAATCAGAAGAGTATACAACGAATTTTATATTGGAGAATGTTTTCTCAAGAGGTAATAACACACATGTAGCAAATTTACCTCAAAGGATGGAACTAACAGCAAATGCCAAAAATAATTAAGAGTATAAACAGTGGCATGAATATAGAAGTGAACATCACTTTCAAAAAATCATACAAACCATACAATTTGCTGTCCAAAATTTGAGAGTAAAAGAGACCACTTGGGGATCAAATTCCACACAGAAAATATAAACAGTATTCTGGTACTGAAAGATTGATACCTTTTGTTTATTAAGCCTTCTACTGCAAAAACTGTTCTTTCTAATTGGTAAAGTAAAAAGAATTTTACCGCTAATAACACTTTTCTATGTAACCATGCATATACAGACACACATCTACACACACCATTCATCTCTAGTTGTGATTGTAACACTAGATAAAGTCTAAGTAACTATTTTCTTAGTTAGAAAATATGAGCTAGTATCACTATAACATGCAGATAAAGTCTAAGCAACTTATTTTCAAATATCACAAAAAGTATCATTTTTTTAAAATCCTCTTTGAACCAGCTAAAACAACTGAGACAAGGCATCATCATTTTCTAGGTGGTGAGGGTATGTGGTCTCAGGTTTTGTGCCTCAGGGGACGACAAATGTCAGCACAAACTCCTCTGTTCTTTTGTACCACCCTTCTAAATGAGCGTTAGATTTCCAGTTGACCTACTTTTTAGCCATTTCAGCCTGTGTTTAAGAACTAAAAGGCCTGATTCAAACATCAAAAGGCTCAAAGTGTATCACAGCGGAGTAGTGAAGAAATGATGAGCAATGATTTGGTAGGCTTAAACTACAGCGAGTAGGATTTCCTGCACATTTATAAATGAAGTGAACATAAATAATCTTGATTCAAATCAGCAGCATAACTATAGAGATTTTCCAAGAAGTGAAAATCTAGCTAATCAGAAACAATCCCTCTGGCAATATACTACTCTGTGAGTGACTCCAGCAGTGCCAAGTATTATGGGCATCTGGTAAATATTATTTTTGATTGATTAGCTATGTCAGTATGAATGTGTAAGACACAAATTCTCCATAAATTTGACATTTCCATGGTACAAAGTGTCAGTCTGCTCTCAATAATAATTCTGACAAACTCTAAGGCATTCAGTCTTACCCTCATTCCTTCAAACCGGGACAAAGCTCTCAGTGGCCTCAGAGCTCTTAGTGTTCTGAGGGATTTGATGGCACCAAGTTCTGAGTAACCCAAGGCATTTGCAGTTAAGCTAACCAGTGAGACCTATACAGAAAAAGCAACACAATTTTCTTATTTACATATAAAAATGTCTACACAGTTCAGCCTTGCTCTATGCAATGAATCAGTAATTCTCGAACTTTCATGAGTTTCAAAATCACCCAGGGGTCTTGTTAAAAACACCAATAGCAGAGTCTGACTTAGTAAGTTTGGGGAAAGGCCTAAGAATTTGCATTTCTACAGGTTCCCAGGGTGAAGTTAATGATACTAGTCTGCGAACACTTATAAAAAAGAAGCCCATATATGTGCTCTTTTTCAAGATTCTTGGTAGGAAATGTTTTTAAAAAATTAAAAGTAAAGAAAAAAAAGAGAGAGAAATGTGATCTTCCTCTACAGATCTGTAAAACTTATTTCTGTATCATTTCTAATAATATTGAGCAGATCTGAAATGGAAAGTAACATTTGATACACAAGTAAACTATACAAACCACTGGTGAATATGAGCATGAACACATTTAAAAAGGAATAGGCCTCTAAAAAGCAGCTTTGACTTTTGTAAATTTCAGTTTGAAGGGCATAATATCATTAATTAGGTCAGACAAAATTAGTGAATAAAAAAAGTTGAGATTTTATGATAAATTAGAAATTGCAAGAACAATGTTGTCTTTAGTTATTCATACAGTTGACTAATGTAGTTGAGAAAAATTATAAAGTCTTAGCTAAAAAGAAAAAGAAAAACGGTCGGGGGACATACACATGTCCAATTTCCTTGAAAACATATAGAAAAATTATTAAAATTATATAAGCTATTTTGTTCTAAAGTACACCTGAATTTCAAAAGCAGATAAATAAAAATAAATATGCAATACAGCTTTTAAGAGTATGGTGTTAATATATTTGAAAAATATATTTTTTAAGGAAAATAAGTGAAGCACATTGAAAGTTGTTACAAAAAACAACTTATTCAAAATAATTTTGCACATGCAATTTGAAAGTGAAGCCTCTTGAATACAGAAAACAATGAGTTGTAAAATTATGTCTTACATAGTTCATATAGTTCCCTTAAAATCCAAACTCTTAGGCTTTGTAAGTCCCTTTTTAACAGATAATTGAAAAATAGTTACTGAATTATCATGAGTTGTGAAGCTTTTCTGTATTTAAGATATAAGGACCTGTAGTACTTTACCTTCTCTGAAGACAGAACCAAAAAGAGATAAGCATAAGTTAAAGGATGAAAGATAAAAGTTAGACAGAGGAAAATATTTTGAATGGGGTAGTATTTACTGGCTGAAAAGAAGTTGTAAAATATTCAGTTTTATGTGACTTGTGTAGCTAAATGTGGAAAAGAAGATACATATAGGCCTTCTCTTTCTGGGACATTGCAGCAATCTCCTAATTGGTGTTTTGATCTCTAAATAAATCTCCTTTCTATTCCGTCATTCTCACCTCCACCTAACTTCCCTCACTAAAAGAACAAGCAGGTCTTGTCACTTCCCTATATGTAATTCTTCAATAGCTTCCTCTGTATTAAATAATAAGTCCAAATTTCCTTGGATGGCATCTCAGGTTCTTCAGATCTTTTCTAACTTATCTTTCTTACCTTATCATCCCATTACAAAGGCTTACCTCACCCTATCTACTTGTTTCTGGAACCCGCCCTGCATGTCATGCACCAACGTTTTAACGAATCCGTGTTCCTCCCTCAGCTGTGCCTGCTAGCATTCACATCTCTCAAGCTCCAGCTCACACTCCACTTCCCTATTGAAGCCTTTCCTCCTTCCTCAAGTAAAGAGGTGGCACTTGTAATACAGGTGTCGACTTACTGTGTACGCAGCTGTCCTCACTTTTCAACTGTAAGCTACTGCAGGACTAGAAAAATGACTTATTTATATTTGTATCTTTCATAATGAAATAGATGAGCAATAAGCATATTTGATTTAAGGCAAAGTGTTGATCAGTTTCATATACTATCATAATAGTTTTCTTAAATCTAAAAAGGTAAATATCAGAGTACTTTGGGTAATATGATCATTAGCTGCAGGACAACTAGATTTCTCTGAAGAGTTTCCTTATATTCAAGCAGTGCTGACTTGATACTTTTATCCTAACATAGATATATCAAGTATCAGATATTTTTATTATGGATTTACCAACCTATGATAAGTACATACAGAAAATAGAGAAAAGAAATAGTATCATGCATAATCCCATTATACAAATAAAAGAATGGTTATAGTTTTGGTGCATTTTCTATTGTTTGTAATGTCCACACTTATGTAGTTCTAAATATTATTTATTGTCTTCCTTTATTGCCAGAGACTGTTAATGTAATTCTGCATGTAACCTTTATACATTTAATAGTAGTAGTACATTTAATGGTAGATTTGCCTCATATTCAATTATATAAAAACCCTCATATTTTAGTACTCTATCTTATTTTATTTCAACACCAATGTGGTTTAATAAAATCTTTGGCTACTTGGTCAATAGCCAATTTGCTTCTATATCATACAAATCAAGTGGTGTCTCTTGCTTTTTGGACTTTCAAATTTCTTTGTAATTAATGATTCATCTGTGTGACCTAAACTCAACAGGCTTTAGTGATGACAAACATACTAATGTCAAAGATGCCTGTGAAAAATTTAAATACAAGTTATTTTGCGAAATGTGAGTGTGCAAAAAGCAAAATTTCTAAATTCATATTTTATTTTGCATAACTTGAGATTTTAAATATTAATTTGAAATTAAGTGAATAAGTATAGTATGATGGCATTTGATTTTTATCTATGAATGTATATGTATTTAAATTGGTAAAAAATGTTTTGAGGCATCCTCTCACTGTGAAATGAGAAACATAATTTATATTTGGGCTGATACAGTGTTACTGAGTGCCTACACTGTGTCAGGCACCATTGCTAGAACTATTACATATATGCCAATGAATAAAGCAGCAAAGTGCAGCATACTCACATCAACAATCAGGAAGTCTAGCCAGCACCAGGCATTGGTAAAATACACTTGAAAACCATATGCAACCCACTTTAGCAGCATTTCCAGAATGAATATGTAAGTGAAAACCTTGTCAGCATATTCTAACATGGTCTTAATGGTTTTTCGCTGCTCAATGTATATATCTTCAAAGGCCTGTAAGTCAAAAAATTCTATTAAATTTTATGATCAGAAACAGTCTCTAATTGATGATTTCTTAAAAAAGGAAACGATGCAAGCTCTTATCAGGTGCCTAAGGCTGGAAGGTTTAATGTTTCCCATGGCTGAATTTTACTTTATCATTATCTGATCATAAATGACTGCTGACTGGGCATTTCAGTCAACCAAGGGTTTCAGTAATTTTTAAATTTTGGTCTCAGTGTACCCCCAAAGAGCTTAAAATTTTTGAGAGACTGCCAGCTGCTTCTCTCTACATCAGGAGGCAGTGGAACGCCTGGGAGTAGATTGGTCTCATTCAGTGCAGACTCAATGGAATGCATCCTCTAGTAATGCAGATATAAAGCAGGGAGGTCCCTCAGCCTACAGAAAAAGGAAAGGATTGTCATTGCTCACTTTCTTGTCTCTCTCCCTCTCTCTGTGTGTCTGTGTGTGTGTGGAGGCGGGTGGGTGTACGTTTGGAAATTCCCTTTGACAGAATTTTCCAGAGCCCTTGGGAAAGAGTGGGTAACTCATTTGCAGGAACTCCTGAGGCTTCCAGAATGAAAAGACTATTTATCTAACTTGATCTTCTTATCGGAAAAATTATCAGGAAAACCTGGCAGCCTGGATTAAAGACAAAGGAACATTTTCTTTTTTAGATAACAAGAATCAGGGCTTGTAACCAGAGCTCCATACAAGGACCTAAAGGTTTCTGGGCTTTGCTTATAGCTGAAGCTGTAAACCCCTGAGGAGCCAGCCACTGTGCCAGCACGTTGTGCAATTTGGTGAGCACTGACTGGGTGTAACTGAGAACAAAGAGCTCCTACAGCAAAGGTACTAGTCACTAATGAGACTTCATAGTTCTCTCTCTACTTGGCTTTAGAAAGCATGTCTGGCAAGGTGCGGTGGTTCACGCCCGTCGTTCCAGCACTTTAAGAGGCCAAGACGGGCAGATCTCTTGAGGCCAGGAGTTCGAGACCAGCCTGGCCAAGATGGCAAAACCCAGTCTCTATTACTAAAAGTACAAAAATTAGCCAGGTGTGGTAGCTCACACCTGTAATCCCAGCTACTTGCGAGGTTAAGGCACAAGAATGGCATGAACCCAAGAGATGGAGGCTGCAGTGAGTCGAGATCACACCACTGCACTCCAGCCTGGGCAACAGCAAGACTGTCTAAAAAATAATAATAATAATAATAAAGGTAAAGAAAATAAAGCATGGCTGATCCTCTTTAAACTGAGTATATGGCAGGACACAGGATTCTTAGTCAAATCAGAATTCGCCTTAGAGGCCTCCAGATCCAATGCAGTAATTCTCCTAATGAAATCAACTCACCAAACACTCTAGTTATTAATTAAATTGAAACAGTAAAAGGAATGCAACCACATTTGTATCACCAATTAAGAAAATAGGTCATATCATTTTCATTATATTAATATTTTGATCCAGTTGATCATTTCATTGAATGAAATCAGACATAAGTTTGTAATGCCATCATTTTTTTGCTAGTCAGTAATTAAGTGAGTCTACTTCTTATCATTCACTGTGGTTGGCAATAGCGAATCAGTGTGAAGAAGACAGAGGAGTCCCCTGCAGCATGGAGTTTATGTTAAGCAATTTTGACAGGAACAAGAGGCAGAGAAATTCTGGGCAGAAGAGGACGGGTACCTGGCGAGGGCTCCACCCTCAAGCCTGGAACCGTGGCCCAAAGTGAGAATATACATCCCTGTTTTCTCACTTAAATGTTGCCTTTTCCAAAACCACCCATGGTGCACCCTGCCCCCATCCTGTGCCTATATAAAGCCCAGAACTCAGCAGGCAGACAGGAGGAACAGCTGGACATCAGAGACTACAGTTGGACATTAGAGAGAAGTAGCTTGACATCAGAGGGACAGCTTGACAGCATAGCTTCGGAGAGGAGTCTGGCTGGGGATGGCCAGACTCCAGGGGAAGATTACCTTCCTGCTCCATCTCCTTTCAGCTCCTCTTCCCTCTGAGAGCCACTTTCGCTGGCAATAAAATCCCCTGTATTTACCATCTTCAAGTCATTTGTACAAACTCATTCCTCCTGGACGCCGGACATGAACTTGGGTACCACAAGTGTGGGTGCAAAAGGCTGTCACTCTGACCCTCCACTGAACTGTTAACATTTAAGCCATCCATGGATGGCAAAGCTAAAAGGGCACTGTAACACTTCCTCTAGGGCTTCAAGGATCGCAGGCACCCTCCCCTAGACGCTCCTGTGGGGCCGGTATGGAGTTCACTCTTGCAGTGCCCAAATGCATTTGCCTTGGCTCCTGCACCCAGTCACCTGCGCTCCCCCTCCTGTGAGGGGTGGAGCAGTGAGTGAGTGGAGTTCGCTCCTACCGGCACCCATGCACTCTAGTTCTCACCTGCAAAGGGGTCAGGGAAATATCGTGCTTCAGTCTGATATTTAGCTGATAATCCTACATCATGTCTACATAACCAGTCTTAATAAGAACTGCCTCTGATGACTGAAAGTCAGAAAGATCCTTCTTTAAACATTATAAGAAACCATAATGATCTGAGTTTGGTTCCACCCGAGGGCTACTCCAGACAGAGTGACAAAAATTGCTATTTACTAAGCCTCTCATATGTGCTAAACACGTCACACATATTTCTTCTCATTCTTACAAACACCTTAATTTAAAAGTGGGTAATATGAGTTGATTGAAGGGAAAGGGAAAAGATTTCAGATGAAAGGTGAAGGAGTGGATCATGCATCACCTACCAGAGCCCCACTGCTCAGCAGAATCATGAAGACAATGAAGGTTTCGAACCAATTGTGCTCCACTATCTTATAGCATGTTTTCCTCAAATTCCACCAGAGTTTCCCTTTGCCTTCTTCTATGCTTATCTGACAACACTTGAACTTCCGTACACAGTCTAAAATATGTGGGAAAAAAATGAAGACAAAAAATTACTCTTTGATTAGGTATATTTGTGTTGGTGGGAGATTCATTTACATTATTACCTGATAATACATTGTAAATAACATTAATTTTTAAGATAGCTTCCGCTTACAAAAGCTATCTTAAAATCATCTATATGGCTTTTTAATCATTTGTTTAATAAATATTTATTTTTATGTTTATAGCACTACTATAATGGATTACATTACAAAAACACAATATATAAAAAATAGAAGAACCAAAAAGAAAATAAACTTACCAAAAGTTGGTATTTCCATCCTGTCCTTATCCTATGAGTGTAATTCCACTCTATATGGACACTTTACATATTTGAATTCTGATTAGTTCACTTAATGGTATAACTATTTCCCATCTTTATTATAAGTAAATAAATTTGTGAAAGATTTCATAATATTTCTCTAAATATGATTACTATAATTAATATAACTATTCCACCTTTTTTTTTTTTTTTTGAGAGGGAGTCTCACTCTATTGTCCGGGCTGGAGTGCAGTGGCCTGACCTCGGCTCATGCACTGCAGCCTCTGTCTCCCAGGTTCAAGCGATTCTCCTGCCTCAGCCTCCCAAGTAGCTGGTATTACAGGCACATACCACTACGCCCGGTAGAGATGGGGTCTTACCATGTTTGCCTGGCTGGTCTTGAACTCCTGACCTCAAGTGATCCGCCTGCCTCGGCCTCCCAAAGTGCTGGGATTACAGGTGTGAGCCACTGTGCCCAGCCCAATTCCACCATTATTGAATACTTCGTTTGCTTTAAATCTGGCCATTATCAATAACAATCCAATAAACACCTTTGTATAATTTCTGGATTGCTAGATCAAAGGCTCTTCAACAAATACTTATTGAGTATCTACTATTGTCAAAAAATTGCATAGAACAAATTGTAATACTATAACATGTAAAACATAGCCTTGTCCTCAAAGAATGTACATTTTAAGTTGGGGCAATTTGTCTACAATTCTATAGTTATGGAAAGCAACAATTATCACAAAACAAAGTATTATGAGAGTTTTCTGGTAAACTTTAATTTCTGAGCTTTATGGAGGAAATGGATTTGAGACTAGATCTTGAAGGATATATAAGAGACATATGTAGAAAATGAAGCTGTAAGAATAGAGAAACAATGATACAAGTAAAACTTAGTGACAAGAAAGTCTGTGAGTTACACAGAAGGAAATAGGAGTCAAAACTAGAAAAGCAGCTTAGAGCCCAGGGTTTTTGGTGGTTTGATACACAGCATTGCTATTACAATATATAACTGATCCATACCTCAAATTACATAATTTTAGCTTTCTTCAGAAAATCCTTTTGCGATTACTCCAGTGACATATTGCCCCATATCATATGACTCATAGTATATTTTGGCATTTTTATGATCTATCTTTTTTCAGAAATAATAAAAAATATTTGACCTTGACTGAAATAGGAGCTGTTTCAGTCAAGGACAAATTTAAATGTACACTTATCAATTATTACCCATTATAATATCACAAAATAGTACATAATAAATTACTTCTCTCACTTTCTTATTTATTGAATTTTTAAACTAAAGAGAGATGTGTGTGATTTGGCTTTCTCTCCTGTAAGATATTTTAGAAGGCCACAGAAAAGCCAGTTAATAATTTCTTAGAGTTAAAAATGATTCATAAAAATGAAAATATCTAATTACATAAATTAAACTTTGCCTTTTAAAAAGTTGCATTTTTTTTCAAACAGCAAATGCAAAAAAAAACAAATAAATGTACAGTTGTTGGATAGGTATAGATGATTACTAGATAGATAGATAGATAGATAGATACAGATAGATAGATAATAGATGGTAGACAAATAAACAGACATTTAAATAAATAGGAAAAAATGGGTAGAAAAGAGGATACTCAAGACCACATATGTTATTGTTTTGCTTACCTTCTGTAAAACAGGCTTCAGGTTCAAGGGATTCCTCAGGTTCAACCTCAGGCTGTTCTCCCTCGGCGGGAGCTCCAATATCAACCGTGCTGCCTTCAGATGAACTAGTTGCATTTAGCTTCTGAAAATCAATCCCACAAAAAAACACATTTAATTATTTTCTTTAATCTAAATATAAAAATTAATTAGGTGTGCCCCCCCCCCATCTTCTGTATGCATTTTCTTGATCTGTAATTTAAGAACTTAAACATAATGCCAATCCGCTTTGGTAAAGGTCAGGGGTCACAAGATTAGATACAACACCATAGTATTTTTTTTCTTTAAAATATGGTGCTAACAACGGAAATAACTTCTGTTTGAGCCTATGTATAGAGATTCTGAAAGAAAATCCTGCAGAAAGCTTATGTAAGCTGCCAGAGTCATATAATCATCTGCGATCTTGCTTTTGTACATTAGTTTGCAAATGGTTTTCAAATAGTTTGTTTTATTCTAAAATTGTGACCCAACCAATGAAAGCTGCACAAGTGTATTTTCATGTCAAATTCAGAAAAGATTTGATCAAATGCACATAAACAGCAACCATCTAAATTTATCCACTTTTCATTGACATGAAAACATATACCAGATTGTTATTAAATATATTCTATAATTTTCTAATTCCAAAAAGAGCAGCACATTGTTAGCTATATAGCAAGAGCTGATATTTTGCATTCTCTTTGGCCAATGCACTCCTGTGTTTCATTGTGCATTTGGAAACTACTTGTTACTCTGGCACTCTTACCTGCCCTGTTAGTACAGGCAGAAATGAATATTTAGTTGTTCTTTTGTTTTCCTTTAGGTTAAATCAAATATCACCAAAAGAAAAATATAATAGAAGTTGTTTTATATCTTGAAATGCAATAAACTTTAGCCAGGTCGGTCCATTCTTGGGATCAGCATACATGAAGGGATCCCAGTCTTTAACCTGGTCTTAAAATGCTCTAGAAATGATGCAGGGCCAGGTGTGAGTGCCACACAGGAATCAGAGTAGTTTGGGCCACAGCATTCTCGGACCTGTTACAATGTTATTACCATTAGTGCATAACATTAGGAAATGGTTGAGCTGATAAGAGATACTTTATAAAAAGGATGAGGTAAGCACATGATAAAATGCACACTGAAGTATGTTAAACTAGAATAAGATGGATGCTGTAGTCAGTACTGTAAATGTTATATTTATATTTGGGCATAGGATTATGTGGATTTTCTCTAGAAAGATGGTTTCTTTATTTTATGAAAATAATTTTCTTTATATAAAATATTTCCTTAGCATAGTGATGCTGATGACTTAAAAAATATTGATGTATGATATACATGAGATTAAAAATGCTTTTGTCTCTTGTACTTTAAAAATACTAATGATGGAAGCATAAATATTAGATACTTCTGCCTGCTTTGAGTTAGAGAATTATTTTTTAATTTGTCCAAAAAAGTTAAATCAAAGATTATATATTATAAGGTGCTTGAAGGTTGATGATTTCTTATTTTAATTTATCAGGTATATCAAATTACTAGAAAAATAATCCTAATATCTTTGTCATTAAAATTTGAATATATTTGTTCTCAGAAGAAACATTACATGTTTTTCTAATTTCCTATCCTTTGAATTGGAATCTTTCTGAGATAAGTATAACTATGTTTCTATACACGTAATTGACTAAAAAATGACTTAAAAATCTTCTCATTTTAATATATCTAATTCACACGAACCTGTTATGCTATTAGGGACCTGATAATACTGATCTTATCACTTGCAACATGTTGGAAAATAACACAGGTAATCAGAAAAACTGAAGCTGAGTCACATCTGATGGAAGTACAGACAATCCACAATAAGAAACAAAAAATATTCCTTATAAGAATAAGGTTCACACTGTAAACACAGAACGGGGTAAGACTTCGGGTGACCCCAAGGGAAAAATGAGGATCCATATTCAGGGTTCTGCAAATGCTCAGGCTGACATTACTGAATGACTGTATCAGAGCTTACATCAGTGCTAAGTATGTTACAGGTCTTAATAAATTTTGCTTAAAAAAAAGAATGAGTGAGTGAATAAATGAATGAAAGACATCTTAAAATAATGAAGTCTAGCCCTTGACAGTGATTGGGAGAAGTCACCAGACAGCATATTATAGAAAATCTTCATTAAAATGTGCAAAAGTTTACATAGGATTCCTGTAACATCAATTATCACTCCTGCTGCCAAGTATCTGGGTTGCCAATACTTTAAATGACTTTGGGAAGACTTTCACCACCACACCATTTCTTTCTTCACTGTCTATTTTGCAACAATCATGATTCCTTGCTTTCATAAAGTCTCCCCAATAAATCTGGACTCCTAATTTCTTCCATCCATCTTCACTCACCATATGCACCCTAGGCTATTCACCAACCTTTTCATGGCTTATCACACATCTTGAACCTTGATAATGTATGGGTCAAATTATTTCAGTTGGATGGATTTTGGGTACTTTAACATGCTTGTAAGACATTTGGGGGCAGAAGCCACGTACTCTAGGCCCTATGGATAATACACCAATATGGATAATATGAATAATACACATGTACTCTAGGCCATATGGATAATACACCAATATAGTTCAATACAAGGAACAGGCTTTGAATTGCCAAAATGCTGTTCATTAAGTATTGAATGAATGAATGAATTGCTAGATACACTGTCTGTTTTCAATAGCCTGTTCAAATTAGCAATTTGCCAAATAGTTTGATCCAAGGTTAAAATCAGAGAATATCAAACAGAGTTTGCTGTACTTGGCTGAAAATGAGAAGCATGTTGAGGTGTTTTTTTTAATTGCTTTTTTATTCATTTTCTCTGGAATTTCAAATTATAAAAGACATTCCTGTATTTTCTCTTATTTAAATCACATTAAAAGTAGAAGAATTAACATTGCTCCCTTTCATTTTAGTGCACTACCTTAGTTCTGATGTAGAATTAAGATACCTTTTTCCTAAAGCCAAATATTTATCTATTGAAAGGTCAAGTTTTTACTTTTTCCAAGGTTCAGTTCAAAAGTATTTTGTGTTTCTAGAAAATGCATCTCATCAGACTTAATTTTTTGGAGGAAAGATCATGTTTTCGTCACCCTTGTATCTCTAGCACCAATGTTTGTGTTTAATAAATTTTGGGTAAATGAATGAATGACCAGTGCGAGGACTCTTTTATCCAACCACTAACTACTAACACTTCCTATCTGATATTTACTTTCACATTCAAAAGAATACACACAATATTTTCTCTTAATTGCAGAGTAACACAAATCTTTTAAGATTCTGAATTGTGTGGGCAATGACGAACAACTCTTAGAACTAGGAGTATTGTCTTAAAACCAGTCTGCCAATTATTCGGACCTAATGTGAGTGTATGAGGTGAACTGTAGTTTAACTGTGGAGTCAGGAAAACTATTACTAAATCATTTTGACAGTGTTTTCCCTCTTTTCACTCTGTATACAAGGATCTATAGCTCCAGTGATGAATGGGGCCTCTTTAAGGAATGCAATCTTATCCTTCCCCACTGTCTTCTGAAGCGGAGCAGCACAGGATCTGTCACATGTGTTACTTGAATACTTTTCCACTTGTGGTACTTGATTTACAAATAACAAAGAATCTAGGCAGCACATTGATCCTTAATGTCAGCCAATCCAGTATTTATTTAGAGAAGGAAATGTGAGTTTTATCGTCTTGTGAAAAGTTATAGCGAATCAGTGGTTGGATTCCAGATCTTCTGCACCCCATTCTGCCAAGCTTCTCTAAAGAATCTTTTTGATGATTCAAAAGTAAACCCAATGTTTATCAATTTAAAACATTTAGTAGACTAGATATGTAATCAAATATTGTAGGTTCAAGATAGTGCTTATGATATTGTTGATTTCCATGTTTCAAAACCATGAACTTTAGTATTAATTCAAGTTATATTCATAGTTGTTAACATATTTTAATGTAGAGTAAAGCTAAATACACATTGGAATATTACATGAACAAAAAGTTTTCTTTAAGCAATGATCTTGAAACATAGGCAGGAAATTCTGATTTATAAAACCCTTCTTGATAACATCAATTAAATGACTTTCTTAAAATTACATTCTAGGCAAATGTCATAATATTATAAAATATGTTGACTAAAGCAGTTAAAATGTGTAAAAGCCCATAAAATAAAATTAATCAAATTAGGAATATAAAAATATTCAGCTTCATTTAAGGTCATAATTACGATCAACCTAACTGTAGTACATAGTCACCAATTAGAACAGTGAGATGATCACTATGTGAAACTGTTACAACTCATGCACTTAAGAATTTTCAGATAAAGAGTGCCTGTAAATGCTCCAATCTAGGCATAATTTATGGTGAAATACTACATTAGTAAGTGACCAAAATATGAACTGGCTAGAAGCAGATCCAGTTTAAAAAGTTCTATATATGTCCCTTTGGTATAATTTGGATATTTAGGTTCACTTTTTAATTACCTGTACTTATTTATCAGGAAACTAGCGGACTAACTGATGTTTGTAGCATAGCCCTTGCCTAGTTAAAATTTAACAAAATAAGGATGCCAGGACAATAACGAGATCAAATAGGAATAGCCAATTTTATATGCTCTGAAAAAAAGCATTGGCAATCATTTACTTTCAGGTGGAAATATTACTTGAACAATGTTTTTGGTGGATACCTAATATTATAGGACTCTTCCTATTGAAAATCTACTGTGATTCTTTTATATGCTGGATAATTATAATCAAATGATTTAAGCAGGGCAGAATCATATTTTGCTTAATGATCTAATAAACATCAAGGTACAATACTTCATTTTGTATTTTTAGATATTATACTTCCAACTTATGCTTTCTGCTTTAATAATACTACTAAATATGAATGTGCCAGATGAATAGTTTTTCTTTAGACAGCAAATGTGAGCAAATGAAAGTAAATTATTTTCAAAAATAATGAATCACAACAGAAAATGGAAGAGAAAACATAACTTCCTATTAAATTTTTCATGGGCACACTCACTTCTCATTATGAAGCTAAGATACATTTCGAAGAAAACATAATTAGTAGATATTGTATATAATTTGGGAAAAGAGAGAGAGATTTTAATTTAATTTAATTAAAAAATTGGCACTTAAAAAAGAGAAAACTTCAAATACAGATTAAATCAAGTATCCCATATCTGACAATTTTGGTTTCTGAGAACTAAAAAAGAATATGGTAAAATCAAAATAATTACTCACAGTATACTATATTATCCAGAAAGTCATTTTAGTGTTTATAATGAATACATTATAACATTTTTAAAACCACAAATAATAGGATTTTAAATATTTTTCTTCGGATGGCAAAAGGAACTCTTATGTCATGATGTCCTACTGCTCAGTAGATTACCAGTGACCCAAAGACACGTGTTTGGCCCATTTTGTTCTTATATTAAAGATATTTTGGGCATTTTTTTCCATCTTAATCACTATCCCACTGGAAAACTTTCCCATGAGGACTACACATTCTCCAGGATAAAGTCATAGACAGGTGTCTGTTGAACCCATTCCACCATTGCTTACGCAAACCTTCCCTGCACATTTTTGTCCCCTTTCCAAACCCCTGTATTAGAAATTAGTATATTTTTTTAGGAAGTGGACAATGTTTCCTGAGGGAGAATCATAGACTTTTACAAGGAAATCAAAAATTGCCATAATGTGAGGATTGAAAATAAACGAACCAGTTCCTTCTTAGCTTCTATTCTACCACCTTTACTCCAGCTGAATCCCCTAGATACGTTGATGGATAATATGCCTCAAGTATCTTTCTAAACAGGAAATTGGCAAAATGGGATACTCAGAGAATAAGGAAACTACCCTTGCCTCTTTCCGAGAAACAAGCTATTATCCGAAAGTGCCTAAATCTCATGCTTTTCTGAAGAATTAATACATAATAGGAAAAAGTAATTATCTGTAGTCCCTGTGTATATGCGCATCTGTGTTTAACTGTAAACAATTACGCATCTTGGATCCCATTTTACATCCCATTCCTCCAATATATGAGGCATTATAGCTCATGAATCTGGAGAGCCAGTGATGGAATATTTTGTTCCAAAGTATAAAAGAATGCTCCAGGAATGGCATGATTATTGCTTCTTCCAAATAGCCAACTACACTTTTATATTAGTGCTGTTTTATAGTTTTATTGGCAAAAGGAGAGGAAACTGTATCTAAGTGACAAAATAATTAACATTTCTTAAAAATGATTAAATTGGGTTTAGGCATTTTGGTTAAATATTTGTGCATAAAACTGTGATTTCAACATTAAGAAATGAAGGTCGACTAATGGATCCCATAGAATGATGTTACGTTTATTGCTATTGTCACATGATAGGGAAGTCTCTTCATTTTAAAAACACCCTAGGAGCAAGAGTTTCTGATTCTTTTCCTATACAGGAGTTTGTGGATCATGATAAATTTAAATAATATTCTTCGGGAGAAAGTTTTCCAGCAGGTCTCAATAAAATAGAGGGGAGAGAAAGCACAGAGGAGCCAAGAAAATGAAGAAGATGGACTCTAAATCTATTTTTAGAAGGAGCATACCATCTATAAGTCTCTCATTATCACTATTATTATTATTATTTGGTATACAAAAGACATGATTTCCTTTTCTTTCAGTCTAAGAGTTTTAAGGGTAAATATAAACAGACTTTCCAAAGAAATTATATTCTAAATACAAAATACTGTTGGTCAACTCCTAAATAAAGCAGTGCCATTTTCCCTAAAATGAAGCAGATAAATATTATACCCATGCTGCTAGCAACTGAAACACAGACATTCCTATTCATTTACATTATTATCACATTAAAACATCCTTTGGGAAGTTTGCATATGAATAAGGGATTGCTTTAATTTGAAGATTACCCTTCAGAAAAACATTACACTAAATAAAAAACTGTCAAGACTTAAGTACAGTAACTGGGCTATCTTTTTTTTAAAGACAGAGGATAAAAAGCATTTTTGCAAGTTTTCAAAGAGCACCTACATTTCTCCTTTGGGCTCCTAATATGTTCAAAACTCTGTAACATTAAAAGGAAATTAAATAATCCATAAAGGCATGCACTTTTACTTTTCATTGAATAAAATTTCTATTAAAATCTATGTAAGAAAATTAGCAGCTAAATCACTTTTTTTTAAGTTAGGGTTGTCAGACTTGCCTGACCATGCTTTGTATGACTCAGCATAATAGCAGCTGTGCATGTTTTTATTTTACTGCCAATGGAAGGGCAAGGAACGTAGCTGAGTAACATGCAGGCCAGTCAAAAGTCATTTAGAAACTGATTATATTTATAGATGTACAACTTGCTTGGGTAACCTGGGTAAAAGTGGTGGCACGAGCCTCTGGCTGGTTAAAAAACACCAGAGCTGCATTCTTGATGGCTCCAGCTTGATTTTACTCCTGTGAGAAGTAAGAATGGTAAGCGGTGAAGGTCACCATATCGCACTACTAAATTTCACTTCGAAAAATAGTCATTCAAGCATGGCTTCCACATTATTAAATACTCTAAAAGAAAAAACAATCATTCAAAATCACAAAAGGAATTACATTAATATAATCGAAATAACATTAAAATTAAAGCATAGGGGATTATGACATGATTTTAAATGGCCTACTCTAGAGAATCTACAGAAAACTACTGAAGAATCATACAAATTTAGCAAAGACATTGCAGAGGACTTACTGTGAACACCTAAAAAACCTCTGAGTCCACTCAGTCTGCCTTATAAAAAAATTCATTTAGACATTCCAGTAAAAAAGCCTCATTTTTTCTTTAATTAAAAAATTAATTTAGAAAGGATTGGTAATAAGCCTCATGATGTTTCTTACTACTTTGTGATATTTAACAATGTAATCCTGTCCCCCAGTTAGAAAAATGACCAGACAAAAATGACTAGAAGGCAGGCAAGAAATGCTATTTCAAATGCGAGTGTCTGAAATTCTTCAATAATTGTTTTAATTCTCTAGTTTTTTAGTGTAGAGCTACCAGGTAAAATTCTGAAAGATCAAAACCTACACATAACCTCTTTCACGGCGATAACCCTCATCATTTATTATTTTATAAATTTATGTCTAGAAAGTTTGATATAAAGCCAGAATTAAAAACCCCTCCAAATAATGTTAACACTGAAGTAACAGTCTCTATGCTGGGAAGGTATTGGAAGGACTCCACAACTCAAGCAATAAAATAATCCTGTCTGCTTCCACCTGGCAGGTCAGTTCTCTTCCTCCAATTCTGAAATACTGAATTCACAAATATTATTTTAGAGTATTTAACTCAGAGCTAACTTAATGGGAAAACAAATCAAAAAGCTTAATGATAACAAGAGAAACAAGAGATGTCCCTACTCTAAACCCCACATCACTGGACTTCCCTCTTACTTCAGACATAATGGCTTAAGTTAAGGCAAAATACACGCTCTTTTGGAAAACCCACGGCTGTAAAATCTCTTAAAGTTAAGAAGACTGGATGTCAAGTTAAACATTCCTCAAAAGATACTGAAACTTAGCTAAAAGATTAAACTAGCCAATGGCTTCAACGTTTGATACTGTATAATTCATTCTTAGTTTATATGACAGCCTAAAACTAAACATGTGTGAAAATAAAAATTGACTTTTTTTACTATTAGGGAAATATTCACCATTAGGCATAATTTCAAAATAATGAGAGGGGAATATACATCAAAATTCAAATGACCGAATTCTATTTTATAAATGCCGACTTCAGCTTCTATAAGAGCAGTACACTGTATATGAAATTGGGCCACTCCACCCTTCCAGCATAACCCAACTATTGTAACAACACTTGTTCAAAATTTTGTTAATAAGATTTTAAGATATTATTCAACTTTCAAACAATAATCTAGTTAGTAAAAATTTAAGTTCAACCAATTAAAGTAATTCTTTGCCCCAGGACAGAAGGTTTTATTACTTTTCCCTTGAATCTCATCAGTTATTTCTTGTGAAACTGATACCTATGTCCCTGTTATTTATACCTTCCTATATTCAAAGATTGTCTGAATTTCCCATTAAACATCTACTTCTACCTAATCACTAACAGCAATACTACGTAACTTACAAACAAGAAAAAATGGAAAATAACATACTCTTTAGTAATTTTATCAAATAAATACAGAAAAAGTGTCTGAAATAGCTAGTTCTTTTTTTTTTTTTTTGAGACAGAGTTTCATCCTGTTGCCCAGGCTGGAGTGCAATGGGGTGATCTCGGCTCACTGCAATCTCTGCCTCCTGGGTTCAAGCGATTCTCTTGCCTCAGCCTCCCGAGTAGCTGGGATTACAGGCACGCACCACCACGCCTGGCTAATTTTTTTGAATCTCTAGTAGAGACAGGGTTTCACCATGTTGGCCACGCTGGTCTCGAACTCCTGACCTCGTGATCCACCCATCTTTGTTCTTTTTTTATAACTATATTTTCCCTCATAATTTTGGCTGATTGTTAATTATCATGATCATGTTGTGCTACTTAAATTTTACCTTTCAGTGCCCACACTCCCCCATGTCGTCATTCTTTCTTTCCCGACATCAGGAATAGAAGCTTTTATCTTCCTCGCCAAACAGTTCGTATGAGGAAGGAACGAATCTTTGTTTTTCCTTGTTATTTTTGTTAGTTAGTGCAAACTTTAATTACTGGAAATCTTGTCTTCATTTTTGTATAAACAATTAAATATCAAGGTTTTAAATTCCTCTCTTTACCTCCAACTCTGTACTTATTGAGCAACAGGTTAATAGCAAACAAAACAAAAAATATATTCTGTTGCTCATACCCTTCTTGTAAATCAAAGAATACATTAAGTTACCAGGACTTACTGAGTTGGTAAATTCAGAATTTTACATTCTATAATGTATTAAGGATTTTTGTTTCTTTAAACAGTGAACACTGAGCTCAGTAGGGTTAAATATGTTTTTAGTGTGATTCCTCATCAATACCTTCTCTTCAAAAAAACTGACTGACTTCAGGAAAGATAAACTATACATAAATATCAAGCCAAGATCCCAATCAGATCTTCCTTGAGTAAATATGTCTGTGCAAACAAAATACAATACTATTTTATGACGTATTTCGTAAGAATTAAGAACTAAGAACATAGCAAGATGAGAATTGCAACTACCCTCTCATCAGATATTTTTCCAGTACGTACAAAAAACACTGTTGTGGGCAAATTACAAGGAAGAAAGTGGAGAAATTGAGGCATTTTGAGAAATTTAAAATTATTTATAAATACTGAAAAAATTCATATCAAGAATACTGTCAAGAATTCAAAATGTCAGTATTGGAAACATAAGTCAGCATATTGTTAATCTAGCTATATTTTAATCTATCATTAATTTATTTATTACCAACTTTTCCATGGAAAATATATTGCTAGACAGATATTTTCTATTTTCTTAACAGGAAGGAAACACGCAATTTAAAAACACCTGATAATTTTAAACAACAGAATTATATAACACCAAAATATCTCCTTATTTAAACATTTTTACCTCTTTGCTTTCCTCCATATCTGACTCGCTGCTGAATTCTTCAGTATTTAAATTTTCAAAGTCAGATTCTCCAACAGCAATTGGTACTGTCACAGTGAGGCTAGGGTTGTTTATAAATGACATGTAATCACTTTCATCCACGACATATTTTTCTACACTGCTGCCTATGCCACTAGTAGTTCCATTTCCGTCTTTGAGATAATTGAGGTCTTTGCCTATTTCTATGGTGGTATGGTTGGAAATACAGCTGTCTTTTTTATTATTTAGATCTTCAAGCGGTTTAATTTCATCTAAAGCTTTCTGCTTCCTAACAAAGGCTTTCTGAATAAATTCACGTATTTTTCTTTTAACAAAATCGATTCCTTTCTGCATCCTTCCCACAGCAATCTGGAGATTATTCATTTCGTTATCATCATCAGTGGCAGCAAGATTGTCAGAACTGAAGGAACTCAAAAGCAAGGCCAAGAAGAGGTTCAGAACCTGAAACACAGCAGGAAAAACAGGTGATCAAAACATTCTATTGCTTCAATTGCTTTCCATCATTAGTTTTCTAAGATTGTTCTTGACACCTTATTTTATTCTAACATGCATTTCTGCTAATTCATGATACACTATTCTGAAAAAAAGTGAATGAAATAAAAATGCTTGGTCAATATAAAATAATACTATTATCACTATTTGCTTTTTAGTCATTGCAGAAAATACTGAAATCATTGCTAAATGAAACATTTCTATTAAGCTCAGTTCCAAAAGATAAATATAGACAACTGTACAAAAAAAACCCTTTTATTTGGGATGCTGATATATTTTGGACATTTGCCCCCTCCCAAGTCTCATGTGGAATTGTAATCCCCAGCACTAGACGTGGGGCCTGGTGGTAGGTGTTTGGATGATGGGGTCAGATCCCTCATGCCTTGGTGCTGTCCTCATGTTAGTGAGTTCTCATGAGATGTTGTTATTTAAAAGTTTGTAGTGCCTCCTGCCCACATTCTCTCTTGCTTGTTCCTGCTTTCATCATGTGAAATGCTTGCTCCACTTTGCCTTCTGCCATGATTGAAAGCTCTTTGAGACTTCACCAGAAGCCAAGCAGATGCCAGCACCAAGCTCACTGCAGAACCATGAGCTAATTAAATCTCTTTTCTTTATAAATTACCCAGTCTCAGGTATTTATCTGTAACAATGCAAGAATGGCCTAATACAGATGCTATTTTGACTATGTAATTTGGATTTCCGGAAACACTGATAATTTATTCCTAAAATCAACAATTATCCCAATATATTTAAATATGATTTTATTTTTGTGCCTTTGTACCATTTTTTGTACCTAGATAACTGGACAAATCAGACAAAAACGTATTTATTGCTGGATGAAAAGTCCCAATTTTTATTAAGACAATTATGGCTACTATAATTATACAATAGTGAGAAATACTATAAAATGGTTATTATACAATAATTATGATGTTATTGTTGAATTAAAGATTGTGGAGTTGAAGTATTGCCATGAATAAGGACAGTAATCAGTCTGCAAATTGGGTCTTTAAAAATAGGCTCCACCAGTATGAATGAGTGAAAAGATTCATGACATTAAACTCACTATTGTGGAAAAAAAAAAAAAGACAACTTACGAAGAAATCAGACATTCTCAGGGGTACAAGACTGAGTCATATAATTTTTTTTCAGGATTTGATTGACAATATCAATGAATTCCTGATTATTTAAGCACACATAACATACAGAACAAAAGAAAGATATAGCAGTAAAGGGGGGCAAATGCACAAAGTAAATACAAGTTGCATATCCCTTATTTGAAATGCTTGGGGCCAGAAGTGTTTTGGATTTTAGATTTTAAAATATTTGCATGTACATAATGACAAGTCTTGAGAATGAGACACATGTGTAAACATAAAATTCATTTAAGTTTCATACACATACACATAGCCTGAAGGTAATATTATACAATATTTTTAATAATTTAGTTCAGGAAACAACATTTTGACTGTGGTTTAACTGCGATTCATTACAGGAGGCCAGATGTGAATTTTCCTCTTGTAGTATCAGGTTGGTGCTCAAAAGCTTTGAACTTCCGAGCATTTTGGATTTCAAATTTTCAGATTAGGGATGCTCAAACTGTAGTACAAAAGTAGAATCTTAGGAAAATTTTTAAGTAAAACTTCAATAAAAAGGATTCTACATTCTTGCTATATTCTCATGCTTCTATCATGCTAATGAGGCTTACAGCACCTTTGTCTAATTAGTTGTAAGTTAGTCTAACCAATGGTGATTTTTTTTAAAGTAAAAATATGTAAGATCCAATGAAGACCACGTTTGATTTTGAGAGTGTACTGACAATCTGTCAGTCTCTATACTATGACTCCTGATAATCACATTAAGACCAGACCTGCTCCTTTGCCTCTGGAATTTACCAATAAAATTATGTTTTATTGTAATTTGCTTTTGAACTTATTATTTGGATTAAAAAAACAGACAAAGGAAGAAAAAATTGCATGTAAAATTTTTATTTTATCTATTTTGGTGCTATTTCCTAGACTTATTTTCCTAAAGTATATTAAAGTTCTGTCATTTGTCTATTTGGAAATTTTTCTTGATACACATCCATCAATCCTTCCCCAGGGCGGGAGCCAATTATATTGCCTCTGTACTGGACAAATACTCTATTTACAAATGTCATTTACTGTGACATTTATATAGCCTGCTCCCATTTCTCATTCTGTCCTGTTAAATTTCTCATCCACATCCCTATCACATTATATTGGATTCTTTAAAAAAAAAAAAAAAACAAGCACAGCTTTACTGATAGATTGGGAGATCTTTTGGTCAGAAACATGCCTTAGAGCCAAGTCCTAGAGCAGTATCAATACCAGATCATAATAACAATAAAAGTAAAACCAGCTTTTTAGTTGAGCTCTTAGTAAATACCAGTTATTGTGCAAAGCATTTTCAAGGTTTATGTGATTTATTTCTCACAACTCTATAAGGCAGGAATTATTACTATTTTACAGATGAAAATGCTTCTGCACAACTTACATGACTTGTCCAAGACCACAGTTAATAAGTAGAGAAGCTTTTTTTTTTTTGAAAGTCTAACTACAAGGTCTTTTCTCCTAATTGTGATGTTTGCAGAATAAGTGAGGAAACAGTATTCCATGTTTACTCTTACCGATACTTCCTTTCTTTGAACTGCTACCATATTTAGTCAGTATAATAGGGTTTACTATTAATTTTCGAATTGTTTCTCTGATCTTTTATGAATTGATAACTCAATTCAATGCTATTCCACTGTCAGGAAAATAAATAAATATCCCTGGAACATATGACTTTTCTTTCTCATAAATCCATTGAAGTTTTTATTTTTTTTAAAGCAGCCAATCTACCCGTGGTGACACAGTTTTGAAACCGCGTTTATTAATACCCACTAGACACTAACTTTCATCAGCATGTTTATCTTAGTTCTATAGATTACTTGACATAGAGGAGCACATATTTTAGAATTCGAGTGCTAGGTAAGAATCGATTTTCTGTTACCTACTAAGTAGCATAACCAATCTGAGCCTCAGTTTCCTCATCTATAAAATAAATGTAATCGTTTTTCTAGTGCCCAGCTTACAAGGTTGTTGAAAGGATTCAGTGACAGAATTCATGTGGCTTTCAGCACAGTTCTTGGCACATAGTGAACCTTTGAGAAAGTTTAGCTGTTATCACTTACTATTATCCAACTTATCCTCCACAACACTATCTTTTTATTTACCTTATTTCCCTAGAAATATTTGTGTGAGTCAAGTTATTCTCTTTTTCTGGACTTCCTTTGTTACCGAAGGGTATGCGCATAACAGCTGGCACAGGTGTTTGGTGTGATCCATGACAATTTAAGAAAACAGTTCAGGCCGGGCGCGGTGGCTCACGCCTGTAATCCCAGCACTTTGGGAGGCCTCGGGCGGATCACGAGGTCAGGAGATCGAGACCATCCCGGCTAAAACGGTGAAACCCCGTCTCTACTAAAAATACAAAAAATTGGCCGGGTGTAGTGGCGGGCGCCTGTAGTCTCAGCTACTTGGGAGGCTGAGGCAGGAGAATGGCGTGAACCCGGGAGGCGGAGCTTGCAGTGAGCCGAGATCCCGCCACTGCACTCCAGCCTGGGCGACAGAGCGAGACTCCGTCTCAAAAAAAAAAAAAAAAAAAAAAAAAAGAAAGAAAACAGTTCAGCAAGCTCACTCAGGGACTGAAATCCTGAATCCTGTTTCACAAATGTGCTAGCTCAGTAAATGAAATCAACTCTTTCTTGTGTCTCAAATTAGCCTCTTGGAATGGAAATGTTACCATAATTTCCATTTTGAATTCAAGGTTGAAACATATTACATATTTTAATTGTTTCTCCATCCTGATTCCCAACTTGTGAGAGGAAGCCAAAACCTTCACATCCCTCCTGTGTGCTATTGCCTCACCTTCACTTAGGGAGAGAGGAAGTTGTCTTCTCTGCTTCTAGAACTATCAGTTTTCAGAAAGTCACATTCTTTTTCTGCAGCACCTATCTTCAACCAATGAAGGGTCTCTTGCCATCGTGTCTGGAAACTAAGAATGGCTCATAAAAATCCTGGTCTGGGAAACAGTAGTTTGTGGTCCCAGCTCTGTCTTGTCTGTAGACTAGGCTGGCAGTCCCATCCATTGTGACTACTACATCTATTTGGGTGGAGCCACATCTGATAGTTCATGTGTGTTAAAAGGAAGTTATGCCATTTTGTCTTTGGGACACCTTTCCCATTTTTCCAGTGAGAATAGGAAGGAAGAATTGTAGTAAGGAGTGAGTATATCAAGTTCATTCAGTCTTAAGCAAATGTTATATAAGCACATTTCCTTAATAGTGGTAAACATGATATATATGACTACCTTAGCTACTCCAGAAACATACCCAGGTTATCACAAGACAAAGAAGTTATTTTAACTGATAGTCAAAAAGAAAGGAGAACCTTTAATTTTTCTCTCTTAAAAGAACAAAAATTAAATTTACACCCAGTAGATGGAAATGATTATTTTATAAACTATATCTTTTTATGCATACATCACAATCTAAATTAATACTGATGTCAACCATAAGTACTTGATATTTCCTGAAATTCTCTTTTCAACTTCAATTTTCTGCACATTTATACATTAGAGAGATATGTTAATTTCAGTAAACTAATAGATAACATGTGGTGGGCTGAGTTTCATCCTCTTTAAATCTATTCTGCATTCTCCTGCTACGTATATTTCTGAAAAATATCACTGGTTCACTGTCACTTTCCTGATAAAAAATCATCTGTAGCTTTGAATTGCCTAAAGGAAAATACATTTTATTATGCACAGTCAGCCTTTTCATAAATTAAATTCTACCCAATCTGGTCCCAAACTTATATTTCTTAATTCCCCATTGCTGTCTGATCATTCATGTTGTCATAAAGGATTCTGTTCTCTGCGTTTTCTTTTCTTCTTCCAACATATACCAAATATACATACAGAGAAAATGAAATCAAATCTATAACATAATTATATTATCTTTTCTTTGTTTCTGTTCTATGTAACCCTATGGCACTTTCTGTTCTATGTGATCTTATACTTTTCTGAAAGCAAACATTTTAAAGTTGTCTTGGGGATTATAGTAGCTTGAGCTCTTCTTAGTGACTAGCTTCTAATGAATACAATATGGCAGAAGTGGTGAAGAGTGACTTTCAAGAGTAGAACATAAAGAGGATTTTCTCCTTGCCTTCTCTCTTACATCACCTTCCCTGGAAGAAGCCAGCTGCCATATCATAAGGACACTCAACAGTCCTATGGAAAAGGTCCTGCAGAGAAAAACTGAGACCTTCAACTAACTGCCAAAAAGGAACTGAAACCTCCTTCCAATAATCATGAGATTGAGCCTTCTTAGAAGCTGATCCTCCAGCCCCAGTCAAGATAACTGTAACCTCAGCTAACATCTCGACAGCAACTTCATGACTGATCCTAAACCAGAACCACCCAGCTAACTTATTCCCCAAATCCTGACCCACAGAAACTATGAAGTAATCAGTGTTTATTGTTTTAAGCCACTGTTTATAATTCTAGATTGTACACTGTTTATGTTTCTTGTTACTTTAAAAATAGATCAGAATTATCAAAAGTAATGTTGAAGAGGCTGAAATTTGGCAATGAATAAAAATAAAATAATACTTTGCCTTTTTCCCTTCCCCTTTCTCTATCTTTGGGGACTTGGAGGTTACCTTTATATGAGAGGAAATCATGTCTAAAGAGTATATGCTTTTTTTTTTTTTTTTTTGCAACAGAGTCTCGCTCTTTCACCCAGGCTGGAATGCAATGGCACAATCTCGGGTCACTGCCACCTCTGCCTCCCAGGCTCAAGCAATTCTCGTGCCTCAGCTTCCCAAGTAGCTGGGATTACAGGTGTGCATCATCACGCCTGGCTAATTTTTGTATTTCTAGTAGAGATGGGGTTTTGCCATGTTGACTAGGCTGGTCGCGAACTACTGTCCTCAAGTGAAACGCCCACTTCAGTCTCCCAAAATGCTGCGATTACAGGCGTGAGCCACTGAGCCTGGCAAGAGTATATACATTAAATTACTTGTTATGGTAGTCATTTTTCTATTCCATTGGTTTGGGTTCTAATTAAGCAACTCGGTGTAATTACTTCATATTTAAAGCATAAGAGCCTGATACTTCTCACAGAGTCTACTGTCCTGTATCCCTCAGTCACTGGGTACCTTGTTTCCTTGTTTGGGATGGTCTTTCTTCCTACCAAGCTAAATCTTACATCTCAGTTAAATATATTTTAGGTCCAAACTCTTTGACAAAGACTTCCCTGATCAACCTTCCTATTGTAAAGCAAGGTTTACATTTTGTAAACTTGACACATGGCACTTTGTTTTCATATTTTTGGACACATATTAGTTACTTCCTATTTTTAATTCTATTTGAGTACATGTTATATCACTTTGTTATATTTATCTTCCCATGCCTTCCCAACTTCTCCATGCCTTCAAGATTCAGGACACTAGTGTTGGGTATGGTTAATTTTTTTAAATTATTATTATACTCTAAGTTTTGGGATACATGTGTAGAACATGCAGATTTGTTACATACATATACACTTGCCATGGTGGTTTGCTGCATCCATTAACCCGTAATCTACATTAGTTATTTCTCCTAATGCTCTCCCTCCCCTAGCCCCCCACCCCTCGACAGGCCTCAGTGTGTGATGTTCCCCTCCCTGTGTCCATGTGTTCTCATTGTTCAACTCCCACTTATGAGTGAGAACATATAGTGTTTGGTTTTCTGTTCCTGTGTTAGTTTGCCGAGAATAATGGTTTCCAGCTTCATCCATGTCCCTGCAAAGGACATGAACTCACTCTTTTTTATGGCTGCATAGTATTTCATGGTGTATATGTGCCACATTTTCTTTATCCAGTCTATCATTGATGGGCATTTGGGTTGGTTCCAAATCTTTGCTATTATGAATAGTGCTGCAATAAGCATACGTGTGCATGCATCTTTATAGCAGAATGATTTATAACCCTTTGGGTATATACCCAGTTATGGGATTCCTGGGTCAAATGGTATTTCTGGTTCTAGATCCTTGAGGAATTGCCACACTGTTTTCCACAATGGTTGAACTAGTTTACACTCCCACCAACAATGTAAAAGCATTCCTATTTCTCCACATCCTCTCCAGCATCTGTGGTTTCCTGACTTTTTAATGATCGCCATTCTAACTGGCGTGAAGTGGTATCTCATTGTGGTTTTGATTTGCATTTCTCTAATGACCAGTGATGATGAGCTTTTATTCATATGTTTGTTGGCCACATAAATGTCTTCTTTTGAGAAGTGTCTGTTCATATCCTTCACCCACTTTTTGATAGGGTTGTGTTTTTCTTGTAAATTTGTTTAAGTTTTTTGTAGATTCTGGATATTAGATGGATAGATTGCAAAAATTTTCTCCCATTCTGTAGGTTGCCTGTTCACTCTGATGATAGTTTCTTTTGCTGTGCAGAAGCTCTTTAGTTTAATTAGATCCCATTTGTCAATTTTGGCTTTTGTTACCATTGCTTTTGGTGTTTCAGTCATGAAGTCTTTGCCCATGCCAATGTCCTGAATGGTATTGCCTAGGTTTTCTTCTAAGGTTTTTATGGTTTTAGGTCTTACATTTAAGTCTTTAATCCATGTTGAGTTAAATTTGTAAAGCATGAAGATAAGATTAGAGAAAAAAGAATGAAAAGGAACGAACAAAGTCTCCAAGAAACATGGGACTATGTGAAAAGACCAACCCTAAGTTTGATTGGTGTACCTGAAAGTGACTGGGAGAATGGAACCAAGTTGGAAAACACTCTTCAGGATAACCAGGAGAACTTCCCCAACCTAGCAAGACAGGCCAACATTCAAATTCAGGAAATACAGAGAACACCACAAAGAAGCTCCTTGAGAAAAGCAACCCCAAGACACATAATTGTCAGATACACCAAGGTAGAAATGAAGGAAAAAATGTTAATGGCAGCCAGAGAGAAAGGTCGGGTTACCCACAAAGGGAAGCCCACCAGACTAACAGCAGATCTCTCGGCAGAAACCCTACAAGCCAGAAGAGAGTGGGAGCCAATATTAAACATTATTAAAGAAAAGAATTTTCAACCCAGAATTTCATATCCAGCCAAACTAAGCTTCATAAGCAAAGGAGAAATAAAATCATTTACAGACAAGCAAATGCCAAGAGATTTTGCCACCACCAGGCCTGACTTACAAGAGCTCCTGAAGGAAGCACTAAATATGGCAAGGAAAAACCAGTACCAGCCACTGCAAAAACATACCAAATTGTTAAGACCATCAACATTATGAAAAAACCGCAGCAGCTAATGAGCAAAATAGCCAGCTAGCATCATAATGACAGGGTCAAATTCACACATAACAATATTAACCTTAAATGTAAATGGGCTAAATGCCCCAATTAAAAGACACAGACTGGCAAATTGGATAGAGTCAAGACCCATCGGTGTGCTGTGACCCATCTCACATGCAAAGACACACATAGGCACAAAAAAAACGGATGGAGGAATATTTACCAAGCAAATGGAAAGAAAAAAAAAAAGCAGGGTTTGCAATCCTAGTCTTTGATAAAACAGACTTTAAACCAACAAAGATTAAAAAAAGACAAAGAAAGACACTACATAATGGTAAAAGGGATCAATGCAACAAGAAGAGCTAACTATCCTAAATATATATGGTGTTAGGGGTGGTTAATTTTATGCAGAAATGACAATTAATGTTTTTAGAGACAATGTTACTTGCTCATACCATAGTTTCTAGGCACCGAAAACCCCATGAGCTCTTAATAAACTGAGATTGTTGCTAGTTTTTAAATTTGTAGAAAACCAAATCTGAAACGTTTTCAGGTGTTATTGCTAGTACTTATAAATAAAATGAGTGTTCTAAGTAACACTTCCATGCTCTAGTACAAGAACTGAAAGATAAATAACAGAAAAGTTTCTCTCCTTGTAGCAAGAAGGATAATGAAAGAAAGAATAACTTTGGTTCAAAAGGTAGTTTAAGGGTTTGTGTGGATTACAATGGTCTAAACTATACATGGCTCTTACAGTCATGAGTAATAGACAATAGGAAGTGGCCTTGATTTAAAAAATACAAAATATTCTTCAGTTGAACACACTTTTTAATGATTACATTATCTTTTAATGAAAATGAGGAAAATGTTTTTGCTACATACCACTAGATTTCCAATCACCATGACCATCATGAAGACAGTAAGGCACATGGTTTGGCCAGCGACCTCCATACAGTCCCACATGGTCTCTATCCACTCTCCACACAGCACGCGGAACACGATCAGGAAGGAGTGGAAAAAGTCATGCATGTGCCAGCGTGGGAGTTCACAATCATTGGAAATCTTGCAGACACATTCTTTGTAGCTCTTACCAAAGAGCTGCATGCCGACCACAGCAAAAATGAAGACGATGATGGCCAATACCAAGGTGAGGTTTCCTAGAGCCCCCACAGAATTGCCAATGATCTTAATTAGCATATTTAGAGTTGGCCAAGATTTTGCCAACTTGAAAACTCGGAGCTGGAAATAAAAGCAAGAACAGTGTTAATGCTCTGCATTTCTAAAAAAATCTGCAATTTTATTTTATTTTTATTTTTTTATTTTTTATTTTTATTTTATTTTATTATTATTATACTTTAAGTTTTAGGGTACATGTGCACAATGTGCAGGTTAGTCACATGGACACAGGAAGGGAAAAATCTGTAATTTTATTAACAGGGCAAATGTACAGGTAACTGTCTCAATTATAGAATGATGAATTATTTATTTGTCAAATGATCACTAACAAATATAGCAGTGACTTGCTACCATAGAGCATTCTTTTTTTCATTTTGAAATGGTCCATACTGTAAATGAAATAATTAAATTATACAGTTTTTAAATTGGCAGTTTAATAAGATACACCAAATTTTCAAGTATCCTACATAAGCATATGTAATATACACTTTTGTTTCTCCTTAAGGAATTAAGATATTTCAGATTAATGGTGGTTAATTAGCAGAGATCCAGTTTCAGAGAAGTAGGAACTCTCATTATTTTTAAAAGGCCAAAGCAGATATAGTTTTCAGTGTACTTTAAATATGCTGAAATGCACAGGTGAGAATAATATCAACACTTAAATTACATAAAGTGGAAGCAGAAATGAACTAATTTCTTTGTCTTTAGATTGTTTTAATCTAGCTATATCTTTAGCTTGCTGTAACTTTAGGCTATATTTTAAACATATATTATATTCAAATACAAAAATACTTAAACTTAAGTAAAACGCTAGGCTTCTTTTTAACCTTTATATCTTCATAGACTTAATTCAGTGTAGTGTGTAAATGTCTTTCTCATTGTGTTTGACATATTGGTTGTATTAGCTTTAGAGTTCACTGAAGTACCATTTATGGTTAAAGAGCAGCAGCATTTTATTTCTGATGCTTCAGTAAATGTCAGGCTGAAAGTAGTGCATTATTTAATGGCATCAAAGTGACCCAAAGGAGTAAATACATGCACCAAAGTATTTAATTTATTCCAGAGAATAATTTATGCAAAAGAGCCTGACACACTAAGTAAGATTCTAGTGATACTATGCTTCCTATTTCCCTTAACTGCATCACACTATCATGAAGGTTTACTAAATATATTTTTTTAAGTTCTTGCCCATATTACTTGTTTTATCATTTTAAATTTTTGTTCTGTTTTTTGCATCCTTCTAGATTCAAATTAGATTCATAACTATCTTTGAGGATTAGGGAAGGAAATATAGTTCTAAGGATTACAACTCAAATTTGAACATTGAAAGCAGAAAGGGAAATTGTAAACAGATTTCATGAAAAAGTCTTCAGCCTAATCACTACTAAGGTAAATCATCTATAGGAACGTGTCCTTAGTAACCGTGTACAGCCTCTGTTATTTGAAAATAAATCACTAACTTAGAGCCAACTCAAAGTAATAGTATAACAAAACATATCAAACTTTCACTGGAAATGTGTCAAGTGATATTTTATCTCTGAATTTTAAGATCTAATAGTTTTTATAAAAGATCAAAGAAAGATACTTTCTTTAAAATTAACAAAATATAGTACAGTTAACTCTTTCAAAGAGTGATTTGGTGATTTTCTGATGTGGCAGCAGTCATATGGGGAGCTCTGTTTGCTTATCCTTCTCCTTTGTACACTATCCCCTGTCTTAACTCTTTCCTCTACGGGGACAAGGTGAGCAATGAACAATTCCATAATTCTTTAGTTCCTGGCAGAAAGGGGAGCTCATCCTAGGTCCCAAGGAAGCTTTGTACGCAGTTATGCAAACCTCAGATAACTGAGAGTTGACTATGGTGTTGTTTAATTGTGATTCGAGTTTATCTGTGACTCCCTGTTTCCTCCTCTCTATTAGCCTTCCATTCAATAACTAAGAAGAGAAGTGTAGACTATTCATTTAAGTGAACTTTATTAAAGCTATGATGAAGAAGAAACTACCATTTGGTGGTATGGCAATCCAATTTGTTTTAGAAGTGTATTCAAATAATATTATAATGATGGGAAATCTTGCCATTTTTACTAGATGAGAATGAAGACTAATTAATTACAAAGTACATTTTATGAACACTCCCAGTTAATTTACCAGCCGGAATGATCGGAGAACTGACAATCCTTCCACATTTGCCAAACCAAGTTCCATTAAACTAAGGCTCACAATAAAACCATCAAAAATATTCCAGCCTTCTTGAAAGTAATAATATGGATCCATGGCAATTATCTTGAGAAACATTTCTGCTGTGAAGATCCCTGTGAAGACCTAAATGAGAAGTGTAGTTCATTATATGAGCAAATACTCTTGAAACACGAATAATTATTGAGCAACTTAATTTACTCCCAACAAATATAAATTAAATTCTGATTTTAAAAAATTGGTTTAGGTCCAACAACTTAGTATCTACAAATGCTTTGCATTCAAATCAATAATTGTTCACTATATATAATGTTTATCAAATGATAAAGAGTACACGGATTAAGTCAATAAAATTAATATTATTTTCATATGAAAGGTGCAACTGACTCATTGTGATCAACTGTTTGGCTCTGTCTCTGATCTTTCTAGCCCTCCAAAAACTTACCAAATGATTACCTAGCAGTGCGGGCTTCCATCACCAAGCCAAATGGATTGGTCCCCTCCCTTGGCCCTGCAGATGAGACTGGTGCTAAGATGTCATGTAAGCTGTAATAAACATGCTCACGGCTAGCTCTACAGATAGTAAGAACTCTTAAAAAAATTTCCTTTTGTTGGCGAAAGGGAAGCAGTATTTTCCTTTCTCCATTTCTATTATCTAAAACTATTTCAAACTTTCTCTTCTGCACATAACCTCAGCCATTTTTGCTTATGCCTTCCCATCTGAGAAGCACAGTCTCAGTACTTCAGCGTCTTAGAGGTGATGAAAGTCAGCCAGCCTGAACTTTGTTTCCCTTTATCTACTAGACTACTTACATCCGTAACTGTGCTTTGCCTTTCTCTTCTTGTTAAAATGAAAGAAGTGCCCCTGTTTTGAGCTAATCTCTCAAATTGTGTTATGTGTTTTCCTTTGGACTTTGCAAGGAATTCATTCTCAATTAACCAACATTTCTACTACTGGCTACTTCCCGTTTCTTTATAGAAAGTAACAGTTACCGAGTCCTTCTCTCCCTTAAAAATATCACCACTGTGGGCCGGGCGCGGTGGCTCACGCCTGTAATCCCAGCACTTTGGGAGGCCGAGGTGGGCAGATCACGAGGTCAGGAGATCGAGACTATCCTGGCTAACACGGTGAAACCTCTTCTCTACTAAAAATACAAAAAATTAGCCGGGCGCGGTGGCGGGCGCCTGTAGTCTTAGCTACTCGGGAGGCTGAGGCAGGAGAATGGCATGAACCCGGGAGTCGGAGCTTGCAGTGAGCCGAGATAGCGCCACTGCACTCCAGCCTGGGCGAAAGAGCAAGACTCCGTCTCAAAAAACAAACAAACAAACAAAAAATATATATATCACCACTGTCATAAGAGAAACTCTCCTTGCACTCTATTTCCCCTTCCAGGTGCCACCATCTATCCTTTCCTTATGGCCAGATTTCTTTCGAAGATTGCATACTTGTCTACACTTGCCAGTTCCATTTCTTCACCTTACTCCACAACCCACCAAATGGCTTTAACAAACTTCACCAACAAGACCGACATCACCAATAAATCCAAACGAAATTTTTTAAACAATTATCTTGCTTGCTTGCCCTTTTAGAAGTTTCAGGCATTGTTTTCTGTTCCTTGTTCATTGAAATATTTTCTGCCCTTAGCTTCTGTGATCCACACCTCCCTGGATGCTACTCACCTGATTTTCTTCCTCTAACAAATCATTTGATACTGGATTTATTCAGAACTCTCTCTGTCTAGACCCCTCTTACTTTAGTTTTCCTTTTATAATAAGTTACATTTTTATAATAGTTCATATTTCAAAATCTATTTTTCTGTTCAAGCATACCTCCTAGTCTCTAGAAATACATACCCACCTGCCTATTCAATACCTACATTTGAAAGACTATCTCCCAGGCATCTCAAATTCAACAGGTCCAAAATTCATCTTACTGCTTTTTCTCCACAGTTTTGCTTCTCTTCTGATATTTGCTAACTCAGTAAATGGAATCTCTCTCTACCTAGGTGGTTACCTCAGAGACCTGACAGTCTTAGTGACTTTTCCAAATATTACTTGAATACTTCAAATTGAAATTCACCCATGTGTATATTACTAGACTTTTCTTTTTTGTTCAGTAGGTCTCCATTGTTTGAAATTTCATGGACATTTAAATAATAGATAGCACTTTTTGTCTGTTTTCCAATAAATTTTTGCCTACCCCAAGGTCTCAAAGATGTTCTCCTGTGTTTTATTTCAGATGTTTTATTGATTTAGCTTTTCTGCTTAGTCTACAATCCTTATTGATTCTGGCACTTGGCATAAGATCGAAGTGGAGGTTCATTTATTTTCCATACATTTATTTATGTGTTCCTGATATTTTGTTGAAAACACTTCCTTTCTTCTATTTCCTTTCTGTAGTGTTTATTTCAAAAAATCCATTGACATGTAGTTTGGATCTATTTATGAACTCAGCATTATGTTCCATTGATATCTTTGTTTATGCCAATACTGTAGATTCTTGATTAGTACAGCTTTATAACAAGCCTTGAAGTCAGGTAGGTTAATGTTTTCATTATTCTTTTATCAGTATTGTTTTGGCAATTTTAAGCACTGTGTATTTGCATAGAAAGTCAGTTCATCAATTTCTACAAAGAAAATCTGTGACATTTTTACTGGGATTGGGTTGAATTGATAGATACATTTGGGTAGAATTAATTTCTTAATAATATTGAATCTTCCATTGCATGAACATGGCATATATATTTCCATTTGTTTAAATCTTCTGTAATTATTCTCAGCCATGTTTTGAGGTTTTTAGTAATAGGTGTCTCGAAATGATTTGTTAAATTTATTACTATATTCTTCGTGTTTTTTGATATTATGGTAAATAAAATATTTAATATCGCGTTTATTTCTAATCAGTTTTAAAGATTTATTAGGATTGTCTACAATATGATCATGTTGATGAAATAGATAATTTACCACATTTCAATATTTATGCATTTTATTTGTTTTGTTTTTTTTTCCTTTAGTTCAGTTGATAAAACTTCCAGTGCAAGGTCAAATAAAAATGGTAAAAATAGACATATTTGTCTATGTTAAGGGGAAAGCACTCAATTTTTCTAAGGGGCAAGAATTCACTACCTCAACATTTCACTGATAAGTAAAATATTAGGTGTAGGGTTTTCTTTCTTTTTCTTTTTTTTTTTTTGAGACAGAGTTTCACTCTTGTTGCCCAGGCTGAAGTGTGGAGTGCAGTGGCTTAATCTCGGCTCACTGCAACCTCCGCCTCCCGGGTTCAAGCAATTCTCCTGCCTCAGCCTCCCTGTTAGCTGGTATTGCAGGCGCCTGCCACCACGCTCAGCTAATTTTTTCTATTTTTAGTACAGACGGGGTTTCACTATGTTGGCCAGGCTGGTCTCGAACTCCTGACCTCAAGTGATCCACTGCCTCAGCCTCACAAAGTGCTGGGATTACAGGCGTGAGCCTCCACGCCCGGCTAGATGTAGGGTTTTCTGAAACGTCCTTAACAACTTGAGATAGCTACTTTCTATTCCTAGTTTACTGACAGTTTTTCTCACAAATGACTGTTGAGTTTTGTCAGATCCTTTTCTGCATCTATTGAGATGATCTTAGGCTTTCCTTTATTCTTTTAGAGGTAATATGGCCAATTAATTGATCACTTTTCAAATGTTAAATGAATCTTACTTTTCTGAGATAATCCCCACATGTTTAAGAAGTATTTATTACTTTTTTCTCTATTGCTAGATTTTATTGATAATATTTTGCTAATGATTTTTTGCTTCTGTGTTCATGAGGGATACTTTCTTGTAATTTTCTATGTAAAATTAATATTGTAACACTTTAGATAAAATGTTCTGGCCCGGCGTGGTGGCTCATGCCTGTAATCCCAGCACTTTGGGAGGCCGAGACGGGCGGATCATGAGGTCAGGAGATCAAGACCATCCTGGCTAACACGATGAAACCCCGTCTCTACTAAAAATGCAACAAAATTAGCCAGGCTTGGTGGCTGGTGCATGTAGTCCCAGCTACTCGGGAGGCTAAGGCAGCAGAACAACGTGAACCGGGGAGGCGGAGCTTGCAGTGAGCCGAGATCGCACCACTGCACTCCAGCCTGGGCGAGAGAGCGAGACTCCGTCTCAAAAAAAAAAAAAAAAGTTCAAATCTTTTCATAATTTTACACTTACCTATGTTATAAATCCCCACTTTAAACAATCAGTTGTCTTTTTAAAAAATTTACCACAGCAACAGAAAACCAAATACTGCATGTTCTCACTTATAAGTGGGAACTAAACATTGAGTTCACAGGAACACAAAGAAGGGAACAACAGACACTTGAGGGTGGAGGGTGGAAGGAGGATGAGAATTGAAGAACTATCTATAGAGTACTATGCTTATTACCTGGATGATGAAATAATCTGTATGCCAAACCCCTGTGATTTACAATTTATTTATGCAACAAAGCTGTCTACATACCCCTGAACCTAAAATAAATGTGAAAAAAATTAAGGAAAAAAAGATAGTCTTTCGTATTTACCCACATTTATTCATATCTAGTGACCATCATTCCCAGAAACAAATTTCCATCTGATATTTTTCCTATTCGGCCTAAAGAACTTCCATTAACATTTCTTGTAGTGTAGTTCTGGTGGTAACAGCTTTTTTAGGTTTTTGTTTATCTTAAAATTCTTTATTTCATTTTAATTTCTGATGGATAGTTTCACTTTCTGTAGAATAATGGGCTTTTATTTCTTTATTTTATCTGGCCACTTTCTTCTGGCCTGAATTATTTCTGGTAAGACATTAGTCTCATGTATATAGTAAATATTTTTCTTCCGGTTGTTTCCAAAGCTTTTTGTTATTGTTGTTTTCAGCAGCATGACTAAGATGTGCCTAAGTATGGCTTACTTTATATTTATCCTGTTGATGTTCACTAACATTTTATAAGGTAACATTAAGGTCTGTAAGTTACTATTTTTCACCAACTTTGGGAAATTTTTGGCCATTGTTTCTTCAAATATTTGCTCTGTTCCATTCTTTCTATTTTCTCCTTCTGATTCTCCCATTATATAAATATTTAGACTACTTGATATTATCCCATATTATAGTTAGACTCAGTTCATTTTTCCTTTTAATTCTCTAGTGTTCAAATTGGATAATTTCTATTAATGTGCTCCAAGTTAACAACTATTTCTTCTGACATCTGCAATTTTGTTTTAAACACATCCAGTGAATTTTTCATATTAGAATGTGTACTTTTCAATTATAAAATGTCTGAGTTATTCCTTTTTACAGTTTTCATTTTTTTCTGCTCATGTTCTCTGTTTATTCCTTATGACCCCTTTTTTTCCTTTAAATTGCTCAACATATTTACAATAGTGCCTCCAAAGTCCTTTTTTGTTTATTCTAACAATTTGTTCCTGTCCAGATCTATTTCTATGTACCGCTTTAATCTATTAACTATGAGTCACATTTCCCTATTTCGTTGCATATCATCTAATTTTTATGTGACATGAATATGTTTAATATTGGGAATACTTCAATCCTGGAAATCTATCTTCTAGAAGTTAATACAGCATTATGAAAGGTGATATATACAAGAACATTTACTGCAACATGGGGGTAAAGTATCTGGAATCAACTTGAACATCCATCAATAGGTGATTGGAAGAAAAAATAGTGATACATGCATACTATGAAATATTAGTATGCAATTCAGTGGCTTGTAATATATTCACAGACTTGTAAAATCATCACCATTATTGAATTTTAGAACATTTTCATCGCCTTAAAAAGAAGCTGCATACCCATTAGTTAGTTGTTGCTCCCATTTACCCTAATCCCTACTGCCTGGCAACCACTCATCTCCTTTCTGTCTCTATGGATTTGCCTGTTATGAACATTTCATATAAATGTAGCAATATGATATGTAAATTTTGTGACTGGCTTTGTTCACTTAATATAATATATTCAAGGTTTATTCATGTTGTAGATTGTAGCAATACTTCATTCTTTTTTATGGATGAATAACATTTATTGGATGGATATTGTTTATCCATTCATCAAGTGATAGACATTTGAATTGTTTTTAATTTTTAGTATTATGAATAATATTCTATAAGCATTCATGTTGAAATATGTTTTTAATTCTCTTAGATATATATATCCGAAGAAATTAGTAAAACTGCCAGGTCATGTGGTAACTCTACCCCAAACTTTTTGGGGAACAGCTAAATTATTATCCAAAGTGACTGCATCATTTTATATTCTCAAAGTAAAGCATAACCATTCTAATTTTTCCACATCCTTGATAAAAAATGGTATTGGCTTTCTTTCTGATTATAGCCATCTTAGTGTGTGTGAAGTGGTATCTCATTTTAGTTTTGATTTGCCTTTCCCCTAAAATTAGCCAGTGACGCTGACCATCTTTTATGTGCTTATTGGCCTTTTGTCTAACTCCTTTTTCAATATGTCTATTCAAATATTTTGATCATTTTTAGTGAGTTATCTATTTTATTTGTTGTGGAGTTATAATAATCCTTTACATATATTAGATACAAATCATGATCAGATATCTGGGTTGCAAATGTCTTCTTCCATTCTTTAAGTTGTCTTTTTACTTGATGATATTGTTTGCAGTATGAAAGTTTCTAATTTTGATAAAGTCCAATGAACCTTTTTTTTCTTATTGCTATTGTGTGTGCTTTTGGTATCATATCTAAGAAATCATTGCTTAATAATAGGTCATGAAGATTTACTTCTAAATTTCCTTCTAACAGTTCATAGTTTTAGCTCTACCTTTAGGCCTATGACCTATCTTAATTTTTATATATGTTATTAAGTAAGGGTTCAATTCCATTCTTTCATATGTGGATATTCACTTGTCCAAGCACCATTTGTTGAAAAGGCTTCTTTCCTTAATAAAATTGTCTAGTGGTCTTGTTGAAAATTAATTTAACATAAATATGAAGACTTACTGTTGGAATTTCAATTTTATTCCATTGATGTATATAGCTATCCTTATGCCAGTACCAAACTATCTTGCTTACTTTTGCTTTGTAGTAAGTTTTAAAATTTGGAAGTTTGAGTTCTCCAACTTTATTTTTTTTCTAGTTAAGATTGTGTGGCATATAGTCTCTTGCATTTTCATATAAAATTTACAGTCAATTTATCACTTTCTGCAAAATAGGTAGCTGGGATTTTGATATGAATAGCGTTAAATTTGTAGATTAATTTGGTGAGTATTGCCATCTTAACAATATTTTCCTCTAATCTATGAATATAAAATGTGCTTTCATTTATTTAGTAGTTCTTTAATTTCTTTCAACAATATTTTATAGCTTTGAGTGTACAAATCTCACACTTATTTTATTAAATTTATTCCTAAGTATTTTATTATTTTTCATGTTGTTATAAATAGAATTTTCCTAATTTTATTTTCTGATTGTTCATTAGTAGTGTTTAGAAATATAATTGAGTTTTGTATATTGATCTTGTATTCTGCAATCTTATTTATTAGTTCTAACAGCTGTGTGTGTGTGTGTGTGTATTTTATAGGATTTTCTAAATACAAGATTATGTATTCGTTAATAGAATTTACTTCTTGTGTTCCAATCTAGATGCCATTAATTTCTTTTTCTTGTCTTATTTCCCTGGTTAGAACTTTCAGTACAATATTGAAAAGAAGTAGCAAGAGCAAATATCCTTGCCTTCTTCTTGACCTGAAGATAAAAGCATCTAAAGTAACTATTAAGAATGATGATAGGTGTGGGGTCTTTTGAGATGGTGTTTATCAGGCTGAAGTTCTTTTCTATTTCAAGTTTGCTGAGTGTTTTTATCATGAAACACTTTGGCTTTTTCCATGTGATTACAGCATCTATAGAGATGATTGTATAGTTTTTTAAAATTAATATGATATATTACATTAATTTTTTATGCTGGTCCAGCCCTGCATCACTGGGATAAATTTCACTTATTCAGAGTACATAATCTAAAAATCTAAATATGTTATGTGATTTGGCTTCTAGTATTTTGTTGAGGATTGTTGTGCCTATGTTCATATGGGATATGGCTGGTCTATATTTGTGTCTGTGTTCTTTTCTTGCATTATTTTTGTCTGGCATTAATATCAGGGTAATTCTAGCTTCAGAAAGTGAGGTGAGAAGTATTCCCTTCTCTTCTATGTGTTGGAACAGTTTGTTAAGGATTGATGTTAACGCTCCATTGAACATTTGGCAAAATTCACCAGTGATACTATCTGGGCTCAGGCTTTTTTTGGCAGGAAGTTTTCTTTTTTTTAATTGTGAATTCAATGTTTACTTATTATAAGTATATTGAGATAGTCTATTACTTCTTGAGTCAGTTTCAGGCGCTTGTTACTCCCTAGGAATTTTTCAATTTCACATAGGTTATCTAGTTTGCTGGCGTTTAATTTTATTTTATTTCTTATGCTCCCTTTTTCTTTCTAAAAGATCCATGGTAATATCCTCTCTTCATTCCTACTTCTAATAATTAGTGTCTTTCCTCTTTTTTTCTTGGTTAGCCCAACTAAAGATTTGTCAATTGTGTTGATTTTTTCAAAGAAATAACTTTTGGTTTTATTGATTTTTCTCTGTTGTTTTTCTCTTCTTTAATATTTGTCTTTTCTGTTAACTTCAGGTTTAATTTGCTATTCTTTATCTAGTTTATTAAAAAGGAGCTTAAATTAGCAATTTGGGAAATCTCCTATTTTACTATAGACATTTAGAGTATAAATTTGTCTTTAAATATTGTTTTAGCTGCCCTCATTAATTTCAGTTTGGTTTGTTTTGATTTTCAGTCATCCTAAAGTATTTTCTAATTTCTCTCATGACATCTTATTGACTCATTGGTTATTTAAGAGCAAGTTGTTTAATTTCCAAATATTTGTGATTTTCCACATTGACTTGTTATTGGTTTCTAATTTCATTTTATTTTTTATCAGAAAAATATTCTGTATTATTTTAATTTTTTTAAGTTTATTGATGTGTGTTTTATGACCTAACCTATAACTTATCCTAGGGAATATCCTATAGGCATTTGAGAAGAATGTGTATCCTGCCTATGGATTTTCTACTATTCCATAATTCACCTTAGATACAGATCCTACATTCCTTAACACGTAAGACCAGCCCCAGCTTGAGTTGTCTATTTATTGTTTATTTCTTTCTAGAATCCATCCTCCTTCTGGTAATGGTATCCTAATTATTGTCTTCATAATTTCACTCATTTACTCTGCCTCCAGTGATAAGATATGATTCTGATTTAGGCGAATATGGCATTAAAACCAAGAGCTAGGGTAACTGACTGGTTTAGAAATGGCCATGTAACTCCAACCAGGTCAATGATATTCAATTTGTGGGCCTTAATTAAAGCTACTAGTTAGGAGGCACAAACTTTCTGTACATGGAGCTACATTAGTAGAATAAAAGTTGATAGAATCTTGGCAATAGTAGGAAAATGCCCAGCCAGAGAGGAAGGTCACATATTGGGAAGAAGAGAGACAAGAAGCTGATTCCCAATGATGCTGGCTGAGAACCTGAATCTAGCCAGGTTAGAACCTAGAACTAGTTCCAAATGGGCTTCAGTAAAGTGAGGTAATGAATTCCCTTTATTTTTGCTTAAGCTCATTCAATTTGGATCACAATATATTACCTCCAAAGGCTTTCTTGTTTCAATTGCCACCCCACCACCCTGCTTTTTTTTAGAAATAATGTTGAAGAAATTCTTACATAGCTCTAAATTTGAACTAGGTAAAATTATTATCCTTTCCTACTCTAAGCGTCTGTGATCTTTGCCCATAGCTTATGATAGTCTCTGAAATAGCTTTCAGAGTCTGATACAGCATTCAGACCTTCCATTTCTCTGTTAATTTCTCATGGATACAGTTTCCCAACTGCGAAATACAGACAATTTATAGTAAATATCTTAAGACTGGTTTTGTGGGAATCTAGAGAGAGAGATTTAATGTAAACCATTTAGTCCAATATCTGATACAAAATAAGAGGCCAACATATGCCAACTTTATCATTTAATTCAGTTAAGTCCTACCTGAAATATAATTCGAAAATATAGTGGTTACTTCAGAGCCTAAAAATATTGTATATTATACTTTAGACCGTATTATTTACAATCTCTATATAACCTGCTTATATGTTCATTTATCAAGCTGGGAACTTAATAAGCATTTTATACTTGTATAAATATACTTTTTTGCGTGATTTTCTTCATTTTGTCTCTCTGTATAAGACCACTTTAAAATCTATCACTATAGTATACTATATTATAATATCAATATGTATCCAGTAAATGCTAATATATATTTTAACAAAATTAAATAAATAATTTCTAAATTTAATATTGCTAAGACTGTAGAAGAAACAAAAACAAAAAATAATAATCCCCCAGATGATGTCCCCTCCCTACATAGTCCATCTTCAAGTACTTACAAGTGATATTTCAAAATTATCTGACTTGGGCATATTTTATCATTTGTTTAGTAAACACAGACATGTCCTAAAGAACCTATTCTAAGGTTCTTAAAAATATGTCAGAATTTTGCTATAGATCAATGTCCTTGGAGGACAATTCAGAATCATCTTCTAATAAATAAGCAATTTAAATTCAATTCTAAATCAAATTGTACATAAATTCTTTGACTCTTTTGCACTATGGTAGCAACATTTTTTTGTTATTTAAAAGGGATGCTAAACATTTGATGTCAAGATATACATGGCCAATTAGTTGATATTTAATTTGAGAGCAATATGTAAAATTCACTAAGGCAATTATAAACTCTTTCAAGAGGAAGAGAAACTCTCAGTGAGGCTTACCAGGTTTCCAACAGACAGTACACTGCTGAACTGCTCCGTCATGGGATAGTGCTCCATAGCCATGAAGAGTGTATTTAAGACAATGCAGATGGTGATGGCCAGGTCAACAAATGGGTCCATTACAACCAGGTTGACAAGGTGTTTCACCTTTAACCATGGTTTACAACAGTCCCAAATCAAACACATATTAGCAAATTTATACCAGCATGGTGGGCATTTCTGTCTGGATTCTTCAAGTTCTGGAAGAAAAAAAGTTAGAATCCTCATGAAAACTGCTTACTTTCTATTAAGCAGATTTGGTTTAAATTAAAAGGAATTTAAAAAATCTAAAGTTGTTAAAAGATATTATGGGTTAATCTGCTGGAGGAACAGGGAAAATTTTACAATGGGTTTGCTGTCATAGAAAGGATCAGTACAGAAAGGCTAGTAAGCTTTCCAAATGTATCCTGGCTAAACATAGCTTCCAAGATTCTATTGGCAACACTAAACTGTCTGATACTTATCTTCAAGGCTGCTAGAAACTAATGGGTAGAACTTGCATTGCATACACTTAAAGCTCATCCATGTTCCAGGTAGAGCAAGAAGTATATATGTTATCAGAGATATCTCAGGAGATGTCCTAAGAACCTTAATCAGTCACACTGAATGTCAGTTTCTTGGATTAGATATGTTTTGGTGATCTTCTAATTAGATAATTTTGTCAGTGTCACCAATCTCAGTTTAAAAGTCTCAAATTAAATTTTATTAGATTATAGGCTTGCATATTAGACACAACAAAGTTCCATCTCTCTACATTTCTCATTTAACTAGAGGGCATAAAAGAAGAGAAAATACCCCAGCCTAAGGAACTGGAGTCCTCACTGTTGTTACAAATCAACATTTCACAAAGTGGAACTCATTTATTACTGGAAAAATACAAAGGATTTTAGGTGAAACATACATATAATTCATACATTTTCATGGTAAACATTTATTTAAATGTATTTAAATATATAACTCTCATATCAAACATGACATAAAATTTTATATTAAAATGCATTTATTCAAGGAAAATGTACAATGATGTCAAGAAGAATTTCAACCAAACATTGGGAGAGAAGACAGAAATGCACAGATCTTTAAGGTCACACCCAAAATACTGAAATTTGGTGAATATTGGCAAAGAAATTTGGGGAATTAGGAAGTGAAAAACTGTCTACCATCTTCCTTTGGCAAGATAATCTCTTCATCAACTTATGAGTGGAAAAATATGCAGAATTTGTTGTTTTCTGTCAATATCATTGCTGTACACCCTATTACCTGTTCTGCCAAAATGTGGCCACCACCTCTTAGCACTGAAATAGAGGGAAGGTTTCTTCTTTTTAAATCCATGGCATAGTTGACTCTAGTCAGTCACTTTAATACTATTGTGGCAACTGGAACATCTGTCCATATCTGGCACAGTTTGCTATGAACTAAACCTTGTAAAGGTGGAACCAGCATATAAAAGGACAATCACAACCACAGATGATAATGTTTCTTCTACTAATCAACATTTGCCACTAATTAATTCTATAATACTATTTTCCTAAGTAAATTAATTTATTGCTTATTGTTTTTAAAATTTCCACTAAAAATAGATTTGTCAATTGTCTCTTTGGATATTGAAATTCTTCAAGTGCCCAGTTTGTTTCCATTTCCCTTAATACATAACTTTGTAAACAATAAATAATATTTGATTTATAATTCAGAGAAAAATATAGTTATTATGCACTAGTTATTTTGTAAATACTTCTAAACTCCCAAATAACCTTATATTTACATTGAAGGTAAAAAGGAGGTATTATTATTTACAGTAAATAACAAAAAAGAAACTACAAAATTTAATTTTGTCTGTATACTGCCATAATATGGTTTTTTCTTTCCATGCCAGCTGTCATTTAGCAAATAACGAGAAGCAAACAGGAACTGGATAGAAAAAAAATAAACTGGAGAAAAGTTTAAAAAATGAAATTCAGCAGGTGTGGCTCATCTTGACAGTAGGAATAACCGGAGCAAAGTTGTTTAAGTTCTAAAATAAAATCATTCAATTATTCATTCCAAAAAAAAGGGGGGAATCTCACACTTTAAAACAAAGCAAAGCATTCAGGAGAGAACTGCAGCCACATCTCCATTATTCCTGCATGGGTTATCCACATAGAATCACTTACAGTAAATCTGTGTCTTTTGCTGGCTCACCTTGATTCTTCAGGCGCTTCTAACTCACCCTCCCACCATCCTTCACAAAGGTGTGACCAGAAAACATTTCTATGTGATTTTGCACTTTTAAAAATTTGAAACGCAAATGGTTCATTTTTGCTTATCCACTACTGCTTCATTAAGCATGAGGCTATCCATTACCCTGGACAACGGAGACTTGGCTGTAGTTAAAAAGAAGGAGAACAAAAATTGCCAACCGGATCAACAAGCCTGGTTCATAAAAAGGAAAGGTGAAATAAACAATAATCAGACATAGAAGAAAGGATCCCCAAGAAAAGAGATTATGTCAACCAGGAAAACTTTGCACCATTATCAGAAACCAAAAAAAAAAAAAAAAAAAAAAAGGACTATCTTAAGTCTGCTTGAGTATGCATGTATGTGATATTGCTAACAACCAACCTTGACAAATGTCACACTCAATGTGTCTACATACAATTGAATAAAGAAAAGTCAGTTTTCATTCTAGATAACTGATTAAAAACAGAATAAAAACTTGGCCATTATTTCTCACAAATACACAAGTCAAAAGCTCTGCAGATAATAAAACGAAAACACTCTCAGTCTTCAGCTTCCTAGATTGCACTTATTCCTAGAACATCCTTTCCATCCTAAGCAACCCCATGTCACATAGTTCCATGGAGAAAGGTGTGGGTGCATTTATTTTGAACTCCAAATCTTAATTAGTTGGCAAGTCCAATCTTGTGGATATTTGAGGTTTTTTAAGTAATGTCTTATTTAGCTCAAACTTAATGCTATCAGAAGTGCAAAGCATGACTGTTGATTTAGACTTACCCTGTCTCCTTCTCTACTTCCTGCTTTAGGGAGCAGACATGCTGCTGACATCGGTAGCAGAACCACTGGCAGCTTCCTCTCAGTGGTTTTGCTATGGCAAGGAGCGGAAGGCCAGACAATCTTCAAAAGATTTACCTGGAGGGACAGGGAGGAGCAAGCTACTGGCAGCTGGGGGGAAGAGGGAGTGCAAGCTAACGCAGGCGAGGTTGGGGAAGAACGTACTAGAGTTTAATATTCAATTGAAATCAGTGAATTGCATTAGGATACTGAAATAGGACACTATGAAAATTGGGTTTTGTAATACTGACTTGTCTGTGATGTACACAGTCGTCTACACTGTGAATTTTTTCTGGCTGTGATTTTCAGGCTTTTCGTATTGGTATTAATAATATTATGGGATCTTTGCATACAGACAGGAAAAGAATTATTCCAGGAATCTATCCAATCTCAAGAGAAAATCTAATTATCAATAAGAAAGGGACGTGTATGCTTGCTCTCTTTTGCTTTCATTCTCCTTTTCTCTTCTCCCTTGACACATCTACACACACTCACACTCACACACATACCTGGGAAGGGGTACAAGGGAGAAGGTTTGTAAAGAGATAGGGAGAGGAGGGAATAGGAGGGCAAGGAAGGGGGATAGAATACATTTTACATGAAAATATTTTCCAAGTAGTTGAAGTTGACAGTTGTTTGAATTCACTTACAGTATGGAAAGGCAAAAACATGTGAATTAACAAAAATAACAACAACAAAACAACTAATATTGATAATATTTATTAACTGTCTTCTGCATGCCAAATACATCAGTGTTTTATCTAAGAAGGCTTATTTAATCCATTCAACAACCTTATGCCTAAACATCATCATCCACATTTTACTGATGAGGAGACTGAAATTCAAAGTCACAAATTAACACATTTAACATATGGCAGAGCCAGAAATTGATCACAGATTAAGCTGTCCCCAAAGTCTTTATTTTGGCATTCTGAGATCCAGACTGCTACACATTATGTTAACTATTCAGATAAAATCTGCAACTAAAGAGAAAGCTGATATATTGTAAGAATCTGGTCAGAGAAAGGCAAAAGTAGGACTACAAAATTTTAAACACTTTGCTTCAAGGAAGTTAATATCAAACCCTAATTCACATTTTTAATTTATATTTCTGGTTAAGTCATAGGATTTTATAACTTGTGTCTCAAGCAGTTAATATAATCCAAATGGCTTAGCATCATCATAAGTATAAGCATTTATCATTACACTCTTTTCAACGTCATGCACACAAGTTTCAATGTTTAGAATTTAATGTATGAAAGTGGTGTTCAAAATATACCTTACATTTGCAGCAGCTTTCTGGAGGCTAAATATAAAAAAAAAAAATCTGTGGAAGATAATAGAATCCATGAGTTATGCACGGATTTTACTGTTATTTAGTAAAATGTGTAATAATGATACAATATCAAGTCAGGAAGTATTTTATTGAAATTTATGAAGTGTTTTTTCATCATTACCAAAGCACCAAGTAACTGTGACGCAGGACTTTTAACATACCTTCCATGGTGTTGGTCAAAATACTGGCTATACTCATTGCTCTTTGCCTTGATGTAGGATCTTCCAATAAATCCATGGAAACATGATAAGAACTGGACCGTCTCTTTCTTATTTCTGTTTCAGTAGTTGTGCCCTAGAAGTAGAATTTCAGATGAAATAACCACTATTTTTGAAAGCAGCAAAGCCCAAAGCATTCCTACAACAGGTGTTATTTAACTAAATATACACCATGCTTTCTCAGATGTAAAAAGCTCACTAAGATATTGTTGGAATGATAATTCTTTGGGGGTTGTTTAAAAGTCTGTCAGATTTTCAGCTTTTGGGGAGCCCTGGGTTTGTCAAGGTGGGCTTTCCTATGCCTCTATCCCAGGGATTTGGGCTGGAGGGACCAGGTCCACTACTGGACAGATAACCTTTTAGCATTTCAGCCAATCCCACTTAGGACTTCAGACCAAAACATATTGTTTCTTAATTTTCACCCAGGTTGAGTTTTTAGATCTTTATAGACATATATTCAGGTAGTTTAATATATGAACAAAAAGGTTTGAAAGTCTCCTTCATATGCATCAGTAACAGTTCCCCTAAAATGTGAATTCCAGTTGCAAAATGCCTTCATTCATTAGACACAGGTAATATTTCCCAACATTCCTAATTACAAAACTAAATTTTAGAACTAGTCTATAACTTTGTCCTATATTTGAAAAACAACTTAATCCACAAAACAATCCACCCTTGGCACTGAGACTATAATTTAAGGAGATAATACCAATGTGGGGGACTGTGATTTTTAGTAATGATACAATGATCTGATAATCTCCTACTCCAGAATAAACTCATCAGGATTTCAACATGGGTGGAAATTTATTCCTACTTCAGGAGATCAAACAATGATGTCAATTATCACAGGAAAAAAAAAGGTAAAGCTAAAGAATTTCAAATGCAGGTCTGAGTGTTAATAATAAATTAAAAAGTTTCATTCCTTTGAGGACTTTCCCTATTTCTAAAAGAACAATATGATCAAAATATAATAATATGATCAAAATATTATTTATTTTGGTCACATCCTATTATGATGTGAACAATTAGCAGTATTTTATCTTTTGTAAGTTGAATTATTTTAATGCATACATATTCAAAACCAAAATTTCCACTCATTGCATATGATTGTCACTAATGGTGATAACTATTCATATAGGTCATTCTAAAATTAATTTTAAGGTAAAAAAACAAGTAAAATTAGTAAGAAAAGAAATAACCTATCTCTAAAAATAAAAGTCTTTTAATCCAAAGGGTGCCTCTTAGAATTTAAAATATTTCAGCTTGTCAGAAAGAGGCAAAGTTTTAAGGAAAAAAAAAATAGTCACATGAAGATCATCTAGTCCCTTCTGTTCTACACAGAAGCACATGTACAAACCTAGATTTGTCTAATTTTCAAATAGATTCCAAAACTGCTAATGACATTACTCGATTGAATTTATGTGTAAAGTACAGGAAATGATGTGCTTTCAAGGGTGTCATTTGCCCATAGCTATTTATTTTCTATTGTCATTTCACCTCTGCATTCTCCAAAAGCCTACTTCATTTGTTTGCACCTTCAGCTCAACTTTGCAATAGTACAGTGCCCTGCCTCAAAGCACTTAAGATTGTAAGATTAAAGAATGAAGTTGAGGAAGCAGGAAATAAAGGGACCACACAAAGCTTTGCTTCAAGCTGGCCCCAACTTTGCCTTCAGCGATTTGTCCCATCATCTCTGATAGGACAGGAGATTTATGATAATTATTGATAAATGCTAAATAATTTCTGACAGACTGACAGTCTGTCTGTATTCCTGCATGGTAATTGTAGATTTGCTTTTGTTTACCCAATTAACATTTATCAAGATCAGTGATAAACATACTTTATTATGTATAAGAATTATGTGGGATGCTTGTTAAGGAAGAAGATTCCCAGACCTTGTTCTCCTCAGTGGTTTGGTCTGAAAAGGTCTGGGTAGGCACAGGAATCTCTAGTTTTAAGAAGCCTCCCATGAGATTCTGATGTAAGTAGTATGAAAGTGAAGTATATTTTGAGAAACATTGGTTAAAATGAAAGTGTTTATGTGTTTATTTCCTTAACCATCTCTTCTTTTTGATTTAAAGAAATTAAAAATAACTCAGTGGGAGGCAATATTTCACTGTTGATAGAATGTAGGTTCAGTAACCAGCATACCTGGGGTCAAATCTTAGCTCCACCACGCACAAGCCTCAGTTTCCTCCTCTGTAAAATTGGGATAATGTTACTAACTATCAAAAAGGGTTGTTATGATGCTTAAATGATTCTTAACACATGTACAGTGTTCTGGACAGTGTCTGGTACATGGTTATCTATGATCATTTTTTAAGAAGAGCTGATGTCCTCTCTTCATTCTTCCTGGTTCCTCCACTATAAAGTTCTACTTTTCTCATGGTTCAACCTGACTGCAGGATACCTGGACACTTCTCTGGTAGAAGGAGGTGGGGAGAGGCCATGCAAAAAATGTGAAGAAGATAATGGCTATTTTATAATCCAAGATAAGAAGCTCCTCCATTAGGTAACTGAAAACGAACTCCGTATCATTTTAATGTGGCTCAAAGAGCTTGTTCAATGATAATAAATGGAGCTATGTGAAAAAAAAATCATAAGAAGACATTTTGAATGCTATAAAATACAATCAAGTGACATTGCCAAAATATGTCTTGATAGCTAATGGAATTTTATTTAATACCAACATTAAAAGCTTCTTATGGTTTATGAAGTAAATTTCAATAATATAGCCCTGTAAGTGTCTAGTATGTAGCTGAAATCCTTTTCCATGTGATTGGTTTTGGGCCACTTTGTTTACAATAAGAGTTTATGACAGTAATATAAAAATTGGAATCTGCTCTAAAAATGACAGCCCATGATTCCAAACCAGGTACTTTTTGAATGGCTCTTCATGTATAAATTTACAATGGTTGAGATCATTAGAGTGGATGCTAAAAAGGTTACAACACTCTGACCTGCAAAGAGAGGCAATGTTGTACTATGGGATTTAAATCTATTTAGTAATAGTATCTACTGCAAGTGGAAGTATTCAAATCTCCTTTTAAATGAACAACAATCACAAAATCCTTAAGTATTTATTTAATTAGTGAGCATTAATTTCCTTGGATTTAATTTAACTATATTAATCAAACATTATGCTTGATAAATTGTTGCTTTGCTTTTTGGCGAGTTTCATACCATAGTAATAATGATGAAAGATTACTTCTAATTATATTCTCTGACAGCCAACCTAGGTTTTTAATTACTTTGTAGAAAAGTCTGAATAGAACAGTTTCACAAGACAGTTAACAGCTTGATTGAACAAACTCCCAGCCTTTGGGCAACAAACTCAACAAATTCTTAGATGTGGAAATGGAAAAACACTCCTGCCTGCACCAGTCACAACTCTCTTCACATCAGCTGCAATTTTAATTGGCCTCACCTCTGGTAGGAGCTGCCCAGCAGATGTGAGGGTAGAAGGGCCCCCGACCAGGGAGACCACACCATTGCAGTCCACAGCGCTATGCATCTTCCCATTCATGGGCAGGATGGGGAGCACCCTGGAGGCACGGCTGGCCTGGCTGACATTGCTGTGGCGCCGTTCTCCATGTCTGTGCGGCACGAACAGAGAGTCTCTTCGGCTGTCATTGTCCTCAAAGGTGCTGTGCTCATCATCAGCAAAGTCATTCTCAGAGCCAATGTCCTTTGCTCGACCTCTGAAGCTGAAAAGGCTCGCCCTACTGTTGCGTCTTGGAGAGAAAAGGGAGCCACGGATGCTCAGTAAGGACTATGAATAACAAGAGAAGAAACAAAAATGAGATGAAGAGAGTTAAGAGCTGGCATTCTGAAAAACAGAATTTGATTCATTGTGTCATAGTCATTGACTTACTCAAGGATAAGTCATTGGACATGTGGAAGAAAGCACCCCTCTGATGACTGCTGGTGGCATTTTGGCACTTTCTACAAGGTTCACCTTTTCTATTTCACTCTCGCTTTTTCTCCTTCCTCCATTTTCCATCTTCTGCTCTCTTTTCTCCTACTTTACCCACACCTCAACATAGTCAGAAGTGTCCCCATAATGTTTTGTCCTGTTACGGGCATCTAGAACTGATACTGTTGATAGACCCTTCTTTAGAAGTTAATTTCAGTTAACAACCCAATGGAAAACAATTAAACACAAATCTACCTTTAGATCCTCTGAGGTCAAAAATGTAGCCAGTAAGAGCTCGCTAGTGACCACACCCTGATGCAAATCTTACCATGGAGGAAATATAATTAATCTTGCTAGTAGGGATGTTTAATTATAGTACACGGGGCAGCTTCTCCACTTCCCTTTGCATATTTTATGATGGTCTTCATGAATAAATTAAATCAAGCTGAAATAACTGTATGATTTATTCCCCAATTTTCACCCCTTTGTCTCTGTCTCAAGAAATCTGAGGGCAATATTTACAAAAACTTAATTTTCACTAAGAGGCTGATCACAACCATTTAATTTTTTGTTTTTTTAAATCAGTACCCTGTTCAGCCTTGAGAAATAATCCTCAACTCTCAGACCAGGTTATCTGGGAGACACTAATTTCAACTCCTGGATGCAGCAGGACTTGAGGCTCGGGTCTCCCAGTGTTCCAGGCACTGTCCTAGGCCTAGCCAATCAGTGTATTCGATACGTAATTTAAAGATGGTCATGAAATCCTGCTTGGTCAATTGAAAGATATCCCTGTCTTTTACAACTGTTGAGGAAATGGTGCTTTTTCACTTGAGGCTGCTAAAAATATTGGCTTTAAGTTTGGAGCTGCAGTGACATCTTGCCACCATGTGGGAGGAACCTAGATTCAGATATGGAGAAAGACATGGTCATGGTAACATGTCTTGAGCTTCTGGATCCATCCATGCCTAAAGCTACTCACAGACATAATTTATATCATCTAATACATTCTCTTTTTTACTTCAGCCAGCTTGCATTGGATTTATGTAATTATTATTGGAAAGAATACTAACTTCATCATTTAAGTATTATTGGTTTGATCTTTTCCTCTCCAAAGGTTCAAAACTAACTAAAACCATTATTTTATACCTACTAATATCTAGGTTTTTATATGCCTGACTAATATGGTTTGGCTGTGTCCCCACCCAGATCTCATCTTGAGTTGTATCTCCCATAATTTCCATTGTTGGGGGAGGGACATGGTGGGAAATAGTTGAATCATAGTGGCAGTTTTCTCCATACTGTTCTCATGGTAGTGAATAAGTCTCATGAGATCTAATGATTTTATGGGGAGAAATCCCTTTCACTTGGCTCTCACTCTCTCTTTGCCTGACACCATCCATGTAAGATGTGACTTGCTCCTCTTTGCCTTCTGCCATGATTGTGAGGCTTCCCCAGCCACATGGAACTGTAAGTCCAATTAAATGTCTTTCTTTGGTAAATTGCCCAGTCTCAGGTATGTCTTTATCAGCAGCATGAAAACAGATTAATACAGTAAATTGATACCAGGAGTGGGACGCTGCTGAAAAGATACCCAAAAATGTGGAAGCAGCTTTGGAACTGGATAACAGGCAGAGGATGGAACAGTTTGGAGGGCTCGGAAGAACACAGGAAAATGTGAGAAAGTTTGGAACTTTCTAGAGACTTATTGAATGGCTTTGACCAAAAGCCTGATGGCAATATGGACAATAAGGTCCAGGCTAAAGTGGTCTCTCATGGAGATGAGGAACTTGTTGGGAAATGGAGCAAAGGTGACTCTTGTTATATTTTAGCAAAGAGACTGGTGGCATTTTGGCCCTGTCCTAGAGATTTGTGGAACTTTGAACTTGGGAGAGATGATTTAGAGTATCTGGCAGAAGAAATTTCTAAGCAGCAAAGCATTCAAGTGGTGACTTAGGTACTGCTAAAGGTATTCAGTTTCATAAGGGAAGCAGAACATAAAAGTTTGGAAAATTTGCAGCCTGACAATGTGACAGAAAAGAAAATCCCATTTCCTGAAGAGAAATTCAAGCAGGCTGTAGAAATTTGCATAAGTAATGAGGAGCTGAATGTTAATCCCCAAGACAATGGAGAAAATGTCTCCAGGGCATGTCAGAGATCTTTGCAGCAGCCCCTCCCGTCACAGGCTCGGAGGCCTAGGAGGAAAAAGTGGTTTCATGTGCCGGGTCCAGAGTCCCACGCTGTGTGCAGCCTAGGAACTTGGTGCCCTGTATCTCTGCGGCTCCAGCCATGGCTGAAAGGGGCAAATGTAGAGCTAGGCCCATGGCTTCAGAGGGTGCAAGCCTCAAGCCTTGGCAGCTTCCACATGGTGTTGAGCCTGTCAGTGCACAGAAGTCAATAACTGGGATTTGGGAACATCTGCCTAGATTTCAGAGGATGTATAGAAACACCTGGATGTACAGGCAGAAGTTTGCTGCAGGGGCAGGGCTCTCATGGAGAACCTCTGCCAAGGCAGTGAGGAAGGGAAATGTGGGGTCAGAGCCCCAACACAGGGTCCCTACTGGGGCACTGCCTGCTGGAGCTGTGAGAAGAGAGCCACTGTCCTCCAGACCCAAGAATAATAGATCCACCAACATCTTGAACCGTGTACCTGGAAAAGCCACAGACATTCAATGCCAGCCCATGGAAGTAGTCAGGAGGGAAGCTGTACCCTGCAAAGTGACAGGGGTGGAGCTGCTGAAGACCAAGGGAACCCACCTCTTGCATCAGCGTAACCTGGATGTGAGACATGGAGTCAAAGGAGATCATTTTTGAGCTTTAAGATTTGACTGCCCTGCTGGATTTTGAACTTGCATGGGGCATGTAGCCCCTTTGTTTTGGCCAATTTCTCCCATTTGGAATGGCTGTATTTAGCTAATGTCTGTATCCCTATTGTATCTAGGAAGTAACTAACTTGCTTTTGATTTTTCAGGCTCATAGATGGAAAGGACTTGCCTTGTCTCCGATGAGGCTTTGTTTGGACTGTGGACTTTTGAATTAATGCTGAAATGAGTTAAGACTTTGGGGGACTGTTGGGAAGGCATGATTCATTTTGAAATGTGAGGACATGAGATTTGGGAGGGGCCGGGGGTGGAATGACATGATTTCTCTGTGTCCCCACCCAGATCTCATCTTGAGTTATATTTCCCATAATTCCCACTGTTGTGGGAGGGACCTGGTCAGAGATAGTTAAATCATGGTAGGGGTTTTCCCCATACTGTTCTCATGGTACTGAATGGGTCTCATGAGATCTGGTGGTTATATGGGGAGAAACTTCTTTTGCTTGGCTTTCACTCTCTCTTTGCTTGCCACCATCCATGTAAGGTGTGGCTTGCTCCTCTTTGCTTTCTGCCATGATTGTGAGGCTTTGCCAGCCACATGGAACTGTAAGTCCAATTAAACCTCTTCCTTTGCCAAATTGCCCAGTCTTGGGTATAACTTTATCAGCAGCATGAAAACAGAGTAATACACTGACCAATAAGTATGCTTTTTATTTTCTTTCCAGCTAAAGAATTACTTTTTCTCAATAATATCTGTTAGTTTCTATTAAATGTCTGTAAATGTTAAACACTATCTTATGTGATTCTATTCATTATTTACAGTAAGAACCACTTCTTTTTTTTTATTTATTTATTTTTTGAGACGGAGTCTCACTCTGTCACCCAGGCTGGAGTGCAGTGGCGTGATCTCGGCTCACTGCAAGCTCCACCTCCCAGGTTCACACCATTCTCCTGCCTCAGCCTCCCGAGCAGCTGGGACTACAGGCACCTGCCACCACGCCTGGCTAATTTTTTGTATTTTTTAGTAGAGATGGGGTTTCACCGTGTTAGCCAGGATGGTCTCATCTCCTGATCTCATGATCTGCCCGTCTCGGCCTCCCAAAATGCTGGGATTACAGGCATGAGCCACCACACCCGGCCTAGAACTACTTCTAAGAAGACTTACTGCTCCCACAACAGAAGTCATCTCTCCTCTTGTTGTTCCCATGCTTTTTAATCCTATTAACTACATTAGTAACATTCATTCTTTTCTTTTATCATTTTCCATACAAGTAGTTATTTTTTAAAGCCTTTCTTAGACTATCCATCCTTTTTCGTGTCTCCTTTCTCTCCTCTAACAAGGGACTTCGAATTAGCTATGAGGAAATAACAGTTACGGGATTTGCAGGATGTGTGACATACTGCTCCTCATTAGCTAAAAAAGAAAGGCAAACAATACATGCTTTGCAATGAAGAATGTTTCTATCGCTTTTAGTAAGAGTTTATATTTTAACTGCCAGTACCCCATTCAGCTGGAGCCATAGAAGGGTTGGAAGAAAATAAGTTATAAGTTTGCATGTTTCTCAAGGATCATGGATGAATTAAGCTATACAAAAACGTAGTTTACATGTGACAGCTATATGAGAAATGATTGTGCCCCATCCGTTAGCATCAACTTCTTTTGCTGACATTCATTACATAAATGCATAGTAATCAAATGCTGTAACACACAAAAAAGATGGCCAGTAAGAAATATTCCCCATACCAAACCAATCTTTAAAAAGCAAAACTCCTAAACTCCTAGCTTATCACAAATAAATAATAAAGTAATGATTTAAGGTCAATTGTACCTTATAAAGGTTTCAAAAAAATCCAGATTATCTTGAAACTTGTTTAGAGATTACATTCTTGACTTTCTTCTCCCCTCTTTACCACACTAACAAGTCAAATCAGAGTCTGAGAAACAATTCATATTTCCACTTACTCTACTAAAGAAATTATAATCTTGCAGTAAAGGCTTGCATTGTATAGTTTTTCAATACAAACACAGAGATGGTTACCAACACAATCATGTCATCACAAAACAATAATTCCTAATATTTTGGGGTCTCAAACTCTTAAAAATCTAACAGACACGATGGGCCCTCCATTGCTATACCAAGATTAAGTACTTCTATCTGGTTTGACATTTTCAGTATTACTTTCAGGGCTTGCCAAGTGGGGTTGGTGTGATTTCAGGGTTTTCTGTCTCTCCTCTCTTCTTCCTTTTCTCCTTTCCCCCCTCTCTCTTTCTCTTTCTTTCCCTTTCCCTCTGTCTTTTTCTGTCTCCCTCTCCATCCTCTTAGACATTTGTTTGACTATTTCTTTATCAAGCAAAATAAAGTCTTTAACTCTATTTTTATATAGAGACTGCTTAAGAAACAAGTATCAATATGAGCCAGCCATGCCATGTCTTCTAAGTCAGTGATTGCTTATAATACCCAACTAGCTGGGAAATGGAGGTATGTAGAGGTATGAAGAAGAGGCTGCTGGGAGAATATCATATCTATGAACAAAATGTACAGAAAAAGGAAGGACAGAGCCTAGCCTTATCAGGCTTCACTATTTTGCCTAGAATTAGTTTTATTCAATTAGAAATAAGGCAAATTGAAGAGAATCTCTGTGGTAAGTGTTTGATATGAAGTTGATATGAAGTTTCAAATCTAGGCCAAAATTTAGGCAAATTTTGGCCAAAACTTAGACAACTTCAGGCAAAAATTCAGACAAACTTAGGTAAAAATGTAGGCAAAAATACTCTATCTTCCTCCCTCCTTTGCTCCCTTTTTTCCTCTCTCTCTCTCTCCCCCCTCCCTCCCTCCCTTTCTTTTTCTTCCTTCCTTTTCAGAATGACTAATACTGTAAACAGGGGGTTTGCCTTTTAAAGGATTCCTATTTATTGATTAATGTTTCTACTAATGGAATCATGATTGTGACAACAAAATGAAAGAGACCAAGTAAATTTTGATATTTAAAGATCCTATGTTAAATTTGAATTAATCCCCAAGTATGCAATCTTATGATGTTATTTGGATTTGAAATGAATAAGGCTGACCTAAAAAAATTTATATATATCACATGTGAGGTTATGTGAGCTTGTCTATATTATAAAAAGGTAAAAGAGAAAGTATAATGCCATTGTGTATTTTAAATAAAGTTATATTGTAAATTTCCTTATCAGTTTTTAAAGGCATTCTTCATAGGCAACTTGATAAAGTGGAAACTTTAAGGTTTTCAGTACCAGGCAAAATTTGAATACCAACAACCCTAATATGAACAAGACACTCAAAGATCATAATAACTTTTTCTATTGCTATATGACATTGTGCAACTATTTAACTTTACTGATCCAAAATAGCTTTTTCATTATAGTAATGAAAATAATACTATTCTACAGAACTGTTAGCATTAATTATGAGAATGTAGAAAGAATGCCAAGCATAAAATAGGTACTCAACAAAGAATGCAGCCCCCTGCTTCTCTTCACATATAAAAATTGGGGATATTAACTAAATTAGAACTTACCTAGGGTTGCAGTGAAAGGCTTAATGCATTAATATTGCAAATAACAACACAGTGTATAAATATTAGCCATTATCAATGTTGTTGTTGTAATTGTTATTGTTACTGTATAGGTATTAAGGTTTCACTCCTGGTGAAAATGTCTTCTGAGGTACTGTGTATTCCTGTGAATTCTCTTGGTAATTTCAAAGACAATTAAGATTCTAAATTTTAAAATTTCAACAACTTGCATGAGTACAAAAGGCAGAGGCATCCAGTGAATATTTGTTGCAGTTTATAAATCACAGTATTCTTCAAATGCAAGTCCCATGTTTAACATGAAACACAGATAATCAAGTACAACTAAACACCACTTTTTATTTCGTGTCATAAATCTCCCTCAGTACCTGCCTATCTGAGAGTTTTGGCTACTTTTAGAGATATTTTGTTTCAGTCCCCTTTGAAACAAAGGCATGAAGAATGCACTTGGCAAGTGATGTTTGCACCTTATGGGAACAACCCCGCAGGTGGCCTAAAAGAGTCTCTGGTCCACTTCTGGGAATTTGTCACTCAGAAAACCCAAAGTTCACTAGATCCACGCACAATAGTTAAGAAGAGATGGGAACCATCTGCTGATAATTCCTGATGTGGAAAATTTCTCCAAGATTTTTCAGTCTTTAAGAAAACCTCAAAACCGCAAATTTTTCCAAACCCAGAGGGATCTAAAATTTCCTTCCTGGGATTCCAAAAAGTTGCAAAACTCACAAATTCTCTGAAGTGATAGCCAAAACACTTGATAATCATCACTACTCTGAAAGCATTGTGCCATCCAGGTGGAAGGCGGTTTTCTCTCCATTAAATTCTGGCATATTTTTTTAAAAAATTTATGAGAACACAATTCATGTAATTTAATATTTTTACCTGGTGTGGAGAAGAAAATCTCTTTTCATATGTCAGCCTACTTCCTTCCAAGGAAAAACGGAAACCTTTTCTTCTTATGCTGTCTTCAGATTCCGATTTTCGGACTCTGTCATTTTTCTCTTCTTCTCCAGACTGTTCTTTCTGTTTCTTTTTCTTTCTTCTGTTTTTCAGCTCTTTTTCACTTTTGGAGCTCAACTTAGATGCTACTGAAGAACTCTCTGAAAAAACTCCTATCCCACCAGCACCACTGAAGTCTCTTGATTCAGCAGATGCGGCTGCAGCTGCCGCCTAGAAGGGCGCAAAGTATGTGGAAGTTGCATATAAACTTAAAAAGTAATTATCATGTTACTGCTTAATTGAGCTTCAATATCATGAAGATAATCTTGAAAAACAATTCTCCATTTTATTCTGTGTTTTAGAAAACAGTACATTGTTATTAGACCAATCAAAGAGTAAAATGGGCATTCATATGGAAGATGATACATACGACTTTTATGAGAACCTTCAAGCTCTGTCCTCACACTATGATATCTAATTATCTAATAATATGAGCAAGACACTTAAAGATCATAATAACATGTTCTATAATTCAAACAATATTTTAAGAAGGAAATAATATGGGAATTAAAGACTTCCTATTTAAACCTGGTAGACATTTGCCTTTGATTCCATTTTCACACAATAAAGAAATTTAGTGCTAGTCTGAATTATTAAATGTAATTCAGTCAAGTATTTTATTTTAATGACATTTTTCTCCGTGATTTAAATTGGGTATTTCACTAAGAAATGCACAGCAAAGACATAATACAGAGTGTTTATTTGAGAATCCTAGATCATGGCATCTGCATGAACTTGTAAAGTATAACAGTAGTTTTGTTGCTATTACAGCAATATACTTTGACCTTTATTACATATTTAGGAATACTCGGTAATAAAAGGGAATTGTATTCACCATACATGAAAAGACAAAAATAGGCAATTGGATTAGTTAATGCCATTAAGTCAAGCAAATATAATTAGAGAAATTCTTGCCTTATTTTGAAGGCTTGTCAAGTCCAAATTAAAGGATTTGTAGAGTAGGAGGCAGAGAGTGCTAATGTTTTAATATGTTTACACACTAGTGATTTACTGATGTAACCCACAAACTTGCATTTGTACACTTTATATAAAAGAGAACAAATATTGAATAAGCCTTTGCCTTTCCAGACTCAATGAAATAATTTTCTTAGTTTGATTCTGGTTTTCTGACCCTTACCACCTCTGGTGATACTGCAATGAAGAAGCAAGTGTAACTGAATTCCTCTTCCCCTAAGAAAATACTTCAACTGAGGACATGTAGGTTTATCTACTCTGCAAGTTTGAGTACATGAGGCCTTTGTTAATCATTAATTTCCTCAAGGAGTCACAAGGGAGAAAAAAATGTCAGTAAAGCAATTATAATTATCCATTTTTTGATGCCATTACTATTGACACTATTGACAGAGATCATTGCAATAAAGTAATAACTTCTTAATAACCAAACAGGCTCCTAGCACTTACCAAACACATATGACCTATTTCTAATGTCAACTACCTTGCCACTGACCTCAACATTTAGGTTAAAGAATTTAGATAAAGAAAAACAAAGGACCGTATGCTTGTTCACTATACCTGAGCTTCTTCTTGTTGCTTTTTCAACTGTTCGAGCATCTGCTGAAATTCAGCTTCCTTCTGTTCAGCCTCTTCCAATGTGGCCTGATTCTGTTCCTCATAGGCCATGGCCACCACAGCCAAGATCAAATTTATTAGATAGAATGAGCCCAAGAAAATGACCAGCACAAAAAATATCATGTACGTTTTCCCAGCAGCACGTAGTGTCTGCAAAATGGAAGAGAGATTTTAATAAATTTTATATAGGATGTTACAAACTTACACTCTAAGTAATAAAATATTCTACAGCAATTCTCTTGAGTTCGGTGTTTTATGATTCTCAGAAAAATGATTTTATCTGTTCTCACCAGTTGATAAAGGTTTTCCCAGAAGTCTTGAGTCATGAGACGAAATAAGGACAAAAAGGCCCAACTAAAGGTGTCAAAGCTCGTGTAGCCATAGTTGGGGTTTCTACCAGCCTTCACACAGATGTATCCTTCAGGACACTGGCTATAATTAGGTTAGAGGAAAGAAAGGAAGTCAATAACGGCAAGTCTGCTAATTGGTTTTCCTGTTTTAATATATGCCAATGTCTGTTTTATACAGGCACTAGAAAAAAGCCGATTTCTCTCACCTTACCCAGTACTTAACTCAGCACTAAGTGGACTGATTTATATAATAACAGAATCTATAAGGTCTACTTTGTGGATTCCTCTGTGATTCATAATTGTCATTATTATATTTATTATGTCTCCATATAAAAGCAATCATATCATGATTAATATCTTCTGGGACTTAAGGGCAGTTAAAAAAGTCTGTAAGGAAAAAGTTGATTTTCACTGAGGATGTCTTGAGGCAGAAATGTGTGTAAGTGTGGGAACAGGGTAAAGAAGTGAGAAAAGGATAGGTGGGGCATGCTGCAAGGAGTGAATGACACTGTGTGGTAAAAATGTCATAGGAGGACCTTGAAGATCAAGCAGACCTGGCTTCAATGTCTTGCCTGACACTTCTGAGCTGAACGATCTTGGGCAAGTTACTTAACTTGCTAATCTTCAGGCACCTCGCATGTGAGAATGGGCTAATAAGAGAACCTGTCTCACAAATTTGCAAACATTGAAGAAGATACTGTATGTAACGCATTTAGTACAGTACAAACAAGGAATGAAAATCAATTGATTTACTTATCATTGGAATCTGAAGATAAAGGCAGCATAGCACTGATCGTAGGAGCCAAATGGAAAGCCTATTATCACTGGGAATTTTGCTACAGGTATTAGCTACTAATGTCCACAGTATCATCGTCCAAAGAAAGTGCATTAGACTTTTGTGTGTGGCTCTAAAATCTTGCTAAATAAAGAAAATTAACTGTGTTTTTAAATTTTCCTAGGATTTAGCTCCATGTTTCTTAATAGCAAACATTTGCATGATCCCAATAATAACAATTACAAGCACTTATTGAGCGATCTAAATAGCTATACATTTATTAATCCACTTCATCATCACAAAAACCCTATTATTATACCCATTTGTCATATAAGGAAACGAAGGCAAGAAGAAATGAGATTATATGATGGAGTCAAAGTCTGACTCTATGCAGACTCTCCAGTTTATGTTTGTAACCACTTTGCTAAAATATGCTAAATACTCCCCATGTCTCAGATATTAACATTATTTTCAGAGATCTTACATTTTAAGCTATGGAGAACACATTAGTATATATAAAATATGACACTTATAAAAAGTATGTGCTTAAGAATTCTATTAAGCTTCAGATGCATATTATACTGCTTTATTCTCTATTTTACATTGAACTAATTTGGAAGATTAGATGTGACCTAGCATAGAAAAATAATTGCAGTAAATGACTGTGTGAAAGAGGTGAGAATCTACACTTATCCTGGCTATTCTGAGAGTCACCGTGAAGTAGAATTTATGGAGGGTTTTGAGTGAGGAGTGAGTGGGACTGGATGAGTGGGAGGTGGCAGGTTATTGACACTGATGGAGCAGTGTGGACTGAAACTCAGTAGGAAGCATCACTTACCCTGCATCTGAGCTGTTGCCACAAAGCAGAGCATCATTTTGCCCCTCTAAAAAATAAAAGTGACCTATTTAAAGAGAAAGGAATAGAAAGAATCATTAAAATCCTGTAAAACACTTCAGCCACCCTGTTTAGGTGGCAAAGCTCACAAATGTTTTCAATCATAATGAGATGGATAAACTAATAAATATATATGGCTAAAGAGATTTTTCACAATATTGAACAAATATCAATATATAACATTTTTGATTATACAAATGGTTAGCAAATCTATGTTAAAAAGAAAAATGTTCAGAAGGAATTACTATGATAACATTCTTATATCAGCATTCATTGCAAATATAAGCTCAAATTGCATGGGATACATTAAGAAAGAGCTGCCAGTCTATTGCTGGGCACAAAAAGTAAGAAAGAAGAAAGCCTTGTTGTTTCTAGGTGTTTTCATGCAAATAAATTTTACCTTACATATACTTTTCTCCCCAGGCTCAAAATAGATTCAGACATTTTTTCCCGCCAATTTTAACTTAATTTCCTGTGAGAAGTGGGATTAGGTATTTATTCCCTCTTATGATACTGTAAATAAGTGTTTTGTTTGAAATTTTTGCTTGATTTCTGCCTTTCAAATGAAGAAAATAAACTTGTTTCTTTGGAGAGATATGTTGTCTGAGTATATCTAGTTTTTATTTTTAAGCTATGGAGAGCTATCTAGTTTTTATTTTTAAGGCATGACATATAACTTCAGTAAGTTGCAAAGATGATCTCAGAAAACATGCACACACATGCAAACATACGTATTTTTATATTCACATACAAACATGCACACACATATGAAAAATGACAGAGGGGCTGGGCTCAATGTTAAGAAATCATGCTGAAGTATATGGCATAAGCTTATTCTGATGTTCATACCTTAAATATAATCAAACTAAACTGGTAACTACAATACAATGATGACACTAAAGGGACTAATTAGAATATGAATAAGTGAATGGCTAAATCAGGGTTACTTAACCTTCTGAGGAGCACACAAATTCTTATTTCATCTTGATAAATGGTTTCTCTATTTTCAGATATAGCATATGTACTCAATACATATGTTGCATCAACCAAATAGGGCCAAATTATTTCCCCTCAGTCTTCTTAACACATTTCAGTGGAATACACTGAATAGTTCAAACTACTGACTTATTTATTAAAATGACTGAAAAACCTGATTAATGTCTACCAAATAAACATTTTTTAATATGGCATAATATGAAATTACTTTCAACATGAGTATAAGACAACACATTTTCAAATGAGAACTTTTACTATATCAATGGACAGATAAGAAAAATAGAATAAGGTATCATTTGATATCTCTTTTATATGTATTAAATCATCTTAAATTAGTCTAAGTCACTTGATTCACATCTAAATTGAGATAATTTCCATTATATATAATATTTAATATTTAGAGAACTAAACAACTTAATGGTTTATAGAGTATATCTTACTTTTATCCTCAATATATTCATCCCAGTTAAATATGCTCACTGTCCTATTGAAAGTAGTACCATTCCCATCCAATGAATTGTTAAAGAAGGAAGTGATATTTATTTCAAAGGAAGAATTATCTGGAGGCCATTGCAAACATTTATTTCGTAGGTTGCCCATGAACAACTGCAATCCTATTAGCGCAAACACGCTTAGACAGAACACAGTCAAGATCATGACATCAGAAAGCTTCTTCACTGACTGGATCAGGGCCCCCACAATGGTCTTCAGGCCTACAAACAAAATCAGAAGGGGGAATTTAAATATACTACTCAACAGCTATTTTACCGGCAAAAATATCATGAGCTTGTCCTGGAAAATAAAAATGTCATGCAGAATGCCAACAATATTAGTTTAATGTTTGTGATTGAATAACATTTTCATGAAAAGCCTGCTAGCTGGTGAAAATGAATGAAAGCAGAACTTGTATGTTCATTAGAAAACTGTGAATGGAAATGAACCAAATGTGTATTTCCAAACACTCTTTAGAGCAAAAGAATGATTTTGTTATTCATGCTTAAACATCAACCTTGTGTAAATATTTTGCTTTTATTTGCAGATGTCTTACTCCCTAACCCCTTATTGGTTTTAGAAAAGTCTATGTGAATAGAGTAGTAAGAAATCTTGAAGTCGATGAATTATGAGGTTATATATTTGTGAATTCTGCAAGCTTGAGTATGGGTTAAAAAAAGGAAGACATCTGAAATCTGAGCCCCATGCAGCACTCATGCTATCCCTTGCTCTTTCATTTATCTGCAGCTTAAAAGATTGCCAGTTTTAGGCCTAAACTGTCAAATTTGCATCAGTCTGAATGTCTCTTAGTCTAGCTTCTATGCGGAAAGCTTGATGTTATAGGATGCAAACCATGTAGCCTGTTACTGCAAATGCCTCATGCAACACTTGTTAAACTCAAAGGCTGATTTAGAATAGTTTTAAAGAAAGCAACGAGTAAAAAGCAAAGAATCAAATCCATCCAAAAAATGATGTACCAATTCTTGCTTTTTTACATATTTATTTGCAATATGCAACTAGCAACAAGGCTTCTGCACAAAAGCTGTGATTGTAGCACCACTGTAGCTAAAGTCAGCCTCGGTGTTTAACCTAGCTCTCACCTGGAATGACTGAAATTGTTTTCAATGCTCGGAGAACTCTGAATGTTCTCAACGCTGAGACATTGCCCAGGTCCACAAACTCTGTCACATATCTGTAATAGGGGGTTCACACACAAACACAATGACAGAACACAAGAAACAGTTGGAGATATAAGGGGCCTACCACCTTATACCATTTTCTTCTTACCTGGAATTACAGAAATAGTTTTCAAAGCTCTCAAGACTCTGAAAGTTCGAAGAGCTGAAACATTGCCTAGGTTTACAAATTCTGTTACATACCTGTAGAATTAAATCAGAGTTATTCAGAATTTAGGGAAATCTACGTCTTCCTTGGTCTTTCATCAAGACCTTTTTAATTTCATGAGTGTCGCCATCAGCTTTCCCAATTAAGAGGAAAATGGCATTGTCATCAATCATAATCTCTGTTATTTGGGAAACTTTATTACTTTACAGTGCTAATTGAAACCAAAGCCATGTAATTTACTATGATAGTTCCTAATTTCTCCAAACTGGATAATTTGATTGGAAGAAAACTATGATTACTAAGAAAAATGCTTGGTCTGTCAAGGCAAGCCACCAAGGAAAATATAGTATAGGCTCCCACCAGTGATTTACTCTTCCAGGATAGAAAATGTATTAAGATACTTACGCAAAAGTAATGACTGTGAAATCCAACCAATTCCATGGATCCCGTAAAAATGTGAAATCTTCTAAACAAAAGCCCCTTGCAAGTATTTTAATAAGTGATTCAAAAGTATAAATTCCTGTAAAGGTATACCTGAGAGAAAATAGCCAAGCTCACATTAAAAATCTAGTGGTTAATTTACAAGTACATATCTTAAAGATGACATAAACAGCAAACAAAAATTAGACACTTCCAGGTTGGTCCCCCTACGATATAGAGTTTAGGTGGGGCTTAAGTCAAAAAAGAAACATTAAATTCCAAAAGACATTCTCATTGACTGTAAATAAATGTATATTGCATTTTCCACATTAATTAATTTAAAGGATCCAAATAATGTGGCTCTATATGAAGACATAATCTGAAATACACTGGCATTCAGTCCGATTTGAGCAAATAGGTATTAATACAAAAATGAGTGAAGCATTTGTATTTCATAAAATATGCACCATTAAAAGCCATCAAACATATACTAGTAACACAGAACTGTGGTAGTCATTAAAAAAGGAACATAAAAACTAGGTATACTTTTTATCAGTAGATATTAGTAAATCACTGGTGATCTTCAAAAGAACATAAGACTCACAAAGAAGATAAAGGGCTGCAGATAATAGCAGTCAAACTACTGCAGTAATTTACACAACTAAGTGAGCCCACTACAAGCTTTGTCCTAGAAGACATTTAGTGACAGAAATGAATTTGAATCAGGGTCTGGTTAACAGTAGCTAGCATGATTTGTTAAAGAAATTGAGGAGGTCTCAAGGTGTTAAAAGCACAATATGAAACATAAAGGGAGGTCAATATTGAAAAATATTTATACTTACTCCACATTCTTTGTCCAGTCTGGAGGGTTACTCATGGTCATAAATACACAGTTGGTAAGAATCGTGCACATAATGAGCATATTGAATAAAGTAGAATATCGTCAAGGAAGACAAAGTTCAATGGAAAAATCTTACTTTTATGCACTACCATGCCTTCACCACCATGAAGTTTAAAACTTTAGTGCTTACTATTATTTTGTTGCTTATTATTCTATTATTGACCCTTTTTTTTGCCATTTCTATAACTCAGCAACCTCATATTTAGATCTTGTCTTCAGGCCAAGCCATCAACTATTTTGAGGCTATTTAGGTACCTTTAGCAATTAAAAAGATTAAATGCAAAGAAAGTAGTTCATCAGTGAATAATTTATCAACTTAAATTTTCTTAACGACAGACTCAACTGAACATTAAAACTGCAAGTTCAGCACATATGTAAACCCTGGCAAAAATTCAACAAGACAATTCAAGTAATTAATTAAATGTATTATAACATCATTCTAAAAGTTACCCTGGTGGAATGTCTTATAATAAGGTCCTTTCTAAACAGAGGGTATAATATACTGTAATTGCTCATAAAATCCTGAACTATGAGAGAAGATGGCAGGTGTTAGCACTGGCATTTCTGGGGTTTGTAACTAAGGCAAAATTACTTATTAAGTTCCCTGAATCTCAATTGACTTGGTTATAAAAGTAAGAAAAAGTAATCATGTAACAGGATTGCTATGAAGATCAAATTTGTTAAAATATGTAAGTCTCCTTCAACTTAATGGCCCTAGTGCGTAATAGATGCTCAATGAATTGCTTCCTGGATCATACAGAACACAGTTTATTACAAATATTGGGTTGGTTTCACCCTATCCCACTTTGTCTTTGCAGGTATAGCCAATGCCCTTCACTTTCCTTGACATTAAAAAACAGCAAAAGACAAAAACCAAAACAACTATTTAAGAAAATATTCAGTATCAGATAATAGTAATGACTTTCATATTTAATAAAAAGCATAATAAAGATTTAGTTGCCATTATGTAAAGTGGCACTCTTTATCATTGTGAATCTGGACACAATTATAGAAATTCCAGAGAGGAAATACGTGCTCTTCATATCTTTTCTCACTCCTAATGTTTTTACTATAAATGATCACATTACTTACACATAATGAAATATCAACACTATTACAACTGGACAATGTTGTGTTGATCTAGAAAGAAAGTTCATTTGCATCTAGTACTGGTTTTAGTCAAAACAATAATAATAATTATTATTTTTTAATTTTAGTAGCTGTGCTGTAAGGCCCATGCTTAATTCTCAGTTTTTTCATCCATATGAAAACACTCATAAGTAAATGATGTGCATCAGCCACGTGAGGGCACTATAATCTAGAGAACACACACACACACACACACACACACACACACACACACACACACACACAAAATACCATTTCAAAGAAACACAATTTTTCTTTATTGCTATAACAAACAAAAAACTAAATTAAATAAAGAATGACTTGCTATTGGTATATAAAACTAGAGGGTCCCCTGTGCTTGTTGGTCTGCTGAGCCCTATTGGGGAAAAATAACACCCCGTGGCAGATTGGCACCATTCTAAATTTATGGTCACAAACCTCAGTGGTCCTCAACACAGTCCTGTATTTTCCTACTAGGCTCCATCTCCCACTCTCTGCAAAGAAAAATTTCAAATATTCTCCACTTTCCTCCAGCTTCCAACCCTCTTCTTTCTTCCGGCTCCATTTCAAGCTGAAAACTTATTTTCTACTTTACAGAGAAGAGACAGCATCACAATGCCCCGCCTCCACTTCCCACCCCCAAATCAACAAACTTTTCCACATTGAGACCAATTCTTTCCTCCTTCCTGTTACAGTGGGGAGGTTTCCAATCCCTCCACCGGTATTCTGGACACCTTCCCCATTCCAGAAGACTTCAGCAATCTCTTATCTCTCTCTTTTCTTATCCTTAATGGCTCCCACCTTACTGGCTTTTTCCCAGCAACACAAACTTGCTTACGTCTCCCTTGTCCTGGCATAGGGGAAAGGATATTTCTCTCCTATGACTCACAACCCTCCTTAACTACTACAGCCTTATCTCCCTTTTCCATATCATGGCCAAACTTTTTGAAAGAGCTGCTTATCTTTCCTTTTCTTATATATCTATCATATATTCAGCCTACCAGCTTTTCTTTCTAAAGATGGCAACATCTTCACGTTTTGTCACTAAAAACAAAAGGATAATTTGAGATTATATTTGACATGCTTTCTAAGCAGCATTCAACAAGGATGGTTCCTCCCCTTAGCATTAAGTTATCTTCCCTCTGCTTTCAGGAGGTTCCAATTCCCTGGCTTCTTCATGCCTCAGGGCACCAATTTCTCTGTATTCTTTGAAATGTGGCATTTTTCTTTTTGAAAAGAAAGACATAAGGTATGTAAGCCATCTACCTCTCTTCTACTCTCCTCATCCTAGTGTAGTCCATCAACAAACATTGCTCAACAAACATAACCATTATATACCCACCATTCTCAGATACTTCTCTCCAAGTGAGACCGCTCTTCTGAATTCCACATACTTGATTGTCCATAGGACATCTGTACTTACATATCTTATCAACACTTCAAATTTTGAATTCTAAAACTGAACTTTTGAAAAGTATCTTTTAATCTACCCCTCCATTCCTGCTAATTACTTACTCCTTTGACGTCTCTGTGTCTTATAAAATGTGCATAATATAGCCAGAGACCTATGAGAAATCTTAGATTTCTGTCTCCCCTTAAACGTTCATATCTAATTAACCATCAAATATTGTCAATTCTGCCTGCTATCTCTGGATTCAGTTACTTTTTTCCATCCCCATATCACTGCATGGTCCAAGTGTCTGTCAAGACTAGCATCAAATCTAATAGTCCATCTAGATTATTGCAGTCTCCTCTAAACTGATGTTTCCAAATTCATGTTTGGCTCCATTTAATCCATTCTGCATACTGTGCTAACACGACCATTGTAAATGTAATATGCATCATTTTGGTAGCTTTCTATTACTCTTAGGATGATGATCAAATGTCTTAACACAGAGTCAAGACGCTAGGAGGTCTGATCCCTGTCTACTTCTCCAGTTTCATTTTCTTTTCTCTTCATTGCATTATCCCCATTTGGATAATACTGTAATTATTTTAGGTTGTCAAATGTTATGAATGTTTTATATGCTGTTTCTGACTTTAGGGTCTTGGAAATGTCACCTCTCTTTTTCTTTAGTACTCAGATTGACCTATTACCAGTTATATACCCCAGCAGCCCTTATATTATTCCTCTAATGACAAATTTTAATGATGATCTTCTCAACTACTCTCTGAGCGTCATGAGGACAGGAATCATGTCTATATTATTCACCATTATAGCCTTGCTATTTCACAGTGTCAGTTGACTAATGAAATTAATTTTGCAATTCATTTGTTACTAAATGGAGTTTTTAAAAACAATTTCTGATAAATTATTTAAAAATACAGCATAAAGTTTGTCTTCAAATATATTGTTGGCCAGGTGCCATGGCTCTCGCCTATAATCTCAGCATTTCAGGAGGCTGAGGCAGGCAGATCACTTGAGGTTAGGAGTTTGAGACCAGCCCGGGTAAAATGGTGAAACTCTGTCTCTACTAAAAATACAAAAATTAGCCAGGCGTGACGGATGCCTGTAATCCCAGCTAATCAGGAGGCTAAGGCAGGGGAATCACTTGAACCCAGGAGGCAGAGGTAGCAGTGAGCCAAGATCACGCCATTGCACTCCAGCCTGGGTGACAGAGTGAGACTCTGTCTAAAATATATATACATATTGTTTACACAAGTTTCTACATTTTTTGAGGGTAAAAATATAAGAAAAATATAAGGTGGAAATTAACAGCCTTATGCAATTATGCTGCATTATGGACTCGGCAATGGTTTTATGACACTTAAAAACTTACTCTTTATAGTGGTATAATTTAGTTATATATAAAAAAGTAAAATATATATTTCAACATTAACAAGAGAAATAATTATTTTCTAATTAGTCACTGATAATAAGTCGAAAACAGGCATTTTCCTTATTTCATGGCTATCATTTTAATAAAAGTATACACTTAAGTTAAAACTTCTGATACATAAAAAGAACAATTTTGCTTTTAATAGAAAAATAGTAGATAACTAGGGTCAAGTTTTTACGCTTGTGGTTTGATAGGTATCTCTAAATAGAAAGGCTTAAAATTCACTAAGTTTCTAAATCATTGTTAATTTATTTCATCAGTCACATACTTTACAAATTCCTGGATTCTGGTGAGTGACTGAAATAGTTTCAGATGATCTTAAAAATACTCAAATATGGCCAGGCGCGGTGGCTCACGCCTGTAATCCCAGCACTTTGGGAGGCCGAGGCGGGCGGATCACGAGGTCAGGAGATCGAGACCACCCTGGCTAACACGGTGAAATACCGTCTCTACTAAAATTACAAAAAATCAGCCGGGCGTGGTGGCGGGCGCCTGTAGTCCCAGCTACTCCGGAGGCTGAGGCAGGAGAATGGCGTGAACCCGGAAGGCGGAGCTTGCAGTGAGCCGAGATTGCGCTGCTGCACTCCAGCCAGGGCGACAGAGCGAGAACCCGTCTCAAAAAAAAAAAAAAAAAAAAAAACTCAAATAACAAAAACTCAAATACAAAAGTATTTAATGTAGGTATGGATTTTGCATTGGTGATGCCATGCATCAAAAAAGTATAGAAACCCCACGTCAAAGCAGATTTCAAAAGGCTCAAACTAGTAGCAAAATGCATACATCCTATATTATTTTTTAAATGTGTAATCCAAGTCATAGAGTACATTTTTCAAAAGAACACTGTATCCTGGAACAATATTGCTTTAAGAACTTTTCAATGTAAAATAAAATAGAGGCAGATAAACCTTTTATAATATCAGGGGACAAAGATGTTTTTTAATCTATTAATTTCTTTATGCCAGGTATACATAACAGTGGGTAAACCTGTTGATTGATACTAACCTGCGAGTTGGCAAATGTAAAATATTTCCTTTGTGTATATTATGAAGAAACACTTCTTCAAGTTTTTAGTGAAAATTGTTTAAGTAGCCCTTGACATGGAGCCTGGATCATCATAACACTGGCACACCCACCCCTGTCTCCGTGGAGCGAGGATGAAGCACCATGAGATTTAGAGCAATGAACCATGGTCAGATACATCCCTTACCAGCCATGTGGGCTTCAGCAATTTGTTTAATTCTTTGAGGCTCAGTTTTCTTATATAAATGTGGATAATACTTTTCTTACAGTATACAGTCATTATCCACTAAGATAATAATTATTGGTTTCTTACCATTAATAACTCATTTATAGAGTATAAAATTATAGGACATTTCTTTGTTATTCTATAGGAAGGAAAAGACATTATGCTCTGTTCAGAGACTTTGTAATAATGTATAATATCCAGAGAAGTTGCAGAGGAGTTTTTAACCTATATATAAACTAGAAGTAGAAGATAGCCTGATGTTAGAGGTTTTCTAATGTAAAAATGGATAATTTGAAGTAGAATAGAATAGGTCTTTTTCTGCATACCAGTGCATATTTCTGAGCCAGCAGAAAAATCGAGTAAATGTCACATATACAGTGTTAAATATTGGATTGTTTAATTTTAATATGAACAAACTCCTATTTGCCAGTAGATAACTAAATGATAACATATGAGCATTGAAAACAAAAGAAAGAGAAATTGTTGTGTCATCTGCTTTCATATAAACCTGTATATTTCTTTTCATGGAAAACCATGATATTTTATATCTCAGTATGGACACTATTTAATGAATCAGTAAGTTGGAGCAACTAAGAAGCACCTTTGAAATGCATAAAACAAGAACACTGGCAATGCCCCAAGTATATTAAATCCGAGGGTTTAAAAATCATTTGTTTTCTATTGGATGCAAAATGCAAAGAGCCAAGAATCAAAAAACCTGGTCTGAAGTTTTAGCTCTGCCACTGATAGAAAATGTAGCCTTAGAAAAAACTAAATATCTCTGGGTTTCAGTGAACTCATCTACAAAATGAGACAGAACTGACCACATTGTTTGGGTCAGTTGCAGGTCTAAACTCTGGTGCTATATAAAGATTTTGTTTGCAGAGTCAGAGTAGGGATTTCTATAAAGTTCTTTGTGCAATTCCTTAAGGAATATGAGAGTTTCCTTTTTGCTAATCTTACAGCAGTTGCTGCTAGAATTTTAGCTATTACTGTCATAGATATCCTTTATTGAGTACCTACTAAGTACTAGCATGGGATCTGGTGCTAGATACTTGTCATACATTTTATCATTATTAATGTCTAAGCTGTGATTATAATTTTACAGATAGAGAAACTGAGATTCGAAAGAATTGGAGTAACTTGGACTAAGATCATATAGCTAAAAAGTAAATTTTAGAGATAGGGTTTGAATCTACGTTTTCTGATACCAAAACCTATGTTTTCCATTTTCCTACCATTTTCAAATGATAGGTAGTTCAGCATTACTAGTGTGATTTGGAGGGAGGGTCTCAGCTCTTTGGCAGCCTAGTCCAATGTCATGACTTTAAATACCAGCTGTACACTGACAGCTCCCAAAGTTGAACACCTCCAGCCCAGCCCTTTTCTGAACTCCAGATTTGCACAGCCACCTAACTCCTCAACTCCTCCAATGATGTCTAATAGGTGTCTCAAACATAACATGTTCAAAACCAAGATCTTGATCTTACCCACCAAATTGGTTTGCTCAAGTTGCCCCAAGCTCAGTCAACACAACTCCATTTTTCTTTCTTGACCAGACTAAATGCTTGGAATCATCCTTAGTCCCTGCCTTCCTCCTATACACCACAACCAATTGCTCAGCAAATCCTGTCAGCTCTTCTGCAAAATACCTCAAAATTTGATGACATTTTACCATCCTCATTGTTTCCACCATACTCCAAGCCACCATGCTCTCTTGCCTTCATAATGACAATCGGTCCCAGTCTCCTTGCTTCCACTCTTTCCCCTTATGCAGTCTATTCTCCATGAAGCAGCCAGAGTGATCTTTTAAATATGTGAGTCAAGTCATGATATCCTGCTACTGAAAACCCTCCTGGAGTCTCATTCAGAGTAAATGTGGTGTCCTCACAATGACCCACTGCACCTCGCCTACAACTTTAGCCCCTGACCTTCACTCCCACTGATGTCATCCTCTCGCTTCCTGCCTTTCCCACTCTGCTCCAGCCACTCAGGTCTCCTTGCTGATTGTTAAACATACTAGTTGCACCACCACCTTCAGACTTTACCTTCATACTTGCTGTTCTCCTTGAACTGACTTTATCCCTAGATTCCCATATCTCACTCTTTTGCTTCCTTCGGATCTCTGCTCAACTGGTACCTTTTCAGAAAGGATTTTACTGGCCATACAATCTAAAACAACACCTTGTCACTCCTCCCTTTGACACTAATTTATATTTCTTAGTAACACTTATCACTAGCTCCCAATCGACGTATTTGTTTATTGTCTTTCTTCTTCCAAACACACACACACACTCACATGAATGTAACTACATGAGAGTAGGAACTTCACTTTGTTCAATGTTGCATCCCAATGCTTACAAGAATATCTACCACATGGTAGATACTCAGTAAGTACTTGCAAATGAACAAATGAGTAACAAATGCAAAATAAATTAGAGGAGTGTGCATATATTAACTTAAAATAATAAAAGCTGACAGGAAACACATTTAAAAGCTTGGTAGGGAACTTTAGGAACATAGATTATTTTTAACTTGTTTGTTATCTAGAAAATAAATCATGTTTTATTTAAATATCAAATAAGACACTAGGCACATCAAAAGAATTTTCAGTTTTCAGAATGCACCCTGGTAAAAATATCACAAGCATAATTTCTCATTCAGCCAAAATAAATTTTTAAAAAAGCTAATTTGATACACAATAGCTCCTAATAGATAACAGCTCTTTGAGAAACAAGTCAAGGTTTTTGTTTGAAATAGAGGTATTAGTCCAAGTTTAAAATAAAAACTTATTTAACATGAATGGCTCCTTGTTGGTTTATAAACTAGTGGTAATAAATATACAATGACCTCCCAACTGTGGCCAAACAACCATGACCATCTCTCCAAGCATTTTTAACTTACAGTAAAAGACACTGTACTTGAAGTCAGAAAATCAGGATTTAAGTCTAGGGTTTGCAACAAGAGGAATAAAGGACAAAATTATTGTGAAAATCAGTTACTAACTACAGCATCTATATACCTCTAACTTTACTGGGCTATTTGATCAATTGCACCAGCATCACCAAAACATGGAAGGATTCATGTATCTTAGACTATTAGCCTCACTGCCTTTTGTTATATCTCTGCTCCAAGGTGAGACATCTGAAATATAACACTTTAAGTCAGGAAATTAGAGACTTTTTAAAATCTAATTTTCTACATTGGAATAAATTTGTGACTCTAAGCCATCTGTAAACTTCTCAGAGAATCAACAGCTCAACTTGGCATACCTTAATAGATTTGCCTGGCTGGCTTCACATTTCAACCTGCATCTCCTCAGGCCTCCCAATGACTTCAGCCTGTGGAGGGTGAGTTCTTTCCCCCAGGAAGCAAATACAAGCCCACAGATTCAAGTTGTATCTGGATATCTAGAGAGGTCCTGGCACAAACTGTGTCCTTAGTACTCATATTCTCTGATCAGAATTTCTTAAACTGCCCTTACCCTCTACCACCAGGAGTCTCTTTTCCAGGGAGTTTTAAATGGGGATTCATAATCTCCTAGGATTTTTTTTTTCAAGTGGGGACAATAGTTTTCATGAGATTTTCCATGGTCTATTACAAAAGTTTTAAAACAAAAATCTGCTTTTGTAAAAAACAAATATATTGGGTTTTCTTAACTCCATCTCATCATTCAGATGCACGACAAGAAAGATTTTTTCTGATCCATTCAAACTTATTTTTTCACTTTTTTTGTATCTGATTCTCTAATCTCTGACTTACTAGTCACTTATTTATTTAATGAATATTTTCCCAATGTCTACTAGGAACAGAAGTCTAGTTCTAGGCTAGAATTTTCCACGTAATTTTATATATAAATTACGTTTGCATAAGGAACATACAATTATTTTAAAATATAATGAATAGTTTATGCAGAGATTTATTCACTGCACAGATTACAAATGCTTGAAACATAATAATAGATCATAATTTATAATCATGAGACCCAAATATAAATTCCAACTTTATTATTTATTTCTAATGCTAACTCAAAGACATCTTTTTCCCCACATGCTACTGGGTTCTCTTATTTGGAAAACAGAGAGAGGTAAGAAAACATTATTGCTTAAGGTAATGCCAAGAAACTAGGAAATCTTAAAACATGAAACATAAACATCAAATAAAAGATGTTGATATCCACCTAAACTGGGGAAGAGGAACAACCTAGAGGTTAAAAGGAGACTTTACAGAATGTTACACTTCTAAAGACAACATTTGCCATACTGGGAGGCAAGTCTAGGGACATGCTTTACATCCCCTCCACCCAGAAATGACATAAGTACCCTGTACCAGGCTTATCCCATTTCCTGAATTCCCTACTTAATTTAGTTCCATACCTTATCTAATTCAAATATTTTCTAGGCCTGCTAAAGGTGGAGAATATTTATACTGAAAGCCTTAATACCAGGCCCTGGGCTAACCACATCATGGAATTCCAAGCAACGATTCTTTCTGAAGAAGAAATAACATGCTGTCCTAATCTGAGGATTTGCTTAATTTCAGTTCCCCTGCCTTACCTCTGATTCCTGAAGCATATCACTCCTCCTCCCATGACTTCTGTGTTCTTCGTGTAAATGCCCCTGCCCCACACAGCTTCAGTCTTCCAAGCCTTTGCTTCATTGGCATTCCCAAGACTGGCTGTCAACAAGACTTGTTTCTGGCCTAGAATAAAATCTCTCATTTCCAACTACTCTATTTAATTTCAAGGAATCAATCAAATTGCCATCTCCCACCAAGATGTCATCAATCTCATTTTTGGAAAGCAGGTGCTTCAATAAGGAGTATAAAAAATAAAATGAGAATGTATATGGATAGATAGACATTAATCCTTTGGAGAGGGATAATTGTAGCAAGACTTGTGACTTCAATAAAACATAGGAACAAGTGATAAAAAGAAAAAGAAAGGAAAAGAATAGAAAGCAAAAGATCAATAAGAAGGCTGTTGCGAAACAAATTTGGAAAAGTATTTGAAAGGGTGTTATACCTACAGACACAATTGTAAACGCTTACTAACTCAAAGCTTTTAAATGCTAAAATAGAAGAAAGTCATAAAATTCAGACCAAAAACATACAAAATTGTAATTCAGATTATGTATATTTATTTTCCAAATGTAAAAGCAGTAAAGAAAATTAGCTCATGGAGTTTACTCCCTTACCTAACATTGTAAATTGAAGACTTACAGGAGGAAAGCCTGGTAACATGGTCAAAATTAATGAGAAAGGCTTGGGATGTGGCAAGCAATTCGTAAGGGAGAAGAAAAGAGAAGAAAGAAGTAATAGTGAGTTGGGTAGAGAAGAAACACTTAGAAGACGGGGGAAAGTAATTCACTTACCTGTGATCTCATTTTGCAACATGCTAACGATTGAGTAAAAGGAAAGAAAAAGAAAGAACACATAACATTGCCAACCACAGATATTTTGGAAAATGTGTAGCTCAATAACTTGGTCAAAGAAGAAAATCATATTAAGTGACGATTTGAAAAAGGATATGAATGTACCAAAATCTTAATAGCTAATTTTCTAATAGGGTTGAAGGGAGTTAAAATGTAAAGGGCAGGGGTGGCACTGAATCGAGAGATTGCTTTCCCTTTATTCAATACTATAAACGTCTGAAAAAGAAAACACAACACATAAAATAAAACTTAGAATATATATTAAGAATATTTTAAGAGAAAAGTAAAACCATTATTTATAAATATTGCCCTGTAAAATAGTGTATAACATAATAATTACCATCATATGACATGAAGATAGATGCTTTTTTTTTCTGAGCACTATAAACTTTCCTAAATTTGATAAATGACATGAGGATTATTAAGAAAATTTGTGATCAATGCCATAGGAATTCTTAGCAACTTTATCAAGTTTTAATGTAAGTATTTTAAAACCGCATTTATAATTCACATAAAGCACAAAATTGAGGCTTTGATTTTTTTTTTTGGTTAGAAAATTTTCTCATGAGAACTTCAAGGTTTTCCAGGTGTGTTCTTTGCTCAGAATCTTATTTGGCACCTACAAGTCACCTGCTATTATTCCTTCTGTGGAGAGCAATAGAAAGGAGAAAGTATGGTATAAAGGAATAATTAAACCCACTGAAGATCAAAGTGACTTATGGAGAGCTAGAGACTATAAAGAGGAATTTAGATACTACTCCTGCAAATATAAAAAATAAAATTTAAATAGACTCCTAGTTTACAGTTTTTGCTTCTCAACATTATTAGGGAATCAGGGTCAATTTACACTGGTTTAAGCATATAATTTGTATTCAAGAAGGTGAATAGGCTTTTGTCCTTCCTTAATTCCCGCGCTGGAGGATGCCTCACCAGTTCTCTGCCTGTCTCACAAATGCAGGTTCAAATGAGTGCTTCCAAAAGACTTCTAGGATCATTGGTCCATTACACGGTCAGGCCCATCCAGCATCTTAGTGATACTTTAGACAGAGGGAAGGAGGCCAGCCTTCTTCACCATCATCCCTGGGACTAGCCCAGAACCAATTAGTAAATAGGCAGTGAAGGCAACTTGACTAAGAACTCACTTTCTTATTGATATAGTAGGGGTCCAGATCCTCCAGGGGCACTGACACCATCTCTGGAGGAATGTCTCCATAAATAAATGGAAGAGATTTTCCTGCTTCCAAGTCACTGTTTGGCTTTGGGCCATTTTCATCATCCTCATCCTTGCGTTCCTGTTTGGGTCTCTTAGCTTTCTCTTCTGCAATGCGTTGTTCAATAGCAGCAAGGGATTCCCTGGTAAAGAAGCGGAAGCTGTCAGGTCCTGGCGGTACCAGCACTGACTGTGCCATCTTTTCATCCTGCTCCTTTAATCACTGTTTAGCTCCTTGCATAAGAAAGTGCTACAGAAACAGGGAGGGAAAAAAAGCAATGACCATTAGAATAAAAGGTGATTGTGTCAGTTACATGACACTGAGCACTGAGATACAGCATAGAAACTCAGATAGCTATAATATTTTCAAAGAAAGCTGTATTTGGTATTCAGGGAATCTCATATGTGCATCCATTTGCTCACATGGAGATCTATCTCTCACATTCAGTAGGTGTCTATGAGGTAATCTAATCTCCCACTCCCAAAATGTTTTAAGTGATTGTGCTACTTGTGGGAAAATATGCAATTCAGAGCTCAGAAATGGAGGATACTGGTTTGTGCCTGCTGTTTCACTTGTGTGAATATTTTGGCAGCCATCTTTTTCAGCATTCTTTCTGAAAAAATAGCAGAGATCCAAAACAAGAGATGAAACATCATATTAAATTGTAGAACCTGAGCTGAGGATCTTGCACATATCTCTCCAAGTCTTTGCACGTGCCCTTTGGCTCACTTTATCACATTTAAGAGTTTATTCCAAGTCAATTCACTGGGTAAAAATCTCTGGAAATCCTAAAATGCCAGGCTATGGAAACATAGGTAGATCCTGCTTGAAAGAAAGGGAGTGGGAAGGAGCAGAAGATGCCTGGTTGTGTTTGGAACTGCTCGGAAGCTGCACAGGAAGGGACCCAGCTCCTGCCAAACCGGGCAGGAAGTCATCCACATCAGAGGTCTGTAGCTCGGACCCCCTGGCTTAGCAACCTGCTGCTAGCTAGTGTAATTGCTTCTTAAATTAACACATTTGCAGTACCTTAGGAAATACTGTAGAGATAGCCAATTTCCTCAAATTATGCCCATTTCATAAAAACGTAGCATCACAGTCTTAGTGTCCATATCAGAATTTGGACTTGAGAAAAAATAATAAGTTTACGATAGTTTATCTTTTCAAGCAAACTCTTATTATATGAGTCTTTGCAATAACCTAAATAGATTTTTACTGGTATTCAAATCATATTTCACCAGACTAAAGTAGATAACTCAAAAGAGCACATCAGTCATTCCAAATGTTACCTCTGAACCAGTGGCAGGAGTTTCTATGCTATTTGAAACAATACAATCAACATCTTGACTCCTAAATGACACTTAATCTATTTTTTCCATCTTTTCAAAAAATCAATCTATTTCACCCCCATACTATAGGAGTCAGAGTTGTCATTTAAATATATGAAATGCATTTTCTAAGAGTGAAATGTGTTATGCAGTTCACTTCTGCAGCATACACCAGATAAAACAGAGGGAAACCTAAAATAACAAAAACTACTGCACAGTTTTATTTAAAAAAAATGTTGAAGTAAACCAGGACCTTTCAGCTACCAGCTAGCAGACTGCCCTCCCCAGTATTATAGTGCCTCCAAAACATCCCTCATTTTTTTCACCCATTCCTAGAGACCCTCATGCCTAGCGACAGACATAGGCATGAAGATGGTCCTTGCACACTGGGGGAGGAAACTGCCATGCCTGGATTCTCTAATAGAAGAGACATGCTAAAACATGCAGCCAGCAGCTTCAAAATGAAAGTGGTCCCTCTGCAGATTTCCCCAAGGATTCTACTACTGTAAAGGTAGAGAAGCATCACAGAGAATAAGCATAATAAGAATAATAAAACATTACCCCTGTAGAATCTTTTACACCCAGAGTTTGGGATTGATAAGCTGGCACCAAGAAGACTGCAGCTAAAATTCCATCATGCTTTAAAAAAAAAAAAATCTTTTTTTTTTTTTTTTTTTTTTTTTTTTAATTCTCCTTCAAAGACCACACCTAACTTCCTGTAAAAGGATTCTGGTAACTGAAGTAAGAAGAGGCATTTCCTGTACAGGGACTACAAAATGGCATTATTGTAACTACCACTAGAGGGCGGGGAACTGTGAAGAGAAACACCTTCACAGCGTACACACAGACATATGTCTGAAGCAGCCCAAAGCTCTCAGTTGTGGAACTGATCTTCCACAGGCTTTTCTTGGAACGAAACATTAAAACTTTGTTGATTTTAAGTGTTAATTTTGTTAACAGATAATGCTTCTCCTCATGCTTTTTATTTGCTATGTCAGAAAGTCATTCAACCCATATAAAGAATTCAAATTTAAAGTAAAGAGAAAGTACAGTAGTGCACTGCTTAATGGCATTTTTGGTCAATGACAGATCACATATATGACAGTGGTCGCATAAGATTATAATACCATATTTTTTACTGTACCTTGTCTATGTTTAGACGTGTTTAGATACACAAATACCATTGCATTACAATTGCCTGTAGTATTCAGTACAGTAACATCCAGTATAGGTTTGTAGCCTAGGAACAATAGGCTATACCATGTAACCTAGTTGTGTAATAGGCTCTACCATCTAGGTTTTACGTACACTCTATGAGGTACACACAATGACAAAAATCACCTAATGACACATTTCTCAGAATATATCTTGGTCCTTAAGCAAAGCATGACGTAAATAGGGAAGGGTTAAAAATAAAAACTCATATTAAATAGCAATTAACCCTTACTATATGTAAGGGTTAAAAATAAAAATTCATATTAAACAGCAATTACCGTATGTAGGCTTGTAGCCAAGGAACTACAAACATAGAGTAGGATTTGATATTAGCCTCAGCCCCAGATAATCTTAAATCCAATGTAGTTCTTTGCTAATTCAATAAAGAGATGGCCTGTGCCACACAAGTTAACTCTCTCCAGAAAAAATATTAACCCAGTGAGACACCAATCTTATTTATCTCTGATTTAAGTCACTAAAAAGCAACCAGAAAAAAGAACTGATAAACCAGTGAGATTGTGAATGCTAGGCTTTCAATTAATATCATAGTGAAGATTTGAGGACTTACTAAGTGCCAGTCACTTGGCTAAGACATTTGCCCTGTATTATTTCATCCTCCACACAACCCTATTGGATAAGTGCTTTCATTATCCTTATTTGCAAACTGAAGTAAGGACATACACTGAGATTAGGAAAAGTCTCCTAAGATCATACAGGCAGGATTCAAACTCAAAATCTGATAGCAAAAATCTGTGATCATTACTCAATCATAAAAAGAAAACAGGCACCGGTATCAATTATAATTAGAACAGTTCTAATTGTTAAATCAATGTATTTCATACTTTCTGGCTTCATCATTTTCATTGGAAAATGTATTTGTTGGGCAAAAACAGAAAACAAAATACCACATCTTCTCACTTATAAGTGGGAGCTAAACATTGGGTACACATGGACATAAACATGGGAACAAGAGACACCGTGGACTATAAGTGGGTATAGGGTGGGGGAAGCAAGTGTTGAAAAACTACCTATTGGGTACTATGCTTGCTACCTGGGTGGTGGGTTCAATCGTGCCCTCAAACTTTGGCATCATGCAATATACCATCATAACAAACCTGCACAGGTACCCACTGAATCTAAAATAAAGGATTTGGAGAAAAGAAGAAAATGTGTTTGTTGGAAATGAGCAAGGGGAAGATGTAGCCCAAAATAATATTTTAGTCACTTTAGCAGATAACTTTTGATTGTAAGAGAAAAAGATGTCTCAAACTAATTGAAGTAAAAAATAAATAAAGACAGGAGTTTATTGGTTCATGGTTTGTCCAGGGCTAGTCTTAGGCATATGATGATTCAAGAGCTCAGCTGATGTTACCAGCTCATAGTTATGCTGTATCCTTTTGTTCTGACTTTCATAGTGATAAGTTTCCTAAAGATTCTTCTCTTAGCCGTAGCTTCCCTACAGCTAGATGCTGTAGCAGCTCTAGCCTCCCAACCTTCCAGACCTCAATTCAGTGGGAAGAAAGACTCCGAAAAACTCATTGCATCTCACTGACACCTGGTGGGTCACATGCCCATCCTGAAGTAATTACTCTGTCCAGGGTAATGCCGTCTTTGATTGGCCTCTCCTAAGCCACATGCTGTAGCCTTGAAACACGGAAGAGTCCTCATTTGAAACCTATGAGTAGTCAGGGTTATCATTGTGGTACAGAAGCATTTCTGAAAAGTGGAGTTGGAGCTGGGAAGGTTGCTTTTGCTTGTAATCCCAGCATTTTGGGAGATCAGGGCAGGAGGATCCCTTGAGACCAGGCATTTGAGGCTGCAGTGAGCTATGATCACACCACTGCACTCCAGCCTGGGAGATAGAGCAAGACAAAGAAAGAAAGAGAGAGAGAGAGAGAGAGAGAGAAAGGAAGGAAGGAAGGAAGGAAGGAAGGAAGGAAGGAAGGAAGGAAGGAAAGAAAGGAGAGGAAGAAAGAAAGAAAGAAAGAAAAGAAAGAAAGAAAGAAAGAAAGAAAGAAAGAAAGAAAGAAAGAAAGAAAGAAAGAGAAAGAAAGACAGACAGGGAGGAAGGAAGGAAGGAAGGAAGGAAGGAAGGAAGGAAGGAAGGAAGGAAGGAAGGAAGGAAGGAACGAACGACAGACAAGTCCCGGTGGCTCATGCCTGTAATCCCAGCACTCTGGGAGGCCGAAGCAGGCAGATTGCTTGAGGCCAGGAGATCAAGACCAGCCTGGCCAACATGATGAAACCCCATCTCTACTAAAAAATAGAAAAAATTAGCCGGGCATGGTGATGGGCACCTGCAATCCCAGCTACTGGGGAGGCTGAGGCAGGAGAATCGCTTGAACCCAGGAGACGGAGTTTGCAGTAAGCCAAGATCATGCCACTGCACTCCAGCCTGGGCAACAGAGTGAAACTCAGTCTCAAAAAAAAAAAAAAAAAAAAAAAAGAAAGAAAAGAAAAGAAAAAAACACCAGGAAATGACAAAGAGCAGAGTTGTTGAGTTACTATTACTGGAATAAGGGGGAAATTAATGCTGGACAGAAAGAACAAACAAGTGCGTGCTCTAGTCACATTCTCATCATATTTGCAGTGCCTCCACTTTTGGAAAGTAACATTATCAATATCGGGATATATACATATGGTATATCTTCCATGTGTACCAACTTCCATGTATACTGGCCAGGCAAGATACTTACAAGATTCCTTCCCCATAGTAAGTTGTCCTACTGCAATCAAGCGCACAATATTTCATAAATCTCTATGATGAGTGTCAACTTCAATTATCAAATCCATATTCAGGTCTTACTTTACAGATGTGCTCAGCAATATACCAACTTGTTATACAAATGATTCTAATTCAAAATAAATTAAGAATAAACAAATTTATGAAATGATTTACCAAACATATTTTTGGGAGAAGATTAGTCATAATAATAACACATAGTATCTACTTTTTTTAATAAAAATCTACACATAGTACCTACTTTTGTCAAGCACTATTTTAAGAGCTATGAAACCATTTATTCCTTATAGCAACCTAATGAAATAGATACTGTAATCATTTCCCTTTAAAACATGAGGAAGAAGTAAAAAATGGAACAAAGGATACTAGAGGCTGGGGAAGATAGGGAGAGATTTGTTAAAGGATACAAAATTACAGCTAGACAGGAGAAATAAGTTATAGCTTCTATAGCACTGTAGGATGACTATACTTAACAATATTATAGAACTTCAAATAGGTAGGAGGAGGATATTGAATGTTCCCAATACAAAGAAATGCTAAATGTTTGAGATGATGGGTGTGCTAATAACCCTGATCTGATCAGTATATGTTATATGTATTGAAATATCACTATGTACCCCATGAATATGTACAAATACTGTCAACTTAAAAAATAAAGAAACAGGAATAAACAGAGGCATCCTGAAATTCAGTAGTTTAAAATACAAATAAGTTCTCACAACTGGAAAGAGTAGGGTCAGATGTGGAACTCATGCTTGCTGGCTGCAGATTTCATGTTTCTAACAATTATGCAATGCTTAAGACATTTTCTGGAATTATGCACTATCAGAAACATACCAAGATATGTGCAGTTTCCTTAACATTATATTAGTTATAGAGTCACCTCTTTCTCTCCCATTGATTCTAGCCAGTGAGTGTGTCTTGGAATATTTAAAAGGGTGAACACAAAATGTTTTACCAAAACATATAAAACATCGAATGAACAACACTGAGTATTTTTTCACATCAAAGATACTTTTGCATAATGTAGATGTAAGTAAAGAATTATAGTCTGTTTCTCATTTCCCAGGATAAGGTTTTCAGAAATCATACATTGGTTTTTCTTCCATTTGTTCTGACCTTTGTTATCACATCATACTGATATTTTATGAGAGTTCTATATGACATATATTACGTGAAGGTTTTAAATTTCATTCAGTTGTACTACATTTCAGACAGAAGATTTTGTGTTACAACTTTTAAGGCCAGACACTATATTTGGAAGACCCATGAATAATGAGAAAGGCAAACGATATTATTTGAAGTAGTCAGAAAATAAAAAATCTTAAGAATTGGGATTCTAAATTCTGATATTTCTATAATGTTTTCCTTTCGATACTCTTTTCCTTTAGTTTTCTCATTTATACAAGAGGAATATATTTTTTCTAAATTAAAATTTTAAAAAATCATGTTATTACACATGATGACATCAGCAAAAAGTTATATGAAAGATAAGACAATTTAAAAAAATAAGGGTATGTAGTAATAAACATTGTACCACAATTTTTTTCTACAAAGATCCACATTAATAATACATGCTCTAGAAATAAATTTATACTAAGAAAATGGCATATTAAATTTCATAGATGAGGACATAATTTTATATTAGTTTATATTGTAATTAGTGGTTGTGGATAAGTGCGCAAAGACTTAGAAAATTTTGTGCCCAAGAATTAAGAAAGCTGAAAACACTAAGGAAAGTCTTTTTTTCTGGAAGTGGCCTTTTAAGTTCTGTTCTACAATTGTAGTTTTTTGGGTTCTTTGGTACATTACAGTAATGTAAACATAAACCAATAAAAGATTTGCTAAATATTATTTGAATACTTATTTTTCAGATATTCTAGCTTTCTTATTCCATAGGTTCAAGTCTATTTTCTTATCAACTTTTTGATTGTTACTTGCTGTGATATATATTTGTATATATGCATATACACACACATATGTACACACACACACACACACACACATGTATATGTATCCTTCTCTTTTTAACCTGAATCCACTAGCCCATTTCTGTAACTAACAATTTCCATAATGGGGAGACAGTTCTGAACAACCAGACTTACGTGTTTTTCTGCTGTAGAGTAGAAACAGAGAATAGTAGAATATGAAGAACTCACGTTCAGTGTTTACTGGTGAGAAAAGCTGTTTTTTTTTTTTAATGCTAGGTTTAGTTCCAATATGAAACTAACTTATTTTTTATAGTTTATTTTTATATTAGGTGCATTGAGCAATATTCTTTTTTCTCTTTCTTGAAATAAAAAAAAATTATTTAGAAACTACTTAAAATAGAAAAAAAAAGCCTGTCAAGAAACATCAGGTGAAAAATGAGTTGCTAATAAAGCAGAATTTTAGGTAACAAAAGTCTAAAAAACCACAAAAGAGAAACAGCACCACTGTCATTTGAACAATGGCTATTTACTTGCATTTTTTGGCATTGTTAATCACTGAATCTGGATTTTTCTCTGAATTCCACACAAAGCATCCATTAAACAACAATTTTGTTATAAAATGTTTACTTTTTACACACATTTTAGGACAAGCTATCACCAGACACAAATCAATACAAATGCATCAGGGGCTGAACAATCTCAGTGAGTGACACATATTTTGCAAACTTCTGCCAAACAAAAGGATGGAATAGGTTGTGCACAAATCAAATGAGGGAGAGTTAAGGAATAACAAATTTTAAATATGAATAATTCAGACATGGTACTGTATTTTCTGTAAAAGAAAATGAACATTTAGCAACACACTAATAAATTTTATCTCTTAAGAGATTAGTGTACTGATAAAGTATTCAGAGAACTGGAGAGCTGTGGACAGCAGATACCAAAAACATCCCAGCTTTGCAGAGGTAACCAGAGCCTTCCCTGATTATTCCCTTTGCCAGAGGTCCACAAAGAATTTGCAGTGTGCCCACCTGCCTGCTGCACTTCCAACTCCAAGCTGCAAACTTTAAGAACCCAAAGAGGTGTCCCCAGTGGGCAAGGGGAGCAGAGAAGAGAAGCAATGTTAGAGTAGGTAGTTAGGCAGACATGAGCAAGGCAGTAGAGAGCCCCTCCCTCAGGAATGTCAGGCAACCATCAGATGACGGTCAGGTGGTTACTAAACTGTCTAAAATAATAATTGGTCTTAGCCAGCACCAGGTAAAGACAGTCCCCTAATGGCTTAAAAAAAAAAAACACCTGAACCTGGTGATCAGAGGCTTCCTGATAAGTTCTCAGGAATTGGGTGAGTGAGCTCAAGCATGCACATTAAGAGGCAAAATGGCAGAGTTTAACTGGCATATGACCTTCTCAGGAACACTCTACTGGTAAAGGAAAATTGCCTCAAGTGAGCATGCACACAACTTCAGTAAACACACTGCACATATTGCCCCTCCCAAGTGCTGGCAGATCACTGCACATGTGTACAGCCTGCTCCAAAAGAAAATAAAGGGAAGAGAGATGCAAACGCCGTAACCAGGCCATAACTAGGCCAATGTATAAAACTTCAAGTCAAGGGCCAAACAGGGCACTTGGACCTCTCAAGTTGCCTGCTTGGCCTTTTCCCAAGTATACTTTACTTCCTTTTGTTCCTGCTCTAAAACTTTTTAATAAACTCTTACTCCTACTCTAAAACTTGCCTCGGTCTCTCCCTCTACCTTAAACCTACTTCTTCCCCTCAGCCAAATTCTTTCCTCCAACGAGGCAAGGATCAAGTTTGCTGCAGACCTCTATGGATTCACCACTGGTGACATGTTAAATGTAAAACTAAAGGATGGTAAAATGGGAAACAACCTCCATTCAAATCTCAGAGATGTGAGCAAATCCCCAAAAGCGTTGTTAGATGAAAGAATTGGACACACCTCATTTCCCAAAAAAGCGTAATACATAGAAATTTCAGAGATAATTGGAAAAATTTCCAGAGAAATCCTCAATGAAAATAGAGCTCTTCAACCCAAAAATCTCAGGGCTGAAACACACCCTGTGTTCATCCAGGCAACAATACCTCTTGCTTTTTAGCCTGGATGCAGTTGGTCAATGACACCAAATGGATTTACAGAGCAACATTTAGAACTTTCCTTTGGGGCCAAAGTCTAGGCCTGTGAGGTTGCAAGCAGCCCTGTAAGGCCTGTGATGACACCAGGTTCCAAAGGTTCTGATGTCTGGCCCTTCCTTCCAACATACAATGTCAAACACATAAGATGTTCTGATGTGTTACATTTGATATTTTGAATATGGAAGCATATTTTAAATATTCTTTAGGCATTAACTTATTACAAAATTCTCTACCAAGATTTCACATTAGGTTAAAATTCAATTCAGTCTTCACATTTCTGTACCAAGGTCTCCACTTCGGCATATTACCAAACACCTTCTCCAGCAATCAATGTTACCTACATGCACATGGTGAGCCCCATGTTCAGCCTCTTTGTTTCCCAGGTGAACTAACCAGATGTTAATGTTGCTCTGCTGCACAGTAAAACTCCCAACTCAAACTCACCAAAAAAGGAGTGAAACTCTGCAAAATGCACTTTAAAAAGAGGTACTTCATGCTCATAAAAAGAAACCAGTGAGTCTTCTAAGAATAATAAAAGGGAGTATTTAACAGTTAAGCACAAGATTTGGAGTGCAGAATTCGGATAAGGCTCTCCTGGTTCGGGTTGTTAAAACTCTTCTTGTTCCTCCTGTGGGCCCCTTTCATCGGATATCACGAAGTCTTCATCTGTGGCACAGAGCATGTCTACAGTCCTCTGCAATACAGGGTCATTTTGCCCCTCGTTCTGCTGGCAAATCAATTCATTGTTCCTTAGCTTTCTGAAGTAGAAATCTCTTTCTCCAAGGCTTCAATGCCAAGTTTCAATACACTGACCTGCTAGCATCAATTTGACCCTGCAGCACTCCTACTGCCCACACCAGGATTTTTTAATACCACCCTGGGGCCTTAGAAGCTGCAGCCTTAGAAGCTGCAGTTATTTGTGGAAATGGTCCTATGTGGAGCTGGATTGCTAGAGCTGAGAGGTTACTTCGGTTTATTCAGAACTGGAGCAACAATAGAGGGAGCCACTTCAGTTTCTTGACCTTGTCCGGCAGCCACAGGGTTATAGTCTTTTTCATTGCAGTTTGCATCAAAAAACTTCTTAAAGTACTGAATGAATTCAAAATTGTCCTGAAAGTTTCCTTTTCCTAATTGTCCACAGAAATTACTTTGTCATCACCCACCCTCTTAAAAATACTGCTTGTAGTATTTTGAAGTTATGAATGTATTCATGGAATTTCACCTTCTTCAAGGCAATGGAGCCAGGGAAGAGGATGACCATAAAGCAACAATAAGCAGCCCCTGAGCACAATTGTTCCATCTTTGTCAAATTCAACTTCAGGAGACTCATTGATCCAGGCCAGTATGCCACGTAGAATTAGGTTGTCATTGGTGACTGATGTCAAGTGTATATTCACTGTCATCTTTGGCTCCTGGTGGAACAGTCTACTGCCCACACCCAGCCCTGGTTCCATCTTCATCTTGTTCAAAATGCTTGACCAACATTCTTTAGATATTCCATTAAATGATTGTTATGTCCTAAGACACATTTTGCTTTTCTTTAACAGAAATGCATACCAATCTTACTATGATGATCTCTGGGAAATATGATTCAGTGTATAGATAATCACTTTACATCTAACTTTCCTAGGAAAAATAAGTTAACTATATAAAAGAAATATACCTGTATTTTAATGGAAGCATTTTTATTTTACTGTAGGTAGACTGGCAATACATTGCTGCAACGTTTTAAAATCTTCAGATGTATTAAGTGCATGTTAGCAGACTTCCAAGAACTCATTCAACCGTCTCTAAATGGCTCATCAGCAGGAAGGCCACCTCTAATCTGATTACATAGTAGTTTGGTTTTGATGGATGGATTATACTGGAATCACAGAATTCCAATTCTGGATTTTAATAATCAGGTAAGAAAGAAAATTTCCCAGGATATGGTTCTCTTTATGAGGGTGAGGTATTTCCACTTGTTTGATATACCTGAATATTTCCAGCTCAGTTTTCCTCATTTCTTCTTTTCATCAAAGACTTCTACCTAAAATTTTTCCATCAGTCCCCATTCTCTTTTATGGGGGAGAAAAAGCAGCCTCTAAACTCCTCAGTGGAACAGTAGATCTGAATGTCTGGGCATCTTCCCCATGAATGAGCAGGTAGAGCCAGGATCAGAAGGTCTTTGAAATAATAATAATAACAGGCTGGGCGCAGTGGCTCACGCCTGTAAACCCAGCACTTTGGGAGGCCGAGGTGGGCAGATCACGAGGTCAGGAGATTGAGACCATCCTGCTAACATGGTGAAACCCCATCCCTACTAAAAATACAAACAATTAGCCAGGTGTGGTGGCGGGCACCTGTAGTCCCAGCTACTAGGGAGGCTGAGGCAGGAGAATGGCATGAACCCAGGAGGCGGAGCTTGCAGTGAGCCGAGATCGCGCCACTGCACTCCAACCTGGGCGACAGAGCCAGACTCTGTCTCAAAAAATAAATAAATAAATAAATTAAATAATAATAAAACAATGCTCAAAAAATAGCTACATTCCAAAGTGTATGTATGCATGCCTGTGTGTATGAGAGAGAGAGAAAAACAGACAGAGAGAGAGAGAGAAAGAGAGAGAGAGAGAACTAGAGAGGAGTGAAGGAGAGCATAGGAGACCATGGGTTCATTTCTTCATGTAATGTCAACACTACCTAAATTGTGGCACACTACTGGCTTCTTGATTTGTTATCTCATTGATCCTTGCATTATTTGTGAAGGAAGTAGTATTGTTGTCACTTTTCAAATGTGGGAGTGATCAGGGTGTATGGATGTTGAATAATTTGCCATTGCCACTCTGAGCCAGAGTTTAAATTCACATGTGTCTGATTTCAAATACTAAATATAGTCCATGTTCCATTTCTCCCCCAGGGTAAGAAATGCACCACTGAGCTACAAGTTAAGAAGGGAAATATGATATAAGTCTGATTTTCTAAAAGTCACTGGATCCCTTTCTATACCTAAGATGTTTATAGAATCCCACAGGTCCACTGCTATTAGACAAATTTGTGACCCAGTACAAATAACATAGTTTCCCCTTATAATCTTGCTATTGCTATTATGGGACTAGCTTAACCTCTGCCAGAAAGCGGAAGTTGTTTTCTCAATACCTTCACATGCACCATAATGAATGTACTCTTATCCCAGGCATGGAGGATGAGCTTACACATTTACAAGGAACTCTCTTCTGCAATACTGTATACATCTCTCCTCATATTCATTTATTGATGAGTTAACCATTCTTGTGACTCCAGCTTACACTTATATGATGCCCTCAACATAGATCCCTAGTCCTGAGTGCTCATTCAGGATCCTATCACATATTCCCAACAACCTATAGCTAAGGTCTCCTGGGCTGTAGGTTCTTGGAGCCTCAGGTGAACATTTCCAAAATTGAACTTATCTTCCTTAGAAATTTATACCATTTGTTAAATATTTCCATTTCCTTCCTTTTTCTTCTTTTTTCCTAAGTTAGAAGTATTTTTCCTGACTTAGTTGTTTCACTCCCTTTCCTTTAATTTATGATCTTTGTCACCAAGTCTTAATATTTCTACCGCTAGGAAATACTTCTATGATTTGCTTCTGCCACTGCATCTTCATTACCATCAATGTGTTTCATGAACAGATACATAACAGGACACATCATTTATGTATTCAACAAATAATGTCAAGTTCCTCAGGTGAAAAACCTTACAGCCATCCTTGATTCCTTCCTCTCTCTCTCATACACTATGTCATAACCTCTAGTGACCTTTTTGTTCTATATTCAAAATATATCTTGGATCCAATCATTTCTCACCTCCTCTACCATTAGCACACTGGTTCAAGTTGCCACCATCATTCACTTAGATTACTGCAATTGCTAGGGCCAGTAATTTATGAAGTACAGTGCAAAACTGATAATGTTGAGGCCCCAGCTGCGAGTAGTGCCTTGCACCTATAATCCTAGCTACTCCAGAGGCTCAAACTGGAAGATTCCTTGAGGCTAGGAGTTGGAGACTGGCCTGAGCAACATAGCAAGACCTGTCTCTAAAAAAAAGAGGAAGACACTTGTTTAAGTAGCAGGAAAAAGGGGCCATTAAAAGATTATGCAACATAGCTTTTTTCTTATTTATGCAAACTGTCTACTGATCTGATGGCTTTTATTTGCTATTTAATGTTGTACTCATTGGAGCAGGGAAACACTTGCAGGGCAAACACAGAGCCATATGAGTGTCCCTGATTCAGAGCAGAAGATAATGTCTGCCCCCATCCCCCACTGCCAAATTCCCCTTCCCACCAGTTGCTGGACTGAAGCAACCTGCCCTCAATTGGGGTCAGAGAAGTCAATCTACCCTTCCCATGAGCCTGCCACCCAAACTGGTGGAAGGTCAACCCCCCAAAGCATTGGAACTCTGCACCTGACATGCCTGGATTAGAGGTGGGTGAGAAGCTCTCTCCCACTGAGTCTCTCACCTGCCTTGGCACTTCCAGCCTGAGGTGCATTCCTAACTGCAACTTGACCTGAGCTTGTGATCAAATCCCCGACAGGCTTAAGGGCAGCAGAACACAGACATCTTCCCACCAGCAGCCCAGCATTCTCCCTGTTGGAGGGTGGCAATAGTTGCTGGAAAAAGGTGAAAAAGGGGGCACTGAGTGGCCTGGGCAGGGAGCAGGGGTGCAGGTAGTGTTGAACCTATCCACAGCAGGAAGTACCAGACACTGAGCACCCAGAACATGCTCCACAGTCCCATGACTTTCACTTACAAAACCTAAATTCAAACACAAATTATTAAAATTATCAAGATGGTGACTGCAGAGCATTAGGCTCCATGTGTGGGGCCCTTCTTAGCATGGAGCCTTGTGTGGCTGCCCACGAAGCCAGCCCTGGTAATAATGTCTAAATTGGTCTCCATGCTTAATTTTTGGCCTCCTTCAGTTTATTCTCAATGTGGTAGCCAGATTCCTTTGAAACGCAAAAACAGTCGAGTCACTATTCTGCTCAGAACTCTACAGTGACTCTCTATTTACTCAGAGGAAAAGTCAAAGTATGAGCCATGGCTTGTGTTGGCCTGCAAGGTCTGCCCACCCCCCTCACTTCCTTCTCTCATGTCGTCTCCTGCCCTGTACTTTCTCACATGGCTACTTCTCACCAAGCACTCCAGACACTCCCAGCTCATGGCTTTGCACTTGCTTTCATCTCTGCTTGAAATGCTTTCCTCCCAGAAATTTGCATGGCTCATTCCCTTAGCACCTACTAGTCTTTGCTCAAATAGGACCTTCCCAGTGATGCCTTCCCCAACCATGCTATATAAAATTGAACACCATCCCCTACAACTGAAAACACACACACACACTTTCACACACTCTAACCACATCTCCTTCCTTATTTCCCTCTATAACTTCAACTTCCCCTAATAAAATATCTATTTTTTTAGAGATAGGGTCTTGCTCTGTTGCCCAGACTAGTGTGTAGTGGCAAAGCTCACTGCAGCCTCGACCTCCTGGGCTCCAGTGATCCTCCCACCTCAGCATTCCAAGTAGCCAGAACTAGAGGCACATGCCACCTTGCCTGGCTAATTTATTTTATTTGTAGAGATGAGGGTCTTGCTATGTTGGCCAGGCTGGTCTTGAACTCCTGGCTTTAAGCAATTCTCCTGCCTTGGCCTCCCAACTGGCTGGGATTAAAGGCATGAGCCAACATGCCCGGCCTAGTATGAAACTTATTAATAATTATTTATATTGTTTATTATTTGTCTCTGTACATTGCAATGTAAACTACATGTCTTAGGTCAGGTTCCCCAGAGACAGACACTGAGATGTGGCTTAATGGGAAAGTGATTAGTTAAGGAGGTACTCCTAGGATCAATCAGGAAAGGAGTGGGTAAAGCTGCAGGTCTGGATGGGGAAGGAGCCAAGCTAAGGTGTAATTCCAAACAAAGCCCTACAGAAGTGGCTTTATTATGATCCCACAGGACAACTTTGGAGTACAAATTATGTATTTGAGTTTGTCCCTATATGAAGCAAGGGATCTGTACTTTCACAAGACTGCAATAGTCAGTCTTCGCTAAGGATATGGGTGGGGGCACGTAAACTCACCGGCACTTCAGACTTGGTGCTGAAGTGGAAAAAATGACTCAGATAATCTGAAGACAGTTATCTAAAGCAAGACACAGGTACAGATTCTTAAAAGCAGAAACACTCACCTGCCAGGAGAGTGACACAGAGATAACAATAAAAGGGACTAAGGTGATCTAGTTTGGGTGAAGCAACGTGATGTTTATTTTACTAATGAGAACAAGAGTTTTTTCTTTTCTTTTTACTCTATCGCTAGTGCTTAGGACAATCCCTGGCACAGAGTAGGGATTGAGTACATAGATAAATAATCGTATTGCATACCTTCTATGGTCCAGGCTGTACAATAGTCTGAGTACATAGTAGAGATAAACATAGGCCTTGCAAGACAAATTACCATTGCTTTTAAAGGTTCTATCTCCTGCATTCAAATTTACAGAATGTATTAGTCTGTTTTCACGCTGCTGATAAAGACATACCTGAGACTGGGCAATTTAAAAAAGAAAGAGGTTTAGTGGACTTACAGTTCCACCTGTTGGTTGGGGAGGCCTCACAATCATGGCAGAAGGCAAGAAGGAGCAAGTCACATATTTCGTGAATGGTGGCAGGCAAAGAAAAAGGGCTCGTGCACGGAAACTCCCCCTTATACAACCATCGGATCTTATGAGACTTATTCACTATCACAAGAACAGCACGGGAGACACCTGCCCACATGATTCAGTTACCTCCCACTGGGTCCCTCTCACAACACGTGGGAATTCAAAATGAGATTTGGGTGGGACACAGGCAAACCATATCACAGAATTAATGTCATCTATCTCCCTCCTCCTTCCACTAATCTCTATCAAGTTCTGTGAATTGTGCTTCTGAAATTACATATCTATCTCTTCCCTTCTCATTCCATTGCCAACATGCAGATTCAATATTTTATTATAATTAACTGGGTTACTCTAAACAGATAATCTCCATTCTTCCGTTTGTTTCCCATCCATCTATTTTATATATAATTACTAATATAATATTTTTAAAAACTTGGCTGTAGTTATAATAATAATCTGTCTAAAAACTTTATCATTTAAGTCCAAGTAAAAGTTCAAATATGTTATCCTTTTGTGCTCTGATCTTAGCTTTCATTTCCATCCTTTATACCTTTTTGATGATGTTCAACCAAAGATTAATTATTTTCTGTTCCCAATCTCTCCACTTCCTCCCCTTTGTACCTTTGCTCAGTTTCTTCCATTTGAAATGAATTGTCTTCCCTATCTCAACCAATGAATTCAACATAAACTTATCAAAATTATCTCAAATACCATTTGGTCTAAGAAGACTCTCTTCGTCTCCTGAGATGGAAGCTAACTCCCCCTTCAGAACTCTTGGGACACCTCCTAGATAATGTGGTATATGGGAAAGAGTATGGGTTTTGAATCAAATTATTGGGATTGAAATCCAGTTCTGCCATTTAGCAACTCAGTGACCTTGAGTGAGGCTCAAACTCTCAGAGACTCAGTTTTCTCATCACTAAGATTCCTCTTCCTGGCATGTAAAGAATGCTTCCTTCCCTGCTTCCTTCCTTCATTCCTTCCTTCCTTCCTGCCTGCCTGCCTTTCTTTCTTGACTTCTTTCTTTTTCTTTTCTCGTTCTCTCTTTTTCACAAGGTTCTGCTCTGTTGCCTATGCTGGAGTGCAGTGTTGTGATAAAGACTCACTGCAACCTTGACCTCCCAGGCCCAAGAGATCCTCCCATCTCAGCCTCCTAAGTAGCTGGGACTATAGTGCACACCACCATACTTGTCTAATTTTCTAACATTTTGTAGAGATGGGGTTTTACTATGTTGCCAGCGCTGGTCTCCTGGCTCAAGTAATCCCCCTGCCTTGGCCTCACAAACTGCTGGGATTATGGCCATGAGCCACTTTGCCTAGTCCAGCTTTCCTTTCTAGTCTTCCCTCTTACCAACCCCCACGATAGGATTAGGCTTTGTGTCCCCACCCAAATCTCATCTTAAATGGTAATCTCCATAATCCCCGAGTGTCAAGGGAGAGACTAGGTGGAGGTAATTGAACCATGGGGGTGGTTTCCCCAGTGCTGTTCTTGTGATAATGAGTGAGTTCTTACAAAATCTGATGATTTTATAAGGGGCTCTCCCCTCTTTGCTCAGCACTTCTTCCTGCCGCCTGGAGAAAAAGGTGCCTTGCCTCCTCTTTGCCTTTTGCCATGATAGTAAGTTTCCTGACGCCTCCCCAGTCATGCCAAACTTAGAATCAATTAAACCTCTTTCCTTTGTAAATTTTCCAGTCTCAGGCAGTTCTTTATGGCAGCAAGAAAATGGACTAATATACTCTACCAGTGTCTTATGGTACACACAAAATATAATGTGCTCACGGTCTTCTAAATTTTCACACTAATCTCTGTGTTTCCACTTCAGGGGTATTGTTTAAGCTATTTTCACTACCTGAAGTTCATGACACCAATTCAACCCAGAAGACAACAGCAGTTTAAATCTCAAATACATTTTCCATGCACACTTTCACATCCTTCCAGCTGGGTACACACTTTCACTTTTTCAAGCTTAAGAACATTTGTTTTTCACACACCATTTTTTCTATTTAAGTAATTGCCTTCAAGTAAGATTATGATGTACTCCTCTTTGTAACTCTTGCAGTACATAAAGCAATGCCTTGCAGAAAGTAGATATTCATTAAAAGAGCTGAATAACAGAAGATTTCAAATAGAAGCAGCATTGAGCAAACTCTCATGTTGAAAAGAGGCTGGGGGTGAAATAGCCTCTGTCGATTCTAGAGGGCAGATCTAAGGTTACTATGAATGTTATAGAAAGCAAAATGTTGATAAAATATGTTGAAGTAAATTAAAACAGACCAGGCTTGAAGAAGTTCTGAGCAGACAAATCCAAGTGGCCCTCAGAAGTAACCTAAACTTTGCTTGATTTGCAAACATATGCAAAACTCAACTTGAACTATTTCTTATAAATGCCTAAAGAGAAATGAAACTTAAGGCTAACCAATCAGAAGCTGCCAACTCATGTAGTAATACAAGTAGGAACTTTTCAGCAAGATAGACCAAATAAGGCAACTATATAATTGCAACCAATTAAATATTTCCTTTGCTTTATTTCTACATTCTCCCTATAAAAGCTTTCTCTTTGAGTTCTCTCAAGTGGCCTCAGAACCACTTTTGGTTTGGAGCTGATTCAAGAATTACCATTTGCTCAAATAAGCTCTTTAACATTTTATTGTTTCTCAATTTACTTTTTAACAATTATAAGTAACAATGTTCAAATTCTGAGATTTGCATAAAAATATGAGTATTTTTAAATATGAAATAATCCTCAATTACTAGCAGATACTGCAGTAAGGATGCCTGTCTGAATAATTAGAATGTATAATTCCCCAAATATTTTCAACCTCCAGATTCTATGATTGCCTTAAAAAAACACCAGGCATTACATTATCTTTTACTAAGTAAGAAAAAATGAAGACAAAATTAAACTAATTTTTTTTTTGAGACGGAGTCTTGCTCTGTCGACACCTGTCTAATTTTTTGTATTTTTAGTAGAGATGGGGTTTCACCATGTTAGCCAGGATGGTCTCCATCTCCTGACCTCGTGATCCGCCCACCTCAGCCTTCCAAAGTACTGGGATTATAGGCATGAGCCACCGCGCCCATCCAGAATTGAACTAATTTTTAAGATCATTGACATAAACTCTGGATTAGAGATAACTCAACATCCAGAAGGTGGTCACAGAACATGTTAGCTTCCTGATGAGTGATTGAGACTGATTCCTTTTTACTGTGGGCTTACTGGGCTTGATGAAAAACTTCCAGTCTCTAGTGCTGATTGCATCATGTGGGGTCTTCATAAATATGTGGTACTGAATTAATAATGGGGCCTAACCTGCATTTGTACAACCAAATCAAAAGGTGTCAAGGGAGAAGATGAAGTAAGGAAAGACCTTACCAGTGAAATCTGGCTTACTTTTAAAATACAACTAATCAAATTTTCTTGGACTACAATGAAGAAAGCATTCGAGAGCAATGGCGTAGAAGTTTTCTTGTCATTTTTTAGCACCAAGAATGAATCTATTTGTCTTTGTTGGGCTCATATTATAAATATATTTTCAGCAAAACATGTCAAAATATGTGTCCAGACATTTTTTTTAAATTAAAATTAGTTACCTTGGAGGGCCAGGCACTTAACACAAAAGTACTATGGCCCAATAACTTTGGAATTCCTTCTTTTGGAATTGTTGCGTTTGTATTTTTAGGGAGCTAATTCACAAATCTTTTTTTTTTCCTAAGTATTTTTGGCAAACTGTTTCTAGCTACACCTTATTATGAAATATCATTCATTTTGAAGAACTCTTATTACTATTTGGCATGACCAATTCTTCTGAGCAAAACAAACAAACAAAAAAAGGCAGTAATTTTAGAGCCAGACAAAACTGGTTTACATCTTACTCTCCTACTTTCTAGCTGTGGTTCTTTGGTCAAAATACCTAGATTATTGTGAGGATTAAAGAGTATAACTTGGCTGAGTGCAGTGGCTCATGCCTGCCATCCCAGCACTTTGGGAGGCCGAGGAGGGCAGATTATGAGGTTAGGAGTTCAAGACCAGCCTGGCCAACATGGTGAAAACCTGTCTCTACTAAAAATATAAAAATTAGCCAGGCGTGGTGGCGGGTGCCTGTAATCCCAGCTACTTGGGAGGCTGACGCAGGAGAATTGCTTCAACCCAGGAGGCGGAGGTTGCAGTGAGCCGAGATCACACCACTGCACTCCAGCCTGGGCAACAGAGCAAGACTCTGTCTTGGAAAAAAAAAAGGGTATAACTCAAGTAAAACATCCAGTATACATAACAGATACTACTAATGCTCTTTTCTCTGTCTTTCAAGCTCTTACATATAGCACTGTACTAAGCACAATGAATGAAACCAAATCAAAAACAATAAACCTAATCTTTCAGTATTTACAATCCAGCTAATCATTTAACAAAAATTTTGAAATGTCTACTAAGGGCCAGTCTTCTTCCAGATGCTTGGGATACAGTAATGAACCAAACAGACAAAACCTTGCCCTTGTGGAGCTTATATTCTAGGTAACCCAGTGGAGGGATACAGATAATGCCCAAGTAAGGCAAATATAGATTCTGACATGTGGTACAAATTGCTCCAGGGAAAGAAAATTTATGAAAAAGAGAGAAAAAATAATCAGGGTTGGGGAGGAGAAGGATGTATTGCAATTTTAGATAGGGTGGTCATGGAGAGGCTTGCTGAAGAAATGAGGTTTAACAAAAGCCCTGAAGGAAAGTGGAGAATCTAGCCAAGTCATGAGCCTCCCTAGATGAATGGGTTCCATGGGGAATTAATGCATCAGAAGAGTTATGGAATGGTGTTCACATTTGAAAAGGCCTGTTGGAAGGTAACATTGAACGAATGCAATAAAACAAGGCAGTAGAACATCAACAGGAATAAGAAAGTAGAGCAGGTAGCAGTGACACTGGGGACAACAGCAGTTGCTGCCAACCTCAGTTAGGCCTGCCATCTGGTTTCACAGCAGTTTCACCAGTGACACCTGTGACATAAATGTCAAGATCAGAGCCCAAGCCAGACCCGGAGAAGCAACAATCATACCAGAAATAAAGGGGAGCTCTCTGCCATTCTATGTCCTTGGCTTGAGAACAGAAGGAGGATGATGAAAGCAGGATAGCCAAGCCCGGGCTGCCCGGAAAAATCCAAACCTGGATGGCTGCCTGCAGGGTGGACCCAAGAACAGCTTTACGGATATGAAAAGTACAGCAGCCAAATTTAGCAACTAGAAACAGCTAGACGTCAGAGAAGTGGACAAGGCAAAATACTGCCTGTCCTTAATGCCTGGAAATATTTGTTGAAATCTTAAAAGATTAGAAAAGGGATTCTGTTTTTAACCAGGGTACAATTTTTAAACTAGGCAATAGTAGCAACTAAATGATATAGCTACACATCAGGTATTTGTACAAAATGTTCTTTTGTTTTCGTGTGTGAAAAGTGTTTTGGTAATGTATTTTTCTATTCAATATAGGGGTAGCTATATTCACTAGCATATTCCATTACTTCCAGTCATTCCTAATACATTACAGAGAACAAATAACCACTCTGTTCCTCGGTTCACTCAATCTCTTGACCACTGGAGTTTTTCCTTCCTTTCTTTTTTTTTTTTTTTAATTTTTTCTCCCCTACTTAGAATAAGGATAATCCCTCTCCTGGTTAAATCCATAAATATACTATTGGAATAAATTCAGATTATTGGGAGTAAGTAAACCATTTTTTTTGTGTTGTAAAGCAATAAAATATTTCGAATTCATTTTCTTCTTTTTCTTAATATTATTAAATATCAAGTTTTGCCTACAGGAATGAATTGAGAAGGAGTATTTTATACAAAAAGAAATTTTATTTTGGATTCTGTATTTTAAAATATTTTGTATAGCTTCATGCATGTGAATTTTAAAAGTATGTCTGGAACTCATAAGATGGTTGGATTTTGACCAGCATCTCTATCCATGTGCACAGATACAGGAGCCCACATATGTCAGATTCATGTGATTTCTACCCCACCATATTGCTGCACCAGTTTAATCTACAAATGAAAACAGAAAAAACAGCAGGCTGGAGAAGATAAAAGGGCAAAAGGCTCAGAAAAACTTACCGTCTCCCCCAGTAAAGTGACCATTTGCATTCTATATATTCATTACCAGGCTGACACTCATGAGTGACATTTTCCGTTTATTTTTCTCACTCCCAACCAAAATATATGGAAATAATTAAAAGCAAAGACTGATCTCTAAAAGCAAAAGCAAAGCATCATCATTTGGAAATTATCAAAGGGCAAGAAATGACTCATACATTTTTTGAAAAGTTCAAATCATAATCACAAATTATAAACTACATTTTATTTTGGGTTCTCAAACAGACAGAGAGAAAGAGAGAGAGGGAGGGAGGGAGAGAGAGAGAATGGTTTTAGTTCTACAAAGAAAATATTTTTCAACATTAAAGAATTTATAAATTGTAAGATATGACTAAGATTTAGAATTAAATCCCTACTTTATAAAAAAGATCTTGAGTGTGTTTTTTCTTTGTGTTGGCACTATAACCAATGCAAATTAAAATAATGGGTTTTGTGTTTGGAAGGGGGCCTCCCAAGAGATCATTTAGTCAGGCTTCTTATATTCATTAAGGATTAAACTAAAATCAGAGACAGATGGTTTTGTCACATATCTCAGAACAGAGATTTCACAACTTTCTTTGAGTGCTTATTCAACTCTTTAATCACCATCTAACTTATTCCTTAGTTATAATTTCTATCAATATTAACACTATCTAGACTATTTTCACTAGTACTTCATTGGATGAAAATGGAAGCATTATGCACATTGCTATAAGAGATTTATCAAGAGAAAATTGCCAAAATGTTTATTTAGCATTTTATTTATTGGCATTTTGAAAGGATCTATTCCCATTGGTTGAACCAAGATCCAATGACTTTGTTACAATTGCAGTAGAGTTAAAACACTGGCTGATTGTGACCATAATTCCTATAATTCTCAGCCTTCAGTCTACATTTTGCCCACCCTCTTTCTCATTTCATCTGAAGATAATTAAATGCTAATTTGATTAATAAGTTCTTGATTATTATGAAATAATATGAAATGGTTAAAGGCATGAACACAGAGATTCCTAACATGTTGTATTCTAATTATCACTCCGTATAGCGCACTGTATTTGTGTGTGTGTGTGTGTGTGTGTGTGTGTGTGTGTGTGTGTGATTTCCCTCTTTGATCCATGGATTGATTATTTAGAAGTCTGTTGCTTAATTTTGTAAAAAGGGGCCTTTTCTATATATCTAATTGTAATTGATTTCTAATTTAATTCCATTGTAGTCAAATACTCTTTGAAATGAAGTGTCACTAATTTTATGGCCTAGCATAACACCACCTGTGGAATGTTCCATGTGTATTTGAAAAGAATGTATATTCTGAAGTTGTTGGGTATAATATTCTATAAATGTCAGTTAGGTCTGCAGGTTTGATCCCTGATAATGTTATTCAAGTTGTCTATATCATTGATTTTTTGTCTTCTTGTTCTAGCAACTACTGGGATAAAATTGATAAAATCTCTAACAATTATTGTGGATTTCTCTGCTTTTTACTTTATTCTGCCATTTTTTTCTTCTTGGATTTTGAAATTCTACTTTGTTATACCCTTTTAAGATTGTCATGCCTTGTTACAAATTGGCCTTTTTTTCCCCAATAAAATGACCATTTTTATCTGTGTTAGTATCCTTTGTCTTAAAATCTACTTTTTTGATATTCATATAGCCATATCAGCTTTCTTTTGCTTAGTGTTTTCATGCTGTATCTTTTACTGATTTTTTTACTTTCAACCTGTCTGTGTTATATTTAAAATATGTGTTGAAAACAGCATACCACTGAACTTTGCTCTTTATCCAGTCTGACAATCTTAAGAGTAGTGAAAATATACACCCACAAAAAGACCTATGCAAGAATGTTCATAGTAAACTTTTTTATACTAGTTAAAACTTAGGAACAACTCAAATGCTCATCAATAGGTAAATGAAACATTATTATAACATACTTATATAGGAGAGTGCTACTCAACAACAAAAAGTTATGATATACTTACATATGCAACAAAATGGTTAAATCTAAAAAAAAAAACTGTTAAGTGACAAAAGCCAGGAAAAAAAGTAACATGCTTTATGATTCTACTTATGTGAAGTTTTTGAACTGGTAAAACTAAGCTATAGTGATAGAAATTGGAACAGTGATTGTCTCTGGGAGAAGGAGGGATTGACAGGAAAAGGGTACTGGGGTGATAGAAATATTCTACATCTTAATTGGAGCAGTTGCCAGACAGGGGAATACATTTGTCAAAACTCAAAGTAATATGCACTTAAAAATATCTGTATTTTATTTTATGGAAATTGTATTTCAATTAAAGAAAATGGCATGAGCCCAATCTCCACTACCTTTTGTCTACTTCCTATTTTCCATAGTCTATATTGGTTACACCAAGCCAGGCTGGGTAAGCTGAGACACGCTAACCATGTTTACACTGTCTTGCTGACTCTCTTTCAGTTGACAGAATTCCCATCGAGTATCTCCTATGTACTATCTCCATGTGGCCAGCAATAAGACTGTAAGCTTCTCTGATATGAATCATACTTTAATGGGAAGCACAAGTCCAATTAGGCCTCTTAGATAATTCTCTCCAAAATAATTAGGAGGTGGCTCCTTCTGGGTCTTTGCTCATAATACCATTCATACTCTCCGCTTCCAAAGAATTCAAAACCTAATTAAGTTGTCAAAATAAATACAGAGAAATTTAAGTAATAACACCGAGTCCAGTAACAACATAAGAGAACAACATACAAAAGCAATCCAAGACAGCAAGGTAGTACCCGATTTATCTGTGGTAACAATGACAAGCTTGAACAGATTTTTAAAATTTTTACAAATGTTTTTATGCACAGTATTTTACTTATCATGTACAACAATCTTAGAAGGTAGATCAGGGAGGTATAAACATCCTCATCTTTTGGATAAAGAAATTGAGTTTTTAATAAGGCTACGTCACTGGCCAAGCAAATAAGTGACAGATGCAAGACTGCAACTAGCATTTTGACTCCTGCTCCCAAAAAGGATTTATTCTATATTGCTTTTTGTTTATAAAAGGTTAACAGCATTGAGATCTGAAGTTGATGTGCAGAGGCTTCGTGGATGTGGTGGTACTTACGTTAGGCTTTAAAGGCTGGCCTGGAGTGAGAGAATATTTCAATTGCAAGGGAAAATTATGAGCAAAGGCCCAAACCCAAGCAGGACCTGACTCTGACCTATAGGAGAAACCAAAGCAGGTTGGGACAATAGCAGATGAGAAAATTAGTTGGCCTGGGGTGGAGGTTCTTGCCTTGGTCAAGTTACAGATTTTATACAGAAAGGGCGATAGTAGCCAGAGTCCAGAGGTATCAAATACAATGCCGAAAGTCAATGGCAACTTGCTGAGGCTTTTTAAAAGGAAAGTAAAATATTAAGAAGAAAACTCTATTACAAAATATGTTAAATATTATAAATTATCAATGTTACAAAAAAACTGATATGATACATATTTAAATTACAATTCTAGTACAGCTGTAAGAGTGGATAAGCAATGGGTGGGTTGTAAAGAAATGAAAGAATTAGGTGCACAAAACTTGTTTGAAATTTACTGTTAAGTGAATAAAAACAGTAGCAAAATAGAACGGAAGAGCACATTTTCAGTATGAGAGAGAGCCATACTTGCTTGAAGGCATAAAAAAGGAGTTATTAAGAATAAGAAATTAAGAATGTGAAAAGAAACTTGCTTGAGGGGACTTTTGAAATAAGAAGGCTAGGATGGGGTCAAGAACAAAGAAGAAATTGTTAAGCTGTGAAATCAAGAGGGATAACATTAAGCATGGAGAAAAGTCAGAGTAACTGGATGAAGAGATTAAAGTAAACAACAGAGGAGATTAAATTCACCACAGCACCTCAGTCTTTTCCATAAAGCCCTGTGCAAGATGCTGCTGAAAAAGAACAGAAGAGAAGAATTGGGATTGAAAAATTCAGGAAAGAATAAAGAGGCCATTTGAATTATCACTGATAAGAAATGGGTTGTGTTGGTTGTTTTCAGAAGAAATAAGATGTTATAAATGTAAAAGTTAATATATAAATTTAAACACTTGATTTTAATAAACATATATTTAAGTAAAAACATAAATTTAAGTAATAATTTATACATATATAGTATTTCCCTATGTTGAATTGACATTCTTTTTCCATTTGAATAAAGGAAAATAGAATGGTCACATATGAGGTCCAATTTTATCTGTCTAATAATCCATAAATGTAACAGAATAAAGCATCATAATAATGACCATTTTTGTTGAAATCTTACTAAGGCCAGGAATTGTCTTAAGTGTTTTACGTGTATATTTCATTAATTCAATCTTCACAATAAAATGTAGGATAGGAACAATTATTAATCCCATTTTACCAAAGGAAGCCAAAATAAGTTTATTTCTTGCTTAAGAACACATTAGTGAGTAGGGAAGCCTGAATTTGGACTATGGCAACCTGAATGTGAGTCCAAGTTCTTGACCACCATGTTTGCTTGGTGGCTAAAACCATAAATATAAACAGTAAAATGTTACTCAAAGCTTCATTTCCTGATAGAGTTAATAATCCAATATTTTATTATGTTCTATTTTTCAATTATATTTAATTGACAATTAAAAATTGTATATATTTACAGTGTGCAACTTAATATTTGCATTGTGAAATGATTAAATCAAACTAATTAATATCTCCTTCACCTCAGATATTTATATTTTGGTGGTGAGAACATTTAAAATCGACACATAGCAATTTTTGAATATGCAACACAGTATTATTAACTACAGTCATTACATAGTACAATAGATATCCAGAACTTATTCCTCCTGTTTAACTGAACTTTTGTACCCTTTGACCAACATTTTCCATTCCTCCACCCCTACAGCCCTACCCAGTAGCCCCTGGTAACCACCATTCTACTTTCTGTTTCTGTGAGTTTGACATTTTTAGATTCCATACCTAAGTTACATCATGCAATATTTGTCATTCTGTGCTTGGCTTATTTTACTCAACCTAATGTCCTCCAGGTTCATTCATGTTGTCACAAGTGACAGAATTTCCTTCTTTGTTAAGGCTGAAGAGTATTTCATTGTGTGTGTGTGTGTGCGTGTGTGTGTGTGTGCAATTCTTTATCCGTTCCTCATCTACAGATAAGACTTAGGTTGATTCCGTATCCTGTCTATTGGAAATAATGCTGCAATAAACACGACAGTGTAAATATCTCTTTATCACACTAATTTTGTCACCTTGTCTTGTTCCAGTTCTCAGGGGGAATGCTTTCAACTTTTCCCCATTCAGTATGATATTGGTTCTGGGTTTGTCACAGATGGCTTTTATTACTTTGAGGTATGTTTCTCCTATGCCAATTTTGTTGAGGATTTTTTACCATAAAGGGATACTGTATTTTATCAAACATTTTTTCTGTGTCTATTAAGACGATCATATGATTTTTATTTTTAATTGTTTATGTGATGTATCCCATTTATTGAGTTACATATGTTAAACCATCCCTGCATCCCGGGTATGAAACCCACTTGATCATGATGTATTATCTTTTTTATATGCCCTTGGATTTGCTTAGCTAGAATTTTGTTGAGAATTTTTGCATCTATGTTCATCAGGAACATTAGTCTGCAGTTTTCTTTTTTCTTGTGTCCTTTCCTGATTTTGGTATTTGGGTGATACTGACTTAATAGAATGATTTAGGGTGGATTCCTTCTTTCTCTATCTTGTGAAATAGTTGCAGTAGGGTTGGTACCAATTCTTCTTTGAATGTCTAGGTATATACCCAGAAGTAGAATTACTGGATCATACAATAGTTCTGTATTTACTTTTTTGAGGAATTTACATATTGTTTTCTATGATGGCTAATTTACAATCCCACCAACAGTGTACAACACTTTTGTTTTCTCCACATCCTTACCAACGCTTATCTTTTGTTCTTTTGATAGTAGCCATTTTTAATGAATGTGAGGTGCTATTTCACTGTAGTTTTAATTTGTGTTTTCCTGATGATTAGTGATATTGGGAATTTTATCATACACTTGTTGGCCATTTGTATGCCTTCTTTTGAGAAATGTCCATTTAGGTCCTTTGCCCATTTTGTAATCAGGTTATTATTATTATTATTATTTGCTATTGAGTTGTTGGAGTTTCTTACATATTTTAGACATTAACCCCTTATTGAACATATGGTTTGCAAATATTTTCTTCCATTCTGTAGGTTGTCTTTTCATTCTGTTGATTATTTCTTTTGTTTTGGTCTGTGATTTTGGGGTCAGATTCAAAAAATCATTGCCCAGATCAATGTCATAGAGTTTTCCCCTATATTTTCTTCTAGTACTTTTACAGTTTTAGGTGTTCTGTAAGTTGTTAATCCATTTTGAGTTGATTTTTGTATATAGTGTGAGATAAGGGTCCAATTTCATTCTTCTGCATGTGGATACCAAGTTTTTCCAACATCATTTACTGAAGAGACTGTTCGTTTCCCATTTTGTGTTCTTGGTACTTTTGTCAAAGATTTATTGACCATAAGTGCATGGATTTATTTCTGGGCTTTTGGTTCTGTTCCATTTGTGTGCTGATTTTTATGCCAGTACCAAGCTGTTTTGATCACTACAACTTTGTAATGTATTTTGAGATCAGGCAGTGTGATGCAACCAAGTTTCATTATTTTTACTTAAGATTGCTTTGACTGTTTGGGGTAACTTGTGATTCCATATGAATTTTAAGATTTAAAAAATATCTATTATGTCATTGGAATTTTTATACGGATTTCATTGAATCCACAGATCACTTTAAGTACTCTGGGTATTTTAAGAACATTAATTCTTTCCACTCGTTAACACGGGATATCTTTCTTTTTATGTGTGTCTTATTTAATTTCTTTAATCCATGTTTTATAGTTTTTGGTGTACAGATATTTCACCTCATTAAGTTTATTCCTCAATATTTTTGATGCTTTAAAATGATATTGTTGTCTTGACTTCTCTTGCAAATAGTTGATTCTTAGTGTTTAGAAACACTACTGATTTTTGTATGTTGACTTTGTATCCTGCAATTTTACTGAATTTATTTATTAGTTCTAACAGGTTTTTTTGTACAGACACAATCAGATTTATTTTTTACCTATTACTTTGGTAGTATGGAGGATGTGTAGCATCTGAAACCTTTTACGGTAGGATATAAGATAAAAGCCTATTGCAAGAGCCCAGGCAAAAGACAATGAATGTCTAAATCCACGCAGAAATAATGAGAGTAAGAAAATGATCTAAGCAGTTCTGAGTTTCCGTCAATACAATTTGAAGTTTGACTGCATGTTGATCGAGAAGGAGTTGCAGAAGCTGAAGAGGACTCCAAGATTCTTGTTTGGGAAACTTGATACACAGGAAACAGAAACCTTCCCTGGCTTTCCCGGCCCTTACTCATCTTCATCTTCTTTGAAGCTCAATTTCATGTGAAGATACCTCAAATTTATGGAGAAAGAATGAAAGTTGCATTTAAGAAAAATTATTCTGCCTTAAGATATTGGAGAAAGAAGAAGACTAAAATTAAGAACACTAGTAAAAAATCATTTCCAGGAATAAACCCAAGTCTGCTTGAAATTAAATGATGGAGGGAGTGTTGGTGGTGGTGAATAGATACTTCTGAGTATTTCATGAAAGAAAAAATTAGTTGAAGTTTGAATGACTAATAAGCATAGCCTTTGGTAATACAAATATATGTATTATTCTTAAAATTATGTTAATATTTCCGTAGTTCATTAGACCATCATAGATTTTCTTCTACAACAAAGAGTAAAATGATGATCTTTCCAAAAAAGTTCAAAATCATATTCTTTAGTAACTAAAATGAAATATAATAGAGAAAATATTATAACAGAAATGTAATAAAGAGCCAGGCATGGTGGCACATACCTATGGTCCCAGCTACTCAGAGGCTGAGCAGGGAGGATCACTTGAGCTCAGGATTTCAAGACTGCAATGAGCTATGATTGCACCACTAGACTCCAGCCTGGGTGATAGAGTTAGACCCCATATATTAAGAGAAAAAAAAGAAGAAAGAAAGAAAGAAGAAGGAAAAAAAGTATAATAAAAAAGAAATAATAATATTTTTTCCTTATTTAAATGTTGTTTGTTTAGCTCAACATGAAAATACTATTAAGAAAGAATACTGTGTTGTTTCAGGCAAACAGTATAAAAAATGAATGGATTTTCATTTGAAGGAAAGCCTAACTATAGTTTTACTATGGAGGTTGATAGTGGGAAAAAAGCTACCAATATTTTAATGTTCAATATTTTTTTGAGTTAAGGGATACGATAAAAGATTATGATCTAATTAAACTAAAGAGCTTCTGCACAGCAATATATATATATATATATATATATATATATATATATATATATATAGATCAACAGAGTAAACACATAACCTAGAGAATAGGAGAAAATACTTGCCAACTATGCATCTGACAAAGGTCTAATATCCAGCATCTATAAGGAACTTAAACAAATTTACAAGAAAAAAAAACAAACAAACAACCCCATTAAAAAGTGGCCAATGGACATGAACAGACACTTCTCAAAAGAAGAAATGCATGTGGCCAACAATATATATGTTGTGGCCAACAAAGCATATAAAAAAACTCTACATCACTTATCATTAGAGAAATGCAAATCAAAACCACAAAGAGATACCATCTCACACCAGTCAGAATAGCTATTATTAAAAGGTAAAAAAATAACAGATACTGCAGAGATTGTGGAGAAAAAGGAACACTTACTTATACACTGTTGGTGGGAGCGTAACTTAGTTCAATCATTGTGGAAGACATTGTGGTGATTCCTCAAACAACTAAAGACTGAAATGCCATTTGATCCAGCAATCCCTTTACCAGGTATATACCCAAAGGAATATAAATCACGCTATTATAAAGACACATGCATGCATATGTTCATTACTGCACTACTCACAATGGCAAAGACATGGAATCAACCTAAATGCCCATCAGTGATAGAGTGGATAAATAAAATGTGGTACATATACAACACAGAATATTATGCAGCCACAAAAAAAAGAATGAGATCATGTCCTCTTCAAGGACATGGTTGGAGCACGAGGCCATTATCCTCAGCAAAGTAACACAGGAACAGAAAACCAAATATGACATGTTTGCAGGCATAAGTAGGAGCTAAATGATGAGAACACATGAACATATAAAGGAAACCAACACACACTGGGGCCTATCAGAGGGTGTGTGACAAGGTGGGAGGAGGAGAGGGTCAGGAAAAATAACGAATGGATACTAGGTTTAATACCTAGGTGATGAAATCATCTGTACAACAGTTCTCAGGGGGAATGCTTTCAACTTTTCTCCATTCACTATGATGTCGTCTGTGGGTCTGTCATAGATGGCTTTTTATTACCTTAAGGTATGTCCCTTCTATGCTGATTTTGTTGAGGGTTATAATCATAAAGTGATGTTGGATTTTGTCAAATGTTTCTTCTGGATCTATTTAGATGATCATGTGATTTTTTAAAATTCTGTTTATGCAGTGTATCACATTTATTGACTTGTGGATGTTTAACCATCCCTGCATCCCTGGTACAAAACCCACTTGATCATAGTGGATTATCTTTTTGATATGCTGTGGGATTTGGTTAGTGCAGGATTTTGCCCACTTTCACCACTTCTATTCAACATAGTATTGGAAGTTTTAGCCAGATGAATCAGACAAGAGAAAGGAATAAAGGACATCTAAATTGGTAAAGAGGAGGTCAAACTGTCACTGTTTGCTGAGGACATAATTGTATACCTGGGAAACACTAAACACTTATTCAAAAAGCTCCTGCAACTGGTAAACGAATTCAGCAAAGTTTTGATACAAAGTTAATGTACCCAACTCAGTAGCTCTGCTATACTACCAACAGTGGCCAAGCTGAGAATCAAATCAAGAACTCAACCCCTTTTACAATAGCTGCAAAAAAAAAAAATAGAATACTTAGGAATATACTTAACGAAGGAGATTAAAGACTTCTACAAGGAAAACTACAAACACTGCTGAAAGAAATCATAGACAACACAAACAAATGGAAACACAACAAATTCCCATAAAAATACCACCATTATTCTTCATAGAACTAGAAAAAATAATCTTAAAATTCATATGAAAATAAAAAGAGCCCGCATAGTCAGAGCAAGACTAAACAGAAAGAACAAATTTGGAGGCATCACATTACCTGAATTCAAACTATAGGGCTATAGTCACCAAAACAGCAGGTACTGGCATAAAAGTCAGCATATAGACCAATGGGACAGAATACAGGATTCAGAAATAAAGCCCAATGTTTACAGCTTTGACAAAGCAAACAAAAAAATAAAGTAGGGAAAAGACTCCCTATTCAATAAATGGTGCTGGGATAATTGGCAAACCACATGTAGGAGAATGAAACTGGATCCTCATATTTCACCTTATACAAAACTCAATTCAAGAGGGATCAAGAACTTAAATTAAGACCTGAAGCCATAAAACTTCTAGAACATCAGAAAAACCCTTCTAGACATTGGCTTGGGCAAAGACTTCAAAACCCAAAAGCAAGTGCAACAAAAACAACAATAAATAGATGAGACTTATTAAACTAAAAAGCTTCTGACCAGCAAAATAAATACTTGGCAGAGTAAACAGACAACCCACAGAGTGGGATAAAATATTCACAATCTATACATCTGACAAAAGACTAATATCCAGAGTCTACAATGAACTCAAACAAATCAGCCAGAAAAAAACAAACAATCTCATCAAAAGTGGGCTAAGGACGTGAATAGACAATTCTCAAAAGAAGATATATAAATGGGCAACAAACATATGAAAAAATGCTCAACATCACTAATTATCAGGGAAATGCAAATCAAAACCACAATGAGATATCACCTTACTCCTGCAACAATTGATACAATCAAAAAATAATAGATATTGGCATGGATGTGGTAAAAAGGGAACACTTTTACACTGTTGGTGGGAATATAAACTAGTACAACCATTACTGAAAACAATGTGGAGAGTTCTTAAGAACGAAAAGTAGATATTACCATTTGATCCAGCAATTCCACTACTGAGTATCTACCCAGAGGAAAGGAAGTCATTATACGAAAAAGATAATTGCACACGCATGTTTATAGCAGCACAATTCACAATTGCAAAAATATGGCACCAGCCCAAACGCCCATTAATCACTTGTTGATTAATATATATATTATTCTATGTGTATATACATATATAATTATACATATACAAATATATATGAATACTGCTTTGTCTTAAAAAGGAATGAAATAATGGCTTTCTCAGCAATTTTGATGGAATTGGAGACCATTATTCTAAGTGAAGTAACTCAGGAATGGAAAACCAAACATCGTAAGTTCTCACTCACAAATGGGAGCTAAGCTATGAGGATGCAAAGGCATAAGAATGATACAATGGACTTTGAGGACTCAGGGGAAATGGTGGGAGGGGGTGAGAGATAAGAGACTACACATTGGGTACAGTGTACACTGCTTGGGTCAGGGTGCACCAGAATCTCAGAAATCACCACTAAAGAACTCATCCATGTAACCAAACACCACCAGTTCCCCAAAAACCTATTGAAATTTTTTTAAAAAAGAAATAATGGGTAAAACAAACCCTCATCACACATGTTTACCTGTGTAACAAACCTGCACATTCTGCACATGTGCCCCTTCACTTAAAATAAAAGTGAAAAAAAGTCCCACCTATTATTTGAGATGGGCAAGAAATACACATACACAGAAGTGAAACATCCAGACCGTATTGCAACCATAATGTGTATCCTTTTACCTTTCCCAGGCAGAATAGATATCTGGATAAAACACTAGTTTGTATTGCACCCTTTTTTCCACTTGTGACATTTTTCAGTAATTATCAGCTTAAAAAATAGAGATAATTTCAACTGATAACCAAAGCACTCAAAAGCCATTTTCATTGTATAGATTAATCAATACCCAGAGCCACAGTAAATTATACTCTTTATTGCAAATCAACACTTTGGTATGACTGAAATGTTTCTTTTCCTTTTTTTTAACCATCTAAAACACAATTGACATCGTACACAGTGATGCAGAGTGACTAAAACAATGGGAAGCTCAGGCAAGTACAACAGGAGGTAATGGAATCACAGCAATATTCTGTGACAAAGATAATTTGTATCAACAAAGGTCAATATGAAGGACGTCCCAAATTGATCTCAACTCATTGGTGTACCCCACTTGAGGTGATTCACCTTATTTTATTTCTGAAAGTGATTTAAAAAGGACAGATAAAGTTAATAGAGCAAAGCCAAGGTTAAAACATTTAACAGCACACCAATCACCTAGTATATAACTTCCCTGTTTCACTTACAATTCAGAACTGGAGTATTTAGCAACCTCTGGCCTTCTGAATGAGAAGACAACCTTGCTTTCCTTGTTGATTTACTCTGTAGTACTTTAGAAACAGATACCAGCCTAACAATGATCCTATTAATGTGGACTGGAAGAAATATAGAAGTGGAAGACACTTTAGAGATAATCTAGTCCAGTTCTTCTACAAAAGATAAAATTGAGAATTATGGAATTTAGAAGTATAGTTGGCTCTCTATATTTGTGGATTCTGCATCTGTGAGTTTAACCAACCATGGATCAAAAATATTTTTTAAAAATTGCATCTGTACCCAACATGTACAGCCAACTTTTTCTTGTCACTATTCCCTAAACATTACAATATGACAACTGTTTACATAGCATTTACATTGTATTAGGTGTCATAAGTAATGTAGAGATGTTTGAAAGTATATGGGAGGATGTGCCCAGGTTATATTCAAATACCACACATACCTTTTTTTTTTTTTTTTTTTGAGACGGAGTTTCACTCTTGTCACCCAGGCTGGAGTGCAGTGGCACAATCTCAGCTCACTGCAACCTCCACCTCCTGGGTTCAAGTGATTCTCCTGCCTCAGACTCCCGAGTAGCTGGGATTACAAGTGCCTGCCACCACCCCCAACTCATTTTTTTGTATTTTTAGTAGAGAGGGGGGTTTCTTCATGTCGGCCAGACTGGTCTCGAACTCCTAACCTCAGGCGATGCACCCGCCTCAGCCTCCCAAAGTGCTGAGATTACAGGCATGAGCCACCATGCCTGGCCACCACACCATTTTATATCAGGGACTGCACAGAGTTTGGTATTCATCTGAGTCCTGGAACGAATCCTCCATGCATACTGAGGGATAACTGTATGCAGCTGGTGACTTTCAGTTGAAGCCAGTGCTCATTTACCATTCCAAAAATCCTAGGGCCCTTAAGAATTATGCTAAATGTATTCAGCCTATGCTCTGTGAATGAAACAATAAAGTCTGAATGACAGCACATCTGTTTACAGCATGGTTTACTGAATATTTTAAGCTCACAGTTAAGATTTACTGCTCAGAAAAAAACTATTCTTTTCAAAATATTACTGCTCATTGACAATGCACCTAGTCACTCAAGAGCTCTGATGGAGATCTGCAAGGAGATTAACGTTTTCATGCCCGCACTCCATGGATCAAGGAGTCATTTTGATCTGCAAGTCTTATTAAGAAATCCATTTTGGCCGGGCGCAGTGGCTCACGCCTATAATCCTAGCACTTTGGGAGGCCGAGGCAGGCGGATCATGAGGTCAGGAGATAGAGACCATCCCGGCTAACACGGTGAAACCTTGTCTCTACTAAAAATACAAAAAATTAGCCGGGCATGGTGGCGGGCGCCTGTAGTCCCAGCTACTCGGGAGGTTGAGGTGGGAGAATGGCGGGAACCCAGAAGATGGAGCCTGCAGCGAGCTGAGCCGAAATCATGCCACTGCACTCCAGCCTGAGTGACAGATCAAGACTCCGTCTCAAAAAAAAAAAAAAAAAAAAAAAAATCCATTTTTAGGGCTACAGGTGCCATACATAATGATTCCGTGAATGGGTCTGGGCAAAGTAAGTTGGAAAACTTTTGGAAAGAATTCACCATTCTGAATGTCATTAAGAACATAAATGATTCATAGGAGGAGGTCAAAATATCAACATTAACAGGAATTTGGAAGAAGTTGATTCCAGTCGTCATGGTTGATTTTGAGGGGTTCAAGAATTCGGTGGAGGAAGTAACTGCAGATGCGGTAGAAATAGCAAGAGAACTAGAATAGAAGTGAAGCCTGAAAATGTGACTCAATTGCTGTAATCTTATGATAAAACTTGAATGAATGAGGGATTGCTTCTCATGAATGATCAAAGTAAGTGGTTTCTTGAGATGGAATCTACTCCCAGTGAAGATGCTATGAATATTGTGAAATGATAACAAAGGATTTAGAATATTACATAAACTTGTTGATAAAGCAGTGGCAGGTTTTGAGAAGATTGACTCCAATTTGAAAGGAGTTCCACTGTGGGTAAAATGCTATCAAACAGGATTGCATGCCAAAGGGAAATCTTTCATGAAAATATGAGTCAATCAATGCAACAAACTTCATTGTAGTCTTATTTTAAGAAGTTGCCACAGCCACTCAACCTTTAGCAACCACCACCTTGATCAGTCAGCAGCCATTGACATCCAGACAAGATCCTCCACCCACATAAAGATTATGACTTGCTGAAGACTCAGATGATTATTTGCATTTGTAAGCAAGAAAATATTTTTAAATTAAGGTATGTACATTGCTTTTTCAGATGTAATTCTATTACATACTTAATAAACTATAGTATAGTGTAAACATAGGTCTTTTTTTAAATTTTATTTTAGGTTCAGAGGTACATGTGAAGGTTTGTTATATAGGTAAACTGCATGTAACAGGGATATAGATTATTTTGCCATCCAGGCAATAAGCTTAGTACCCAATAAGCACTTTTCTGTGATCCTCTTCCTCCTCTCACCTACCTCCCTCAAGTAGGTCCCAGTGCCTATTGTTCCCCTCTTTGTGTCCATGAGTTCTCACTGTTTAGCTCCCACTTGTAAGTTAGAACATGTGGTATTGGGTTTTATGTTCCTCAGTTAGTTTGCCTACTATAATAGCCCCCAGCTCCATCCATGTCCCTGCAGAGGACATAATCTTATAATCTTTTATGGCTGCATAGTATTCCATGGTATATATGTATCACATCTTCTTTATCCAGTCCACTGTTGATGAGTATTTAGGTTGATGCCATGTCTTTGCTATTGTGAACAGTGCTGCAGTGAACATAGGTGTGCATGTGTCTTTATGGTAGAACCATTTATATTTCTTTGGGCACATACCCAATTATGGGGTTGCTGGGTTGAATGGTTATTCTTCTTTAAGTTCTTTGAGGAATCACCACACTGTTTTCCATAATTGCTGAACTAATTTACAATCCCACCAACAGTGTATAAGCAATCCCTTTTCTCTGCAATCTCTCCAGCAAGCAACGGACAAAGGACTTCCTGTTTAATAAACAATGCTGGGATAACTGGCTAGCCATATGCAGAAGATTGAAACTGGACCACTTCCTTATACCATACAAAAAATAAACTCAAGATGGATTAAATACTTAAACTTAAAACCTAAAGCTATAAAAACCCTAGAAGGTAAGCTCATAAATACCATTCCAGACACAGGATCTGGCAAAAGTTTCATGACAAAAATGCCAAAGCGATTGCAACAAAACTAAAAATTGACAAATAGGATGTAATTAAATTTAAGAATTTCTGCATAGCAAAAGAAATTCAACAGAGTAAACTGACAACCTACAGAATGGGAGAAAATATTTGCAAACTATGCATCTGACAAAGTTCTACTATCCAGAATCTATCAGTAATTTAAACAAATTTACAGGCAAAAAACAAAAAACAAAAACAACAACAACAACAACAACAACAAAACCACCATTAAAATGTGGGCAAAGGACGTGAGCAGACACTTTTCAAGTGACATACATGTCAAGAAGACATACATGGGACAAACGTATGAAGAAAAAACTCAACATCACTGATCATTAGAGAATGCAAATCAAAACCACAATGAGGCTGGGTGTGGTGGCTCACGCCTGTTATCCCAGCACTTTGGAAGGCCGAGGGGGGTGGATCACTTGAAGCCAGGAGTTCGAGACCACCCTGGCCAGCATGGTGAAAACCCATCTCTATAAAAATATAGAAATTAGCTGGGCCTGGTGAGGGGCGCCTGTAATCCCAGCTACTCGGGAGGCTGAGGCAGGAGAATGGCGTGAACCCGGAAGGCGGAGCTTGCAGTGAGCCAAGATCGCGCCGCTGCACTCCAGCCTGGGTGACAGAGCAAGACTCCGTCTCAAAAACAACAACAACAAGAACAACAACAACAAAAACAACAACAACAAAACACAGAAACAAAAACCACAATGAGATACCATCTCACACACCAGTCAGAATGGCTATGATTAAAAAGTGAAAAAATAAGTCTCTTATAGACTAGGAAGTCAAAAAAATCATGTGATTCACTTTGTGATAATTGCTTTTCTGGTGGTGTGGAACTGAACCCGTAATATCTCTGAGGTATGTCTGTAAATAAAGGATGTGCCAATAGAAGACCACAATTATACCTGAATTCCATGGCAAGGGCTGAAGGAAGAGCAAGTTTTGCAGCAATAGCAGGACACTGCAAGTGTCACTAATGTTTCTGAAATATTTCCCACCAGATGGGAAAGTCTGTGCCCAGCTTTTAGGTGTGGACAGTTATGTCAGACAAAGAACAGGAATACCACTACCCTTGAACGCAACTAAATTCAGGAAATGATGCGTCAGTTCCCATGGTTGGTCCTAGCCATCAAACCTACACAAACTCTGCTGTGATTGGTTCTTAGTTTCCTTAGGCCACTGTATATTTAAATGAGCAAAGTTAAAAAAAAAAGTTTTAACTTTGTTACAAGTTGAACTAGTAACTGTTAAAACAAAGTTATAGCTTCTCCTCAGCCTAAAAGACTTTTAGATGTTTACAGGAAATAAGCAATATTTGATAGAATCATCTAAAATACAAATGTTATACAGCATAGAGTATCTTCTGTAATGATGAGTAAGCAGGAAAAAAAATCGCCAAACATATGAAAAGATACCATTGTTCAAAATAAGAAGCAGAAGAGAACATTTTAATTTTAGGATATACTCTGATTAAGATTAAAGAGGACACTTTAATTATGAAAGGAAAGCTGACAGTTAGCAAGGGAGTCCAGTTGGATATAGCGTGGATACCTGTAAAAATAGTTAAATTCATAAGTTCAGTATAAACAGTAATAAGCATATTTGAAAATGCAGAAATTAAGTTTGTTAAATGGAAGTCTGTGATAACTTCCCAATATCTCAGAGTAAAAAGTTAATTAGATGGAAATAATTATTAAGAATGTAAAGATATACATGGTGCAAAAGCCCTGAGGATGCTATCATTAAAGATAGTAAATTGAAAAGGAAAAACTAAGGCTACCACAGTTGTTGCAACGAATTCTAATCTCAAGAACAAATGAAATCTTTTAACAAAAAGAGTCTGTAAATCAAACAGGATTATGGAATAGTATTTACATTAAAGAAAATAGGCCAGGTGCAGTGGCTCACCCCTGTAATCCCAGCACTTTGGGAGGCCGAGGTGGGTGGATCACCTGAGGTCAGGAGTTTGCGATCAGCCTGACCAACAAGGTGAAATCCCATCTCTACTAAAAATACATAATTAGTCGGCCGTGGGGGCAGGTGCCTGTAGTCCCAGCTACTCAGGAGGCTAAAACAGGAGAATTGTTTGAACCCGGGAGGCGGAGGTTGTAGTGAGCCGAGACTGCGCCACTGCACTCCAGCCTGGGCGACAGAGCGAGAGACTCCATCACCAAAAAAAAAAAAAAAAAAAAGAAAAGAGCCCCAAATGAAAACATTTCCTGTTGAGCTAGAGAAGGTCAAAGGATAAAGAAAAACATCCATCAAGTTTCTGGTAGGGGAAAATGGTTTGTTTCCAAGGGGGGTGGGCGGGGAAGAAAAATCTGGCTGTATCTTATCTTCTGCATATTAGATGTCTGAGGATAAAAGAACAAAATATATTTTTAAGAAAAATATTTGCGTATCAACTGAAATTATCATTATTACATGAGGGCATTACAGAAATATTTTCATCTACCAGCAGCTGAGAAAATATATCATCAATATCTCCTTCATGAAGAGGTGACTCTAAGATACACTTCAGCTCTACAGAAGATGCTAGAAGAAATGGTAATACATGGTAATAATGGTAACATCCTTAGTTAGGATATGGGGTTAAACCATAGAGCCATATTTTAATAATTGTTAGGATATGGAGTTAAACCATAGAGCCATATTTTAATAATTGTTAGGATATGGAGTTAAACCATAGAGCCATATTTTAATAATCGTGGTTAGTAAGGTTATAAAATAATACGCTTATGGAGAACATTTTTAAATTAACGTGAATACCAAATCATGTACATTTTTTTAAACTGGAAAATAGTTGGAAGGGAAAGAAAAAACAATATTTTTATCTTATGTAAGGGTAGTTAATAGATAGTTTCATTTATGAGGCTGATGGTTTCTTTTAAAATAATGGAATGAAATAAGGCAATACATGCATTCCAAAAAGCTAGAAAAAATAGAAGAAGAAAAAATAAAGATGGGAAAAACTGCAGTTGATATACCCCTATGGGAAAATCAAGAAAAATATAAGAAAAGTAGAAACCACAAAACAAGTTATGAGAAGAAAAATCAAATATTATCTGATATTTAAAATAATAAATTTTGAATTGGTTAATTTATAATTAACCAACACAAAGTACCAAATTAGATCACAAAGCAAAAGTTGAACAGATGTTTATTTGAAAGAAGCATAGAACAGATTGCCAAAATTAAAAATAAAAAATGGACAAAAATATATCAACAAATACAAACAAAAATTTAGGTTTTCCAATGTTATTAGAGAGAAAACATATCTCAACACAAATAACTTAAATGGATAAGTAAGGTAATTTTGTACTTGTAAATGTTCTAATAAATATATACTGGTCATAAAATCATAAAGTTAATAGTAGTACGTTATTATGCAAAGCTGTTAATTGTAGAAGACATGAATTCATTTTTCTTAGCTTTTGAGAGATGAAAAGTATGCAAACAAAATTATTAACTATGTTAAAATCTTTGAATTTTTCTACAAAATGTGTACGTCTATGAAAGTGAAATTGTCAAAATGATGTAAGAAGTGAAAACTTGATCAGGAAATTAATAAGGAAATGAGTTAAAAGAAATATGCAAAACCACTTTAAAATAACAATAAAACATGTTTACAGGTGAGTTTTTATTTTCTAGCAAATAAATATTGATATTATCTAGAAACAACTTATTTCCACATTTTGTAAACACATTCAAAGGATAGAAAAATAGGAAAATTACTCAAAAATATTTTTGAAGCAAATATAAATTTGATAGTAAACTTTTCCGAAAGAACACCCTCAAAAATGAAATCTACAGCCAATATCATTAATGAATACAGTTATAAACTTCTTAAATAAAACATACAACTACTTAATAACATAATGCCCCAAAATAAGATCCAAAATAGTAATGAAAAAATGGTGCAGTACTTAAAAATATATTAATGAAATACATGACATTAATGGGCCAAAACAGAATATGAACTACATCTAGATGCTTAAAAGTCATCTAACAGATATCACATTTATTTATAAATTATAATAAATTCTCTTCATAAAGAGAAATATCCTTACATTATGAAGTTGATCTGTCTCAAATCAAATTTACATCAATATATCACTAAGGATATTGATGTAAATGTAATTTAGTGAAGAGCCACTATAAATATTTATGTCAAAGTTAGGAAACAGCAGGAAATTTGCACTATTAATATTTTCCAGGAAAATCTGACAATATAACTGGGGGTAAACATTAGTTAGAAATAAGTAAAGGAATGATTGCTTAGAAATATTAGCAAAGAAAGGCATGACATAATTGTCCTAATTATTTTCAGACAAAATTATGTACCTAGAAAAGCTAAAAACTCAACAGAAAAATAATAAAATTAATAGGATATATCAGTAATATAGTTATACCTATACATTTCTCTATATAGGTTCATTCATTCAGAAACTTAAATACTGTCAAACATCTATACTTGATCATTGTAGTGTAATGTGACTATATAGACCAGAGTCTGCAACTTAGTTTCTACAAGGGATGATTTAGTAAATAATTTTGGCTTTGTGGGCCATATTGTCTCTGTTGCAAGTATACAGTTCTCACCTTGTAGGAAGAAAACAGTCATGGAAAATTTATATAAAAATAAGCATGGCTGTGTCCCAATAAAACTTATTTATGGACATTAAACTTCAAACTTAATATAATTTTTACATGTCATGAAGTATTATTCTTTATCTCTCCAAACCATCTTAAAAGAGGCTGTAAAAGACCATGGTTTGCTGAGTCATAAATAGGCTATAAGTGGCCTCTCAATGATATTATCACAAATCAATCTGGTAGGTATTATGCACATCAGAAACAGAACTGTCAAAGTCTATGCATGTCATGAAGAATTTCATAAACTTCATGGAAGAAAGATTACCAGCTCTAGAAAGGAGATAGAAGTGAATTTGGAATGTAAAGGTTAAGAAGGGCAGGTAGAAGATCCTGAGGAGTTTAATAAACCAGTGAAATCATCTTCTGTTCCAGTTTATGTAGATGAAATAATAAGAACCCCCCTATCCTTTCATGTTCTAGGAAATTACTGTAAAGAATGACCCTTCCCCATATAGCACAGGCAAAACTTACAAATGTCCCCCATTCACCTGTGATGAGACCCAACACAGAACTTCAAAATTCCCATTCTTTACCTCATAAATGATAAGCTAAACTGCCCGTCCCCACTGACCAATGGGAACAAAATGCCTATTAACCAAATTTTGGTTAAGATTTTCTACTTTCCCCAAATCCCTGAATTTTGACTTACTTTCAAGATGAAGCAGCCACACCCCCCCTCCCCTTACATAGTCCCTCAAGGTAGCAGGCTGGTCTCAGAGTGGAACATTCTCTGTCAGATCATACCACCCTTAAATCCCTCTTCTCCCCATCCAGTTCATTCTAGCCTTGTTTACTCCTCTCTCTAAAAGAGAAATCTTTGCCTAACTCTTGAGATCCTTGCCCTTTCCCCACCTTGTAATCATCCCTGAAGATAAAATCTCTCCTTACTGTGAATAAAAATAAAAATCTGACCTTTTTTTTGTCACAATCCCATGTAAAAATCAGCAAGAATTTCCCAGTAAATAAAATTTTCCTTTTTTTGTTTAATGGCATGATGCTCTTTTTTAAATAAAAAATTAATTTAAAAAGAATGTGCATTTTCAGGGAAATAATTGATAAATAAAATGCATTTACTAGTTTTACTTTAATGAGTCTTTGGGATTTAAGTAGTGTTTTGTTCATCTTAAATTTAAATGATATATACTTGATAACTGAACATGAGGATAGACAGCAGATAGATTTTTCAGTTAACTTGTATGATATATTTATACTAGTTAAATGTTTTCTTCAAATGTTGACAGAAAGTCCCCTCTATACTTTTTCCAAAGTATTAAGATGCTTATTAATATCTTGATGCATTCAGATATGCAGAATATATGCATGGGATATTTCTAAATTTAGATATCTGTGTCTAGTTTTATTACCTGTGAACTAAGTTTTCCTGACTTGCTTCTATTTTTTTTTCGTACTTAGATCTTGTCTATGGGATTTATACAGACACCAACAATATAAGATTTTCTTTAAAAGCATATTAATTACTTTCACATCTAAGCTCTGCTCTGGAGTCAGACTCCTGGATTTTATTTTGTCTTAGTTTTTAGCTATATGATCATGAAGGTATTTAAAATCTATGTTCTTCAGTAGCCTTATATTTTAAATTTAGTCATAATAGTACCTAATTCACATGATCGTTGTGAGGATAAAAAAATTGGATCCATGTGAATTATTCCAACAGTGCCTGTATTATAGTAAATATTTCATAAATGTTAGCTATTATATTAATCAAAGTCTTAGCAGAAAACAGATGACACACCCCAAGAGGAGATTTTAATTGAGAGATTAAAACAAAAAAGGATTATTTACAAAGGTATATTAGGGTTAAGGAAAAGAAACAAAGCAGAGTGCACCCCAAGGCTAGCAGCAGCAGGAGGCAAAAAGAGGAAATAATAATTAGAATCAGAGGGAGTAGGGGCCACTTGGCAGGAGTTGTGGTGTTTACATTCAACCACAGTAATCTGGCAGGGAAGGATCTGGGGAATAAATGCCCTTACCTCACTCATGGCATAGAGAACTTAAACCACACAAGATAATCGTCACTGGGCCAGAAGAGACCTAACATATCAACATACGCAGCACTTTGCATGAAATTCCTGAGATAAAATATCATCACGCTATATTTGAACGTGTACTTGTAAAAATACACCCTTTGACTTTTTTCTTTTATTATTTCTACACATATTATCGTTTCTTTTGTTTTGTTTTCTACCACCACGACTCTCACTTGAATCACAGATGTTCCATTGGTTCTTACCACCTATTATATTAGAACATCACAAATACTTGTCCTTGTCTATGAGCCACTCAGCAACACACTTTGTTGTTGTTGTCTGGTTGGTTGGTTTGGTTTGGCTAGATTTTGCTTACATATTCCTGAGTCCATCTTTGCTACTTGCTGTAAAGGACACTAGGTTCTGAAACGTTTTCCTGTATTTGTTAGAAACATTGTCACTAAAACTAAAATAGTATATACTGAATTATAGTCAGAAACCATCACATCTTTTAGAATGTTTTGAGTTGTAAAATATATTTAATATTATATTAAATCATATTTTGTTCTGTTGATTACTCCTTATGGTCTTTAATAATAAGCAGATTTTTTTGGTTGAGTCAATTAAGGTCAGAAATCTGGGAAACCAGAATCTCAGAAAAATGATGAAGAACATGGGATCAAATTTGTTGGTAGTTAAGGCAGTATCTCAAATCATTCTACAATTCAGGTTTTGAAATTCCTGCAAAAAACACATTCCTTGCCATCTCAATGTCAGAAGATCACTGCAACCTACATTTTATCCTTTCCTATAGCAGCCAGGTCATTGTATTTTATAAGCTGCATTCTTGACGATAGATAGATAATAATGATGTGGGGAAGTTAGGCTGTGTATATGTGTGTGTACATGTTCGTGTGACTATTGTTGGTTAATCTGTTATTGGTTGTAAAAATTACTCATGGAGTTAGAGAGCTCCTTGTGAACAAGATTTGGAAATAGAGATTTTTTTTGTGTGTATATGTGTGCCTGTGTGTGTGTGTGTGTGTGTGTGTGTGTGTGAAATAGAGCAAGAGGGCACCGTTTCCCTAAATTATAATTATTATTTACATTTCTGTTAAAATTTTCTATATACTATATCCATATCATTTTACAAATCACCATAAAGTCTACTCAAACAAACACTAAATTTAAAAGCTATTAAAGGCAGTTGTATTAAAGCAAACTATTGAGAGCTATTTTAATAGGTCACTTGAAGTAGGACATAGTTATGTTGTAAAACTAAGAAATTCCAATAGTACCTTGATTGAAGTTTTAAATGAGTAGAGCTCAGCATATGTATTACCTCCTATGGAGGGCAGTATATGTAGATACTGGGTAGCTTGATAGAACCATACAAAACAATATCTGTCCTTATATAGTACACAATTAAATATGACAGATGACCCAGGTCCACATATATCTGGCTACTTCACATTACAAGTGTAGAGATAGGTGCAGAGTAGAATGGAAGTATATGCTGCATGTGAAAACAGAGAGAACATTATAAAGGAAGTGACGTTTGAGTTAGATTTGATTAGGACAAAAGTTTATATACATTTCTGAAGCAGAGATTATTAAGAAAAATTCACTGAAATCCTGGAATCTATGGAGGGCAGAAATATATTCAGTGGAATTTTTTTTCAGTATATGATTATGTGGAAAGTGATCAATTTTATCATAGCTAGTTAGCATATTTATATTAGATAAGACTTTCTATAAATCAAGTAGTATAGACATTAGGTGGTAAACAATGGAAAATACTTAAGCTGAGATTTAGAACAAAACATGCTTGAAGACTCTTTAGGAGAGTTAACTGGGTGGCTTCCATTAGATCTTGGTGATTTATATAAACTAAGGTAGTAAATAATTTTATTACACTTAAGGGATTGAAAACACAAAACGATGAGGTCAATTTTCCCAACTGAATTGAGCAGGAAAATAAATAACATTCATTGTCCCTTATTCACTAAGCTAAGGCGTGCTTCTAACTGAAACTAAAAACAAAACATTTCCAAGAAATCTGGCATTGTTAGCATTATTTCAATTTATCTTTAAAAAAAGAGCATAATTAACTTCCTGTGATATGGTCACTAGAGATTAGACAGTGAGAATACTGCAATGATTAAGTCCTGGACAAAATAACTAGCTTTATCACATCTGTAAAATGAGACCAGTGCTTTGCTCCACACGGTTGTAAGAATTAAAGCAACCTACATAGCGAAAGCTCAGGACACAGCATATGCAGGACCAGTATTAAATTTTAAGTGTATGCTCATCCTATGACTAAAACAGCATATTTGTAAAACTTCTTATGTGCCAGACATTGAGTGTGGTATTTGGGAGACAGATATGATGACCAAGTTCCTGACTTTGAGGAGCTCACAATCTAGAAGATGAACAAGCAAACAAAGAACAATGAAGTCACAAGAGAAAAACATTAAATGTCATATATATCAGGAAAAGGTCTTCAGTAACTATTAATGATACATTTACTGTCATTTAAGGTTTGATTTTATAACACTAATATGCATTTTATTTCTATTGGTGTAAATACTGAATGAAAAATCAGGCAGATTGCACTGGGTCATTTGTAAATGTGAATCAGCCCAATAAAGTGAAAGAGAAAGCATGGTGCCCCTTAGTATGCTTAAAGGAATAAATTTAAGTTTCTAAGATTCATTATTTTATTCTACAAACATTTTTAGTCTCTTCTATAGATCAGGAAGTGTTCTAAGCATTTGTGAAACATCAGTGCACCAAACAGATGATAATCTCTGCCCATTTGGGGCTTAAATTACCAACAAGAGAAATGCAATGTATACAGTATGCTATAATGTGATGTGTTAGAAGGGAAGGAAATAAAAGAAAGGAAAGAAAAGGAAAAAAAGAACAAAGCAAAGCAAATGATAACAAAGAAAAGAAAGTATAGAAGAATGTGGGAGACGATAAGAATGAAGTTAGAGGAAGGGGGCTGAGATTTTTAAATGGGATAGTTAAGAGTAGGTATTATTTAGAAACGACATTTGAGCTCAGATTTTAAACAGGTGAGGAGGTTAGTCATGCAAGTGCCTGAGGCAAAAGGTTTCTAGGCAGAGGAAACAGCCCAAAGGATTGAAGTGTTCCTGCAATATTCAAGAAATAGTGAAAGTGAATGAGGGAAAGAAAAACTGGAGACAAATTCAGAGAAATACTGTAATGGGATGGAGACCAGGCTAAATAGAGACTTTTTGGAAATTGTCAGGTGCCTTTTACCCTGAGAAAACTGGATATCACTTGCAGAATTTTGAGCAGGGATGTGGCGTAATCTTACTTCTGTCTTGCCGTATTGAGAATAGATTGTAAGGAGAAGTAGAAGAATAAAGTCCAATTAGGAAATTAAGGCAGAAATCCATGAGAAACTTGATGGTGGCTTGAGCAGGGTAGCAGTGTGAAGGTGGCAGCACATAGATCCTGGGTATATTCTGAAGTTGAAATCAACAGGAATTTCTCATGGACTGAATGTCAGATATAAGAGAAAAAGAATAATCAAGGATGATACTAGAGTTGTTAGCCTGAGGATGAGGAAAACTAGAGTTATCTCCTGAAAAAAGTAAGGTGGGGAAAGCGAGGATTGGAGCAGGTTGGTTGGGAAGAACTATCCGAAATTTAGTTTAGGGATGTTAACTTTTCAGTGTCTTCTAGATATCCAAGCCAAATAAGCAGTTAGACACACAAGTTCAGTTTGGCAGAAAACTGGAGGTAAATATTTGGATGTCATCATGATTTATATGGCATTTAACGCCATAAAACTCAATGGGATCAAAAGAAAGTAGATAAAGAAGAAAAGAAAATCAGGGACAGAATCAGGGACACCCAAATAATGAAGTCTGGGAAGGCAGAGTAAAGAGTAAAGTGACTGTGAAGGAGTGAACAATAAGCTAAGAGAAGAGTCAAAATTGTGTGCTATCCTGAAATCCAACGGAAGGCAGTGTATCAAGGGGGAGACAGCAATGAACTGTCTCCAATATTGCTGGATGGTCAAGTAAGATGAAAGCTGAGGATGGACTGATGAATTTGGCAATAGGGTGGTCATCAGATTTCTATCAGGAGCTGATTTGGTGAAATGGTAAGAGTAAAAACTTGACTAACGTAAATTTAAAAGAGAATAGAAAGAGAGTCATAGATACAGAGAATACAGCAAACACTTTCATTAAGTATTATTGCAAAGACAACAAAAAATAAAAAAAAGATAGTTGAAGGAAGTAAAAAAATTCAAATACAAGAGCAATAATAAAATGCTTGTATGCAAATATAATAAAGAGCTAAAATTACTAATGCAGGAGAGACAGAGAAATAAAATGCTCTAGAGATGCCCTTGTGTAAGTAAGAAAGAATAGGATCTAGTGCACAGATGCAGGAATGATTTTAGATAGAAACAGGGATAGTTGATTTAAGGTAATGGGTGGGAGGTCAGGTTATGTGGGTGCAGAACCTGGTAGGAAGGCACATGCAGTGATAGAAACCTGTGGGGAAAAATCTCTCCTGATTGTTTCAATTTTCTCACTGATTTAGGAAACAAAGTTGTCAACTGAGAGTGAGGTCAAGGTAGGAGGTATTGGTGGTTTGAGGAGAAAAGAAAGGGTATGAAATCTAAGTACAAGAACCTGGGAGAGTAAGTGATCCAGGGACATGTGGCATGGTTGCTGGGCATCAATCTAGGGACATGTGGCATGATTGCTGGGCATCATGAAGGACCCACTTTTGCATGCGTCCAGCTGCAAAAGTGCAGGCAGGAAGTAAGGTGGGAACTGAATATGAGGATGAAGATTTAGCCAGACAGTTACCAAAAAACCAACCAAACAAAAAAACACTGAGCGGAGGAGTTTGTGAGGTATGTATGTATATACAAGGAGTGACTTTTATGAATAACTGTGGAATTTATCTAATGAAAGGAAAGAGGACATTTAGTGAGAGATAATCAAAGTATGACGAGATCAGTGATTTAGAGGCCTGGTGGGATTAAAGGAATGAATTGGAGTTGTAGATGAAATGCGCTAGAAAGGTGGTGTAGGATGTATGAAGGAAGGATTATGGGCAGGCCACAGTTACTGGCCATGAAGAGTTTCAAGATAAAACCATGGGAGTGGATGTCTGAAGAAGGGTAAAAAAAACATGATCATTGGAGGAAAATAATTTAACTACTTTACAGGATAGTCTGTTAAGAGGCCATACATATGCATATTGACATTACCAAGATTTGGGTATAAAGTGCCAGTGGAGAAAATTCCAGTGTTCTTGGAGCTAAATTCCTATCTTCTAAGGATTACACATTCATGAAAACTCCTTAAAAGATGCATACCCAAATGTGGAAATAATTTGAATCCATATTTTATCCTGCTTTTGCTTTTATATTTGAATAGATTTATGATGCTGTGAGTCTAGGTTTGTAATAACAGCATAATTTACTAACAGTTTTTTTTTGCACACAGTTGAATTCCCTGGGAAGTCAGGCTTAACATTATTGGAGTGACATCATTCCTGGTGATATAACTAAGGATTCAACAAGAATCATTAGAGATTTCGGTTGATGGATTTATCAAGGCCAGTAATTGGAGCAGCTTAGCTGAATGCCCTTTGTCTAATTGATAGGTCATTTCACATTTTAACTTTCTAACACTTAGGCAACAAAATCATGAACAATTTAATTGAATAGACTGATTAAATGTAGAAGTTTCTTGACCCTTAGAAGTGGAGTGACTGTGCATCCCAGTTTACCTGGAACCATCTTGATTTATACCTGTCGTTGTGGAGAAATTATTAACAAACTGAATCCTGGTTTAGATGACACATTTTATGGTCACCCTGTCTGTATAACTAGGCTCCTGTCTTCTAGACTGTTAATTCAGGAAATAGTAAGTGTAGGTCTAAGCACTCCTCACAGATCCTAGCTGCCTGACAATTGCTGGGCTCCCTCATTTGCTCAATCCAGGGGAGACATAGTGTGTTAGTCAGTTCTCATGCTGCTGTGAAGAAATACCCAAGAATGGGTAATTTATAAAGGAAAGAGGTTTAATTGACTCACAGTGCTGCATGGCTGGGAAGGCCTCAGGAAATTTACAATCATGGCGGAAGGGTAAGCAAACACATCCTTCTTCTCAAGGTGTCAGGACAGAGAAGTGTCAAGCAAAGGGAGAAAAACCCCTATAAAACCATCAGATCGAGTGAGAACTCACTCACTATCACAAGAACAGCAGGAGGGTAACCACCCCCGTGATTAAATTATCTCCCACAGGGTCCCTCCCACAACACGTGGAGATTATGGGAACTACAATTCAAGGTGAGATTTGGGTGAGGATACAGAGCCAAACTGTATCACACAGAAAAGAAGGAAAATATCCTAGCTGGAAATGCTGGGCTGATACAGAGACAGCATCACCATTGCCCTGACCAGCTTGCTTCATTCCTTAGAATTTCACATTTTGATATCAGTTATTCAGAGAAGAGGGATAGTGTCAGTCTTCTCTTATCATAACATTATCATAATCTCCCTTTCTTTTTTTCATGATATTTCAAGCACTACCTTCATATATGCTTAAGAGAACTGTTGTTATTTTGTTGTCATTTCCCCATACATATCACACAACACAAGATGTAGCTGAGTAATTACACAATCACATAATTGTATACCTATTTGCTAATAACACCAAGACATGTTCATGTTCAAAGCATATTATACTCCCAACTAATCCTAGATACCAGCAAAAGACTTAACAACTTAAAACTATAAAAATAATCTAAACAATTCAAAACACTTTTTGTGGGCAATTTCTTCCTAAGATCATTTTATCCCCCTAAATGTTATTTTAGTAAGTACAAACAGTTAACTGAAATTATAGTTTTTTACCCTCAAAAATATTTTATCACATTCCAATAAATAAAATATACTTAAATACCTTTGATTCTTAAATCATTTCTCTAAAATGTTTCACTAATAAACAAAACGATATTACATGATAAGATTTTTTCATTATTATTATTAATGTAGTTAGTAATTATGTCTTCTTCCACATAAAGGTTTTGACTGAAAAGTTTAATGGAACATTACCAGAAAAAAAAATTATACTTCTGATTTGCAAAATCCACTTCTACCTCTCCTTCCACTGACCTCCAATTTCACTAAACCCAAATGGATAAAGAGGAGATAACACTAACGTATGAGTGTTATAGAGAGGTCAGCTTTTATTTTTCTTCTTTCCTTTCCTTTTCTATTTATTTATTTATTTATTTTTGACTCAGAGTTTCCCTCTATCGCCCAAGCTGGAGTGCAGTGGCACGATCTCAGTCCACTGCAACCTCCGCCTCCTGGGTTTAAGTGATTCTCCTGCCCCGGCCTCTGGAGTAGCTGGGATTACAGGCGTCAGCCACCACACCTGGCCAATTTTTGTATTTTTACTAGAGACAGGTTTTCACCATATTGGCCAGGCTTGTCTAGAACTCCTGACCTCAGGTGATCTGCCTACCTCGACCTCCCGAAGTGGATTATAAGCAAGAGCCACGGTGGCCCATCTACTTTTCATTTTTTAATAGAATTTCATCTCATATTCTTGATGCAAGTTATCTTTTCCTAATAGAAATAATATTTCAATGGCCACTATTATATTGCCAATGGTATTCATTATTATCAGCAAAATATATATATGACTCACCAACGCCTGTGCCTTCTTCAAGTCTTTCCACTGCCATTTCATGACAGGTGAATGCAAGAAAATGCATTCACCTTAGAGGAGATTGGCTCTAAGAAAGCCCCAAGAGGATTCTGTAACTGCCAGAAGAAATGGAGAAAAAAGGAACTTCTGGTAGGAAGCTTCATAAGGAAGCTAGTTCCCTAAGGGAAAGGAGCTTCCTGACATTGACTTTTTTTTTTTTTTTTTAACAGAGTCTCACTTTGTCACCCACACTGGAGTGCAGTGGCGCAATCTCAGCTCACTGCAACCTCCGCCTCCCAGGTTCAAGCGATTCTCCTGCCTCAGCCTCCCGAGTAGCTGGGACTACAGGTGCCTGCCACCACACCCAGCTAATTTTTTATTTTTAGTAGAGACAGGGTTTCAGCATGTTGTCCAGGCTGGTCTCAAACTCCAGACCTCAGGCAATCCGCCCACCTCGGCCTCCCAAAGTGCTGGGAGTAAAGGCATAAGTCACTGCACCCGGCCATGACATTGACTCTCTCTACACAAGTCCTGGTGAACGTGCTAATGAAACTGAAGGATTCAAAAAAGGAAAGAACTTGAATAATTAATTTAGATACTGGCAAACCAGCCCTTAGTAATCAAACTAGATATGTATAATAGATATGTGTTGGCCTAATTCAATACAAGTTTTAAATAGAACCTGTTTTTAAATAGGTGGTTATGAATAAGAAATTGATAACTGAAGTATGTAAAAGCTTCATGTGAAACAGTGTTATTAGTCTCCAATTCAAGAATTAATGTGACTAAAATATATTCTGCAGGAAAGTGTTTTGCTACTGAGGATTAATTATTTCTTCCAGAAAGTCCATATGCCACCAATAGCCTTTACTGAGGAACAAACTGATTTAATCAGAGGAGATACTTCATCTTACAAACAAGGATTTAATTTCGAAAAACAGGCCACCCAAAGTGAGTTACACCAGCTTTGCTCATTATCATCAACCACCCTTTCTTCCTGTGTCAAGGAAAAGCATTTTCAAACCTTCCTTCTGTCTCTTCCACGACCTTGGTGTACTTTTGTTTCTTCTTTCCTCAATTTTCTCTCTACTGACTTCATACCTTACTCTACAAAGGGCTTAGGTTTTTCTAATCTGCACTAAAGTTAAATTTCCCTCAACAGTACCTTCTTTCTCCAGGTATAAAATGTTATCTCTCCTACCTTTCCCTGGCAAACTTCTTAAAACTTAAATATACTCCCCAGATTTCTCATGTCCAATTTAGTCCTCAGAGCCCCTGTCTCTGCCATTCAACTAAACCTCTTCTCTTAAAATTAATTTATGACCTAATAATGATAACTAAATCCATCATCTTTACTCTATCCTCTTATGAACCAACCCCTTTATGGGTTTTCTATTGTTTCTGATCCCTATTTTGATATTCAATTTACCTGCTTGGCCTCCTATGATATTGTTATTCCGTCAACTTCTCACATTATTTTCACACAATTTAATAATAGTTTTCTACACTTTTTTACTCTCCTAATCTTAAGATTATGCCCCCAGTCATCTTCACTTCTCTTTTGTTCCCCATTAATGTTTAATTATGTATGACCTAATTTTGTCCCACAACTGCATGCAGATCTATACATTCAGCCTTAACCACTAATCTGATACATGGATATAACATGTTCAGCTCCTTATAAAACACCCCAGTGTATGAGTATGTGTCAGTATGTCAAATGCATAACACCAAAAGCCAAATTCATTATCCTTACTTTTACTGCCCCAGGGGAAAAAAAATAACAACTGCAACAACAACACCGACAACAAAAGCTTCAAACAGATTGGGTTATTTACCTTTCTCTACAGTTTCCCTATACGATGCCTATAGTTCTCCATTTTCTTGTATTTACTTGCCTCACCTATGTACCTGGAATAAGCAACTTTCTGTTTTTCTTTATTTATATCCAACTCACTCTTAAAGATCTAATTTAACTGTCACATCCTCCTAAAATCTTTTCCTCTGAGCCCCCCATGGACAGAAATTAACATTATTGTTTTGTTCTGAATCCCAGGATGTAACATGGTGCCTGGCACAAGATAGGTGCTGATATTCCTGTCCCATTCACTTTCTCATCTTTCTTCATTCCTTATTTTGAGATATAGTGGTATCTGCACATGTATATTTGCATGTTAACCTCCCTGAGGTAAACTCCTTGACTAATTATTTCTTTATCTCTACCATGGACACTTGGTTGGTACGTGGTATTCCACAAATATATGTAGACATGACACATTTTAATCCCTTTCTTTTCTCAAGATATTGAAGAAGTAGGGTAAAGCCTGTGCCTAGTAAGTGAACAAAGGAGGAAAGGCTTGGACATGAGATGATATTCTTATAGTTGTCAATAGATTAACCTATATGTACAATCTTTTCTATTAGGTAGGAGGGAAAGCCATGTGGCCATCCACATCATTCATGAGCATAGGGTAGAAGAGTATACACCACCTAATAATGAAAAAGGCATACTAAGAAACAGAGTTTCCATAGTTGTCATTCAGTTTTCTTGGATGCTTTGACAAGAAACCTAAGAAAATTGAGCACTGCATATAATATGCCATTGAGCAACAGTATACTGAAAGAAACTCTATTTTACAGAATATAACCAAACACACACACACATGCACACACACACACACACACACACGCACAGTGAATATCATCATACCTGGTCTATGCCATCCTGATATGTTCACACTAGAGGTGAATTGTGTTACTGCTATGGAAGATGTGGAACTGTCAATCACTGTTCTAGCCTTGCCTTATTGTAATTTAGTACGTGACTCTGGGAAATCCACCTTATCTCTCAATTACAATTGCTTTTCTTTAAATGATAATGGGGATAAATGGTTAAATATCTGTAATTCTAAAAATCTCCATGTATATGGAGCCATGTAGAACTACAAACTCTATAGATTCCACACATTTAAAAAACATGTTTTTTTCATGGTTTGTCCAAACCATTTTATAAAATCATTCCCCATAGCTTTCACAACCTCTGACATGGCAAAACTACCTCTTTACAGGAAAACAATGACTGAGATAAAAACATCCTGATGCACCTCCACCGCCTGCCACCTCCACCATCACACACACACACACACACACACACACACACACACAGCTCTTTCCACAGGAGAAAGAAGTGAGGCATTTAAAAACAATCTTACAAAACTATTTTTAAAATATTTGTAAAATCTCTTTAAATTTCTCTAAATGAAAATCAGTGGTTTTTAAATATAGGATTTCTATATGTCTTTATTCCTGTTATTCTAATAATAATCAAGCAAGGATTTAAGGGAAATCACGAGAAGCAGCAGAGAGAAGCAAGGCTGTTGCATGCAACTTCCACCTCCTGAGTCATTCCACTCTTTAACACAGATAATGTCACATGACCTAAAATAATTTAAAATGTGAGCACCTTCTATAATATCAACTATTTAAAATGGCCACGGTTCTATTATCCCAAATCCAATAAAATACAGAAAAAATCAATTTTCATGGCAATTAATTTGTGTTCAGCATACTCCTCACATCCATACTGGGGGAGGAGGGAGGGTCTATAGTCTCATTCCAAGTCTATTAAACACATTACATAAATCTTGATTCATGTGGGAGAAATGACTTACGTATTATTTCTAAGAGGTAAAAATAAAGACATAAACAATCTGTACCATCATAGCCAGCAGAAATCGTTCAAAAGGCCTTTGGACTCAGAATATTGGCTTGCCTCTGAGGCTGCAATCAGAAGGCTCAGCCCTGAGCTTTGGCAGAGCCACTGCCATGTTAATCTGCTTCATTATATCTCTACAATTTGTTCACTGCATTAAGGAGCAGTATTTCCCTTGTGAAAGGAAAACCCATCCTTCACTTTGAAAGCTTTACCTTTAAAAGGTAAACAAATACAGCCAGAGACAGAGACCAACAGCTAGAAAGCCAAAGAAATAATAAAACACGGTATGTCATAGTCAGAGCTCATTTCAGCCTAGGAAGATTTTAAATTGCACAACAGCTAGAATTAGAGCTTTTGAATCTCTTAGATCTGAATACAAGCTAACAAAGCACACATCTTATATTAAATGTCATTCTTAACATAGATAACAATCCGTGGATAAGTCAAAAATAGAATCATGCTGGCTTACCTGAAATAAAGAAAAATGTAAATCATAACACAGAATCCACGTATGTGTTGAATATAACAGTCTCCAATGCAATTCTTCAGAATTTTTACTGGAGTAGAAAGTAAAATCTCACATGTGCTCTATCCTCATTAAAGAAGAAAAAAACAAGAAAGGATGACCACAGCATCCTCCCTCCTTTGCCTTAGCTTTCTGTTCTGACAGTCATTCGATGGTACCCAATGTCTGTTAGAAAACAGCATGCTAAATTAGAAAAATAAATAAATAAAGGCAGCATCTTACATGACAGCTCCATCTCCTGGTCAAAAGTGGAACCATCTTAATTCACGTTCCTTTGGCTATGTAGCAGTCAGCACATAAAATTAAATGATGTACAGCCCATAATTCCACTCTATTTGAAATCAACTACTTTAATTAACTGTAATTTAAACATTTAAGAAGAATTATAGTATGAATTTTTAGAATTATAATTCTATTTTGGGGATTCAAATTTCTTTACATTATGTTTAAACTAAATGGAAGCTTTTCCCATCATTGAAAACTTAAGATTTATTTAACTTTATATACCATCTGAAAAAGTAATATGTATCTCCTATAAAACAATTTTAGATGTCAAGCTTATTGATAATGAACATCACATCTCTTTGTGGAGAAGTATAAGTTTTTGTCACTAGAGAAGTTAACACATAACACTTGTGTTGCTATTGTTTGGAGGAATGTTGAAAGGTTAAAGATAAGGCAGGAAAATTAAATGACTTAAAGGCAAACTTGAAAAATCTTTAGTTAATCTAATCTAACTACAAAAATACAGACGACAAGTTACATGCAACATGAAATTTGATAATTGTAGTAGTATACTATAGTGTGTAGTTACATCTTCTTAGAGAGATAAGAGAAAATTAAATTGTCAAAAGAATCCATTTGGTAAATGACACCATTTATAGAATCAAAGTTTTACTGAGCATATGATGTTCTCAATATATGTTTGTTTAATTAATTATTCTTCTTATGAACAGTTGTGAAGGCCAGGATCATTTTTTTAAAATTTGAAGTAAAAGGATAGGCATTTTTTTTCTCCCACTTTTTTACAACACCATTTTAATTTGGGGCCAAATCGATCTTTAATTTCCTATTGCAGTAACGCTGTCCATGGTGCTGAGAACCAATTTTAGAACTCATGGTGAGTTCTAGGTCTTAAACGGGTCTGAAATACTGTCTTTGTCAGATTTGATATAAAATTTACCATTAAAAGTCCCCAGATCAGCCAGAATAATTGATAGTATCTAATATAAAAATAGTTAAGTAATTTTTTTATCCACAAAATATGTATATACACATGTCCATCAGAAGCCAAAATGCTGATAAATACATTTAATAAAATACATGATTGCAAGCTACACTTTCTTTGGATTCATAATATTTTATTTTCTGTGTGCTAAAGTTATACTGAATAGATTGCTTTAACATAAGGTTGTTCCCACACTATTAAATAGACGAGGAAACCAAAGCCCACTCTTCAGTAACTTATCCAGTATTAATAAGCAAGTCAGAAGAACAAACCCAGTTTCTTAAATTTTACCTTACTTCCATTTCTACAACATTATTAAGATGTATTAGTTTGGTTATGAAAATATATTTTTAACACTGAACAAATAAATAATTAAAGTGACTTGGTAGATCAAATTATTTTAATGTATACACTCAACTATTTCATCTCACAAGTTTCCTGCACTATCATAAGATACATAAGCTCTCAGGGCACATAATTATGATAATTTTGCCAAATTAATTTGCAATTTCAACAAATTACTCCTGATGGCCAAGAAGCTTAAACCTGTAAGATTAAAGCCTAAGATGCCACAAATATGAAATATTATTGATACTTTATTTTTAAAATCACGGGAATTTTACAATAATTTATATAAAATTTAAATGTTTTTCTTAACACAGTAATCATTTTTCCCCATAGTCTTGAGGGTAAATTTTATCCTTAGGGAAGATGTGACTAACTGATCCTGGGATTTTGTGTACCTCTAGGCACGCCACCTCATGCCCCCAGGGATACAATATCCCAGTTTCAAGACCATAGGGTTATATGACACAGAAACTGGAGCAATCCTTTTCAACCCTAAATCATATCACATACTCTTCTTCTCAAAACTTTTTAGTAGCTACCCATCTCCTTGTGAATAGTCTATGCCTTCCCCAGTGTTCACAATGCTCACAATCTAGACTCCTTTACTTCTCTGATGTTATTCTTGCCCTCACTCACTCTACTTTAGCCATTTTATCTTCTTTCTCATTACTCAAACATGGCAGGTATGTCCATTCCTTAGGAGGCGTCCACCTTTTAATCTCTTTGCCTGGAAATCTCTTACATGGGCTCCGTATGGCTCACTTCCCTCATTCTTGTCACAGCTCACAGCTGCCTTCTTACTGAGACTGGCCTTGACCCTCAATACCACACACTATCCCCTCCTCTGGTTTTTCCCTTTAGTATTTAGCTGACATACTAAATATTTTGTCTATTGTCTGCCTCCTCCAAGAAAAATGTAAATTCCATGAAGGCAGAGATGTTTGCCTGTTTTGATCACTTCCATAAACGTGGTTCACAGAACAGTACCTGAAATATAAGACCCACCCAAATAATGAATACATGTCCTAGACATAGAAAATTCATACATTTTTATTAATGCACCATAGGAATGCTATTATTTCTGTGTGTGGATTCCTATGTTCTTATTAATACATACGTCAGAGAGTGTGAAATCAATGAAGCAAATGGCATGTTCTTTGAGTAAACTATTTAAACTATGTTTAATTCATATACTTAAGCAGAAAACAGAACATATAGTGAATATTCCATAAATATGTTAGGTTAATGATGCCAGTGTTGAAATTAGACCACTGTGGTCTTGAATTGTTTTTAATGGAGTTCTGACAAAATTTTGGTAAAATATTATTGAACAACTCTTATGTTAGCACTTTTTTTTCCAGGATAAACAAACTTTGAGGTAACTATTGTAATTTTATTTTTATGGAAAATGTTTAATCTCATCTAGAAAATTTTAGCTGTTTTAAAATAAGTTGTAAAAATAGCAACATGTCACATGGTAGACATGTGTGCGTGTGTATACAAATATATATATACATATATACACACAGACACACAAGTACATACACACACTAAATCTTTATGAAATCAACTTCAGTTAGGCATTCATTTCGCTAGTAACAACAAACCAATGCCACATAATTTCTCAATAACATGTCTCTTGGGCATTGCTTTAATGATAAAATCCACACCTTTATTTTGGCAGCTTGATTTTCAAAATCATTTTAATTTATAGAGATAAAAGTAAGTAAGTCTTATTTTACCTCCATTAAGTTGTGCATATTGACTGTTATTTAATTTTTTTCTACCATTTATCATTCACCCAGACTTTTAAATATCATCCATCTGATTCAGAAAATAAAAGACTAAGTTCCTAGTTTATACCTAATATTTGTTTACATTTTTCTTGCCTCACTTCTTCTTATTTAAAATATCTGCATTGGAGAAAAGCAAATGAACAGACATTTTTAAATGGCAATTTCATTTGTACAGTTTTAGTCACCTTAAAATATGCTAACCTCTTTTAAATTATTGGTCACCAACATCAAGACAGTTTTAAAAAGTTGAACTCCATATCTAATGTTTTTCCTGCACTATTATCATTAGAGAATCAAGGACCTGTAAGCCAAAATGGGCATATTTTTATGCCATGTTCAAAGACTGCTAATACTGATGAGGAGGACAGCTTATTACACTAGTTCCAATTAGTATGAATTGTTGACATTTAATAGTATGTTATCAAAAGATGAAGAAAAGGAAAAGAAAAATTGGGCCATCAAAAGGACATAATTTCCATAAACAAAGTCTGACAAACAGAATAATTCCCATAATTCCTTGAAAGACGAGGTGTTACAAATAATGTTATAAATATATAACATTTATTGAGCACTTTTTATGTGCCAAGCAATGTGCTAAGTACTGTACATAAATTATCTCATTATTCCCAGCAACAGGTCTGTGAAGTAGATTTTTATCTTTTCCCTCTTAGAGATGAGAAAAATAAAGCCAAAGTCCCTCAGCTAGTAAACGATGTCTTGACCTCCAACTCAGACCTCTGTTCTCAATGCTTATGTTCTATTTGAGTTCTACTTAAGACACAGGAGATGTAAACTATGAAGAAGTGATTCCGTTGACCTTTGGAATTTATGTGCTTTTTGTCCTCAGCTCCAGTTGTTCAACAGTTGTGTAAGCCAAGGGTAAAACAAGAGTGGAAAAGAAGGAAGGTCTTTAGGAGTACCTCCCTTCAGTGTGGTATTTCAGAGCAGGTGATGGATTTGCAATGGATGCAAGGATTGACAGAAGAAGATAAACAGAAGGAACTAGAGTTATTAAGGAAAATAAATTGTCAAGAAATTAATGAGTGAAAGAACAAGGCAGAGAGGTGAAAGAGAAGTGCAGGACCCATAGAGCTCTGCCAGAGACCCTTCTCTTCCCCGAAGATGGCTGTCTGAAAGAGAGCAGCATTCCATGATCCCCTGAGCAACAAGGAGTTCTCATCTACAAGGCTCACATGATCCTGTTACCAACACCAGAAATACACTAATGCTAGCTGGTAGCACCTTGCTGAGGGTAACTGAAATACACAAAGGTTGCCCTGACATTTCTCATCAGTAGGTCTACCTTTATTGTGGAGTAAATAACTCAATATAGCATGATGAAGAAACAGGTAAATTGATATTCTCTGAACCCCATACTAAAATGTGGCACCAGATGTCCACAAAAATATCCCTGAAAGACGAAAGACTGATTGTAAACTATAAAGTCATTTCAGTGTTCTTACGGCAGCCATTGTTTAGTGTTTAATTTTTCTAAGCTTATCATTGTCATTATTGTTAATAATAGTAATTATCAGCCAAAAAAAAACTGCATTTGGTAAATTCCTAAATTTTTGTTCTGACAATTTCACCTCTCTCAGTGGGGTAGAAAACACCCAGATAGAGAACGATGATCCTGTTCTTAATTCAGCCCAGTGAAGAACTTCAGGAGGCGCTTCCTAGGCTTAGTTATGGTATGGAGTGGAGACAGCACAGACAATTGGAATTCTGGGGGTTGCACTGAGCAGATAGCCCTGTTGCCCATCTGTAGGAAGCATTAAAGTTGAACCTACGGAGGGCAGATGGAAGTCTTAATTATCAGAAGAAGCCCCTATCCTTATTGCATTTGTTACACCATAATAAGGTACAGGGACCACAGCTATATTAGCAAATTCCAGTATGGCAGACAAGAAAAGTAAACTAAAAATCAAACCCTAGAATGATGGAGCCTAAGCCATAGACCATATTAGTCTGCAGCCTGGGATTGGGACCCCTGGTCTAAAGGATGCCAACTGTTCTGTTGGTGGAGTGGGCAGAGGAAGATGAATTCTGGAGAAACTGAGCCTCCAGGTTCACTTTCTAGAAGACAAAAGTACTCTCTGGTAAGTTTCTGGAGTGGCACTGCACACCTATTCCTTTGACCCATGTTGATCACAATAAACCAGTTACTTAAAGTCACCTCTATCACATCGTGGTTCACTGGGAAATAAAGGTGCTTTCTTGAGCCAGGCAAATAATTGAATCATAGATGATAAAGAATGTCAGGAATGGAGGGAACACCCAGAAATACAATACCACAAAATTAATTGCCACCTGGGTACTAAATGGCGATCTTCCAGCACCCAGCATCACTGGATGATGCATATATACCCATCATTGGATGATGCAGCTATATCAAGTAGAGACGCATATATACCCAGCTCCAGTTATGAAATTTTAGTTGAAATATAACTAGTGATGTGGAACCTAATATAATAGTTTCTATCCACAGATTCCAAAGGGAAAGCAACACATAGCAAAATAATTGCAGAGAAGTCATCTTATGCTTCCAAATTTGTACTTAACATGTATGTAAAAATAAACATAAATCTATCAAATACATATATATATATACACAATATATATACACACATACCCATATATATATATAGCCTAATTGTTCTTCCCTTGGGTTTGACTCCAGTGAGTATCTCCTTGTTCTAAAAATTGACTAGCAATACAGAATCCTCTGGGTGGACTAACATTGTTTTAAGAATGTAGTTCATCACTGAGATGCTGAAGTAGAGAGGAGAATTGAAATCAGAGTAGTAGCTTAAATGTGTTCTGCAAAGGAGTAGAATACCACCACCAGGCTGGAACTATCAGAAATAAACTCTATCCTAAGGTTAGTGGTAAAGGAAGGGACATAGAAGGCCCTTAAGCTAGTCATGCCTTCAACATCTGTGCAGATGTACTGTCATAACTGTTCCTGTGACCAACCAAGGTTAGTGAGTGATGCAGGCTGAACTCAAGAAGGTGGCCCCAAAGGAAAGTGCTCAGGCCTCAAAGAAGATTTTGTTGTTTAGTTGATCCTACTACCTCAGCAAGGACAGCTACTTGCATAAACAGAAATGGGGCAGAGTTTTCCTGGGGAAGTAATATCTTCCCAGCCTGCTGGAGTCATTGGTACATCAAAGTCAGTTTGCAGGGTGGAAGTCAACAGAATCTTTGGATGCACAAGGCTTCAATTCCATTCAAAGAACACATGAAACTCTTTGCCTTCTTGAGGTCAGTAATTGTGACAAAAAGGATGGAAAAATTAGCAGTGACTCATTGTCAGTAACTAGAAAACCTTGGAAATGACAAGATATGCTTGATAAAACCAGTATCTCCCAGATCTAATACCTCATCTAGCATTTTTCAGATGCTTGTGATCATGTACACAAGAGAGTCCCATTGAATTGCCAGAGGTTAGTTTAAGTTTCCATTTTTATCTTTATCTTTTCTGTATGCAGAAGACCTGTGGGGAAATGCCTGCATATTTGGAAATCTAACCCATCTCCTTTTTTGGATAAAAGGAGTCTAGGGTCCAAGCTACAAGTTTTCATATGTGGCTATGGAGCAAGAAGGGGCAAAATATGCAGAAGCAGCATCCTAAGCCATGTTTATAGCAGGGATTGAAGCCACATTATCATGTACAAGTGGAGTAGATGGAACGGTGAGTCAAGAATAAAAGATATCAATGTTGAAATCCAAATTTCACCCATACAGAAGATAAAGCTGTCACCAGATGTCAAATATCCAGCAGTGACTTTCAATGTTCCCCAAGATGATGGGACAGAGTTTTTGGAAGAGTGGATGGAAAGAGAAACAAACACTTGAAGATGAGATTGCTGAACAATGCAGGATAATATCTGAAAAATTATAAAGATAAATGGTAAAATTTAGTGGAAAGATGAATAATGAGGACTGCCAGTTGACTCACATGTGACCAGGTGAAGAAGGAGGACTCAAATCTCTAAGCTCTAGCTGATTTTACCATTACATTTTTGCTCATTACTAGAAAGGACTTAATGATAACTGATGGCAATAAATAGAGCTGCCTTGGCAGACAGATATTTCTCTGAATTCTACTAGAATTTGAACACCTGTCAGAGGTGTTGTCAAATGGCTTCTGATACAGAGTCTGATGTAGGGACAGCTGGTTCTTACATCCACTTTGGCTCTTAAATAACAAGATACTATGATCAGAGTGAATATGTAAACTTCTCTCTTATTCTATATATCAGGAGATTGATCCTCAGAAAAGGTAGGTGACAGTGATGATTGATTTTAGGTGTCCACTTGACTGGATTAAGGAGTACTCAGATAGCCGGCAAAGTATTAATTCTTTGCGTGTCTGTGAGGTCACTTGTGGAAGAGATTAGCATTGGACTTGCTGGATTGAATAAGGAAGCAAGATCCACCCTCACCTAGTGTTGGTGAGCACCATTCAATTGGCTGAGACTCAGAGAGAACAAAAAGAAGAGGGTCATCCCTCTTCTCCTGTCCTTGTGTATCAGAACTCCAGGTTCTATGGCCTTCGGACTCCTAGACTTGCACCAGTGGCCCCCTTAGTTCTCAGGACTTTGACTTCAGGCTGAGAATTACACCATTGGTTTCCCAGATTCTGAGACCTTCAGACTTGGGTTGATCCACGCTACCAGCTTCCCTGGTTCTCCAGCTTGCAGATGGTCCATCCTGGGTCTTCTTAACCTCCATAACTCCTTAAGCCAATTTCTCTAACAAATCCCATATAGTCTGTCTGTCTATCTATCTATCTATCTATCTATCTATCTATCTATCCATCCATCCATCATCTATCTATCTATCTATCTATCTATCTATCTATCTATCTATCTATCTATCTTATTGGTTCTGTTTCTCTGGAGAACCCTGACTAAAATAGAGACTTAAGAAAGCTATAATGTAGGGGCCGGGCACGTTGGCTCACACCTATAATCCCAGCACTTTGGGAGGCCGAGGCGGGAGGATCATGAGGTCAGGAGATCGAGACCATCCTGGCAACACGGTGAAACCCCGTCTCTACTAAAAAAAATACAAACAAATTAGCCGGGCATGGTGGTGGGTGCCTGTGGTCACAGCTACTTGGGAGGCAGAGCTTGTAGTGAGCCGAGATCGCACCACTGCACTCCAGCCTTGGTGACAGAGCGAGACTCCGTCTCACCAAAAAAAAAAAAAAAAAAAAGCTATAACTTCAAGAGAGAGAACTAGAAATCTGACCACATTATTCTTCAACCAACTTTCTTTCCACTAAACAAAACAACCTTGACCATGAAAAGGATATACACTTCCTCATAAGGATTACAGTGAGTGATCTGATTGCTTTGCCTGGCTCCTTGAAGAAGCATTAATGTATTTCCAAAAGAGAAAACAACTAGAAAGAGTTGAATTAAAGATGGGAATCTCTGATATTTTTCAAGGAGAGCAGAGACAACTCTCTGTGTTCATCGAATGATTTCACCTTCCTCCCTAACAAGCAACTAAACTACATCTCCCAGTTCCCTGGCAGTTAATAGGACCATATGACTGACTTACAACCAATACAGTATTAAGCAAGAGTGATGTTCACCTGCTGCATAATGGTGCCCCAGACTTCTCAAGTAATCTTCGACATACTCTTTTATCCCCTGTATCCTGGCCAGGTCCAGAGGACCCAGTGGAGGGTTCTCAGGAGCCATCAGATAGGTGAAATATGGGTCCTGTGTCAGCAATTAAAGAAGTGCCAACCAGGAAATAGAGAATAGGAAAATCATGGAACAAGCCATGCACAGAGCAAGGATTGTTAATCAAGAAATCAGAATTAAAGAATCCTTTGGTATGCCCAGTGTTGCCTAAAATATCTTTTTTAGAAATGTAGTCTTCAAGATGTTATTGATAGCAGATTTTCCAATAAAACCGTTAAGACAATTTCTGTGGTCAAAATAGTTTAAGTATGTTGAGTATAAGAGTGTATAAGCTGAGATATTACAACAAATGAAACTTAAAAACCCTCACTAAAACAGGACAAACAATGATCTCCCCATAAAAGTCTAGGGTGAAAGGCAGGCTATGCTTTGCGAGGTGGACAGGGACCCATTTTGCTATTGTGTTCGCTCTTAGGGCATTTTCCTCGGCCTCATATTTGAGGTTGGCTGACATTCATGTCCACATTCTGACCCATTATAGGAAGATAGGAAGTAGAGGGCAAGCAATAAAATGTTAAACAGATTAATTTTGTTACTGAAGGATTTCTTAAGATATTTAAATCACTGATGTGTATTATGATTCTTTAATAGAGAGCTTTTTATAAGAATAATTTAAAATAAGTATTGGACAACAGAACTCTTTCTAAAGAGTATCTCAGGGTTAGTTTTTTTTTTTAACAGAAGATATCATCAGAAACATTAGCCTATCAAGTTCTTCTAGTTACAAAAGTAGGGACTCATCTACCTCATCTGCCCTTAAAAGGATAAAAGGATTCTTGGGGGTAATCATTACCTCAGGTCTCCAGCCCTACTTTTAAAGTTCAAGTTGAAATATAACTAATGATGTGGAGCCTAATATAACAGTTTCTATCCACAAATTCCAAGGGGGAAACAACTCAAATCAAAATAGCTGCAAGAGAATTCATCTCACTGCTCCTAAATTTGTGCGTGTGTTTTGAAATAGGCATAAGAAGCTTTCTTCAATTGAACTTGTTGAAGAAGGAAAACTCTTTACCCACACATTAAAAAAAATATGTCCCTAGGCTACAGTCAAGTATTTTTAACACTTGTTAGGAGTCATCCAGCCTTGTAAGTTTAGAACAGGGTACCAGCAGAGAAGGCTTAAAATATAAGAGTGGGAGTTTTGCTGTTGGGATAAATTCAGTAGCAGTTGTGGTTACAGGAACAAAGCTCAGGTTCTCTGCCATGCCCCAATAAGTCAGGTCTCTCTCCTGGTTCTCCACCTAGTGCTCTGATTGTTCTTCTGCCTTCCTTCTTCCACTGTCATTTCTTTCTGATCAGACACAGTGTTTTAAACATAAAGAATATCATATTTAATTTACTAATAATGATAATGGGCTAATAGTTGCAAATGATTTTTAATAAAATTTAAATGTATCTGAGATTATCCCTGTAATAGCAAAGGTCCCCCTCACTTTCATCTGGAGACTCTTTCTTTGGAGAAGAGTGAGATTTACAATGAACAGGTTGGTAATTGCCCTTCACCTTGGGTAGGATCATGCAATTGAATTTCAAGTGTGAATAGAATATATTTTGAAGCAGAAAAAAAGGGCATGCTTCTGTTCTAATCATGAGCAACAATGCTTCTGAATAATTTTTATGAAGCACAGAAATAGTCACAGCTGTCTTCTGTTAAACAGCATTCAGTGACTCACTACTGTCCAAGGATGAAGTCCAAGCCCCTTAGCATGGCAAGCAAGATCCTTTCTGATGTGATTCCTGGCTGCTTTACCTTTGTAGGTTCCATCCCCTCTCCACCATGTACCCTTAGTTTCTGTACTACTGAGTATTCTGAATTATAACATACATTTTTATGCCTCTGTTTCATTCTCACATTGTTATCTCTATTGGTAACATTTTTCCCTTTCCAATATCTTCTGTATATCAAGCTACCAATCTTGTAAATTCCAGGTCCTGTGAAGACTTTACCAACCAACTAAAGCAGATTCCTTCGTGTGGATACAGCATTATAACTCCCTCGCCCACCCAAACTGACAATGTTGCTATAAGGATCAATCAAATTTAAAAAAAAAAGGTTTGTGAAGGTGTTTCTGAAATCACAAACTAATACAAAGTTATTTTGAAGTTATTGGCAGGCTATGCTTAATAACTCTCCTGAGGCCAGGCACGGTGGCTCATGCCTATAATCCCAGCACTTTGGAGGCCGAGGCAGGAGGATCACCTGAGGTAAGGAGTTCGAGACTTATCTCAACCAACATGGTGAAACCAACTTGGTGAAACCCAACCTGGTGAAACCCAGCCTAACCAACATGGTGAAACCCAGCCTCCACTGAAAATGCAAAAATTAGCCGGGCATGGTGGCGGGTGCCTGTAATCCCAGCTACTCGGGAGGCTGAAGTAGAAGAATCGCTTGAACATGGGAGGCGGAGGTTGCAGTGAGCCGAGGTCATGCCACTGCACTCCAGCCTGGGCAACAAGAGCGAAACTCCACCTCAAAAAAAAAAAAAAAAAAAAAAAACCTATCCCAAGACAAGTTTTGAACTTGTTTATATTTTCTCCCTTTGACATTGACATAAGACACCGTTACAATTTGTCTAATTCTGTTATTGTGGCTCCTTCTCCTTTTATTCTGTCTCTGGGAAGGCAAAGAGCAGGATGCTAATCAGAAGAGTCCCAGCTGGAATGAAATTGAGAGTGTGGGTGCAGAACAAAATGTTATTAACACTGTGGGCAGAAGCAAAGGATCAGAGAAATGCTTTCTTCCTAGAAATAGCTCCTGGGCTCTGCTCCACCTAGTTTGCACCTCCAGGTATTAGCTTCAAAGATAGGGGCAAATATTTCAAATCTGCCCTGTCTCTGTAAGTAAAGGTGATCACAGATGTCTGAGCATACTGAGAACATTGTGTAGACCCATTCAATATGATAATTATTTATTAGCAGGCCTTTGGCAAGGTGCTAGAGACACAAAGACAAAGCGAAGCCTCTGCTTCAAGTTGCTCACCTTCTAATAGATAAGAAGGAGACAAAACCAAGATTACCACTGAGTGGAATATACTTCCTAATACAGCCAAGTATTAAAGATGTAATAGAGAGAGCCAAGTATTAGGGGCAGAGCTAACAAAATTTCCAAGGTTGGAGGCAAGGAGGTGATCAAGAGAGGCTTCAGGTGGACAAATTTTAAAAAGGATATTATCAATATACTTAAACAACTGTCTACCACAAAGCTGGTTGCATTTTTTGTCTACCCTTTCAGAACATAAGCTTCATATTTATCACTTGGTCAAATATCTTATGAATTTGATAAATGCTATAACATATATTTTGACTTACTAAATAAAGCTACCCTTTCTTTCTCTGGCCTTCTATCTTGTCTAAATTTTAAATAAACTTTGTTTATTTAAACAGAACTTGACATTATATTTAAAATTATGACTCCAAATATTTCTCTTCTTTACCAAGAAATCTCTACAGTCAAATATTTTCAGTTTTATGGCACTCCATGTCATAACCAGTTACTTACAAATTCAATTTTATTTTGAGTTTATTTCAATTTTAAGACACTTCTCGCACCCTATTGCTTTCATTTCTTTATTTTAAAAACTATCAACACTTTTTGCTTCATCTTTGAAGGCAGAAGATCTTATTAAGTCCAAGTAACATTTAATGTGGTCACTATAGACAGAGATTGCAAGGTCAAAGCCAGAATCCAAGCCAACATAAGACCCTGAGCAAAAGGCTATTTTATGAGGAATTTTTGGTCACATTCTTTAGGTTCTTAAATATTTCCAAAAAAAACTTCAAAGCATCTTTTGCTAGAATATATTCAATAAAAATAGTTTATTTCCACTGATAAATGTGAGAAATTATTAAACCCCCTAGTTAATGCAAACAATAGAAAACTGGAAATAAACTTGCTGTTTATAAAAATATTTAGAGGAAACTAAATTAGATAAAACCCAACTGGCAACTAAACCCCTCTGGAAAAATCTTCAAAAAGGCAAAAGATAACTCTCATTTTCTTGCCTCCATTTGGGTAGTGACCTTGTGGTCATGCATATGTACTCGTCTGATGGCAAGTTTCTTGACGAATTTCAATATAAAAACCTTGCTTTTTTTGAGTCTGGTCACCAGTGAAATAAGAGAAAGCCTTCACTGGCTATGCACTGGCCCAGCTTCCACTAGTAGGAAATACAAGAAAGCAATGAGGCTAAAAACAGAATGAGAGCCAACAATCACAGTGTGTCTGCTAGGGTGAAGGGCTAATTTAATGCTGCTCTTTCACAACACTCACAAGTAAATAGTTTTCATTCATGCTTTAATTAATCAGATTAATGTAAGCACTAGTTGGATGGAATAAATGTTCGTCTTTTCCATTCTTGTGTGTTATGATTTGCTTATTGGTAACTCAGCTCCATTTCAGATAGCTTAGAGGAAAAATTCTGCCTATTCAAGCATGCTGACAGAGCTGGTTCCAACATAAAATATCTCTGCATCTCAGAGTATGGCTCAAAGGTATCTGCAGAGAATATACCATTTCTATTAAATCAGGCAGGAACATTTGTCCCAAAGAGATGAAGCAAAAAAAAAGCAATCTCTTATGAGGCCCAGACTGAATGCTCTATGAGACTATTTATTTCCTTATGCCATACTATTCGTTTTTTTTTCTTCAACTTTAATTTTAATCTCAGGGTACATGTGCAAGATGTACAGGTTTGTTGCATAGGTAAATGTGTGTCATGATGCTTTGCTGCACAGATCATCCCATAACCTAGGTATTAAGTTCACCATCCATTAGCTATTTTCCCTGATGCTCTCCTTCCCCTCATCCTACCCACTTCCAGCAGGCTCCAGTGTGTGTTGTTCCCCACACTGTGTCCATGTGTTCTCATAATTCAGCTCCTATCAATGATAGCCATGCTATTCTTTATGGCAAAACATCTCTACCCTCTCTCCATCTCCTCCTAAGGGCTGGCTTAAAAGTCACCTCTTTCTGATCCTGTCCTTGACAGCCTCAGCCCACATTACCTTTCTTCTCTAAGAAATGCTGGTTTGTTTTTTTTTCATTATTCTGACACTTAAATAATAGAATAATGCTTTGATGTGTACTTGGCCTAAGAAAGAATGTGGGTTTAGAGCAAGAGAATCCTTGGGTGAAATCCTCGTTAAAATATGGCACAAGATTTGGGTGGGAACACAGATCCAAACTAGCTCTGTGACCTTGGGCACTTCACTTAACCTTTCTAGTATCAGTTAATGCCTCTGTGATACTCATCTTTAACTACCTTGTAAGGTTGTGAAATTAAGTTAAAGAAATGTAGAGTGCCTAGAACAGAGCAGACATTCCATAGAGGTTATTAGATTATCTGTACAGATGGTATTATAAATGATGATAAAGAAGATTTATTCGTGTTTATTACATTTTTGGCTACAGAAACACAATTTAAGTATAATTGGGATTCAAAATCTATTTAATAAGATCACTTCCCTCATTTCAATTACTCAGCCCTCTTCCTATCATTTACTTCTTAAAGAACAAAGCAAAAAACTGATTTCTAAGGACTCAGTCTCAGAGTTTGTGAGAAAGTGAGGAATTGCTTTTCAGATTATTTTCATTTTAAACTTTTGACTCTTTATAAAGTAATCCCTTCCTTGAAAAGGGAAGTTTACCACCACACAAACAGCAATATATATATGGGTATATACAGAAGAGACTACACACAAACACCCACATACACTTACATACATATATACTAAAACACACACACACACTATGTCTATAAATATTTATTCCCCAATCCCAGTGAAAACTAATGAGGTCCTAGGCTAGGCACAGTGGCTCACACCTGTAATCCCAGCACTTTGGGAGGCTGAGGCGGGTGGATCATCTGAGGTCAGGAGTCCAAGACCAGCCTGGCAAACATGGTAAAACCCGTCTGTACTAAAAATACAAAAATTAGCCAGGCATGGTGGTGCATGCCTATAATACCAGCTACTCAGCAGGCTGAGGCAGGAGAATAGCTTGAACTTGGGAGGCGGAGGTTGCAGTGAGCTGAGATCACACCATTGCACTCCAGACTAGGCGACATAGTGAGACTCTGTCTCAAAAAAAAAAAAAGAAAAAGAAAAAGAAAACTAATGAGGTCCTAAACTATGACAGAGGTCACAAACTGGAAAGAAGAGTAGGTATGCTGATACAGTTTGGATCTGTGTTCCTGCCCAAATCTGGTGTCCAGTTGTAATCCCCAATGTTGGAGGTGGGTCCTGGTGGGAGGTGATTGGATTAGGGGGTCAGTTTCTACTGGTTTATCACTATCCCTTTGGTGCTGTCCTCGTGACAGAGTTATCACAAGGTCTGGTTGTTTAAAAGTATGTGGCACCTCCCCCATCTCTCTTCCTCATACCCTGGCCATGTTGTGAAGATGCTAGCTCTGGCTTTGCCTTCTGCCGTGATTGTAAGTTCCCCATGGCCTCCCCAGAAGCAGTTGCTGCCATGCTTCCTGTACAGCCTATAGAACTGTGAGCCAATTAAACCTCTTTTTTCTTTAAAGAAAAATAGATTACCTAGTCTTAGATATTTCTTTTTGGCAACGTGAAAATGAACTAATACATATGACTATGTGCCATAGACTGAATATTTGTGTCTCCTCAAAATTCACATTTTGAAATCTTAATCTCAAAGGTGATGGTATTAGGAGGCAGGGCCTTTGGTAGATGGTTAGGTCATAAGGGCGAAGCCCTCACAAATGGGATTAGCACCCTTATAAAAGATATCCAGCAATTCTACTCCTAGGTATATACCCAAGAGAAATAAAAACATACATTCATACAAAAACTTATACATGAATGCTACTAGTAGGATTATTGATAATCCCCCAAAAGTGAAAACAACCTAAGTAACCATCAACTGATGAATGGATAGATAAAATTTGATATAGCTATATAATGAAATACTATTTGATAAAATGAATGAAATACTGATACGTCCTATATTATGGTTGAACCTCAAAGTTTATTATGCTAAGGGAAAAAAGCCAGTCACAAAAGACCACATCATATATAATTCCATTCATATGGAACATTTAGAATAGGCAAATTGATAAAGACAGAAAGTGGATTAGTGGTTTCCTAGGGCTGGGGATGCAGGGATGGAAAGTTGGGGGGAAATGGAAAGTGACTGCTAATGAATATGGAGCTTCCTGTTGGGGGTGATAAAGTGTATTAAAATTAATTGTGGTGATAGTTACATGAATCTGTGACTACACTAAAAATTACTGCATCATACACTTTAGATGAGTGAGCTTTACAGTATGCAAGTTCTCTTAACGTAAGCTGTTAAAAATCAAAGTGAATGTGTTGGAGAAGGAACATGTATGAAGGATGACTTTAGTCTGACTCTCAGTTTCTGACTTGGATGATGAGAGACTAGAAACAGGACCACAGAAATAGGAGAAAAGTCATTAAGATGAATGTTGTCATCAAAGCCATCAGGGAGTGGAATTACATAGAATTAGGAGTCAAGATTACAAAATAAAACAGAAATAACAACTAACATAAGGACAGGAATATGTTCTTGTATTTGGCAGTTTTAGGTCATTAGTGAACCCAGAGAAATTGGTTTCTGAGGAATAGTAGGGGTGCAGTCAATTTGCAGTAGTCAGGATTAAACAGGAAATTTATCACTCCTTTTGTTATTTCTGGCAATTTGGCTAAAAGTGTATATACACAGGTAAAACACAATCTTTAGACTGTCCTTAACATTCTTTCCTTCTTACCCAAATTTAATACCTTTGCTCCTCCTTTTATGTTACATTGTACCCAGATGTGAAGAATCTGGAGGGTTTTCTTCCTGTATCCTTTCGCAATTAATATTCGCCATCTTCAGCTTAGAACTGAATCATAAATCCTGGCTTCAAGAACTCTAAGGTACATGCCTCTCAAGTCTGGCTCTAGGAATGAGTAGATATTTTGCTTAAGAAACCTTCAGGTAGAGGAAACTACTGCATAGGATGAGGAAATCATTGCAGCCTCACTTTAACCCAATCTACATAATAATGTGATGGGTTGAGGAATAGGGAAGTTTATTTCATGATAAACTTGACCTCAAAATACCTCAATATGCTGGAAAAAAGAGTCAAATCTCACAAAAAGAAAATAAAACAGAATGGTTAGTAGAGTTAAGTATTTTTCTTTCCTTGGATATAATAATCTAGTATTAAATTTAGTATGAAGTGAATAGGGTTTAATAAAACTGTATCTTAAAGAGAAAAATGTAGTTAGGGCTGCTCAGACAGAGTAAGTCTCAAACTAAAATATTTTAGAAGCCATTCTGTTTGACTCTCTATATATCATTTTGAAATTTAAACAAAGTAAAATTAGTTTAGCTAATAAAATAGAAAGCACTTAGAGAACATTTCAGATGAAAAAATAAATGGGAAATCACCCTAAAAATTGATAGTTCTACATACAGACAAGTTTTTTTGTTTATTTGTTTTTAATCAGAGGTGTAGCAAGATATAGGAAGACATTGACTAATAGTAAGAGTATCTGTGATAGAACTTTTGCTAGAGACGTATCTGAATTTGGGTCATGGAGAGGGGCCGTCCACTTATTTGTGTGTTCAGCTTCCACAAACATATTCCCTACAAGACATAATTCTTCAAGAAACTATTTCCAGGGAATGTCATTTTAGTGGCTTTTAGATGTCACCATAAGACAACCTCCCTTCACTTTACTATCCTCTTCTGTGATTGACCAGTGGTAACAAAAATCTATACTGGACACTTGCTATACTTGAAACCCTGTACACACACCCCTCATCTCCTTATGCCTGCACCACAATTTTTCTCTAGAGAATGTTCTTGCTCAAGCATCCAATATCTACTGCCCAGGTGATGCTGACACTTCCTTTAGCTTCTGGCACAAATGCGTAATGTAGTTAGACTTGGTTAAGACTCTGTAGTCCTTTGGTCACCAAACATGGTTCAAGACCGGACATGAATCCCAATCAGAGCCAGTGGATTGGAATATCAGAGCTTGGAAACTGTTTAAAGAAAGGCAGACTCTGTTTTCAATTGAACTAGAACTGTAAGGATGTAAACATGGAGCTCCTGGAGGCCACTGTGGCACAAGACAGGAGAGTGTATCTATGACTAAAGCCATTAGTGAGGAAAGGAAAGGAGTGAGGAAAGAAAAGCCTCTAAATTCTTCACATCTGGGTACAATGTGAAGCTGGAAGAGAGGATGGATCCAAATGATTTCATTTGATTCCCTGGGTGCGGACCTGTCTGAAGCCATACCAGCCTCTGGACTTTCAAGTATCATGAGCCAATAATCTCTCTCTATGCTCAAGCCGGTTGTAGGTAGGTATTCTGCCACTTGAAGCCACATAATTCTTACTGACTTTTACATCACTGTTTCTAAAATGTCTGCTTTTTGGCAGGCAAACGAGAACTGAGCAGTCATTTTCCCAGCCAACTAAAGTCCCTACATAAAAATAAATAAATCATAACTTGAGGCTGGCTTAACAAACATCATTTCTTTCCAAATGTTATTGATTATTAATGTGATCAATCTAACTCTGTGTAAAACACATAAATGGAATAGCACTATATCTTTAAAAATCTTTTAATTTGCAAGTGCTCAGGGAAACCATCTGATATATGATAGCTCTCAGAAAGCAGTTTTAGTTCTAGCACTTGAAAGTCTTGTGTTCAATTACAAATATGGCTTATTAAACAGCAATCTCATTTTATTTGCTCTTACCCATACTGGACTTCGCTTTTGCTAATACTTAGGACACGCCCTGTGAATTAAGCTCTTAGGACAATGCCTTTAATCTTTCCTGCAATTGACATTCATATTTAAAATGGTGTAAAGATGTGTTATGAAAATGCAATGCCCACAACTTATGCAAGAGACGTGGGAGAGAAGCTTGCCTTGGCACCTCATTTATTTCCTTCAGGTTTATAATCTATGGAATGGAGTCTGTCAATACTTTCTTCTTCAACAGTTAGCTTGCTATTTTGCAGTGACACATAGAATTGTAGGACTTAAGTTTCTACATGTCATTTAAATATTACTCTCTATATTTATATATATATAAGCTATTATTCACTTTCAATATATAAATATACATATTTTTGTGTATATATGTATTAACTATATAGCCAAAATTGTCTACAGTCTGAATCATTAATCCTTCTCCATGTCACCAACCCATCATAATCAGAATAGACTTTCCTTTCTATCGGAGCTTTTCTATCTATATCACTGGGGTGATCAAGAATTTGCTTAATTGTGTGGTTTACTTATGTCAGACTCTGGAGGGCTGGCAGTGGTCCTTAGGAGGTGAGAATTCTGGTTTATGATTATAGCTGTTACCTGCTCACCAAATTGTCTACGCATTGCTTAAGACTTTACTACTCAGGAAAAAACAATTAATAAACTAATTTAAGAAATATAAACTGCTTCCTTAATCTTAATTTGTTTTTTAAAATGACTGCTAAAAGAGTGTTCTAAGCTAGAAAAATTGTAGAATAGTTTTGTTTAATGTATTCAAGGTCATATACTAGTTTATTTTAAAATTTTTGTCCTGCTTTGTTCTAAAAAGATTTAAGGAAACTCAGACATTAAGCAAAAGTCTTGCCTCCCAGTCCATTCCTGGTTCCATGCCAGTGTGCTGAGCTGATGATGCAGACCTGCTTCCTGTCATCCCCACCATCTTAGAATGCAGGCAAGAAGACTCTACGCCCAGCACAAATGACTAGCTGTCATTTGTGAAGCCTCTTGCTCATTGCCACATTCCCTTCTTCAGTCAGCCTTCAGGAAGAAGGTAATTCCGCTGCTGACTAAGCTTTCCAGTGCGCCCCAGGCAGCCCTTTCATTGTGAGAAGTCTCTTAGTGAAAGGCAGGACTGGTCAACCCTAAGGAAGAGTTGTATAGAATAAATTTCTAATTAGTGAAGAGAAATGTTCATGCCACTCACTCAAAAAAAAAAAAAAACCCAGTAAGCTGCATGATTGACAGTTATCATCACTTATATCATGCTGTCTGTCAGTGACAATATAAATAATGCTTGCTAATTAATCTACAAATAAGCAATGAAGAACCAATGAAGGAGTATGGAAAATCCAAATCTTAATTTTCTTGAAAGTGTAAGAGGCGAAATTATCATATTAGAAGTTAAACCCAAGTGTTTCTCTGTGTACATAAGAGGTAGAGATAATATAAAAGAAATAAAACTTTATACAAATGTGAGTAAAAACACGTTTAAAAATATATGCTTGTAAAGAAATGCTACAATACAATATTTTAGTCGTAATTTCCATTTTAAAAAGATATTGTCATTGTATTAACCTTGTGAACAACCCTATAAAATAGAACCAGAAAAATTACATTTGAAGATGAGAACACAAGTGATTTGCCTAATATCACATAGCTTTTTAGTATCAGAAAACAGAAACTGGACCCCTTTCTTACACCTTATACAAAAATAACCTCAAGATGGATTAAAGACTTAAATGTAAAACCTAAAACCATAAAAACCTAGAAGAAAACCTAGGCAATACCATTCAGGACATAGGCATGGGCAAAGACTTCGTGACTAAAATGCCAAAATCAATTGCAACAAAAGCCAAAATTGACAAATGGGATTTAATTAAACTAAAGAACTTCTGTTCAGCAAAAGAAACGATCATCAGATTGTACAGGCAACCTACAGAATGGGAGAAAATTTTTGCAATCTATCCATATGACAAAGGTCTAATATCTGGAATCTACAAGGAACTTAAACAAATTTACAAAAAAAAACACAACCCCATCAAAAAGTGGGTGAAGGATATGAACAGGCACTTCTCAAAAGAAGTCATTTATGTGGCCAACAAACATATGAAAAAAAGCTCATCATCACTGGTCATTAGAGAAATTCAAATTAAAACCACAATGAGATACCATCTCATGCCAGTTAGAATGGTGATCATTAAAAAGTCTGGAAACAACAGATGCTGGAGAGGATATGGAGAAATAGGAATGCTTTTACACTGTTGGTAGGAGTGTAAATCAGTTCAACCATTGTGGAAGACAGTGTGGTGATTCCTCAAGGATCTAGAACCAGAAATACCATTTGACCCAGCAATCCCATTACTGAGTATATACCCAAAGGATTATACATCATTCTACTCTAAAGACACATGCACACATGTGTTTATTGCAGAACTTTTTACAATAGTAAAGACTTGGGACCAACCCAAATGCCCATCAATGATAGACTGGATAAAGAAAATGTGACACATATACACCATGGAATACTACACAGTCACAAAAAAAGAATGAGTTGTGTCCTTTGCTAGGACATGGATGAAGCTGGAAGCCATCATCCTCAGCAAACTAACACAGAAACAGAAAACCAAACACCACATGTCCTCACTCATAAGTTGAAGTTGAACAATGAGAACACATGGACACAGGGAGGGGAACATCACACACCGGGGCCTGTCAGGGAGTGTGGGGAAAGTGGAGGGAGAGCATTAGGACAAATGCATGCAGGGCTTAAAACCTAGATGATGAGTTGATGGGTGCAACAAACCACCAATGCACATGTATACCTATGTAACAAACCTGCACATTCAGCATATGTATCCCATGTAAAAAAATAAAACAGGCTTTGAGAGAATAGCTTAGTAATTTTGAGTGAATAGATTTTAATTTTTAAGTATCTAAGAAAAATGTTTAACAGTAAAAACCCATGAGTCTACAATTATCTTAAAATTAAAAAAAATGTAATTAAAAAGTCCAGCAACCATGCTCACTTTTTGTAAGAGCTCTCCAATTTCCTACAGGTAACTACCTCTCTTCTGCTCTCAGTCAACATGATTTGGGTGGGCTGACTTGATTCCCTTCTCAAAAGATGGTAATGTGACCCAGGTTTGGTTATTTAGAGACTCACATTGTCCTGGCTCCTGGGATTAGCCAAGGTTGGACACCAGACCCAATCAGAAGCTATTAGAGGTTTTTCTGGGATTTCTGATGAAGCATTTGGTAATAAAATATATTCATTCTCACTGTTCTTGAATCTTGCTGAATGTCAGCCAGGACTTGCAGGAGTATGTCATGTGCCGGTAACCTCTCTAACAAGGAAGGAAGCATAGAAGAAAACTGGGCCAATGATGAGAGGAACAGATTCCAGATGCCATCATTTGAAGACTTGGGCCCAGACGTGCCCAAAGTACCTCTAGCTCCTACAATTTTTAGCTCCATGAGACTTTTATTTCCCCTTTGTTTTGAATCCTTTTGAACTGAAGTTCTGTCACTTACAATCTAAAGAGCTCTAAAATTCACATCGTGTCAATATAGCCATATGATTTTCTTTAAATTAGCTTTCTAGCAGTACCAATTAATGCACTTCGCATAAATCATTCTGTGTAAAGTCATTTACTTCAGAACATCTACATGTCTTAAAGCCTTCTATCCCGTCTTTGAAGCTTTATCTATTTCACATCAAGAGAAGAAATAATTTTTCTTTGAAGAGCGGTTGCAGTCAGGTATCCTAAAGCACCTGTGCATACCTCAGGCTTCAGATAAGCAGCCATGTTAAAACTGCCATGTTGTTTGTGTTGTCAGTCCCCTTCTATAGACTGTGAGCTTGTTGCGATCAGGCACTGTATTTTATTCTCACTTATGTCCCATCATCCTAAAGAATGCAGGGAACACCCTAAGCTTTCAGTAAATACTTGTTAACTAAGTGAATAACCTGAGCTTTAATATTTTTTATACATCACAGTTACAGCCTCAAATTTTTCCTTGAAGTTTAAAGATGAGGTTCCCTGTCTCAATTCCCCTGCTTACATTGAGTTTATGTGATTTTTTTTCACAAAAAACACATCCAGCATGTCTCTTTGATCTGTCATAATAATTAAATAGCATACGCGAATGACAAATTCTTATCTGGACGCTTCCGCCCCTAAGAAATAGAGCTAAACAGGCAATACACATTTATTTATGTTTACAAATCTACCCAGGTCAAGTGACCTGAAACCTTCCTTTAACAATGGCTGCTTCCTCTGCGGTGTTCTTAAAACTCAATAAATTATTAAACAGGGGGATAGATAGAATAAATTAGTAGAATCTACCTGAAGGCTGGGAAACCGACACTCTTAAAACAGTGATAATAAATCAACAACTAATATTTATCCAAGTGCTTGCAATTGTCCAGCCCATGCAGAGCACCTGCCTTGGTGTTAACCAGCATTTAACTACTATGTAAGCAGGCTGCCAGGCCCTCCTTAATGCCAGGAATTATTTTGGAATCTAAAGTCTGTGTTTGCATTATCTGTCCTTCTATGTGGCTCCCTCCCGAGCCTCCCATAGCCTAAGCCCGCCCACCCACTCAAATAAGACTGCCTGGTGCCGAAGCAAACCACTGTGTTAAGTCCATTCATTTCCTGCACAACAGCCCACCCTCATCTCACCTGCTCCACTTGAGACTGAACAATTAGGTCCAGGTGTGCAGTGACACAGAGCAATGGGGACCAAAGCTAGGGCCACCTGTCTTGCTGGCTGATAGAGGGAAAGAAATTTCTGTAAGACTACACGTTGCCAATTTGGGGCAAATTATATCTCCAGCTAGAGAAACATTTTATAAGGAAAGTAAAGGCACTATTTTTTTTTTTTTTTTGTCCAGAGAGAGATTAAAAAAAAAAAACAAAACTTGTATTGCTAATCTATTGCAAGAAAAACAAATATACAGTTGCCCTCCAAAAGATGTTACAAATACTTAGTGTTATTTATAAGGGGAGAGAAAAGAATTGTTTGAATCTGTCCATACAGTTGAGCATGTCTATAATAGGTTATGGTTTTTCTCCAATAGAAACAAACTTTGTATGTTTAAAGTTACTTCTAAGTCTTTATGTTCTCCAGGCTTAAAACATGATAACACAATTAACATTTCCCTACGGGATTTCTGTCCCCTTAACAATTGTGTTATTGCTACCCTTTTATTTGGGTAGATTTTGAGAATCATTATTCATAAACTCTGTCTACTCTTTTTAAAAGTCATTATTTGTCTCAAAATTCAGCAATTAAAAATTTATGGTATGAGTACTCCTGCTGACAGTGGCTCTTAATTTTACCACTTCTTTTTCAGTTGCTTAATTAGGTCTCAGGCTAGAAATGCTACAACATTAGAAAATGCATTAGTTTTGTTATCAAAGAAATAACCCTTTCTTTCAGAGATGTTTGTAATTTATTTTATGGTCTTGCCCATTTGTTTACACAATTATTTACTATGTAAGCTATTGTGTACCAGAAAATACATTAGAAAATTTTGGGATACAAGGACAAGTAATATATTAAAGCTTTCATAAAGTTTATAATCTAACAGATGGTCTAAAATATTTAACAATTATAATACACATCTACAGATAATAAATGACAAAAGAGCAATAAAAGAATGTGGTTGGATTTAGAGTAGGGAAAAACAGCTCTTAGAAGTACGGGAAACAGGTAGCATATGCAATGGATTATATAATTTATAATATTTTATTACTTATTGTATTGTGAAAAACAAGCATATTCAAAAGCAGAAAGAACAGTATAATGGACTTATCCCATATGCACTCATTACCAAAATTTTACCAAACTTGATTCATCTATTTGTTTTTCTCTTTCTGAATTATTTTAAAACAAAACCCAGATTTTTATAACATTGCATCCTTATGTTATACAGGATACATTTCCAAAATATACCCTCATTTTTAACATAACACAATACCATTATTACTCATAGCAAAATAAATATAATTCCTTGTTTTTATTTAATAACTAGTCCATATTCAAAATTCCTCTCTTACCTAAAAAATGCCTTTTTCTAGTTGGTTTGTTAGAATTGGATAGTGGATATTTTGTGGAAAGTCATGAATATTAGGTTCAGGAGTTCAATATTGATTTTATTGACTACAGCAGGAGACTGGGGCTTCTTAAAGATTTTGTTTAGGAGAATGGGATATTGAAAATGATGCTCTAGGAAGCAGGCTTGACATCAGTGGGGAATCACTTAGGTCAGAAAATGATTGCAGTATCTCTAGTGAGAGGTCATAAAGATTTCATTCCGGTGGTAGCAGTGCTATGGTGCTGATTAGAGACTTTGTATGATCACCAGTTGATCAGATAAGAAACATGAGAAAGCAGGAGGAAATGAAGACATCTCTAGGTTTTCCATTGTTGTATAATTAGAGTGCTGTAGTTAAATTAGAAACATATGACCATATGAATATTATGACTAAATATTTGTTGGACACTGTGACTGGCACTGCTAAATGCTTCACATGGATTTTTTTTTCATTTAATGCTCAGAAGTCTACAAGGTAAGAATTGGTGTTGTCTTTATTTTAAAGATGCAGAAATTAAGGTTTCAAGTGGTCAAGTAACTTGACCAAAATCACATAGCTGGTGAATTTGGAATAGGAATGTCAGTGGTTACCGAGTTTCATACTTAGAGAAAGGAATTTGATGGATTGGAGAAAAAACAGTGAGCTACTCCATTTCATAGCATCAAGCCTTCAGTGGAAGAAAAATTTCTTTCAGGCACTGTGAACGTAAAAAAGACATACAACAAGATCACACTAGATAGAAAAACTTCCAATGTCCTTCTTAAGGTAACACCCAAAGTATAAAAGGGTAGATAAATCAATAAAAGTAGTTTATGTTAAGTTCATGGTGAAAAAAATCCATTGGCTCTCAGACATGTTATTGATCAGAAGTGCTTAGTTCTAGGTAATGGAGGTAAGAGAGGATGTCAAACTTGATCTGCACCTTGCAAAAAGATAGATTTCAGGCTGGGCAAAGTCAATGGTGTAAAGGCACAGAGGCAGAAGTGAGCAATGGACCATGGATGATCCAAAGTGGCTGGTGGGAGTCATGAATAAAACCATGCCTGAGCAATGGAATGTATTTAATACTTATTATTAAGAATAAGACAAGGTTGTGTTTTTATTATTTGTCAAGCATGATGACCAGTTCAGCTTAAGATTATGTTGAGTTGGTGGTGGTGGCATGGCAGCCAGACAGATGCTTATTATTTGAAGACCCACTACTGACAATCAGAAGATTAAAATTAAGGCTGGAAAAATATTGAGGAATCATATATTAAAAGTCATCCCTGAAGGCACAAGACTAAACAGAGTGCTGCTGGCGCAAATTGTCAAACGTTAGTGAAGAGCTTCCTTTCCTCTCTCCTGCCGTTCCTCTCTTCCTGCCTCCTTCCTTTCTTCCTACTCTCCTTCCTTCCCTTATTTTGTTTTCTTTTTAATAACGGCTCATAGTCAGAGGCATTATGCCACAATTGAAGATTGAAATAATGATTGAAGGTTGGAAGGAGATACAATAATATAAAATAATAGAAAGGATAAGTTTTGAGCAGAAATTGAAGGAAACAGAATCTGGAGCAATGGTAGGGAGAACAGAAACGGAAAAATGATTTCTTCTCTGATGCAAGCTCTTCACCTGGGATCTCTTTTATAAACTACAAATTGGTCTAAATGTCACTGATCATTTCTATTTGGATGTCCCACAAGTAGTTTAAACACAGAAATCCCTGAACTAAATGACTCATCTTCAAAGACACAAACCTGGTCTAGCTAATGTTTACTTATCTTCATGAGTAGCATACAGAGATACTATTTTCTTCAAGTCAAAAGCCTGAGGGTCACCATTATTCCTCCTTCTCTCTCACTGTTCTATCCAGTTTCAAAATCAGGTTTAATGATACCTCCTCAATATTGTGATGGAATTTGAATTTTCACTCTTTTACTATGAAAATATACTTAGTATGAAAACAACTATTATGTTCTATTCTTTGGTATACTTGCAGAATAGAAGATAAATAATTTCCCCAAGCTCTTGTAAGGGTTTGAAGATACAGACACCCATGACAATGATGAAAGGGATATAGTTTTTTAGTTGCCATAGATTTAAATTAAGGATTTAATGAACTCTCAAAGTCTATTTTAAAAAATGGATTTTGGGGGTAGAAGCTGTGTGTCTTGAAGAAGTGGTTGGAGGCAGGAGGGGATGCTCCAGTTCAGAAAAATCTTCCAAATAATGAAAAAAGAAATAGGCCTGTAGGAATCTGAGTAGCAGAGAGCCTGTTTCCTGGAAGACCTCTAGAGAGATAATACTATCTCACCAAAGGACTGCTTCCTGATGTGCGTAAGTAGAAGGGATTTAGCCACCAGTTTCCAACTTCATGGGGAATCACGGCATATCTTACACGGATGTATGAGAGAGGTAAACATATCAATGAAAAACTGAAAAGTAAATTGTTTGGAGAGAAGACTAATGTCATTAGGTAAGACTTGGGAAACTTAATCACTGGTGATGGGAGAGGGGGTCATAAGTTCTAAAATAAATAATTTGGATTTCTTGCCACTTCGTTCGAATGGGGCACCAAAATCTAAATAAAATATATTTGTAGAATATAAGGAAATGTAGCATCTCCTATAAGCCTAGGTTGTGGACTCTGAACTAGGCTTACTACACTGGTCATAGGCTTAAAGTATTATCATATTAATAAGGCCTTCCGTATGATCAACTAACTTAAATCTCAATCCACCACTCCATCAAACATTCTGATCTCTTCAACCAGATTTTAATTTTTACTTGTTTACTTAGCACTAATCACGTTCTGACATTTAATATCACTTACTAATTCATTAATATTATTGTTTATTGTCCACATTTGTGCCACTCCCAAAGCATGTGCTTCATGAAGGCAGGGATCTTTGTTTTGTTCACTGATACATTACAAGCACCAAGAAGAGTTGCTGGCAAAGAGTAGATGCTCAATAATATTTGTTAAATAAATGAATCCTTGTAACCTATGCAAATATATGACAAAAGATTGAGCCCCTCACCTCTACCTTTATACCTGGGTCCTACACAAGACTCTGGAACTTTGATACATTGAGTGGAGGTGCCCTATAGTAATTACTGAAGTTGAAGTTACTGTTGATCTATTATTTTTCACACACATAGATATAGATTAAAATTCATATCTACAACATAAACCATAATATCTTCTAAATCCATATACTTGTGTCCATTTCCGCTTACATTAACTTTTGCATAAGATCATCTTCTCCCAGGTTTATGACAGTAACATTCCATCTCTCTCCATATTTTTCTTCTTAGCCACTTCCTAATAGATGAAGTTTTTAAATAATGTAGTTCTTTGATTCTTTTCTAGCTTTTTCTTCATTAGCACCTCCCAGTTCCCCTGATTCCCCCATGTTCATACTTATCTTAACAGCCCCTCTTTTTGTTCAGAGCTTATGGGAAAGTTGCATTTGTCAATTTACCTTTGTAAAATTAAAAAAAGAGTAGTTATTTTCTGAAATATGAACGTATAATAATTTCCATCATGATTACTCTGATGTTTTAAAACCCTTGATTTTCTCCACTAATAAAGTGCACTTATAAACTGTGAAGGATTTTTTTAGTTGAAATTATCTTTTAAAATTGATAAACTAAATGAAAATGTATTATACATGAAATAAAGCTTTTCAACATATTACGTCTTCGAAATTTAGAAGACGTGGTCTAAGCATGATTTCCTATTTTATTGTTTTAGTATTAAAGAATGCTAAACAACCAATAAAAATATAATATAAGCTGGAAATATGATGCAAGTAAATATTTTCCAAAATAAAAGAGAGCATATTAAATTAAAATTTTAATTCTTTTCATATTGGCCTAATCATATAAAGATTTGGACATAGTTGGCTACTCACATGTACCAAATTTTAGAAGATAAAATGAGAAATTATATAAGGGAAATGCCTGCGTGCTTGCTTATAATTAGCAAAAGGTGTTAGGAACTCATGAAAAAAAAATACATTTTTCCCTTTAGCTTAGATGATCTGACAGTGTCATACTAACAAAGAATGTATAGGGAAAAAAAAGCCTGTTGCTCAGTCACAAAGCCCTAGAGTAGACAGTGTGTGTGCATATGGGTAAACAGATTATCCAGCCATCATTCCTGAGAGAAGCAGAGAGACGTGTATCTCCCAGTACCTGCCCTTATCTGCTTCACACCTGTCTTTTCTGATGAAACTCCATGGTAAATAATGGGCGTTTACAAGCACCTAAGAATATTCAGTCATTTTAATGGATGAATCATTTTCACCTCCTCCATTAATGATGTGTATAGCAGTATGACAGGGAGTACAGTTAAGTTGATACCTTACACTTGGAAAGATCAGGACAAGCTATCAAGTATATTACCCTAATTGCATTTTCAAGAATAAATAGTAGTTTTCCAGATGTTGGAGGGAAATAGGGGTGAGAATGGCAATAAAGGAAAGTAATTTCTAACCAAAGGAATGGCAACTAAAAAGGCATAGTGACCCAACACCTTTGAAAAATTGCTATTACATAGCTGTGCAACTACAGCACAGAAGGTAATCTATACTGGAAGCCACTTGGAAAGTATGTTTTACTCTATTGTTCTTTTATAATACAGGTTAAAATTTTTTAATATTGCTGAATCAAGCACACCTTCTAAATAATATTTGACAGTTATTATATCTGAAATGAGCCCTTGATATAAAATCATATTGTCTAATGCATATATTTTAAACTGGCAATTATCCTGTTTTATTTGGCCAATTTTTAACCATCATGTAATTTTCACATTTCTGTACCAATTTTTCTCACCTGAAAAATCTGAAAATTATCTACCCTTCTCAACTTGTTTAGATGTTTTAAAGGAAGAAGATGTAACAAAGGTAAAAGTGTTTTATTATCTTTTGTCAGGTCATGTATTTCATTGTGTAATTTATGGCATAATATATTAGGCAGTGGGCAAAAGTGAGTTAGTCTCAGTATTTACAATCAGGAGATACAAATCTAAACTAGACTATAGAGGTGTGAAATTGTAGATGACATGTAAATTTTGTTTATTTAACATACATGCAAACACAGTGGTAGTTAACTTTGTTACTAAGATGACTGAAGACAGAAGCATAGAAGCTGAGTATCAGCTTGAATAGGCCTTCTGGCATAAGAGGAATTCCAGGACAGACTCAATTTAAAATAATGATGAATGCCATCCTAGACTCAACTTAAAAAGAGAATAACTTAGAGGTAAATAAGTACAAATAGTATGAAGGTACATCTTTACTGTACTTTTAATGCCTTAAATTTATTTTTTGAAAATTACACTAATAATGCACTTCTTATTACACTAATAAGCATACAAAGTTCAAACAGAACAGATATATACAGATCAAATCCTGGAAATTCCACTTATTTCACCTTTCATTACTTTTTTCTTCCTCAGAGGTGACAACTGTCAAAAAACTCGCCTGTTACTTTGAAATTTGAAGTACAATCCACATGCAAAAAAGTGCATAAATGTTTGGCTCAATGAATTACCAGGAAGTGAATTCCTATATAACTACTACCCAGATTAAGAAATAGGATCTTACTAGTACCCAGAATAGCCCTTATCTCAACCAATCTTGCCAAAAGCTCTATCTTATCTCAAGAGAAACCAATGCTCTTACTTCCAATATTAGAGTTTATTTAACCTGTTTTTATTTTTATCTTTCAAGAATCTGGCTTTGTTGTCCAGGCTGCAGTGAACTGGTATGATCATAGCTCACTGTGGCCTGGAACTCCCTGGCTCAAGTGATTCTCCCATCTCTGCCTCCTGAGTAGCTGGACAGGTGCACACCACCATACCAAACTAATTTTTATTTTTTTCATTTTTTTTGTAGAGACAGGGTCTTGCCATTTTTCCCAGGCTGGTCTTGAACTCCTGGAGGCTCAAGTGATCCTCCCACTTCAGCCTTCAAAAATGTTGAGATTATAGGTTTGAGCCACCACGCCCAGTCCTGTTTTTAAATTTAATAATGTTTTGCTTACATACCTTCTTCGTCCTCAGCCTCAGATTTGTGAAATCCAGCATATTTCTGTGGGTAGCTGCAGTTTTTCATTTTCATGTTAGTATGATACTATAGATTCAGAATACACCACAATTCTTATATCCATTCTCCTGTTCAAGATATTTCTGTTCTTTCTTGTTTGACCTGTTTTCAATAATGCTTCCACAGGCATTCTTGTACACACACACATTTCTGTCAGGTATATGCCTAAGAGTGGCACTTGCTGGCTCACAGAGTAGACTCACGTTCAGTTGGTAATGCCAAACCATTTTTCTAAGTGGTTATACTAGTTTACATTCCTACCTGAAGTCTCTGACAGCTTCTGTAGCTCTAGATTCTCACAAACAGTATGATAAGCCTTTTTAAGTTGTAGCCATTCTGGTGGATGTGGAGTGGCACTTCATTAGTCCAGCAGAACAGTAGTATTCCTCCAATCACTGTCTGGGAAATAATGGTCTAGGAAACAAGAAAATTGGGCCAGAGTCTGGGAATCTTTTGGTAGATCTATGGATGTTACAAAAAGTATTCTTTGGCTATGAAGCTTATAAAATCAAATAGAAACCAGCATTATAGCTCCTACCCACAAAGGCTCTGAAGACCTTGAGTAATCAGAAACAGTAGACATGCACAGAGCAACCTATGAGTCCCAGCTGGAGGCTATTAGCTCTCTTCTAGTGTGAATTTCTGTGATTTATGCATGATATGTTTACAACATATGGTCAGACACCACTAAGGCTCCAGAGACCTTATGTTGGTAATCAATGACTATTTCACCTTAACCCTCTCAGAATCCACTCACTGAAGATTTGCAAACTACCTGTCGTTCTGTCTACAGAAAAAAAGTACGAAAGTCACAATGAAGTTAGAATCATAGCAAATGATACCACACCTCTGGTCACTCTTCCTTTATATAATTTTCTACTTTTAATGACAAGATAAATTAGTTTCTTCAGCAACAAAGAGTAAAGCTCTCTTTGCTGGCATTTATTTATTTTTCTTTTTTTCTATGAGGAATATCGCCACAATAATTATCATTTACTTTTCTTATTTTGTTCAAACCAGTTCTCATTAAAATGTGGCCCAGTATAACCTAAGAAAAATCAGTTCCTCAGAAGACGTCATCAGAAAACTCTTTGGAGCATCTGGATACCCAAAACTGAGTGATAGAATTAATATTCTATTAAATATTACTAGTAATGGTAAAATGAGTGTGGAGCAGTAGGGACTGGCACTTAATGAACATTTAGTTGAGAGACAGTGAGCAGGGCTAGTTTGTTCATGAGTAGAGAAGAAAAAGTTAAAAGTGCCTAGAAAATAGGAATCTTTCATGACAGAAAGTGTACACAATGAAACAATGAAATGTTATAAATTTACACTAAACGTGTGAGTATCAATGATCTAAATTAGTGGAAGCTGATTTCCTTTGTGTTCTTTCAGCATCTGACAAATGCTTGTATTATGAGTGATCTTACCCGATTACAACTGCTTGTGTTGGGATGAGATGTGAGGTGCTGTATTAGTCCATTTTCACACTGCCATAAAGAAACACCTGAGACTGGGTAATGTATAAAGAAAAAGAGGTTTAATGGACTCACTGTTCCACATGGCTGGGGAGGCCTCACAATCATGGTGGAATGTGAAGGAAGAGCAAAGGCACATCTTACATGGTGGCAGGCAAGAGAACGTGTGCAGGGGACACGTTCCTCTTTATAAAACCATCAGCTCTCATGAGACTTATTCATTATCACTAGAACAGCATGGGCAAAACTCGCCCCCATTATTCAATTACCTCCCACCAGGTGCCCCCCATGACATGTAGGGATTATGGGAGCTACAATTCAAGATGATATCTGACAATTCAAGATGATATCTGGGTGGGGACACAGCCAAACCATATCAGGTACTAACTACGTTTTACTTCCCTCACATTTCATTGCTTCTTCACCTGTAAAGTGTGTATAATAATACCTCATATGGGTGAAGTTTAAATGAACATATGTAAAGTGCTTAGAACAATGTCTGGCACATAGTACCAATAAATGTTAGTTTTGTTATTGTTACTAATATTATTAAATGTCTTCATCATTACCTGAGGCTCTTCCCCTACCCTCCCCAATTCTGGCCAGATAGCCAAGGCTATTATTGCCTAAGTGGAATTGTCGTTGGAGATGGACAGAAGAATTGTCAAATTCTTGTGCTTTATATTTAAATTCTTGTGTTAGGGGTTGAATTGTGCCTCCTCTCAAAAAGTTCTAATTCTGAGTAATTCAGAATATGCCCTTATTTTGAAATAGGGTATTTACAGAGATAATCAGGTTAAAATTAGGTTATGAGGGCGGACCCTAAACCAAAGTGACTGGTGTCCTTATAAAGAGGAGAAAATTTGACACAGAGGCATGCACAGAGGGAGGAGTACGTAAAGACAGTGATGCAGGGAGTGCACCATGTAAAGACAGAGACAGAGACTGGAGTTATGCTGCCACAAACCAAGGAACATCTGGGGCTACTAAAAGCTAAGAGAAGCAAGAAAGTATCCTTCCCCTGCAGGTTTCAGAGGAAGCATGATCATGCTGACAACTTGATTCTGGCCTCTGAGTAGCCAGAATTGTGAAAAAAATGATTTCTGTGTCTAAGCCCCTCAGGATGGCAGTTTGTTACAGCAGCCCTAGTAAACTGATACATTAGACATAAGACAAAAAGATTTCAAGGGAAAACAAGTGGCTCCAGCTTACCTTTGGTACAGAAAGAAGAGACCCAAGCAAAAACTCTTTTGAGTCTGTGAAGGAAGTTATGAAGAAGGAAAGGAGTCTCTGATAAGGGCTCCTTACATAGTTTGCCAATCTAGGATTAGCTAAAAAGATGAAAAGATGAGAAGTTTCCATCTATTTACACTATTCTAGTGTGGCAGAGATTGTGCCTCGCTTGCCTGAAGCCTGCAGAGTGCATTACATCCCATGGTTTACAAACAGCAGAACAGAGATGGCTGTGTGAGGCGCCTGGGGCAGGGAGGAAGGCTTAAGTCAGCCAATTACAGCCAAGAGTGACCCTGGGAACATGCTGCTTTTTCTTCTCTCCTCCTAAAGGACAGGAACAAAAGTTTCCTTAGAGGAAGAAGTGACAAAGAGGGGATGCTGCCATGCAAAGCTGGAGGGATGCTATTCCCGGGGCCCAGTGGGCCTGTGGGTACGTTAGTAGATATGAGGGATAATGATGGTCATGGATCATGCAGGACTCCTGGCCTCAGTGGATGCCCATGTGGAGAAAGGGGGAACGGGATCATACTCTGCTTTCTCTATATATGTACACAATCCTGAACTTAGATCAGTCTCCATGAGAAGGAGAGATAGAAGAGGAAAATCATGTATTGGTTGAATGCAAACCCAAAATCATTGGGAAAAGCCTCAAGTAATTTAGTTTACCTGGAACTGACTAGATTTATTTTTCTGCCATTAGACAAAATGGGGGCCACAATTGAAAACGAAGTATGTAATTAACAGTTCTTGAACACATGGCTGGGAAATATGGTATCAGCTATATTTGTTTTTCTTCTTTGTATGAGCTCCTTTATGGCAGGCACTGTGTGTTTCTCTCTGTGTCTTTTCAAGTCTAATATAATACTTGACATCATTTTTGTCCATCCATACAGTTGGTTTGTCAATATGAATGTATTTATTTAATTGATGATAAACTGTAATAAAATCATAGTTGTTTGCTCTAAAGTAGATATGAAAGGTCAGATGAAACAATAACATACATCTGGATTGAGAAATATCTTAATAACTGATGGATTATTTTTATTTTCTTTATGTATTGTGTGCTTCAATATCCTAATAAATAATATTAGCTAGGTTCACTGATGTATAGAATCTTTTTCTACATTTAGATATTTCTTGCAAATGTTTTACCAGAAAGCAACACAAAAATACTATCAGTGAGTATGTGTTTACACTGTTCTCTAAGGAGTCAAATTCCTCACCTTGAAAATAATTCATCCCAGGAAGAGAAAAGGTTTTCAAAAGACTAGAGCAGGCCACAAGGGAGCTTTCGCAAAACTCTACACGTAAAGGGTAATGTAAACTTAAAACCTATTTTTCAAACAGTAATTTATATATCTTTTAATTTTAGTAGTTTATGTGTGAAACAATCATGCAAAACAACAAAGTGATAAAATTTTTTAAAAAAATTAGTGAGATGCAAATAACTGAATATGTAAAAGGTCTCATACATATTTATATGTAGTAGATAAGTTACATTTTTTTAGTGTGTTGGGAAATTTTAGCTCACATCACCTCTCTACTGTCATCTTGGGGCACTTTCATGACTACCCATGCTTCATGCAGGTTTACTTTCCTCCCTGTGACAGAGGATAATGGGAATGTTTTTTCTTTGGCTCAATTTTGTGTGTGTCCGCCAGTAGATGGCGGTACCACTTTGAGTGCGATCGGCCTTTTTTTCTTTCTTTTTTTTTTTCCTCAAAGCTGTTTTCTGATATATGTTGGGTACCATAGAGTGAATCTCAGAACAGGAAGCGGAGGCATAAGCAGAGAGGATTCTGGAAAGGTCTCTTTGTTTTCTTATCCACAGAGAAAGAAAGAAAAAAAATTGTAACTAATTTGTAAACCTCTGTGGTCAAAAAAAAAAAAAAAAAAAAAAGCTGAACAGCTGCAGAGGAAGACACGTTATACCCTAACCATCTTGGATGCTGGGCTTTGTTATGCTGTAATTCATAAGGCTCTGTTTTATCAGGTAAGCTGACAAAACATTTCATTATCTGCACCATAGAACCTAGCTACCAGGTCATTTTCCTTACTTTAAAATCATCTTCATGCTGCTATTTTTAACCCAGTGTTGTTTAAATGTAAATTACAGGAACCAAAGGCATCGTTTGATGTGTAAACTGCTTACTATTTCTTTATCTTTCAAAGAAAATAGAGCCTGTCTGGAAATGGTGATTTATGGTACATACTAGGCATCAATGGTCTTGTGTTTTTGTAGATGCTTATGATTAATTGTATTCAGAAAAAATATTTTTTATTATACTTAAAGCTAGTCTAATGAGTTTCCTGGCTGTATGTCATCTATTTAAATGCCCAGTGTGTCCAGTATTTTTTAAACATAAATGTATAGTGAAATTGGAACTATCATTCTTGTGCTTTAGTTTTTTATTTAACAGCTTTAGAGAGGCCATGCATATAGGGAGTGATAACAATATAGAGGTGTTTGGCTTTGTGAAATACACTATCATTTTTCTCTAAAATCTGTTTTCATAGAGAAAAGAACACCAATACTAACCATTTAAAAGAGGTTGAACCTTCAAAAAATAAAATAATCTCTATATGTTCCATAATATGCTACTTCTTTATCCTTTAATATATTCATTTTATATTAAATGTTTACCTTTTAATTTATTGATTTAAAGATTATTATATATTCTTAATTGTTCTATAAGCTTGATAGATTGCTGTTTTTCTGTATATATTTAATAACTGTTTATTTTTATTAATTACCAGGAAGAACCACTGGAGCCATAAAACAATAATTTACTTTATCTATGATCCATATTGTCTGTAGTTGTATTTAGAATATTCTATATCATAACCATAAATGTTTCATTCAGTTAGCCACCACATAATTAGAATAAGAAATTATTGACAGAAAATCTATACATATTAATTGAAAGATAAGTTTTAAAAATCATACAGGGTTTTAAAATACACAACAGGTAGTATAATGTGGCTTATGAGGACAAAGATAAAGGCATAAGTGCTTGTAGGAATTTGCATGGAAACATTTCATCACATTCACTCCAAATAGAGTGTGCCCTATATGAAATGAAGACTTCTGATTTCAACAGGGCTTCCAGTCAGTACTGGCTAAAAGGGCTTCAAAAATAGAACTTAAGGCCTCCAAACTGTAATTCCTAATGATATGTTGAAAAATATTGACATCTCACTTAATATTTTACATTGAGTAGCAATAATAGTCCCCCCAAAAACATTTCAAAATAGTGGTTGCCTGAGAGGAGAGCCCTGGGTCTTGTCTATTTCAGAAGAATTCCTACCATAGGAGATAAAGAAAACTATTTCTTTGGACAGGGTTCCCAGAAATGGCTGTTAATTAACTTGAGTGTATTGTACACACCATGCTTCTCTACAGGTGACTAAATGTGAGTAACTTTGTTCTGAGTAAGCATCAGAGCTGGTCTTGATTGAACTGGTTTACATTTATGAATGAATGCTTAATTTTGGCCCCAAATGTTAGCTTTTATTTTTCTTGGTATAGTTGCAACAGTCTCTTAGTTATTCATCTATACATGTGGTCGCCATGTGAAAAAGCAAATACACTCAGAGTTCTTCACTTCACAAAATGCGCTCTTTCAAAAATTTCGGAAATTAAACCTGCTTTGATTAAATGATATATCAAACACATTTGAATAACTTACTCTTTAAAAGAATGTAGTGGTGATTTCATTTGTAAAGTTGAGAAAAATGCTGTGATTTATTTGAGTACTGAAGATAAAAAGGTTGAACCCTGAGCTGAAAGTCTTGGGATCTGGTTCATGTTCTGCTACTAGTGAGTTTTGTTGTCTCAGAAAAGACCCCAAGTATCACTGAAGAGCATTTTCCTTGCCTACAAAGGAAGGAAATTAGAATCAAAGCTGTATAAGAATACTTTGTTTTTAAAATTTTCTGATCCTCATTTATTTGGATTTTTCTTCAGTTGGTTTCTCAGCTTAATTAAGATACAACTTTGACTCTCACTGAGTTGTAAATTATGATTGATGTGCTAAACATGAAAGTGGTAAAATAGAGAAATAGGGGCGTTTCTTGGCCAGTTCCTTCTGTAGTGGAAACAAGCAGGAAACAACATGGAGAAGTGGTTAAGAGCAAGAGCTTGGCAGGTTACATTTTATGGCCACTATTACCTGACAAGTTATTTAAACTCTCTGAGCCTTTATTACATCATCTTTAAAATAGGAATAATAATGCCTGTGTTACAGGATTGTGTAACTAAAATAATGTCTGTTCAGTGCTTGGTATAGATCCTGGAACATGATTACGAACCTCCTTCCTCTCTCTCCCTGCCATCCTAACTCACATCAAAAGGAACAGGACAAACATAAAGGCATAAATTTTCATCATTGTTATTATTGTTATCGTTAGTGCTGGTGATATAATATCTTCCACCACAACAGGAAGGATAGAATAAAACTGCCAAATAATTATGTACCTGAAAAGTGAATAATTCTCATCCTGGAAGGATGCCCTTGCTGAAACAACAACAATTGTGTACCTATAATAGTATCACTTAGTGTTAACATTCCAGGCAATTCCTGGAGAGTTTATAGAACTCATAATGCCTTCCAGAAGACAGTTATTTATGCCCAATATGTTATCACGGACTTCAAAACTTTCTTCTTCTTATGAAAATAGAGGCAAAGGGCCTTATTTCACGTTGCCTTAAGAGGATATACCTGTTAGACGAAGTTTCTGTAAAGATTCACAAAGGGAATCTAGGTTTCACCAAAACCACATTTAAACGCCAAGTAATTTCTACTAAGACCACCAGATAACTGAACCTAAATCTCAGGAAAGTCTTTGCTATGTGATCAACTCACAAACTCTCTAATGCTTCAATTCTATTAACGGTACAATAAGATGTGGAAAGGCAAATTGTGCTTGATGAATGGTTGATGGACTGCAAAATCCCTGCTTTCCTCCAAAGGTTGTTTCTAAGTGTAGCTTCGTGCTCCTGACAGCTGTGTGCTACTGGGGTCTTTGGGAGCTAGAACTTGGATGACCTTTCAGCACCCCAGGCCTCCTAATCCTTCCCTTCAACCACCCTAGGCCTCTTTAAACTGACTCAAGTAACTGCGCTGTCAGCTTCATCTTCATGGCAGCCAAGATGACTTAATGGACTCTTGATTAGGCAGATCTGAGAGGGCTAAGAGCTTGGGAGGCTTAAAAATATGAGGGTAGTGTTTCTCAACTAGACAAATGCGGTGCTTGGAATTTGTTGCTCATCTGTCTCTCAGTTCTAGGTCACTCCCAGCTCTTACGAGTTCTTATCTTTAGGGTTGATGATAACTAAAAGCATCCATAAGAATAAGCATTTAAAGATTTTTTTTCACCAAGAAATTAACACTTGATTATATAGTGATATTTCTTTACATAGGTAGCTGTGAAGATTACTTTTTTCTGATTTTCATTTATGTATAGAAACATGAACTCACTGAAGGTTGGGAATTCATGTTTCATTTGTCACCTAAAAATATATTATTCATTCGCACCTTAATATTAATGGTTGTTTTACCAGTTTTCCAAAACTGTGAGGATTAATTACCCACCTACCAGTGAAATATAATTACTTAACTCTATTTCTGTACTTTTAGGTTCGTTTTAAATTTTCGATTAATTTTAATTCTAACTGCTTTCATTTTCAAAATGTCATGCTTACGTTTTACCTTATAAACAACTTTCATGGCAAATCCATATAGAACCTGACATCTGAATTACTTCTTGAGGTAGACTGAACAATTGTAACTTGAGGTAGTTAGAAAATTTGGAAGAAAGAAAATCATATTCTTGCTTTATATTGTCGGTTCACACATTTATCTTTGATTGAGAAGCTACTGTTTTAGTTCAGCTTTACCTGAAAATATTTTTCCCTCTGGGATGAAATTAACACATTCTTTGTTTATATTTTAATGGGATGTAACAAGTGCAGACACCTATTTCGGAGCAGAATAGTGTTTCCTCTTAATAATACAGCAATAAATAAAATCTTGCTCTTTTACTAAGCACAGACATACTTTGTTTTATTAACTTCCTGATAGGCACCAGCTCTTTGGATACCTAAAATCTGAATCTACATCAGAAATATAATTTGTTAAAGTAGAATAATTCTTTAAAATTTATATGAATACCTACTTAACTGGATACCACAAGTTTCAATGTGCCAAGTATTTTTTTTTTTTATTACTTTTTTTAATATCCCACTTCTTTCCTGTAAGGATTTGAAATGATAAAGGACATTCTGGAAAGAACTTTAAAGAAGGTTTTACCCAAGATCTATGAATAAAGAACAACTGAAAAGTAACTTGCAAGCAAGTTTACAATATTAAAATACAGCACATGTAAACATATGCTGGGTGTGGTTGTATAAATGAATTTTCAGGGGTTTTAGTTCAGAGAAACCTTATGAAATCTGGAGTTATTTCTGTAAGAATTGAATTAGGTTTTCATTTTTTTGGAGACTGCATATAGGGAGCCCTTCATGTGATTAAACTCTGTGCTGGAGCAAAGTTAGAGAAATGATGGTCCCTTAATTATTAAATAGTGGTTTAATATTGTTTTATTCAATGGGTGAATTCAAAGTCACTCTTTAAATAACTTTGACCATTTTCTGCCAAGAAGCTCCCTTTTGGGAATTTTAATCTCCTGATTTTCAGAATATACTTTATTCTTACTTTGGTTGTACAGAACATTTTGTCCTTTTCCTTTCCCAAGAAAGAGCTTGAACTGGAATAATTCACTAAATTCCAATTCATATTTCTAACAAGTGACATTGCGCTTCTGGTCTAGAGTCCAACATATTCTTGCATAAGGTTTAATAGGACACGTTTTGTGGGCTTAAGCCTCTATTTGAGGACTAGTCACCTGTTTGTTAGTTTCTCTGTCTCCTTGGTGTTTCTGCTTGTGACATTTATTTTTCTCCATATAAGTTGTTTTTATTATGCCTAACTAAACATGTTCCCAAGTACTCTGAGCATTTTCTTTTCATGGAATTTATATAATGGTTGGTCATGACCTTAAATAATAAATTCTAGAAGAAACGAACATAAATTCCTGCATGGGCAAAGTAGGTAAGAGAAAGCAGTAAAGCCATTCATGTTGGGCCTGAGGAACTAGAAAGTGAATGCATGCCCTTTTTAAAATGGAAAACGCCTTCTCACTGCTAGGAGACTGTTACATCAAATGACTTCCCTGAAGAAGCTGAAAAATCCAAATTGTTAGTAAATATTTCCCTCTGTTGTTAAATGGAATCATCTATTTCAAATTATTTATAATACCAGATAGATTCAATAAAACACATGTGTAGGCAGGATCTGGCCAAGGAATTGCAAGGTTTCTTTTTCTCCTTTTGCCAATCTAACCAGTATTTTCGCCAGTTGGGGAAAATAAACCGCATGGAGAGGAAACCTCTTGACCATATTTAGAAGCACAGCTACATTGGCACTCAGATTCCTTTTCTCCTAGTCTAGGCTCAGTCTGTTTCATTTCAAATCCTTGAATCTATGCATTACCTTCTTGATTTCTAGTTTTCTTCCCAATATTAACATCATCACAATACTTAGCAGCATTGATTCTTTTTTTTTCTTTTTTTTCTATTGCTATTTTCTGTTGCTAGTGATATCTTGTTTCTGCTATGTTATTTGTTGCAATATGTAATATTCCCACTTCCACTCTGTTCTTTAAATACTATTGAAATTTGTTTTTAAAGTTTAAAATTTAGGGCAAACACATTGCCGTCCTTTACCTCTGAAAGGGAAAAATACTGTTGATATGATATATACATGTCCTTGAGACCTGTATGGTCTCAAAATTCTAAACTGTTTTATTGTCTTTTGTCATAGCCAATAATAACTACATTTAAAATAAATCCTTCCTTAATATCCGTTTTTGACAATGGCCTTAGTTTCTACTATTGATCTTTTTATATTTATACCAAAAATTAATGTAAACTATTAAATTAGCTTTGGAAGAACAGGCAAAAATATAATTCACCATCATATTGTGTTCTCTTACACTGACATAAAGCATGAATAGTATGGGATAAGAATATAAATCAAATATATATACCTGGAATGAGAACTTCTTGGCCAGTAAATAGGAGGTAAAAAAGAAAAAAGCAAAATGAGAAAAGAAAAAAATAGATTTATAGGACCTCACCAATAAAAATGTCAGGAGAAAAAAAAAAAACACAGCTAAAGAGAAAGAGATATGCAAACATACTGAAAGAAAACAAAAAGGGGTAGAACATTAACAGCTTATTCACAGAGTGGCCCACAGCTGTGGATGCACATTAGAATCATTTGGAAAACTTAAAAAAGAGCAATGCTTGGCTCCACCTTCAACCAATTCAATCAGATTCTCTGAGGCGGAATCTGGGTATCAATATTTGCTTAAAAGCTCTGCAATTGTAGTTCAAATGTGTAGCCAGGTTTGAAAACCAATTGACTAGAGAAAGACAAAGAAAAATAACAGAAGCCAATGAAAACTTGGCTAGGGAAGTGAAAGATAGTTGACAAACGCTTTTCAAAATAATTTCAAAGTGCTAACCAGCGGGCATGTGTTAAGTAAAGATATTATGCAAATACTTAAGGAAGCAACAAAAAATACACTTGTGTCCATTTCTCCCTTGGTTGAACACACTGGCATTTATTTATGTGTTTAAATAATTTTACATTTGAAATTGTTAATTTATTATCCCAATGATATTTGAAAGTTGATTCAGCTACTGGTTATGGTATATTTTGCAAGCTAACCATACAAACAATGTACACATTTGGAGCTGAGCATCCATAACTTTAAGTTTGTACAACTATACATTCACTCACTGATTTATTTCTTACTTACAAATTGCTATCTGGAGAACTAAATCTTGAATAATCGAATAAGAGTAGGTCTACTGAAAGATATTCTTTGAATCTCCAAATCACCAGTTGGAAGCAAAACACTTTGATTTTTAATTTTTTAAAAGTGCAATTTAGGCAGATCTGGAGGAAAGGCAGATTCTGTAAACGAACATATTTTTTAAAGCCAAAATGCATTTTAAAAGATATTTTCAGAAAATGGCATATCTGAGAAAGAAGTGAATTAATCTAATAGTGGAGCGAAATTAATAATTAATTGCATTTCTTAAAAAGAATCTCATTCCTAAGATGAGTCAGCTTTTAAGGAGACATTTCCTGGGTTAACACCCCAGTTGCTGTTCCGGATTGGTTTCCCACAGCTGGGTAGGAGACATAGAGGGCAATCCTCTACAGGTCCTTCAGAGAAGATTATATCCTAAAGTCTTTTCCCTAGAGGATCATCATTTAGTATTAGTATTTAACTATGCTTTCTTCACCCATCTCTAACATTCTGCCAACGTGGTCAGTAAAATGATTATCATAACAGAAAATATCTGTTAAATCTCAAGATGAGAATATCCACATTTTGAGGCAGGTCGCTGGTGCTTCTGTAATAAACAGAAGAAATACTGGCCAAGGAATTGCAAAGTTATCATGTTCGAGGCCAGGGTTATGATGAATGTGTGTGACACAGTGCTTGTGTCCTCCCATTGGGATTGGATCATTTATTTAAAAAAAAAAATCCAACCTTTATACACAAAGGATTTGGGAAGTCTGCAATGAAAATATAAATAAGAAACCAATGAGATATTGATAAGAATGAAAGCCTGAACCAGGGGAGGAATGCTTTTATGAAGAAGGGTCACCTTAAATAACACAATCAGTGCAGAGGGGGAATAATTTATGGTTGATATAACCATTCCCCTCTACCAACATGATGACAATTGTAAGAACTAGCTAGATTCTTTTGAGGAAACATTCCAACTCCTTATTCAAAAGCACTTTGAACATTTTGAAAAGGAAAGGGTAAAGCATGAAGGTAAATGAAAAGTGGCAGAGCACATCCAAATCAAGATGCAGATTTTCATGCAAATAAACACTAGAGTTAAGATACACCATGAAAACAATAGTCAGCTCCCTCTTATGCATTGGTAAGGAATGGTTTTCTACTCAGTATCTTAAAATTATCCTGTCATTGTAAGACACCTTTCTTTTAAATATCCCATTAAATCTATGATAGTGGTGCCAGTTCAGAAAACACTGTGAGATCAATTTAATCAGAAAATAATACACTTCCTCCTCTCCCCCAACAATACACATCCCTCAAGAAAGCTAAATTTGGGAAGTTTCACACTTAACAAAATAGTTTCTATTTATTCTCTCAATTTATTTCTCAATAAAAATTTTGAAGACAGATATTTAAGACATTCAATAGGGCACTCGATGTGGGAACTCAATACTTTCTGATAGACTTTTCTGTAAACCTAAAATTGTTCTAAAAAAAGTCTGTTAATTTTTAAAGAGGAGTGACACTTGAAGAATGAGTGAACTCAATGTCTGATTTTGCACTGGCAATTTTATCAGGATCCTGAATCCTCCATGTCCTTGAGGAGACAGCTCAGGTGGCACACCTGGCACACGGCAGGGCATCTCTCCCTCCTGGCATCTTCCCTCTCACCTCTTCTTAGGTTTCTCCTCAGGATTACTGCCCTCACTAGTCAGTTTCTTACTTACCAGGTCCTCTATCCTCTGGAGGGTGAAGACAGACAGACCACGCCAGTCTTCAGCAGTTTGGTTGCTACAATCCCTGTTTAAAACAAAATTTTTTATCATATATAATTTTCTCTTACCTGTGGAATTCTGGATCTCCTTTAGCCTCAAAAGAATTGAGCACTGAACAGCATCCCCTTCCTGTCCTTATGTGCAGAGACCTTTTACTCTGCATTCCCCGCTGCAGTAAGTGGCATCATCCACACCTAAATCAGGGCAGTGCACACAGTCCTTTGCTCTATTTTGGTGCCAATGATGTGCTCGGAGCCTGAAGGAAAAACACAGATTCTCTGGGTCCTGAATTCAGATCCCAGGAAAGACTTTTTTTTTTCATCTTTTCTTTATTTCAAAGGGCCCTTTTTGGGGGAGATATGGTCAAGTGACTGGTCATATTTCACTGAAAACCAGACTTAAAGTTTTCTAGGTTTTTCTTTTAACTGCAATTTGTATGGAATTTCTCAGTAGGAGATTTTTTATATTACCATTTCATGAAGATGTCATGTGTACAAAATTGAATATCTAGAGTTAGAAAGGATTCAAGGGATAGTTCTTTTCAGCAACTGATCTTCAAGTTATATTCTACTCAAGGCATTTATATTATTTATCAAGAAACAGTTTAAATTTGGGCTGCAGAGGACCTATGCAAGCATCTAGTTCACTAAAGTCTTCTAAAAATGAATATATCCTCTAATAGATGTGACACACCTACCTCAGGAACATGATTTATATAAGGTTTAGTGACCCACGTTCAGGGTATAAGGGTATTGCTATACCCTCAGAAGTTTCTCTCAGAAGGGACAAACATTTGGAGTAAGCCTAGTACAGAGTCCCAAAGTCTGGACACTGAACTAGAGTTTTAGTGATAAAAGAGGTACTACAAATTAACTGGTCAATTTCCCACCTCTCCCTTCTTTTTTACTCACATAAACACGAAACATCTGAGATCTCATGTGTTCAATATATCACACAAGTGACAGCAGAGACAAGTCTAGAATAGTTTGTCTGATTTGCAACTTGTATATCTCTCCTTCTGTTTTCCTCTCTCTTATCTTTTCATTAAATCTCATTTCTAATAAAGATAGGGCAGGGGCATGTTTTTCTAGTATATTGCATTATCTTCTGAGGCACCATCTTGGAGTGATCCACTGTGTAACATTATAACTGTGTATCTAAGGGGCCTGCTTAGTGGGGAAGGCCTCTTTATGTGATTGGTTTTTTGCTGATGAAGAATCAAATGGCAGCTGAACTTCAGACACACCTAAATCATCCTGTGCTCCAGTGTGGTTTACCATTTGCACCCATCTGAAAGCAGTGATTAAAACCTCTTTGCTCTGAGCTAGACAAATCCCAATCCTCTGTATTTTAAATCTCAAAGGAGCGCAGATAACATGTGGAGTAGTCAACACCGCCATCTTGAAGTAATGTAAGTCATACCTCAAGTTCCCAGTTCTCAATTTTCCTCAGGTTGCCAAGTGAAAAAGGCAATCGACTCTCAACACTCAGTTGTGAAAACAGTGGGCTGTCATTTTGATTACAGTCAGTAAACAGTCTGTGTTTGCCTGGAAAGAAACTGCCTAAAGCACATGGTACCAGCAAGCAGTAGGAGACATGTGGCTGAGGGCAACACATAGGGCTGTCTATTATGGCTGATGTTGGGGTAGGAAAGGGATCAAGGATTGTTCAGAGAATGCTGTTTGCTTTATATTTGTCATGTTGCCAATGTACTTCAAAATAGAAAGCTTCCTGTAATGCTGTTATATTCTGATTTGCATGTGGTTTCTGCTCCACTGCGCACACAGAGAGAGAATGTTCACTTATGGACCAAGTAGCTTTTTCACTATGGTGTTTCTTAGACCAAAAGACAAAAGCAGCAACCTGACTACATAAAATAGAAAAACTATTGATCCAGAGACAGCCCCCTCCCCCATGTAGAACATCTCAGAATAAGGGATTCGCCTCTTGCTTAATTCATGCATTTGTTCATGGGTTTGATCCCTTGGAGGAGAGTGATGGAGTAGGGAACAGGTATATCTGAAAAAAGCACAGTGCGTTAGAAATATAATGAGTCCCATGTATGTAATTTTAAATGTTCTAGATTTTAATATCAAAAAAAGAAAACAATAAGATTGATTTTATTAATGATATATTTTGTTTAAGATGATATGTCCTAAATATCATTTTGAAATTTGGCACCTACCCACATTTCAAATGCTCAGTTCCTCATGTGGTCAATGGCTACCACGTTGAACAGAATGTTTGCAAGATTTGTTTGGGCAATTGTATCCACCATATATCTGATAATGCCCTGCTTACTGTGGTAGGTAGTCAATACATCCTTCTCCTCAAGGAATTTAATAATAAATGTAGAAGCAATAAGGCACATCTTCAATAACAACAGAAGATAGAATATATATAATTACTGTAAAAATTTTAGTAGGATTTTAAGAGGTGACAGTTGGTGGTCAATGATATTTCAGACAGCGTGAACATTTTTGAACGCCAGATGTCAGAGGCTGAGGTCTTTTAAGGAATGGAAATATACAGAGTATGTAAGATGTAGCTGGAGAGGTTCATTGGTAAGATCATTGTAGAGAGGCTTTGATTAATTTTCCCAAAGAAAAAATTATAGAATTTGATGGCAACATTTACTAGTCATGTGACCTTGGGCAAGTTACTTGTCCCCTCTGAACATTATAGTTTTCTTATCTAAAAAATACAAACAACAATCATGTTTATCTTATATATTTGTTATGAATATTAAATGAAGTAATCAGTCCCTGATAAGTGACCAGTGCTTAATCACTGTTCTCTATTATCATTCTTACTTCCTAAGATATTTTAGAGTGGGAAATACTTTAGGTAAAGTATTCAGTCTTCAATTTGCTTTGTTTTCAAGAGAGTCTAGTAAACTTGGCATAGTTATATAATTATTTTTGAGGTAAAGAGGATTGTAATGTATGTATTTTGATTTAGATTAAATAAGGCTACATAATTAATAAATATAGTGCCTATAAAGTTTGACTTTGTTTTTCCTATATTGAGTCCTTTTATGTTTTATCATCTTAATATCTATATAATACAAAACAAAGTTATCTGATTTACTTAATCAATACCCCATTAGTGGATGGTTTCATTTTTTCTAGACATTGCTATTATAAAATATGTTGCCATAAATAGAATATGTGAGTTTCTAAAGATTGGGCTGAATTTCCAAATAATAAATCTAAAAAAAAAAACTACTAAATTTTTCAGAAACCAAAATTAAATAATTCATTGATTTAAAAAAGTATTCATTGAGCACTACTATGTGCGTGTACTGTTCTAGACACATGAGATTCATTGGTGAAAATAGACCCCAAAAAGGCAAATATTCCAGCCCCTGTGCTGTTTCTGTGCTATCCAGGAGAGACATAAAATGAATAATAAACATTATAAGTAAGTTATATAGTACCTAACAAAATGATAAGTGACTTGGAAACATCAGAGCAGGGTAAGAGATTAGAGGAGAAGTGTGAGCAGGTCTCTTTAAGACAGTAAACTTTTGGCCAAGACTTGAAGGAGATAGAAGAGTTAGTCATTCAGCTTCCTAGAGGAAGAGCATACTGGAATAAGGGAATAGTCTGTGTGTGCTTCCAGGTACAGAGGACAGCTGGAAGCCAGTTAGGCTACAGAGAACTGAGGGAGGAGGAGAATAGAAGGAGGTGCCTTCCACTAGATAACCAAAAGGTCAGACAGATTATAAGGCCTTTTAGGCAATTGTAAGGATTTGGGACTTTTTTTCTGGGTAGCTTCTGGGGGCTTCTGAGCAGAGGAATGATATGATTCGATTTCTATGTTCTCAAATCACTCTGACAGGCAAGGTAAAAACAGGCTATATGGGAGTCAGGCTGGCAGCAGGGAGACTGAAAGCAATTGCAGGCTTCTGTGTAATACTGCTGTAAATCATTTCAAGGTTCCAGGTGCAGCGAAATTACACCATAGGGCATCAAATGAATAAATAAATGAGACTGAAGAAGCTATGATTGTCATCTTTAAGAAACTGCAAAAATGAAAGTGATATGCCCAGTATACATGTTTCTAACCTGAAAAAAAAAAAAAAAAAACAACGTAAAATCCTGGATTCAATAAGCTAGGTATTGTCAAAGTGTGGTTCCTGGGCTGGCAACATCAGCATTATCTGTGCATTTGTTAGAAATGCAAAATTGGGTCCCAGCCATATATACCTGGGGTGGAGCCCAGAAAGCTGTGTTTTAACAAGAAGTTAGCCCGGTGATTCTGATGCTAAATTTTGAGAACCACTGCTTTAAACTAGGTTGATGAAACTAGATGGCCTGAAAGATTATTTTCAATGTTAGGATACAGTGCTTCCAAGTTCATTTCTTAATATTTATTTTTATTATAAAATTAAGTATAGTCCTTGAGAAAAAAATGGTTTATAAGAAGTATAGAATCATGCTAAAGAATGAAAAAGCCTTTTAAATCACATAGAGGAACTTGATTTTTATTTATTATATCTCACCTCTTCTAAAAAGTGATGCAAAGTTTTATATATATATATATAAAGTTATATATATATAAAGTTTTATATAAATATAGTTATATATAAAGTTATATATAAATATAAAATGTTATATATATAAAGTTATATATATAAAGTTATATATATATATCTTTGTGCAATAGGAATCTCAAGACAAGGAAAATGGAGAAAATGTATGTGATACATCTGTTAAGGACTGTAGGCTAATGAATTTACTCTTTCAAAATGTACACTTAGCTCTCAGCCTCCTGAGCTCAACATTTTTAAAGGAAGAAATGAATTTTATACAACACAAAGAAAGAAAGAAGTCTCAGACTTTAAGTTAACATGAACCACCACGAAGGTGATCGAAGTTACTACAAGGAGAATCTCTGGAGCTCCCCAAGAACTGAATGGACAACTTGGCTTCCTAGACAACATTTCAATATTTCACCCTCTAATATCTTGGTGATTTGCCCATTTGAAGTTACCTCTTTCATAGGGACCTGAAGTCTTAAAACCAAGTGAGCAGATGGTAATTGAGACTGTTACCTCATCACAGAGGTTGAAAAGCCAACCACATTCCCACCTAGATGGAAAGCTGTCCCTTCCTCATGGCAAAGCTTGTGAGTTCCTCCATGACCACCTTTGGATCTGCTTCTGTTCTTGTGCAAAATGCTGAACAGCCAGAATTTTACAGCCTACTGCATGACACAAATGGTTGTAACCTGAAAAATTCTTAAGCAGGTATATCATGTCATCAGTATAAAGGAAGATAAAAACAATTGAAAGAAAATAAAGTTGCTTCCATGGCCAGAGATAAAGAGTAAAGATGCAAAATGATGCTAAAAAATAATGGAGCCATAGTAAGACAAAAATTTTACAACACTGGGAACTAGAAGATCTTAAAGGATAAATAAATTTTCAGGATAAACTAAAATAACCACAAAAGAGGATACAAACTTGCCTCTAGAATATTCAATTGTTGATATTAGCATAAGCATTAATAACAATACTAAGTAGAAACGGGTTAAGAAAAATAAAATTAAAGATTTAATTTGTCTAAGATTCCTCAGCTGGTGACATCTAGCATTTTTAGGGTAAAATTTCTATCATGCTGTTTGAGCTATCACTTCCTTATTTGAAAACCAAAGAATTTCTCCTAAATTACTAAAATGCTGAAATTTTATTAAGATAATTTCAAATGCAGGCTAACCGTTTTTGGGGGATTTCCAGATCCAATAAATGTATTAGGTCATCTGAAAGCAAAGTTTCTGGACCATCTTATCTCATCACCTTCTAAATGAAATTCACTTAGTTTAACTAATTGCAACCATCAGAGAAAGACTTTTTTGCATCTTGTACACATCTGTGCAAAATAAAATTTAAGATGTCTGTTGAGCATGTTGCCTCATGTCCTTTATACTATATCCTAAACAAAATTTCCACCCTTCAGTTTAGTTCTTGAAAAATGTTTGCTTTTTATATACAACTTTTAGGAAATGTGTTTGTTTTGTTTTTTCCTAAAATAGAACAAAATTCATGTGATCCAATATGCTTCAATTTTTTCTTAGTTACTGGGGACATTACACCAAAATTCCAGGCTTGATTGCCAAAAGCACTCAGATCATATTCTTTACTCATTCCTTTAGTTCATCCTTTCTCAAATAGTCATCCATGCATCGCTTGCACAAAACTCACTTAGGGAGTGTATTAAAAATGCAGATCCCTCGACCCTACCTCAGACCTACTTTTTGCAGAATCTCCAGAAATTGAATCCAGAAATCTGCATCTTTTACAAGTAGCACAAGTGATTCTTTTTTTTTTTTTTTTTTTTTTTGAAGTGGGGCGGATGGAATCTTGCTCTGTCACACAGGCTGGAGTGCAGTGGCGTGATCTCAGCTCACTGCAACCTCTGCCTCCCAGGTTCAAGCACTTCTCCTGTGCGTCAGCCTCCTGAGTACCTGTACCTGGGATTACAGGTGCACACCACCACACCTGGCTAATTTTTGTATTTTTAGTAGAGACGGGGTTTCACCATGTTGGTCAGGCTGGTCTCAAACTCCTGACCTTGTGATCCACCCGCCTCGGCCTCCCAAAGTGCTGGGATTACAGGCGTGAGCCACCGCGCCCTGCTGCACAGGTGATTCTTATGCTCACTGAAGTTCAGAATTGCTTAGAGTCCAATTTTATATAATAGTTAATTTGTAAGCCAGGGCTGCTTTTAAAAATAAGTGAGATGCAACTCTTATTAAGATATAACGCAGTTTGAAGTATGTGGCCTAAAGTGAAGTATTAATCCACATGCAGGAATCACTGCGATTTCCCATGGATACTTGGGATTGAAAAAGAAAAAAAAATACTCTCTCCTCTTTGAAGCCAAGGCCATAAAATATATTTTCTCCAATCTGTAAATCAGTAATTTTCATAAGGGTAGGAAAAAGAAAGATAACTCAAGCAAATCAGAAACTTCTGGGATGCTTTTTCAAACTCCACCCTTCTGCTCCTCCTTATTCCCTCTTCGATATCCAGCCCTCCCTACCTCATCCCCCTCCACATCCCAGCAAAAAGCTCTCAAATATTTTAAAAATGTATTGAAATTGATGTTTTGGTTATTTAACATACTTAACATCATGTTCATTATAGCTCAGGATGAAGGTCAAAGTATTTAAAACTTAGTTACTTGTGTACTATGAAGACAAGGGAAATAACATTTATTAAGCTTGTGGCTGTGAAGTAGAGGGAACTAACATTTATTGAAGAATTATAAATTTATGTAACAATCTATTGCTCAATTTCTGATGCAAGGTGTGTCTTATGGGTATTATTATTAGCATTTGTGTTATTGTTACCACTTGGTGAGAGGTAAGAGAAGAGAGGCAGAGGCCAGATCATGAAGGCACTTCCATACTTTGCTAAAGTGATTCTGAGTCACTGAGAGCCACTGACAGATTTGAACAAGGGTAGGATATGTGTTTTGAAACCATCACTCCGGTAACAGAATAGAGAAAAAAAATGATGGCTTAGGAGAGAGTTCATCTGGAGACAAAGATTGTATAGACCATGTATAAAATTGTAAAAGTGAGATTTAATGTTTTTTTGTTATGGTAAGTGGCCAAGGGAAATTTACTGGTGAGAATTCATGACTAGTTTGGCTTATGAGCATTGTATAAATGAATTGCAGTAAATATTGTTTTAAATGTCAGTTACTGATTTTAGAATTATATATATTGCCCTTTGAAATTATTATTATTGGTTTAACTCTGCTAAGCCATTGCTGTTGGTTATAGCGGAAAGAAGTATGACATCTGGTTATTACATTTAGGTTAATATTTAGCATGCTGGCTTTTTACCTCAGCTTGTCTAAAATATACTCTTAGAAGCTACTAAATAGGTTTATTTATCTTATTTTAGTAAGCCAATCAAACTGGGTTTTAGGTGGAGAGGAGAAGGAACTAGAAAATGACCTACAACACCAATGTGAACCACATGTTCCACTAGTCTACCTCTTTGGTCTTTGAGATGTTTGAGGAAAAGAAGCAAAGGGGAAGATGTAAGGAGGGAAGAGGAGAGAAGGAAGCAAGAGGGAAGAACAGAAGGATGCTCAGGAGTGCCAGCATGCCTTCAGAAAGACTAAATGGATCAAGGCTGCCAAAGAAGGGGGAGCACCCCTGTCCCAACCCTAGGATCCTGGCAGTGGTTCCTGGTCCCATTCTTCCTAAATCATGCTAGGGCATGCTTTTAACAAGGGTCAAATATCTTGCTTTGCATCATCCTTGCTTTCTCGATCCAGGGCCATAAAAAAAAAAGGAATAAAACCCAGACACAGAGCCAGAGCACCCCTATGCCAAATGTCAAAGATTATAGGCTAATTTCACCTGTATTCTCTTTCTACAGAGATTATGGAGCAAGAAAACTGAAGCCAAGCCACATCAAGGTTTGACAGGGATGAGATACCTGTCAAGGATTCATAGTAGAGTGGCTTACTGGGAAAGGAGCAAAGAATCTCTTCTAGGGATATTGTAAGAATAAATGAGATAATTCACAGAAGGGACCTGGAGCTTTTCCGGAAAAAGGTGCTGTGACTATCTAAGGTAACTAAACAACTTCTGGGTATAAGTTTGTTTTTGTGGAAAATAAACTAAAATCTCTACTATTTAACAAGGACAGCTGTATCAGGACCAAAAGAAGGCAGAGGGGTGTTTTCTTCCTTCCTCTACCAGTTTGTTCTTCCAAAGAGGCAAATACATACAGGGAGACATAGCACAGATGACCTTAGGGAATGGAATGATGCCAAAGGCTGTTGATGTAAGAAAGAGAGATTAACTCAGTTTTTTTTTTGTTTTTGTTTTTTTGTTGTTGTTGTTGTTGTTTTGAGACAGAGTCTCTCTCTGTCGCCCAGGCTGGAGTGCAGTGGCATGAACTTCGCTCACCGCAAGCTCTGCCTCCCGGGTTCACGCCATTCTCCTGCCTCAGCCTCCTGAGTAGCTGAGACTACAGGCGCCTGCCACAAGCCCGGCTAGTTTTTTGTATTTTTAGTAGAGACGAGGTTTCATCGTGTTAGCCAGGATGGTCTCGATCTCCTGACCTCGTGATCTGCCTGCCTCGGCCTCCCAAAGTGCTGGGATTACAGGTGTGAGCCATCGCGCCCAGCAACTGAGTTTTTTATATATTTTTCTTTTAAGAGAGACATTCATCCTGTCTATTTAGTAAATTACCCTGGACTGTATTTACTTTAAATTTTATTATATTTATTTGGTAATTGGATCTATGGCTCACCTGACTGTATGGGGTAAAGATCATCCAAATATGTGGTGAGTACTTGGTTGTGAGCTGGCTTCTGAATTGGTCAAGTTTTTGAACTGACCAAAGACTATTTATTTATTTGGTGTATCATCTGCAACTAACTAGAAAAACTGTCTAAAACTGTCTTAGTCAAGAAAGATGTTTATTGAACAGAACAAGCAGTGCAGAGGTTGTTCGGGTCCACAAGCTGAGTGATCCATCAAAGGCCCAGGGGTAAATATGTCTCTGTGACCTGCCACCCTCAGTGTGTCAGCTTTGCTCTCAGATTGGCATCTCTTCTGGTTTTAATTTGGCTGAAGTAGTGCCATGTATTTTATCCCAATAGAAAAGGGTCCAGAGGACAGAGAATGCTATCTTCTCTTTGTTCTCTTTCTTGGGAGTGAAGAAACTTTTTACAGACAATGACTTGACTGAAGTCCCCTCACCTTTCCTTGGCCAGAATTAGATCATATACCTGGTCCTTAAACAAAGATGGGCAAGGGACTTGAAGGAAACATCTGGAATGGAATGAATACTGGGGGGTCAAACACACAGTTTACTTTGCAAGCATTTAATAGAAACATTAAAGAGATAATAAATCCAGTGATGCTGATTTGTCCTTTAAAATGTTGACTTAATTTTTGTTACTAGTTAGCAGTTGTCTCTTCAAGCTAATAACTATCTGATAAGGACGAAGTCACAGAAAATATCAACCCCTAAAAATTAATTAGTTCCAGGATAATTATCTTGAAGATAGAGATGAACCCATGCTTTTTTTACTAAGCTTTTTTTTTTTTTCAGAGCCATGACATTGAGTCCAGGTACAGAAAAACAGAAATAGATCATCTCGTTAAATAGTTAACACATGTTGGCAATCATGTGTTTAGCTAATAGAAACGGAACAATAACATAAAGAAGGTCTAGATTTCATCTGTGTTTGGCTATAACGTAGTGATACCCTTGCTGTAGAGTTACTTTCTCAATAGATTTATTCAGACTAATAGTAATGCTGATTTCCTTGACAACACACTGAGAGCAAGAGGTACCTGACATAGAAGAAGCTAGCCTAGGTTTTTAATTTATCATCAAATAACTCCAAAGTGTGTAGCATACATGTGAAAGTAGACGTGGGTTTTATGTTTGTTATTAATTCATTCCTGTTTGCTTTATCTCCTATGTGGAAATAAAGATAAGGACTATATTGCTACATTTCTTAGATTATACCACTCATTCCTGACACAGGGCTTTATACATAGTAACCTCCCAGTAAGGTAGCTGATTTATCCTAATTTTGTTTCAGCAAACATCAAGAATCTTCTCATTTTGCAGGCTTAGGTACCTAGGCTTTTTTTTTTTTTTCTTTTTTTTTTTTTTTTCTGAACTAGACAGGTTTAAATCTTGGCTCCTTGTCTTATCTAGTCTACCTGCACCTAAGCTTCTTGATCTCTAAAGTGGAAATATTAATGGTATCAACCTCATGAAATTGTAACAGTGATTAAATGGGCTAACATGCATATATGGCATGACAGTGTCTGAGATATAGTAATCATTCAATAGAATTTTGTTTATTGTTATTCAATCTTCACAGCCCCCTGATTAAGGTGTTATTTCAAAACTATTGAAATTATAGAAAATAGTATTTAATTCTGCCTTGGAATGTGTCCAGTGGTTATCATTATAATGTGCTGAGTGCTCTATGTATGCCTTTGATAAATCTTATGCTGTTGGGTGCATATGCTGCCTGAGAATATATGGTAAATAACAGACAATCATTAGCTCTCAGTGAAAATTTCACTGGGAAAAATAACTAATTTTCTTCAACAGGTAATTCATCGGTCAATCTTGTCTTTTACCTTATACCCTTACTATAATAGTCTCTTGTAGATACCAAGAAAATACAGCATCCCTCCTCAGTAATGGACCCAGTCCTTCACAGCAACTCACACTCTCCTTCTCAAAGACGTGAAAATACATTACAGATTTTTTTAATGCTATCTCAAGTTGTATGACATACAGCAACTTTCCATCCATAAAGATGAAAAATTTACAGCCTTCTGACACAATCTTGTTTCCATGGAAACAGACCAGAACTAATCGATTTTGACTGCAACACAATCATAAAAATCCCGACAGAGAGAGGGAAAGAGAGACACTACTAATACTACAGGTTATGGACCAATACAATTTGCCAAACTGTCTGCTGTTCTGGAAAATTAGGCAAGATGAGAACCCATAGGCCATGACTAATGGAAAAAAATAAATTTTTCCTTAGTAACACCACAGCATATCCGAAATGTTTACAATGCTATTTTTCTAGATTCTGATTCATTAACAAATATTAGTCTTGTACTCATTGTATTGGCTGGCTTCAAGTACTTTCATAAGATTATGTTAGCATCATAGTACACTGATAGGTGAGGCTAGAAAACTGAAATGAACTAGTCAAATCTATTTTTCTGTAGTTATTTATATACAGCTTAGATCTTTTAGAGCAAATCATATAATAGTAAGATTCAAGACAAATATGTCAACTATAATAGAAAAGGTCATAATTTGTGTTTGTCAGTAGACATTTTAGAGGAGATTACTTAGCTTCTTTGGGACTGTTCTTCATTTATTTTACAGGCAGAGAGTTGGACTAATTGTTAAATCCCAAGTATGTCTTTTAATTAGCATCTTGGAAATTCCTCTTTGGCATCTAGGTAATTGTTCTAACTTCATTGTCTATCATCCTCTCTGTTCCCTTTACTTAAAAATTGGTAGTTGTGTGAGTCTTGCCTCTTCACTCATCATCCTTTCACTTTTTTTCCTTAGGCAATGCCGTGAATATTCTTAGCTTCAGCTTCAACCAGTGACTGCTCTTTTCTTTCTTTTTTTTTTTTTTTGACAAGGTCTTGTTTTGCAGCTTAGGCTGGAGTGCACTGGCAAGATCATAGCTCACTGCAGCCTTGAATTCCTGGGCTCAAGCAATCCTCCTGCCTCAGCCTCCAAAGTGCTGGGATTACAGTCATGAGCCACCATGCCCAGACTCATCCAGTAACTTCTTAATCAACTTTACCCGAGCCCAGACAGCTTTCTGAGTCTCAGATCCATATTTTAATTCTATATCCAGATGTCTCACAGCTATCTCAAACTGAACAGGTTCCAAACAGAATTTATTATCATGCCTTACAAACCTCCATTTCTCTATTTGGGTTAATGTCGATTTGTGGCTTAAGCTGGAAACCTGGAAGTGAGCTTAACCCTATAACTTTAATTCACATCTCCTATCAAGTCAGTCACAAAATCTCATTGTTTTTCTCTCTCCTATACTTGTGCATTAAATACACTCCTCTGGCTGTGGTTTTTCTCCCTAACTTATTGATGGCCTACTATTAATGTATTCCAGGCACTGTGCTCACCCTTTAGGTTCATTTTCTCATTTAAATGTTATATTAGCTCTATAAAGTATGAACTATGATTATCTCCATTGTACAGCTAGGGAAATTATAAAGAATAAAAAAGCTTCAGGAACACAGCAGAGTCAGGCCTTGAATCCAGTTCTGATTTCTAAGTCCATGCCTTTTGGTACCAGAGCTATAGTCAGATCTTTTACTTCTCTTCTTTTGACTATTGAGTGGTGACTAACTGCTTTCTTCTAGGGCAGTTGTTCTCGAAGTATAGATTTTAGACAACTGGGGATTCCTGGGGCCCTTTGTGTGGGAGCTTTGAGCTCTAAACTACTTTCGTAATAATACCAAAATGGCATTTGTCTTTTTTCACTGTTTTGGCACTTGCACTGATAAAGCAATAGGCATGTGCTAAAACTGCTAATGCTTTAGCAGGAATCAATGCAGTAGCATCAAACTATAGGCATAGTCTGCATTTTCTTCATTGCTGCACACTCTCAGTAAGAAAAATAATGCCAGTTCACATAATACATCTCTGATGAAGCAGTACATATTAATTTCATTCAAGCACAATCCTAAAAATACATATTTTTAACATTCTGTATGATGAAATAGGAGGAATATATAAAGTATTTGACTGCATACTGAAGTGTCCTAGTTGTCTCTAGGAAAAGCACTTGTGTGATTGAGTCAGGAGCTGAATAAGCCACTTTTCTTTTTTTCATGGAACACCACTTTCACTTGAAAGAATAACTGACAAACTATGGTTATTCAGACTTGAGTATTCGGCACACATTTTCTCAAAAATGAACAAAGGGAAAGCCTGTCACTTCAGGAAAAGCAAATGACAGCATTTGTTGTCAATGTCAAAATTCGAGCTTTCAAGAGGAAATTGGAATTTGGGAAAACTTTTACCTGCCACTGGGAGCTTGACAGCCTACCCATACATTACAACTTTTCTCATGACATTAGTGGTGATAGTAACAAATGCGATTTTTGGATATTATATAATAAAATTTGTCAAAATCTGGAAGACCTTCATAACAATGTGCCATTTTCCAAATAATTAGTGCATGATTAGGTAAAAGACTTATTCAAAGGACAAGATAAATCAAAAGTTCATTGATATGGCTTTTGATTTCACACAACTAATTTAATAAACTACCATTTGTAGAGTTTTGACGTGATATTAAAGAAGGATATTCACAGTTACCTGGAAAGGCAATTAAAACACTCCCTTTTCCAGCCACACATATGCGTGAAAATTCTCTTCATATATTTCAATAAAACAACATATTCTATCAGACTGAACACAGAAGCATTTATGAAAATCTAAATGTATTCTCTTAAGTGACATGAAGATATTTGACTAAATGTGAAACAAATTCTTCTCATTAAATTTTTTTCTGTTTTGAATAATATAGTTGTTTTCATTAACCATCTATTGTCTGTATAAACATACAAGTGCTTATTATTAGTTAATAAGAATTTTTACATTTTTTCATTTTAATTTTTAATATGGTAAGTATGGATAGCTAAGTCCCCCGATAAACAAAAGTTCTTTGGGTTCATGAATGATTTTAAGAGTGTAAAGAAATCCTGAAACCACAACATTTGAAAACTACTGCTCTAGGATCACTCCCTGCCTGTCCACGCTTCATACTGCCACCATCTTTCCAATCTTCACATTGATCATAACACTCCCCATCCATGGCATACTTTCGTGTGTAGTACAGGGTCCTCAGTGATCTATCCTGCCTAACTTTAGAGTTTTATGTCATACCACTCCCTTCTGTGCAGGGTGATGTCCACCCATAATGAATTGCTTGTCATTGCTCCCAAACTCTCCATGCTCTTTCTTGTCTCTGCATCTGCACACATGCCACCCCCACCCCACCTGCTCAATGTGTCTCTACTGATGTGTCTTCCTACCAATCCTTTCCCAACCACTACCACCATAAGACCCCAATCAAATTCCAACTAGCCTACAAAACCTACTCCAATATCACTTCCTCAGGGAAATTTCTCCAAACCATACCTCTCTCTCCCTTCCCTGGGATGAACATATTGATACTTTTTATGAACTTCAGACAATAACCAGCCATATATAACTGTGTTATAATTATCTGTATAAAAATCTGCCTCCCACATTGGACTCTCAGCCCCAGGGAAGTGACCATGGGTTCCTGGTTCAAACAGAGTACTGATTCGTAGAATCCCTCCATAAATATTTTCCAAATAAATGATTTCGAGATCCTTTCCAGATTTGGAGTTCCGCAGTTTATTCCTCAAATATGATATACTGAACCATAATCTTTTTACTAGTTAACAAAGGGATGTATTTGCTTTACCTACACACATTCATCCACAGGCTTTTTGGTTTTTAGTTAAAGAGATCATCTCCTAAGATTTTTTTCGTATCTTTTTTGTCCTTGCAAAGATAGCTCTGTAGAAAATTTGATATATTAAATTTTATGTATTTTAATAAATTATAATGTGCATATAATCATTAATAATATATATATTCCACACCAAGGCATCAGTAAGAATTAATTTTTAAAGTCTGCTCTAATGTGAATATAAAATTATGTAAGAACTCTGTATAATAAGCTCACAGAGTACAAGAAAGGAGAGGAAAAAAGTAAAAGAGAACTGCGAAAGAACTATGAGGGATTTCCAAACAGCAAAATTGTCATTGAAGCCATGAGAAACTCTACTCACTAAATTCTTTAATTTCTCAGCCTACCCAAATATTGGGCAAACCCTAATTCTCTTGCAGGGGAAAAGCTGAGAGTCTGGAACTAGCCTATCTTCCGAGGACTTAGAGACAACAGTATGGGAATTTCAACGAGACGTTTTTACTTTCTTTTGACCAAGATTCAAATTCTTTATTCCAGCCCTTGATAAGTAAATAAGAAGGTAAAGGACTATTTATTTGTAAAAAGTTTTTCATGATTTTGTGATGGCACCTTGTTCCATATCATCTCAGATAAATCAGAATAATTTGTGAAAATTACTCGGTGATTTCCACATTAGATATTTTAAACCTAATGTTATTTCTAAAACAAAAACCAACCAGGAGAATCCAATTAAGTAAAATGTATGTATTAATATAAATTAGCTATTCCCATCTGGAAAAGGGCAGCCATTTCTGTGTTGAGGTGCCTCAATGATACTGAGGCTGAGACAGGTTAGATGATACAGGCATACCATTAGCAGCAGACTCAATACTAACCCAGATCTCCCATTTCAATTGCAGTGTGTTTTTCATTCATTGTCAATAAAGACATCAAAATTAGTTCAAAACCAAATCCTCAAATCAACCTTTTTTTTTTTCTCCTCTAAGAAAGCGACCGTGTTTCATAGAATTTCCTTAAGACATGTTTGTCATGCTGTTTCATTTTCATTCAGCACTGGAGAAGAGCCACAGCCATTCAGTTCATGGCAGGTGATATCAGACAGATGGATTACACATCTTTAGGTACTTACGGCTTGCAGAAAATGCTCAAACTCTTTCTGCACTCAAAAGCATAAAAGCTGTGATTATTCCACACAGCTTAGAGTTGGATTGATGATGTGATCATCAAAATTGACATAAGATGGCTAAAAACATTAGTTTTATTTTGTGCTGCCTCCCGTAAATTTAGAAAACACAAAATAAATGATCAACTGACTTTTGAGTAAAACAGAATTTTTCTCAAACCTTTCGATTCATGTACTATACAACCTGATGGAGAAAAAAAAATGTGCTGCCCAACTATAAAACAGAAGTTCTGTTCAAAATTAGTAGAGAAAAATAACATAACTTTTGACAGGCCTGCTATTTTATTTTATAACTTATATAGAATATACCTTCATAGTAGCAAAAGATATAATGACAATGTTATATCATAAATACTAACTCAAAGAAAAGACATATCTTACGTTAAAAACACTTTTTGGGCCCAGTGCATTGGCTCACCGCTGTAATCCTAGCACTTTGGGAGGCCGAGGCGGGCGGATGGCTTGAGCCCAAGCGTTTGAGATCAGCCTGGGCAAAATGGCGACTGAAACCTCATCTCTACAAAGATACAAAAATGATCCAGGCATGGTGGAGGGCACTTGTAGTCCTAGCTACTCAGGAGGCTGAGGTGGGAGGATCACCTGAGCCCGGGAGTTCAAGGCTGCAGTGAGCCGTGATTGTGCCACTGCACTCCAGCCTGGGTGACAGAGTGAGACCCTGTCTCAAAAAAATAATAATATTATAATATAATAAGTAATGTTATAGAAACACTTTTTTGTCATTGGAATAGATCAGGGAACTAGTAATTAAGATATAAGCAAAAAAACCCCCACACACATAATAAGCTATATTGTTTTTCTTATGTTATTAATAGATCCAGAGCTTCTGATTGTAAGCTCAAATATATGTAGTGAGCTGCCAAGAATCAGAGGGCCATTTAGGGATAAACTACTACGGAGCCTAGAATACATGTGGGGGCAAAGGGGAATGGTAGGAATGGGGAAAATGTCACAGATGACTTTGATCATGACTTTGGTGCCATAGTGGTAGGTTCTTTTATAAGATGACTGATGTACTTATTTTATTTGGTTTGTCATTGTTTCTATATTCTATCTATCTTGATTTTTTAAATGTGATTTTTGGCATAATGCAAAATAAAATAACTCATATTTCGAAATTTACATAGCTGATTTCTTGTGGTTTTGATAGTTCTATTATGTATCCTGCAAATAGATTTTTGTTCCCTTCCCTGAGAAATTGAGCAGGGCCACTCCATCAGTCTGCCTTCCCTTCTTTCTCATCCAGGTGATCGGCATGTGTGAGTGTGCCTCTATACACTGCACTTCTCAGTTCATTCCTTTAATTCCGTAGTCACAATTGTGGTTCCAGCACAGCAAGAACTTGTTTAAAGAGTGGTTTGAATTGTGAGGATGCCTGAAACCATAAAAGAGGGAAAATAGCTAGGGAAACTGAAGATAATTTAATTATGATAGTTTACAATAATATAGTGCTTACTAATTCCAAAAACTATTCTAGACACAACATAATCAACTCATTTATTCCTTATGATAACCCAGGAAGTCAGTTTCCCTACTACCCTCATTTTATAGATGAATTCAAGCAATAAGGGGTTACTTTGTCCACAATCACACAGCTCATAAGCGGCAGAGCCAGGGTTTAGAACGGACAGTGTAGCACCTGAGTCCATGCTTTTAACCACTATACTAAATGGAAGATTCAGGGAAAACGTCAAAATTGTCTTGGAATAATTGAAGGGCAGCATATTGAAATAAGGAGTAAACATATTCTCCATTGCCTCAGAAGGAAACAGAGTCTGGCTTAATAAAAGAAAGGAAATACTAAAGATAGGTAGATTTTTCTGGCAGCAGTGGCTTCCATGTCCCTGCTGGTTGGTGATCAGATCTTTTCTGGAGCAGCAGTTGTCAATGATGCTGACAACGAGAACAGTGGTTGGGTTTGGCAAAACTTCATTTTCTATCCTCATTTGTATGAGTCAGGGATGTATTACAATAATTGTATTGTTACCAGTACTTCTTTATTTGGGGAGTTACAAAGTTATGAAAAGGCGGGGGGCAGGATGCAGAATAATTAAGCAATTTTATTGACAAACTTTACTGGCATTACTCTTTTGCTGAAAGTATACTATATTTTGGCTTACAGTGTCAAAACAGAATTTTTTTAAATGCTTTTAAAAAATGGACAAAATTATAGATATTCTTGAGGTAAAATATAATGTTTATATATTATATATACTGTACATTGTAGAATGGCTAAATCAAACTAATTAACATTAAGTACAGACTTTTGATAGATTTATGAACTTGGCTTATTGAGAATGAGGTTGAATGATGATGTTTTCAAGTTCAAATGTGTAGTGCAGTACTAAAAGCATGACTTAATGTTTATAGCTTTAAAAAGTTACTAAAAAATGACATTTTGGTTGATGTTCTTATGCCCAATCGCTTGCTTTCCTAACTCTTGTGCAATTTTTCTTTTATTGCAGGTAATTCGTATGCAAGAAGCTACACGTAATTAAATGTGCAGGATGAAAAGATGGCACAGGCACTGTTGGTACCCCCAGGACCTGAAAGCTTCCGCCTTTTTACTAGAGAATCTCTTGCTGCTATCGAAAAACGTGCTGCAGAAGAGAAAGCCAAGAAGCCCAAAAAGGAACAAGATAATGATGATGAGAACAAACCAAAGCCAAATAGTGACTTGGAAGCTGGAAAGAACCTTCCATTTATTTATGGAGACATTCCTCCAGAGATGGTGTCAGAGCCCCTGGAGGACCTGGATCCCTACTATATCAATAAGAAAGTGAGTATTGATTTTAGACTTCTAATAAATCTTTAATGAAACTCTTAACTGTAATATACTTTTCTGGGCCTTATATACAGCATCACAATTTTTCTTCTGTTAAAGATTTTATAATACTCTTCACTGTCACTTATTTTTATCACAATATAATAAAACAAACATTTATAAGAAATGAAGTCAAGAGTTGGTTACAGTCAGGAAATATGAATAGATGAATGATTTCTACAATTTCACAGTGATAATTCAGATAGTCAAAATTAAAATTAATATCAACAAAGTGAAATATCTGTTATGGCTGACATATTCAAGCACAGGGTAGACTACAGAATAATACCTGTGCAGAAAAGAATTATGAGCATATGTTGTACTTAATTATTTTTTAGTTCATGACTGACTTGATGTACCTTCACAATAATTTATATTCTAGAGGACAATAAATAATCTGCTTAGCATCCTCCTGTAGCCAGACAATACATGAAGAAGCATGTTCACCCAGAGATTCCTTTCCCCCCCAGTAACCTAGAATATGATTAGGATCTTCTCTTAACCTTATATAGTTTGTGGCATGCTAGATTCTGGATCATGTATACCATTAAAACATCACCCTGAAGAAAAAAATGTCAAAATTGGAAGACCAAAAAGAAAGAACTTTCAAATTTTCTCCATCCATACATGATTTAAATTAGTGGTTATGACTGTGCTTTCCTAATGCTAAAATAAATGCATAATTGTATCAGAATTAGCTGGTTTCTATAGTTAAACTAGCTGGGTGATATTTTATAGAAAATATAAAAAATAGGTGGTATACTCTATGCTTTCTAATTGGATATTAAGGCATTTTATAACCACGATTTATATTTTACACTTAAAAGCGTAAAAATAGCTCAATGTAGAAACTAAAGATAAATTAGTATCACCATGAGTTGATGACTTATAGATTATGGAAGATATTAAACACCTTTATTAGTCAAAGCACATCCTTTTAAAAGTTTATAATTTATAAAATCAATGATGGCTAAAGGCAATGACAACCATTCAGACATGGAATTAGTCCTGTTGTTCTAAATAAGTACTTCTCAAACTTGCACATCCATACAGATTACCTCAAGATGTTTTAATTTGCAGATTCTGAATCCATAGGTCTGGGCTAGGGCCAGAGATCCTGAATTTCTTACAAATCATCAGGCTGTTACATGGCCACACTTTGAATAGCAAGCTTTAATGTTTTATTTAAAGTCATAAGACTACATGTAAATAGCTAAACAGAGTCTCCTTTTTCCCCTTTTATAGCTAGTTTCATAAAAGGTGACATTTAATACATTCATGTACTTCTAAAAATAACTTATTTCAACAATTTACTATAGAATTGATAAAGAAAAATTTGAAATGTAGTTATGATGATTACAATAAGTCACCCCCCAAGAAATTGGACAAAATATTATCCGGTGAAAACTGTTGCTCTGAAGGATATGTTTGTAAAGATATCTTTAAGAAAGGAGGCATGATTTACTCTGCTATGATTAAAAGTATTTGCTACTTAAAGAAAGGAAGTGTCCTTAAAAAAGAGAATCAATCAGGCTGGTAAGATTAAGGGGGAAACAAAAGGAGAACAACAGAGGCAAACGTTACTATTTTCCAAGGGAGACAGAACTTTAGTAGTAGCACTGAAAGCATTTTCTTCCCAATGGCCAGGCCACCTCATTGTGGAGGGGCTACACTGAACTACCTAACACATGCTATTAAACATTCCACATCATTTGATTAGGTCAGCTGGCTTGGGCTCCATATTCAGCAAGAAACCTTCTGACTACAATTTGTTTTCCCCTAAACCTGCTTGAAGAAAAGAACGTGCTCATTACATCACTACAATTATCTCAGTCCATATGAAAGTAATGTATCTCATTGTAAATAAATACACTGGAGGCCAGGCATGATGGCCCACACCTGTAATCCTAGGGCTTCGAGAGGCCAAGGCAGGAGGATTGCTTGAGGTCAGGAGTTTGAGGCTGCAGTGAGCTATGATTGTGCTACTGCACTCTAGCCTAGGTGACAGATCGAGGTCCTGTCTAAATAAATAAATAGGTTGGCATTCTTATTTTATATATCAGGTTTTCAAGTTTGGTTAATGTGAGTCTGCCACTAAAAAACAGAATTGTCCTCTGTTTTTGACAAAGTCAATTTTTATTGCCTCCATGGCTGAGAGCCAGACTTAGACCCTGATTTATTCATAGTGGCTGTGAACCATCTTGCGAGACATCTAGATAGTCTTTACGGTTGGCTGCACTGCTTTCGTTTATGAAGTATCCATAAAGATGAAGATTGAGGTGCTATTAAACAAGGAGGTAATTTGTCATTCTTAGCATAGAAGGAGTAAAGTAAGAAGCTAATGGAGGAAGTTTTAGAATTTAAAAATATGTTATGAAGCTGTGTTAATTATATGGAAAAATACAAGTAAAAGGCATTTAAAAGCTTTAAAGCATTATGTAACTCTTTACCATCATTAATTAGTGATACATTTTGAATACCTAATTTAATTAAATGAGTAATATCACAATGTATTTTAATGGCATTTAATTTGACCAGGGTGCTATTAATAATAGTGACAGTGATAATCATAACTAACTTTTCTTGTGCTCATACTGTGTCAAGCACTGCTAAGTTCTTGAACTCATTTACTATATAGTGAACCAGTGAGGCAGGTCCTATTGTTAGCTCAGTTTGTAAATGGGGAAGTGAAGCACAGAGAGATGAGGTAACTTGCTCAAGGCCACACTCCTTAAGTGGTGAATCCAGGATCTGAGTCCAGGCATTCGACTCCAGAGCCAGAGCTCTTAACCACTAAGTGAAATTATATACTATGCTTATTAACATAATAAAATAAAAGGGAAAGTTAAAAAATTGGCTGCATCATTTTTTGAGTTCTCTGATTGATGTGGTCCTAATCATTGAGATGTAAATCTTATTCTTGCCACAAAGTAGTAAAACTTTTAGTAAACTTATAAGATGTGCATCTAAGTAACATTCTAGGAAAAAGAAGCAAGTAACATTCCAGAGTACAAAATAGCTGGTTTAACATACTTCCAGCTGTAGCAATGACGATCTATCTCTCCCCTATTCATCTGTCATTTTCTCAAGTAATTTTCAGTTTAGGTATATCTCTTCATATCATCAGAGCCCCATAATTTCAAATTCTTGCAATTCTTTCACTATGCAGGACATTAGTATTTTATTCTGCATTTCTCAGAACTCAGGGTTCTCTTTGTGTCAGGTATTGTTCCTGAGACATAAACTGGGATTGTAGTCTTAAGGCCTGCTCTGTTTTAGAACCTATAAATTCAACGAAGATGCTCTTAGCATGTCAGCTGTAATTCCGCTAGTACTACGAAGGCTAATCTTGCAGGAGGAGCAAAGGGTTCCATGTTCAAAGGGATAATTTATTGCTGTTCACTCTGTTTTTGGAGATAGTTCAAAATGAAACTCTCTCCTAATGTCGCAAGCAGAAATTGCTTTTTCAGGGAAATTGTTTCAAAAGAGCATGAGTACCTGAACCTTAAATTACGGTGAGCTTTTTCAAGTTATGCTGTTGTGTTGCTGAATGCCTAAATGGATCTTGACTGTTCAACTGTAATATTAAATAATCTAATCTTGTGACTCCAAGGCAACCCTTTAATGCTTCTGTGCTTCAACAACAGTCTTTCCAAGGTCCACTGTCCTTTACACACAGTCCTACTGCTAGTAAAGAATAGTTTGCTTGCCCGCTTCATAAAACTATTCACATTTATAGTGTGCAGTTTCTGGAAAATTGTTAGTTAAGTAATGGTTGGCTCTATGGTCTTAAATACAAAAAGGCAATGAACAGAGAAACTGTGTAGTTTCTGAAAAATGGTTAGTTAAATAATGGTTGGCTTGATGGTCTTAAACACAAAGGGATAATGAACAGAAAAACTGTTCAGTTTCTGGAAAATGGTTAGTTAAGTAATGGTTGGCACCATGGTCTTAAATACAAAAGAGCAATGAACAGAGAAATTGTTTTCCCTGCCCTTTATACTGACAATATAAATATTTTTGTCTACCTACTCAAACAAAGCATGTTGTCAGTGAACATAAATGTATGGCATATAGCCCCTAGTTAAAGGAGAGAAACATATTATTAAGTAAATGGATATACAGAATAGATGTCTTAAAGGTAAATAGTATCTTTAAGGTAAACCCACATTTAATTAAAACAAGTGTTTATTTGCAAACCAGGCTATTAAATACTGTGAAAAAAATGGAGAAAAAGTAGATTACAAGCTCTTTATGCTCAATGGTTTATAACAATTTCTAACCTAGTTCTCACTGGAATGAACACTGTGTAAATTGCTACTTGACTATAATTACAAGCAACATGTAAAAGAGTACAAATTAATGTACTAAGACTTACTGGTAAAGAGAAACAATTAGGGAGTGATCAGGAGGTAGTGTGATTTATTTGGAAGGACATGATTAAGGAGGTGATTGATAGCTGAGAAAATTCCCAGACAGAAGGGATTTTCAACCTTGATTGCATATTGGAATCGCCTCAGGAAAGTTTTAAAAATACCCAAATCTGTGCCCATCCCTCAGAAATTTTCATTCAATTGGCAATTTTAAAATCTTTACAGGACAGCCTAATATTCAGGCAGGATTAAGAACCTCTGACATAATAGGGGGTCACTGTAGGTGGAACTATATTGTAATGTGTTGTGGAGACATTTCCCTGAAATGAAGGGAGTTTGCATTAAATGACCTTTCAGTTGCCACCTTCTTCTAGGAGTCTATGACATTCATATTCAGAGTCATAGGGAGAGTTTGACTAGTTGTGAGTGAGGCTGACAACTGAATTGAATTGGCCATAGCAAAGATGACTCTAGTGGGAAAAAAATAAAAGATGATTCTATAGGAACATGGTAAATAATCACTTGTAGCATAGCTAATACTAAGTGGATGATTGTAGCTTTCAGATCATAGAATTTTAATTGTGGAATGCCCTTTGAAATGGTGTATTTCAGACTAAATTTCAATGCATCCATCTCTCTTCAGTATTAGCTGAGAAGTTGAACCCTTCTCACACATCTATAGTCAGCAAAACCAGATTATTCAACCTGTTTGAACATTTTAAATCTACAGGGACAATCAGAAGCCATCATAAACTTTGAAGTTAAAAGATTTGATATGATTAAAATACTTATAAAAGATTATTTTAGTAGCAATGTGTACAGAGTAATCTGAAAAGTTACCAAAGCTGAAGACAGATGGTAAGCTTTAAATAGAGTTGGAATCTGTAACGCTACAATTCCATAAAAAAATTTGTGTAGAATTGTCAGTTTGTATCAGCAAGTTGGAACCTTAGAGATAGATTAGGTAATAGTAAATAGTATCTTTATTTGTAACTATATGTTAATTTAAACATCTAACATGTTTGTAGTTATGATATATCAACTGGTTTAAACAAACAAGTTTGAACAAACAAATTCTATTTTTTAAAAAGTTCTTCATGTATGTAAGCTCTTTAAATAAGCCCATGTCTAATTTAGTAATTTTACTCGTATTTTCTTTTTCAGACTTTTATAGTAATGAATAAAGGAAAGGCAATTTTCCGATTCAGTGCCACCTCTGCCTTGTATATTTTAACTCCACTAAACCCTGTTAGGAAAATTGCTATCAAGATTTTGGTACATTCATATCCTTTTAATGTGAATTGCCTAAATGCTATTTCTAACAGTTGATTTTAAAGAAAATGTCAGTTATATTTTCAAGTATCTGTAAAATTTCTTTGAGATTAATGGTAACATTGTTAGTTTAATTCATTTATTTGCATTGGTTTTCCACTATTTATAATGAGAGTATTATAGAATGACTACAGCATTATAGAAGAAAATATGTAACCAACCATGATAGTGAATGTGCAAAGGAAACACATAGTAGGAAAAAGAGCAAATCTCCTTACACCTTTATCAGCTTCAATGAGGTCATATATAACCATTGCTAAAGATTAGATTATGGTTAGTATTACTATTTGCATTACCAAGTGTTCAAACTTTTACGCCTTAATTGTTTCTGTATCTTCAGCGCCTGGATTTATCCTTCTTTGTGTCCTTCCTTCCTTCTTTCTGTCCTTCCTGTCTTCTTCCCTTCCTTCATTCTTCCCTTTTCCCTTCCGTCTTATTCCCTTCTTTTTTTCAGTAAATATTTATCAGACTCTTACTATGTGCTCATGTACCTGGTTGAGAATATGTATCAAAAAGTCGAACTTGAAATTATTTACAATGTTAGTCAAAAAGCATATGTAAAAGGGCAGAATATGTTTGGATTTCAAGAAAATTCTCAAGTAATGATAAAATAGAATGGTGATTTTCTGAGGCAGTGTTCAAGAATGGGAATTTTGTATAGGCAGATTCAAAGCAGGCTTCTATATAAACTTAAAGACTGATTCACCTAGAGACAGGGCAAATGAAACTGATAACCTTTTGAGGTATGAATTCTCTCATTCTATGGCTTGATGTTGGAAAGTATTTATATTCTAAAATAAAATATTTATCTCAAAATAATCATAAACTTTCTTACAGGGAAGTCTGGACTTAGATCCCAAGAGAACGTACTACAGCTAATTCTCAGAAGAGCATCAGAATAGTGCTATCTGTTTAGGTATAATGTGGACTAGATACAAGAGTATAGCCAGATGGTCTGTTGGGGTCCGCCACAATCTAAAGTGTAAATAAAAAGCTAGAAAATAACATTACCTTATCAGCACAAAATTGGATCTCCCTCTTTTATGCTATAAATTGTAAAGGAGTAAGTTACATCACTACAAACCTACTATTTATGATAGAATTCTCAATCAATGTAATCTTTGATTATACTGGGCTCTACATTCTCACACTTTTTACATTGCATTCGTTAACGTTTTATAAGTCAGTGAGGATGAATATATCTGAAGTACACCTTTTACACTTATGGCATACTATAAACTTACTAAGGGATGGTGAGTTCTTCTTCCAGGGCAATTTCACACAACTGATTGGAATGCAAAATAACTTGCATTTGCTTCAAATAGAGATCATTTTTCTATTAAATTCAGTTTTGTGAGTATATGGTATAAAATGAAAAAAAGAGTGCACCAAGGCCATATCACAGGCTTTGAAGTTTCTTATTATTTTATCATTGTTTTAAAACAAATAATATTAATTTCACAGTTTTTGCATCGATAAACTTTTTTGTGTGTTTTGGATCATTTATAAATGGCCATGGTAACCTACTAACATTTATTCCTTAACTATAATCTACTTTATTCAGCATGCTTATCATGTGCACTATTTTGACCAACTGTGTATTTATGACCTTGAGCAACCCTCCTGACTGGACAAAGAATGTAGAGTAAGTAGGAATAACTTCTGGGAATGAGAAATGCACACTCAAATTCTCTAGCAATCTCCTTGTGGGTATAGCCTGACTTATGGTTTCCACTTCTGTCTAAGAAAAAGTTATTTTCATAATATGAAAGAAGATAAGGGAAGTTCTTTGGGGGAGCTATTCTTCTACGAGGTAAGTATTTTTCCAACAAAATCATGACAATATCTGTTAAAGAGAGGTTATAAATTAGTATATGCTTTCTGGTAAACTAAACCAATCACCTAGCCTAAAATTAGGTCTCAATCATGGTTAATCATTTGAGATAAAATACAGTGATCAGTTCAGTAATTTGATGAATTAAATTATTTTATTCCAGTATATAGTGATTATTGTTATATTCGAATAGAATAGATTTAGGTTTTTAGCTCTAAATTAAGTAGATGTCTTAATTATACATCTAAGATGTCTAAGTTATATTTAGATATGTAAGTTTTTTATACACAACATGTGTGCTGAAACAGCTTAGATGTGTTCTGTAAAAGAAATAAAATGTCTTCCATAAAACTGTGTTCATAAAATAACAGGGCTTAGGGGAAACATGATTGGGGGAGAGTAAAACTTATGGAACTTTGTAACTAGAATACAACATAGAAACCATAATAATCCCAATAAAAAGACACTTGCCCAGTTGATTCTTTTCTAATGTTTGTACCTAAAATCATAGCCATTGAGTTCTTTGTGGCCTCATATCCCAGGCCTCATCCTTTCTCCCTTGAAATGGAGACTGGGGATATTTGTATGATTTCATCAAAATAAAATGCTTCATTCTGTATTTTAATACATGGAGAAAGGTCTAAGCACATTAGTTGTTCAGGATGTTAAACCAGGCCCTTGTTGCACTAAAAGAAAACACTTCTGTGGATGTTGTGTATTAGTATCAAGATCTTTTTATTATTATTATTGCAAGGGATTTTCCATTTAAGTGTGAGAAAAAATGCCCTTCATTGTTTCAAAACATCAATATGCTGGGGAAAACTGTGCATGAACTAACACAATTTCTTTATCGTAACAACATTATTTCATTTTCTTATTTTTCAGTCACATATGAGGTTATTTGCATCAAAGAAACATAGTTTTTAGTGAAACAAAGTGGTTATATAGGCTACTTATATATAGTATAATACAATAATCAGGTATCTGACTGGTTAAGTAAAAAATGCAGTATGCTCTTTTTATTGTTATATTTTTAAAAGTAATGTACAATCGGAGATAAGATAGTGTAACAAATACTGCCACTTTTAGTTCCGTTTTTATAGATTTCTCTGAGGATTTACTGTACCACTCTAAGCCATTATTTGTCAGTTATTTAACATGTTATTTAAAAAAAAATAGTAGCTTCAAAATGCTGCCTAGAAATTATTGTAATAGAGAATCCAGCTCCCATATTGAGGAAAGCCATTTAACTTAGAACTCTCATTTACTATACATGATTTTGGAGTTAACAAAATGGACACTCCTATGTAAGACTACTCTGTATGTGGTTTTCCCAGCAGAAATTATTGAAGCATTTAAACATGTATCAATTTCATTTATTTGTATAACATTATTAAAAGATAGTTAAAGAAGGCAGTTGGAGTTTGTGACCAGCCTGGCCAACATGGTGAAACCCCATCTCTACTAAAAATACAAACAATGAGCCAGGTGTGGTGGCAAGCACCTGTAGTCCCAGCTACTCAGGAGGCTGAGACAAGAGAATCGCTTGAACCCAGGAGGTGGAGGTTGCAGTGAGCCAAGATCCCACCACTGCATTCCAGCCTGGACGACAGAGCGAAACTCTGTTTCAAAACAAAAAAAAAAGGCAATTGAATATACAGGCCTCTCTTTCTAAAGAAGCAGTAATAACTTAGAGATGATTATACCCATTATGAAGGCAGTCTTAGCTTTAGAAAGTTTTTGATTTGCATCATTCAGCTGGAAAACTTTGCTCAGGTTTTCTGATCAATTGTCTTCAGTAGCTTGAAAGCAAGCCAGCAGGAAAAAAGCAAAGTAGTAGTGGTTACTACCCCAAACCCTGGGTTCAGTGAAACAGAAGATAACTTAGTTCTGAGATGAAAACTGAAGTCACCGATATTTGAAACAGTCCCTGTACAAAGATGTGGCATACACAAAACCATATTATATAGTGAGGGGAATGTTATATAAGGCAAGGCACTTCTATAGACTGCATTTTATTTAATTTTATTTATACTGCATTTTATTTAAACCAATATACTTAAAATATGAAAATTCAACAATTAAGATTAGCCAAATTTCAAGGTTTTAAAACACCAAAGTTACAGGAACATAGACAGAATTGACAGCTTGATTATGAGCCTAGTGTGGGCATAGCCACGAAAGATAAAGGTCCCCTGACTCCCACTTACCTGCCCAACCTAGTTACTAATAACCATTTTTGAATACCTATTCTGTGTAGAGCTCTGTCTCAGTAGGCTCTAGGACTCTCTTCCATGGACAGCCATGAACACTTCCCATACATTCCAAATGTACCCACATATTTTCTTAATTTCCCCAAATCAAGAACAAAAGTAGGGACTTTAATCTTATTCCTAGTAACTCTATAGATAAGACAGAATTGCCTCAGCATAAACCACAGGGCACTAACCACTAATACAAGAAACAGAACATACATGTGTGGTGTTTCTAGGCCTTTAAAAGGCCAGCTATCTCTACAGACAGAAATATCACGGTGATTATGTGTGTCACACAACGATCCAAACTACAACACAGTAAACATAAGCTTGATATTGTAAAATATATCTCTTCCTAATAGTCAGCTACTTCATATAAGTAAAGATAGGAATTATTGCTTATGAGATCAATTGAATTGTTGGGGGAGAAAAGGAAGGGAATGTACTTAAGAAAACTAGACTTGAAGATATCTGCATAAATTATTCTTGATGTCTTTGTTCCCTCATATGAAAGAAACTTGTGCAGAAAACATTTCAAAATAATGATCCTAACATTTTTCATATATAAATACTGGTAGGCTGAAAAATCTAATGAATTTAATATGAGTAAATCAAATCTTTGTGGCTTGGGTGAAGTGCTCTGAAAAATAAACTTAAATTGTGCTTTTAAAGAACACAATGTTGAAAAACAAGTACTCTCAACTATTTTGGGAAAAAAACGAAAACAGCAATAACTTATATTGTCAAGACTCAAAGAAAAGAGGGCTAGAAATACATGACATTAAACAGCAAATAGAAAAGTCTTCCACCATTTTGGAGGCTGAAAATTGAATTTAAGCAAGGTTTGAATGATTTAGCCCAATTGCATAGAGATAGTAGCTGATGCAAGGTTTGATTTAAGAATTTTGTGTATCCGTGTATTTTGGCATTTGTGCAAACACACACATATAAAATACTAGTGAACTGGAACATTTCATATGATAATATATACACACACACACACATCTCTATACAGCATGCTCATGCACACACACACACATACACTCAGGGTGGGAGGAAGGAGGGCAGAGAGAGAGAAAGAAGAGAGAGAAATGGGGGGCAGTTTATAACTCTACATGATTCTTAAAAATTGAAAAAAAAGAAATATATTTTCTATGGTAGACATGTAAACTAGCCCTCAAAATGAGTCTACTCATTAAGAAATTTGAATAAAATATTTTATTATTTAAGTAAATGAATCCAAGCTATGTTGCCTCTAAAGTTGTACTGTCTGATGAGGAAGCCACTAGCCACATATGGCTATGGAACCTTGAAATTTGGCTAATATTAATTGTTGAATTTTCATATTTTAGATATATTGGTTTAAATAAAATGCAGTATAAAAAATACGTTGACTTGCTTCTTCTCATCTTTTCGCTTGCTACTAGGAATTTGAAAATTACATTTGTGGCTTCCATTACATTTCTATCAGATACTGCTGCGCTAGAAGGTCAAACTAGATGATTATCCATAAGATACATGAAACTATTATTCTAAAACCCAAATAGTTAAACCAGATTAGATTCCTAAAGAATATATTTTCTCTTCAGTTTAACTCTTTGCTCAGGCTTGTAAAACTAACTAAATGAATAGATTATTTGGTAAATAGAAGTAAGGAACAATATTTTAATGAATTGAAAAACCACAAAAGGATAGGATTTGCTATGATTGAAAACATTTATTTTAACAGTTCAAGCAAAATTGTTAATTTTGGCTTGGATGTTTTTCCTAGGTACACATTCACTGGAATCTATACCTTTGAGTCACTTATAAAAATCTTGGCAAGAGGGTTTTGCTTAGAAGATTTTACGTTTCTTCGTGATCCATGGAACTGGCTGGATTTCAGTGTCATTGTGATGGCGTGAGTAACTTTGAAAATTTGATAAGCGCAAAGGAGTGAAAATAGTCATAGTACAAACAAGGTCTTTGTGTCATATATTAAATGTAGAGCTTTCTTGTTAGTCAAGTTAACTATATGGATTGTGTATTTTAAGAATACATATTAGAATACATATTGCAATGTAAATATATCCAGTAAATGATCAATAAATGGGGTTATCTTCATGTCATATAGTCTTTCTCTTCATCAAAATGAAGTTATTCATTGACTACAATTTAATAGCAACAACTGTACTTGGATTAGTTTTGCAAACAAATGTGTTCATATTAGTGAAAATTACATTGAAATAAAGCAACACGATTTTGTTTCTTAAAAGCAACCTTTAGCATATGGCAGCCTGAGGTCTATAGCAATTCCATTTGTTAAACTCACAGGGCTCTATGTGCCAAACCCAGCATTAAGTCCTTATTTAGTATAAACTTTGCCAAAACTATCAGTAACTCTGATTTAATTCTGCAGGTATGTAACAGAATTTGTAAGCCTAGGCAATGTTTCAGCCCTTCGAACTTTCAGAGTCTTGAGAGCTCTGAAAACTATTTCTGTAATTCCAGGTAAGAAGAAACTGGTGTAAGGTAGTAGGCCCCTTATATCTCCAACTTTTCTTGTGTGTTATTGTGTTTGTGTGTGAACTCCCCTATTACAGATATGTGACAGAGTTTGTGGACCTGGGCAATGTCTCAGCGTTGAGAACATTCAGAGTTCTCCGAGCACTGAAAACAATTTCAGTCATTCCAGGTGAGAGCTAGGTTAAACACCGAGGTTGACTTTAATTATTGAGTTTGAAATCAATTTATATGACTTACAGCATTAGCCTTGTTGCTTATTATTACAGTTCATCCCGTTAAATAATGCCAAATGATGTTTCAATGTCAGTTTAGCTCCTAAAATTTTATAAATTACATGCGTATTTATAAAGTCAGCCTTTGAGTTTAACAGAAAATTGCATGAGACATCTTCAAAAAATGCTAATTTGGGCCTCTTGCGCTCTCTCTCTCTCTTTTTCACTACCATGGCTTTACTAACAGATTTGGATTTTACCATTCGCTGCAGATGTAGTTCAAAAATGGATCTCCTTTTACAAAGGAGAAAATATTATTGTTGAAGAGCATGTATATGGCATGAGACATGAGACTTACATTATTTTAAAATTCTTTTCTCCTCTAAATTACTACTGCTTGGAGGCTAGAGTAAAGAATGGATTGGTGGAAAATGGCTGCATGAAACACAAAATCTGAAATGAAAAATAACTCCAAGTTTTTTTGTATGTTTGTTCAGCATGTAAAACCACACAAACAAAACTTCCTGACTAGATATTTAAACCTTCATATTGAATTTCCAGCAAGCACACTGTTCATGTGTAAAATCTGCTGTTCATCTATTTCCCAAATCATCAGGCTATCCATACAGCTTTGGTGTCTAAATAGTCAAGCAATCATTTATGGGGGAAAGAGAATGTGTGTGACTATTAAGAAATCATGATTTCTGGCACTCTTCCTCAGGTAACCTATAGTTCTCTCTCTGCAGGTTTAAAGACCATTGTGGGGGCCCTGATCCAGTCGGTAAAGAAGCTTTCTGATGTGATGATCCTGACTGTGTTCTGTCTGAGCGTGTTTGCTCTCATTGGGCTGCAGCTGTTCATGGGCAATCTGAGGAATAAATGTTTGCAGTGGCCCCCAAGCGATTCTGCTTTTGAAACCAACACCACTTCCTACTTTAATGGCACAATGGATTCAAATGGGACATTTGTTAATGTAACAATGAGCACATTTAACTGGAAGGATTACATTGGAGATGACAGTAAGAAGTATTACATTATGTTAACCTTAGTGTTGCTGAATGAATTTTCAACTATAAATAGTTGAGACTGTGGGTGTACAGCCACCTTTGTAAATAACTGAAATAGTCCAACTCTGATTTATTACTAATACTAATGTGAATAGGATTAATATGAAATAAAATGGGTTTTTTTTTGTATTAACAGGTCACTTTTATGTTTTGGATGGGCAAAAAGACCCTTTACTCTGTGGAAATGGCTCAGATGCAGGGTAAGAAACATAATATATTTTTTAAGATATAGAACTCTTTGCGAAAAAAAAAAGTAGGTAGGAAAACAACTACATGGTTATATGTGTAGCCTTACCATGTATGCAATAAAGAGCAGTGCTGCTCCCCTAGGAAGTGCCTTGTCTGCCTTACCGGATTGCCACTGGTCCTAAACTCACAGCAATTAAAAATTATCCCTTTGTGAAGACCTTTCCCCAAAATTTCACAGTTAAGATGTTCTTAAATTGATGCTCCAATGTGTGAAGGCCCAGAGTCTGTCTTTGCTGTACATCTATCAGAGCTGTTAGGAAACACAGGAACACAAGATGGGCCCCTTTTTATTGGTGTACATATGTATCAATGGGATGAGTTTTGTCGTGACTGGAAAAGACCCAGACTATAATGTGGTCTTCAGGGTGGAAGCACACTTGGGGAAGTGCTTTGAAATATTTAAGTATTCTTGAAGGAGCATGTATTTCTGTATACAAAGAAGCCAAGGGTGCATGTGTGCCAAAGGCATGTCCAAGTATCAGTTGACATAATGAATAGTTCTTTTAGGCCACACGTTACAACAAAAGATGCCATAATATCTTAGTCATGCTGTTATTCTCTAACCCTTAAATATTTTCCTAAGAGTATTGTAAGTTAATTTTAAATCAAAATAGGGAATTTTTTAAGAGCTGAGAGATAGCAATAGTAAGTGACTCTTAGGACACGGAACTTAAATATATTTTGAGTCATCCTTTAAAAAGGGAAACTGGTGTAGCCATAAAAATCTAAGAGAGTTAATGAAAATGTATACTAGTCATATAAATAGAGCTTTGGGGAATTTTTTTTCCTGACAGTTTTCCTAGCCTTATTATGAATGTAGGGGGTAAGAGCATAGGTTGTAGAGTTCATGTATACCAGGGTTCAAATCCTAACTTCACCACTTGTAAGCTCTTTGACCTTGGAAAAGTGTCCTAAGCTCTCTGTACCTTAGTTTACTCATCGTTAAAATGGAGAGAGTAATATTCTGTCCCTTTAATAGTTGTGATGATTAATGATTTAATACACATAAAGTATTTGAACTATCACATGGACAATTGTAAGAATTTATTGTATGTACCAGCCTAAGCAACAAAGCAAGACCCTACCTCTACAAAACAAAAAAAAAAAAAAAAAAAAAAAAAGAAAGAAAGAAAAAAAAGAAAAGAAAAGAAGAAGAAAAAAAGAAAAACTTAGCCAGGCATTGTGATGCACACGTGTAGTCCTAACTTCTCAGGGGGCTAAAGTAGAAGGATTGCTTGAGCCTAGGAATTCCAAGCCACAGTGAGCTATGATCATGCCACTGCACTCCAGCCTAGGTGATAGGCTGTCTCTGAAAAATGGCTGGGAGCGGTGGCTCACACCTGTAATCCCAGCACTTTGGGAAGCAGAGGCAGGGGGATTACTTGAGGCCAGGAGATCTAGACCAGCCTGGCCAACATGGCGAAACCTTGTCTCTACTACAAAATGCAAAAATTAGCTGGGTGTGGTGGGGCACACCTGTATCTCAGCTACTCTGGAGGCTGAGGCACAATAATCTCTTAAACGTGAAAGATGGAGGTAGCAGTGAGCTGAGATGGCACCACTACACTCCAGCCTGGATGACAAAGCGAGACCCTGTCCCCCCAAAAAATTTTTTTAATAAATTTAAAAAAAAAGCACACTCTAAAAAAAGAAAAGAATTTATTGCCTATTAACTATTATTTATTATGATGATGATTAACATAAAAGCCCAGATAAAATTTTGGATAAATTTGGTTAATACATACTTTATTCCTATTAAACCATAATAATCTATTCCCCTTAATGAATTCCTATTATGGCTTAAGTAATTTACATCAACAGTCCCCAGCCTTTTTGGCACCAGGGACTGTTTTGTGGAAGACAATTTTTCCACCGACCAAGGGTGGTGGTGGGAAATGATTTCAGGATGATTCAAGCACGTTACATTTATTGTGTACATTATTTATATTATTAGCATACTGTAATATATAATGAAATAATTGTACAAGTCACCATAATGTAGAATCAGTGGGAGCCTGATCTCAAATGATTCACCTGCCTCGGCCTCCCAAAGTGCTGGGGATTACAGGCATGAGCCACTGCGCCTGGCCATTGGTGATGAGATTTTTGTTTTTGTTTTTGTTTTTTTTTGAGACGGAGTTTAGCTCTGTCGCCCAGGCTGGAGTGCAGTGGCGCGATCTCGGCTCACTGCAAGTTCCGCCTCCCGGGTTCAAGCTATTCTCCTGCCTCAGCCTCCCGAGTAGCTGGGACCACAGGCGCCCGCCACCACGCCCGGCTAATTTTGTATTCTTAATAGATACCAGGTTTCACCATGTTAGCCAGGATGGTCTCAATCTCCTGACCTCGTGATCCGCCCGCCTCGGCCTCCCAAAGTGCTGGGATTACAGGAGTGAGCCAGGTGATGAGTTTTAAATACAAAACCATTTTGTATTTAAGCGGCACATTCCATTAAAGAAATAAATGATTTGTATTTTATTAAAATTAAAAGCTGCTGTTTTACAAAGATATTCTTAAGAGAATGAAAAGACAAACCAGCAACTGGAAGACAATATTTGCAAAGCACATATCTGATTTAAAAAAAAAAAAAAAAAGACTGGGGCTAGGTGAAGTAGCTCATTCCTGTAATCCAGCACTTTGGGAAGCTGAGAGGGGAAGATCATTTGAGCCCAAGAGTTTGAGACTGGCCTGGGCAGCATAGGGAGACACTGTTTCTCCAAAAAATAAAAATAAAAAAATTAGCCAGGCATGGTGTAGTGTATCTGTGGTACCAGCTACTCAGGAGGCTGAGGCAGAAGGATTACTTGAGCCTGGGAGGTCGAGGCTGCAGTGAGCCATGATCAGACCACTGCACTATAGCCTGGGCAACAGAATTATACCCTGTCTCAAAAGAAAACAAAACAAAACAAAACAACAAACCAGTGTCCAGAATATCTAAAGAACTCTTAAAACTCAACAATAAGAAAACAAATGACCCAATTTAAAACTGGCAAAAGATCTGAACAGATACCCCACACGAGTATATAGTACAGGTGGTTATTAAGGAGGTAAAAAGGCACTCGACATCATTTGTCATTAGGGAATTGCAAACTAAAACAACAAGGAGTTACCACTGCACATCTGTTAGAATGACTGAAAAATGTATCTGGCAATACCAACTTCTGATGAGGATGCAGAATAACAGGAACTCTTGCTTATTGCTGGTGGGAATGCAAAACTAGACAACCGCCTTGGAAGACAGTTTGGCGGTTTCTTACAAAATAAACATAGTCTTACCATATGATCCAACAACTGCACTTCTAGGTATTTAGCTGATCAATTTGAAAACTTATGTCTTCACAAAAAACCTGCATGTGAATATTTATAGCAGCTGTATTCATAATGACCCCAAACTGGAAGTAACCAAGATGCCCTTCAATGACCCCAAACTGGAAGCAACCAAGATGTCCTTCAATAGTTGTATAGATAAATAAATTGTTATGCCCATACAATAAAATATTACTGAGTGATTAAAAAGAAATGAGCTATCAAGATACAAACAAATATTAATGAATATTAAATGCACATTTCTAAGTGAGAAAAAGCCAACCTCAAAAAGCTACATACTGTATGATTTCAATTACCTGACATTCTAGAAAACACAAAGCAACAGAGATGATAAGAAAATAGTGTTTTCCAGGGGTTCATGGTGAGGGATTATCTAGGTAAAGCAAAGGGGATTTTTTTTTAGGGTGAGAACCTGTTCTCTAAGATTCTATAATGGTGAATATGAAACTTAATGCATTTGTTAAAACTCATAGACCTTTATAACACAAAGAGTGAATCTTAATATATACAAATTAAAAAAAAAATCTTTTGTGAGGTTTGGGGATCCCAGGAAGAAATGGAATATGTGACAAAAATATATACATGTATTGCAAAATATGAAATGACCTCACTGTAGGTGGTGGGGTAATAACATGCTAACCTAAGTAACTTTGGAAATGAGTGGAGTCTGTAAGACTAAAGGTAAAAGGAACAATACCCTAGTTGATAAAGTTGTTTCCAATGGTAGTATAGATTAACAATCCTGAAACCACTGTGCATGTGTACCAGTACTGAGCAATTACAAACATGTGTATCTCCTTGTTCTGTCAGCTGAGAGGGCCTAGAAGCAATGACACCCCAGTAGCAACAAACACAGCTAGCACTCAGATCTTGGTTTCTAATACCATTTTCCAATAAAAAGAACTAGGGCTCCTTGGAGAAATGGTTGATTCTAGGACTGCGGCAGAAATTATAAAAGATGAGCCTGGAGCATCTGATAGTACCTAAAACTAAGAAAGTGTTAAAAAACAAAAAAAAATGCAACCCACAACCATGGTGTATGTCAAACTGTTACAGGTGTCAACTGAAAGAGCTTCCAGTGGCCAAAGATGAAGCCATTTGAACAAATAAATGAAATATCATTGAATTGTAATCCAAAATATAAAATGACTATCCATGACTACATGTTAATTGAAATGATTGAATAATTAAATAAAATATGAATGGACAAATATCCTATGCAGAATAATTTCAAATAATTTTGGTATATACTTAAGATCATAACTGCGGGTTCCTTAAATGTGGTCTGTACACAGTGACTTTATTTCAAAGAGCACATATGGAAAAGGAAGAAAAGGGAGTAAATTTACAGTAGAGAAACCTAACACTACCTCAAGACAGGTGGTGAAAGTTAACATCAAGAGTGATAAGTCATAGTGAGTGATAAGTATGTACCCTTGGCATGATGTGATGTGATGACAGTGACATTTTACCTCTGTAGTCTTCCACCCAAAAATCCATAACCTAAATATAATCATGAGACAAACATTAGACAAATCCCAATTGAAGGGTATTCTATAAAATATCTGACCAGTAATCCTCAAAACTGTTGTGGTCATCAAAAACAAGGGAAGTCTGAGAGATTGTCACAGCCAAGAGGAGCCTAAAAAGACATAACTACTAAATGCGATGTGTATCCTGAATGGGATCCTGGAACAAAAAAAGGACATTAAGAAAAAAACTGAGGGCTGGGCACGGTGGCTCTCGCCTGTAATCCCAGCACTTTGGGAGGCCGAGGCAGGCGGATCACGAGGTCAGGAGATGGAGACCATCCTGGCTAACACTGTGAAACCCTGTCTCCACTAAAAATACAAAAAATTAGCTGGGCGTGATGGCAGGCACCTGTAGTCCCAGCTATTTGGGAGGCTGAGGCAGGAGAATGGTGTGAACCTGGGAGGCGGAGCTTGCATTGAGCCGAGATTGCACCACTGCACTCCAGCTTGGGCGACAGAACGAGACTACATCTCAAAACAAAACAAAAAAAAAGAAAAAAACTGATGAAATCTGAATAAAATAGTAACTTTAGGTAATAATAATGTATTAAGGCTGGGTGCGGTGGCTCGCACCTGTAATCCCAGTACTTCAGGAGGCCAAGGCAGGAGATTGCTTGAGCCCAGAAGTTTCAGACCAGCCTGGGCAGCGTAGCAAGATCCCATCTCAATTAAATAATAACAATATATCAATATTGAAAATGGCATGGAATGTATGAAGCCTGTACTATCCTCATACTTTTTCTGTAAATAAAAAATTGTTATAAATATTAACTTTATTTTAGAAAATTCTACAAAACCAGCTAATGAAATGGTTGATTCCCCACTCTTTGTCTGTTTTCTGGCTTTTAATTTTTTTTTTTTTTTTTTTTTTTTTTTTTTTTTTTTTTTTTGAGTCAGAGTCTCGCTCTGTCACCCAGGCTGGAGTGCAATGGCACAATATCGGCTCACTGCAAGCTCCACCTCCCGGGTTCACGCCATTCTCCTGCCTCAGCCTCCCGAGTAGCTGGGACTACAGGCACCCACCACAACGCCCAGCTAATTGTTTTTTTTTTGTATTTTTAGTAGAGATGGAGTTTCACTGTGTTAGCCAGGATAGTCTCGATCTCCTGACCTTATGATCCGCCCGCCTTGGCCTCCCAAAGTGCTGGGATTACAGGCGTGAGCCACTGCACCCGGCCTTAATTTTTAACTATTGATTCTTGCCACTTTGTAAAGAGTAGAAATATGGTAATGTCAGAGCCAAAAGTGTGTGGTTGCTAGCTTTCTGCCATTCTAAATGTCCGTAAATATTTATTTGCATCTAAATTTTCTATCGGTCTTCCTAGTGAATTTCATCTGATAAGTTTCACGGTGGGCAATCACCTAAAGTGTTCTGGAAATTAAAGCAAGATAATTCGTCACAGATAGCAGCTTTGGGTTTTGAAAATTCCTATAAGTCAAATAAATTGAAATTGCTGTAATTTCTAAACTGACCCTACCTCCATTTCTCTCTCTTATAGCCAGTGTCCAGAAGGATACATCTGTGTGAAGGCTGGTCGAAACCCCAACTATGGCTACACAAGCTTTGACACCTTTAGCTGGGCTTTCCTGTCTCTATTTCGACTCATGACTCAAGACTACTGGGAAAATCTTTACCAGTTGGTAAGGTCCAAATGAGCATGCATAACATTTATTTTTATAGACATGTATGAAATGAAAAGCATAGGCTGGGTGTGGTGGCTCATGCCTGTAACCCTAGCACTTTGGGAGGCAGAGGCGGATGGATCACTTGAGTCCAGGAATTCGAGACCAGCCTGAACAACATGGCAAAACCCCATCTCTACCAAAATACAAAAATTAGCCCAGCATGGTGGCGCCCATCTGTAGCCCTAGCTACAAGGGAGTCTGAGGTGGGAGGATCACCCAAGCCCAGGAGGTGGAGGTTGCAGTGAGTCGAGATCATATCATTGCACTCCAGCCTAGATGACAGAGTAAGACCCCATCTCAAAAAAAGAAAGGGAAAGGGAAAGGGAATGGGAAAAGGAAAGGGAAAGGGAAAGGGAGAGAAGGGAATGGAAGGGAAGGGAAGGGAAAGGACCTGCTTATAACACTCTGGAACACAGAGGAAGGTCCAACATAAAGCAAGTGTGCCAGGAATCCTAATTGCTCACTGAGTCAGTACCTATATATGTACACTGAGGACTTTTTTATGTGAAAGGCATTCTGCTAGGAACTTGGAGATGCTCATGACTCTTAGAAGTTGATAATCCAGTTGTTGGTATATAAACAGCACGTTAAAAGATTTTAAAAATCAGTGATGTTGATGTGAAAATTTCAAATTAAAGCTCTAGCTATTAACTGAGACTAGAAGGGGAGGGGAGCAAAAGTCATCTATAGATGGTATGGAGAATAGCTGCAGTGCAAATGGAATCCCACTGAAAGGATTTAAAGGTTCAGTGCTCTTACTTGTCATATTATTGCTCTGCATATGAACTCTAATAAAAGCATTATAGTGGGGCTCACATATATATCCACTATATATGAGTTTAAAATGTATTTATATCCAACAAGACTGCAGTCAAGCCTCAAATAATCTGATTCTTAATTTTGTGTGTTGAGCATATCAATACCAAAAAATTCTTGGTGAAAATAAACTGGATACTAAAAAGCTAATTAGTCTACTGACTATCTAACTGTGGTAATCAGATATTTATTTGGGGACATTATACTAAAATACTGATGGAATTATCCCCCATTTCCCCTAGACATTACGTGCTGCTGGGAAAACATACATGATATTTTTTGTCCTGGTCATTTTCTTGGGCTCATTTTATTTGGTGAATTTGATCCTGGCTGTGGTGGCCATGGCCTATGAGGAGCAGAATCAGGCCACCTTGGAAGAAGCAGAACAAAAAGAGGCCGAATTTCAGCAGATGCTCGAACAGCTTAAAAAGCAACAGGAAGAAGCTCAGGTACTGAGTGATAAAAGCAAAGATTTATCATTATTATTATTAGTTTCTAAGTAGAAATAGTGTTATACTATAGAGGGTAGATTGGAACTGCTTTTTCATTTTATATATAGGCATTGTCATTAGAAAAAAAAGTATTCAAATATGAACTTGTTTCTGAAGTTAGAGTCTAACAAACTTTTTAGCCACTGTATATAAAGAAATCAGCTAGCGGATAGAAAATACATTAGAGATAAGGTTTACTATGGAATTGTCTCATAGAACCTAAGAGAGGAATTTAATTTTTTATTTAATTTAGAAAAGAAATAAAACTGATATTTCCAATTATTAGTGATTCACCCCTAATTATGACATTTGAGATTTTGTTCTGAAGTTAATTGATTTTAAAGGTTGACAAGAGACTTTATATATACCTATGCTTAACAATTCTTTGGGATTTCTGTAGCAAAAAAAAAAAAAAAAAAAAATGTTTGCTATAGCCCACATCAGGATATCAGGAAGGTATCTAAAGTTAGATGCCAACTTGAGATTTTTATTAATATTAAAGGCTGTGTGAGCTAGGGGTATAGTGAATGGGACATTAATGTGTTGAGGAGAAGAGACGGAAACACAGTACTGTATTAAAAGACAGAAAAAAAAATCCATATACTGAAAGGTGAAGACTCACGAATATATAGTAAAAATCTGATTCATGCCAGTTAGAATTATAATTTCTCAATATTTTTGCCAACATTTGGTATGGCCAGTCTTTTTAATTTTAGCCATTCTAATAAGTATCTCATTTCTGTTTTGATTTTCATTTTCCTAATTACTAATGTTGAGCACCTTTTTCTGTTCTTATTTTCCATCTGTATAGCTTCTTTTATGAAGTGGTTGTTCAAATCTTTAATCCCCTCCTTTTTTTTTAGTTAGGTTGTTTGATTTCATATTATTGAGTTTTGAGCATTCTTTGACTCTTTGGGATGTAAGTCCTATATCACATATATGCTTCTCAAATATTTAAAGTGCAGTTTATCCAGAGTATTATTTCTTAGCTTTTTTGTTTAAATCATTCTTTTGGATCTAAGAAATTTTTGCCAAGTCAACACCATGAGTATTTTCTTCTAAATTTTCTTCTTAAGTTAGTTTTATGCTTTATATTTAGGTAAATAACCCATTTTAGTTAATTTTTGTATAACATATGAGTGATATGTTGAGATTCACTTTTTTAAAATGAGTATCTAATTATTCCAACTGCATAAAAACAAAATATTCATTCTCCACTGCATTGCCTTTGAACTTTTGTCAATTATTAGTTGTCCATAGGTGAGTTTGTCTATTTCTGAACTCTATTCTGTTTAGTTTATTTGTCATTTTTATACCAGTACCACACTCTCTTAATTCCTGTACCTTTTATGACGAGTCTTGAAATAACATAGTGCAGGTCCCCAACTTTTTGTTCTTTTTTTTTTTTTTCAAAGCTGTTTTGGCTGTTTTATGTCCCTTGTAGTTCTGTATGAGTTTTTTTTCTAAGTTTCATATATATATATTTTTTATTATACTTTAAGTTCTAGGGTACATGTGCACAACATGCAGGTTTGTTACATATGCATACATGTGCCATGTTGGTGTGCTGCACCCATTAACTCGTCATTTACATTAGGTATACCTCCTAATGCTATCCTTCCCACCTCCCCCACCCACCAGTTAGAATGGCGATCATTAAAAAGTCAGGAAACAACAGGTGCTGGAGAGGATGTGGAGAAATAAGAACACTTTTACACTGTTGGTGGGACTGTAAACTAGTTCAACCATTGTGGAAGACAGTGTGGCGATTCCTCAGGTATCTAGAACTAGAAATACCATTTAACCCAGCCATCCCATTACTGGATATATACTCAAAGGAATATAAATCATGCTGCTATAAAGACACATGCACACGTATGTTTATTGCGGCACTATTCACAATAGCAAAGACTCTATATGAGTTTTAAACTCCATTTGTCAATTGCAATTTGAATGATTTCTATTGCTGTCTTCAAGTCAATTATCTTTTCTTTTGAACATTTAATCTGCCGCTAATTTCATCCAGTGTATTTGTCATCTGAAACATTGTAGTTTTCACCTCTGCAAGCTTGATCTGTGTCTTTTTTATATTTCATATATCTCTAATTAACATTGTGAACATACACAATACAGTTATAACAACTGTTTAAGTTCCCTGTCTGCTAATTTGAACATCTGTGTCACTTCTTGGTCAGTTTTGATTAATTTTTCTCTTTATTATGGGTCACATATTCCTGCAGTTTTATGTTCCTGACAATCTTCAATTGAATTCCAGACACTGTCAATTTTACTTTTTTTAAGTGCTGGATATTTTTGTATTCCCATAAAAATTATTGATCTTTGTTTCGGGACATAGTTATGTTGTTTACACAGTTTGATCCTTTTGTATCTTTAAACATTTGAAAATTTGTTAGGCAGGACCAGCATACCATTTATTCTAAGACTAATTATTCCTCACTAGTGAATCAAGACCCTTCCTAATACTCTACCCAATGCGCATTTAAAACGAAGTGTTTGCCAGTGTAGGAACAGACACTGTTCTGGCACAGTGTGATTGCCAGGTGGTGTTCTCTCTTATCCTCAGCCTCAGGTAGTTTTCTAAGACACATGCTTGGTGAATAATCTTCTCAGTACTCAAGGGGAACCTGAGAAGATCCCTAGAGTTCTCTCTCTGCTCAACTCTCTCCTCTGTGGTACCCTGTTTTGTGAACTATACAACCACCCTGATTTTCCTAAACTCAGCTTCATCTCATCCATTCATGGAGTCTGCAGAGATACTTCCTCTCTACATCATAGTCTGGAAGTTCCAGGCCATAAGCTAACAAAAGCATAGAACTGACTTGCTTGCTTTTCCATTTTCCAATATCTTAAAACATCCTGATCTGATGTCCAGTGCCTTCAAAACTACTGTAACATGTATTTTGTCTGTTTTATTGGTTGCTTCAGGAGAGAGCAAATCTGGTCTCTGTTACTCAATTTTGGCCAGAAGCAGAAATCCAAATAATATTTTTATGCACTGACTTTTTTGAGGATTTTTTTCAGATGAATGGCTCCACATATTTGAAGTATTCTTTGGATGACAGTATATAACAGAAATTGGTATATTCAAAATTTAAGTTTTTAACAATTCTGAGTTACTTTGAAGATGCACAACAAATAGCATTAGGTCCTTTCTCAAGGCATTTTTTGGGGTAATGGAGATACAGCAATGAGTTGTTTAGTGAATTATTGAGCTCAACTCTAGGCATAGCTTTTGCTGAACATGCTAGCTTGACCACTTTCATCTTACCATTGGATACAGAGTAGTAATGTGGATATACCTTATTGATTTTATACAGAAAACTATAAACAAATTTGGTGAAACTTGAAAATATTTTAAAATATACCTCATGCTTGCCAGAAAGTTCTACATTTGAATTATTTAAGAGTTTTATTCTATGTCACCATAAATAAAACACATTTATAATATAATAAAATAAAAATAGCTATTTACAGGGCAAATACTTTATTTCAAGGTTTTAAATAAGTGTTATAGGAAATAATGTTCATAAATTGCATATGATTGTATTTTAAAGCACTGGGTTTTTCTATTATCATTAATAAAAGAAGACAAATTAATGTGCTTGAAAATCCTACACAGATAATGAGTTTATTCTAAAATGCAGCCATTTTAGGGTAAAATATGACATCAATTAAAAAGAGTATAGTCTTTTTGAACTTAGAAATAAACATGCACTATTTCTAGTAGAAGTTTAAAGAACCTATGATTATGATGAGTTCGGCTAAAAAACATCAGTTCTATTACCTTAGTAGTCAGTTACTGAATCTTAGTGACCAAATCATCACAATTTGATTCAGCTTTAGCTTCATACATATAAAATTTAAATTTATCCAAGGTAAAGTATAATACTGATTGGAGTAGCACAGTGCCAAATCCATTTTAGTTCCTTATTGACAACACAAGTAATGATGACTAGTAAATTATCAATGTTGAAGCCAGGAGGAAGTGGAGGCAAAGACAGAATTAGTGCACCTATAAGATCATTTATGCTGCAGTGTAGCTTAAGTCTCCCTAACCACCTACGACTCTTCAAAAGTTACTATCTAGCCAATGACTTCATGAAGGCTAGCATCACTTCCATCTTTGTTTATTATTGGTTGAGGGGCCACCTAGGGCTAGTCACGGTGTAGGCATGAGAAAATAATGTGGAGAAACACAAACCCTGCAAAGAAATCAATGTTTTGTCCTAGATCATTCTAATTGTGTTTGACATTTAAATTGTGATATTTAAGTGCCTAATGTTGCCCAGCTTAGTATATCCCATAGCAGTCTATATTGCTCTGATAGGAAAAAATTTGGGAGTAAGCTCTAGAACAAAATTCGAAATAGTAGCTCTTAAGAAATCTAATATAATTGGGGTAGAACAGAAATAGGTATAATGTCTTGTAGCTTTGAATGGGATTTTAACTGGATTATATACATAAAATGAACAAAGTATTAGTTATGTGGTTATATTTTTACGGACACACAGATACAGTGAGTTACAGAGCCTACTTTGAATCACACAAAAATGTTATAAGAAAATGTAATTTCCTGAGTAAATATTAAGTGAAATTTCTTATTTGTTAAAAGAGGAATTCAGCAAGTTGGCTGTGAAAGTAACACAGTTATTCTCATACGCAGGACATTGGTAGTGTCACAGAGTTGGGTATAAACAGGTACACAGACATGAGAGATGACAGGAAACATCTGCCTTTGAGGGAACTGGCAAATCACTGGAAGTGGAACAAATGACAGATTTGAGTTGATGAGTGACACAGAAAATGTGTCTGAGGTTACCTTTGTTGCCTTAGAAATCTGTTTTGGTTTTGAGTTATTTGAACTGTTACCCAGAATAGGTTTGGAAATAATGTCTTATGCAAAACAAAGTTTGTGGCCGGGTGCGGTGGCTCGCGCCTGTAATCCCAGCACTTTGGGAGGCTGAGGTGGGTGGGTCACTTGAGGCCAGGAGTTTGAGATCAGCCTGGCCAACATAGTGAAACCCTGTCTCTACTAAAAATACAAAAATTAGCCAGGTGTGGTGGCTCACGCCTGTAATCCTAGCTACTCAGGGGGCTGAGGCAGGAGAATCACTTGAACCCGGGGGTGGAGGTTGCAGTGAGCCGAGATCATGCCATTGCACTCCAGCCTGGGCGACAGAGTGAGACCCCATCTAAAAAAAAAAAAAAAGTTTGGAAGTGATTTAAATGGACATAAGTTGTAGGATTATGGTAAGGGACTATTACCACCACTTCCTTTGTTTGCAGGGACAAACAAGTCAATAAATGATTAACACTGTGTGTTGTGTGTTTGTGTCTATATAAAATAGAAAAGAGAATTAAGGACTTTATTTGGATAAGAAAGGGTATATATATATTCACTGTTTCAACAAATGGTGTATATTATGTACCTCATATGTATCCAGAACTCTGTAACTATATTTAACTTGCTATAGATAAGTGATTCATTTATTCACTTTATTTTGCATATATAGTCAGAGTTATAAAATGTACTTAATATTTCTCATTTTACATCATGAATTATATTAAAAGTGATACTGATGATCAATAATTCCATTAAAAACCTGGCTATATGACTCTATAAAATTTTATAAATATCTAAATTCTGAATTACTGTTTTATTTAAATGCTGGGTATTGTCTTATATCAAGTCTTAGATTTGAGCTTCCATTATGAATATAGTGCTTAATATAAATAAATATGTTACATTTTATGTGTTGCTTGGTCAAACACATAAATTTAAAATCATATTTAGTACTAAGTTTCCCTCCCTGAGATCATTGTAATCCTAGAGAATTTGCAGCATAGTAATTTTAGATTTAAAATCTTTTTTAAATTTTTAAACATGAAGTTTAAAAATGAAAACTACTTAGGAGAGTTTGCTTCTTCTCAAGAAAGATGAAACATAAAGCACAAAGTGTTGTCAAAGCATTATAAATAGGTTTTATCTCCATTTCTTCCTAAAATATGTTGTTATATAGACTGTTATGACAGTCTTTTATGATGTCTTGAAAAGTCAAGTCTTTTATGATGTCTTGAAAAGTCAACTTGCTATCTGTAGCAAGTTAAATATAAGTTCTATAAAGTTCTTCAGAAGCATCAAAGTCAAGGTTAAGTATGTCTTGTTCTTCCCCCACCCCCACCCCAGTGTCTGAGACAATTGATAGCAAAGTACATTTTTAAATCTTTATTCACCAATTATTTACTGAGCCTTATTTATGTCAGGTGACATACTAGTCACTGAGCATACAATGATACAATTTCTATCTAGCTTACAGTTAATGGGAAAGATAATATATTAGATAAGTTAGATTTGTTTGTATTTAGTGATGACATATGTAAAAAGTTTAACTGATATTGTCATAATTTAATTATTTTCACTTCTGTGGTTACATTTACAAATAGTAATATACTTAATGAGAACTCAGCTTTGATGCACACCATATTGTTTCATATCCTCTGTATGTCATTGTTAGATCATTTCCAGTCTAAAAATACTATTTGCCATGTTTCACCTCAGAGCTGACTGTGTTTCATTTGTAGGTACAGAAATTCAAAGTGCTTAAGAATACTTAGTGCTGCAATATAGAAAGAAAATATTTGAAGCAGTTCTCATAATCCTTTGAATGAATTTATGTAATGCTATGTTAATCATTTGTTATTTATAATATTAAATAATCTATGAACGTTTAACATTTTTTAAGTGATATGTAATAAATTCTCTGGGAGTAACATGATCACAGAGATGTGAACTACAGTCCTAAATGTAATTCAAAGGAAGGAAGAGGATAAGCTATCTAATACATTTCCCTACTTCCATCTGGAGGTAAAATAGTAGACACTTGAAATGTTTTATGTTCACAAAAAATAAAAGAAACAGTCTTTTGTACTGGATTTAGAGGGGAAAAAATACGACTCAGCTGCTCAGAAGTGCACACAGGAGGAAACGTTTTACAGATGGAATCAGAATGGTAGTTAGATAAGCAACCACCACGAAGAAAACATTTGCTTTTTAAAGTATAGAAGACACTTTGAAGAGAACAGTTGTCACCAACCCCCCCCCCCCAAAAAAAAGACAATCCAGAAGATAGGCAAAACCAGATTTTTCTTGCTTTAATGCATACACTAGCATATTGCTTTATATGATTTAAAACATAAGGGTCATTGTTAAGTAAACTCTTGTGGTGAGACAAAATAAAAGGACTAGAGGATAGACTTTTCACTTGTAGTTAATGAGTCTTAAATGGCAATATTTTAACCATACTCAACTGTTTTCAAAGCTCTGTGTTCTAAATAGTGCCTGGCTTTGTTTTATGACAGGCAGTTGCGGCAGCATCAGCTGCTTCAAGAGATTTCAGTGGAATAGGTGGGTTAGGAGAGCTGTTGGAAAGTTCTTCAGAAGCATCAAAGTTGAGTTCCAAAAGTGCTAAAGAATGGAGGAACCGAAGGAAGAAAAGAAGACAGAGAGAGCACCTTGAAGGAAACAACAAAGGAGAGAGAGACAGCTTTCCCAAATCCGAATCTGAAGACAGCGTCAAAAGAAGCAGCTTCCTTTTCTCCATGGATGGAAACAGACTGACCAGTGACAAAAAATTCTGCTCCCCTCATCAGGTATGATTTTCTACTAAGTGCTCTGGTTTCTTTGTCATTGCTATTGCTTTTTAGTTTTTGTATTTTGTTTTGGTACACTTTTGTACTATCTGACTTCAGTGAGGGACAGGGAACTAACATTTAATATAGTTGTTTAAATTCTTATAATAGATTGTCTTCAAAGGGATTTTTATTAAACCATTAATAAAATGTTCACCATTTTGAGACTGATTATATATACAGATAGATATATTGATATAATATATAGATATATATAATATATATTGATATAACCTATATATCAACCTGTATATATATATGTGTGTATATATGTGTCTATACACACACACACACACACACACACACACACACACACATATATATATATATAACCTACACTAGCAGACTTTTCAATGAGAGTTTTGGAATCTCTTGTTTACATTTTCCATTTTGAGACCCCAGATAAACTTATTTTCTTTGAGAATGGGTTTCTGCCTTTGTTATCCAAAGTTGTGATCGTAACATACATATAAATTTTGAAAAGAAGTGTTCTTTGGGTTTTGTCTTTATCCTTTGATTAAGAGAACTGGACTATGGTGAGTCTCCATTTTGCTTGCATAGGGTCATGCCGTGATACATTAGAATGAAATTATGACCTAAATGTTCTTGAAGAGAACAGCATCAAAGGTAGTCTATTTTTGCTCTGATTTAATGCCAACTACCTGGTTCTTCAGCATAGTTTTAAGTAAAAGAGTAAAAACTAGTTTCAATTATTTGATGTTTAGTAAGTTTTATGGATTAGTAAGTTAATGTATTGTTTACATATGTCTGATGTAAAGAATAATTAGTTACAAAATCTGTGATAAGTACAATTTTGGCTTTGAACACTATTTGGCACCATTAGAATTTCATGTGCTATGAATTGCAAATGCTTCTAATCATAACAATCTTGAGTCAGAATTATACCCTAAAAATAATGCTTTGAGAGATAATATATAAGATTAATTTAATCAAAAACTGCAAATCAACCAAGGGGTATGATATATTTTTCATAAAGAAAGAAACTTCTAAAAAAAACCAGAAGTAATAAACACAAAATTCAACATAGTATTTACTTTTGGTTGGGAGAAAAGGTAATATGCAAGTTCTCAGTGAATGTTTTATAATCTATCTTTAATATGTAAACAAATATTTTTAAAGAAAAAAGTAGACTATATTAATAACTTAAAACTTGTATTCTCATATTAGAACAAAATGGACATGAATACACAAAGAGTTTTAAGATAAAGCCATTTTTCTGCAGATAACATCAATATCAAGAAATTCAACTATTACTATCTTGTGTAATACAAATATAAAATATATTATCAAATCAGTATAACATATTTGGAATTAACTTGAAGCTCTGAAGGGCAACTTGGTTCCTCAGATCAGATTTTTTTTTCTTAAACAGTCACCTTTGATATTTTGGAATTCTTAAAACTATTAGGAGTTATTAGAATTAAGAGTATATGAAACTATAGCATAATGATGCTACAGTGAACACAAACTTTTGTGTTCATATCTCAACTCCAAACTAGTTCTGTGACGTTGGTCAAGTCACTTGTACTTTGTAAAATTTCTGTAAAATAAAGTAAGAATACCTACATTAAAGAGATTTAGGGGACTAAGCAATATATAGAAAATCTGTGTGACAAAGAGTAAGTCTCTTATTAAGTTAAAATCGGTGAATGAATTTCAAGTGAGGGAAAGCAAACTTCTGAGTAGTTTCAATTACTAACAAATGTATATACATAATTTGATAGCAGTATTAGTTCCTTTATTGTTTCATCATTTTGCTCAAATAAATTTTGTAGATCAGTTCATTCAGTCCAATCAACAAATATTTATTGATCGCCAACTATGTAGCAAGCATAGTTCAAGATGCTGAAAATACCTCAAAGAATAAAAGAGACTCAATCCACTGACCTCATGGAAATTTTTTCCAAAGGAGACGGACAATGAATAAAATAAATAAGTTATAGACTGTGTTAGAAGGTAACAAATGTTAAGGGAAAAAAAAGTAAGCAGGAAAAGAGGAACAGGAGCCATAATTGGAGGTAAAATTTTAAATAGGGTGGTTTACAATGACCTCACTATTAAGACATTTTGGGAAAGATTTGGAGGAGGCAAAGAAAGAGGCTCTCTTAAGGAACAGCATTCTAAACTGATGAAAGAGGAAGTGCAAAACCCTGACATGGTAGCATGCCTGGAGTGCTTAAGAAGCAACTGGTAGACTTGGTTTGCTGGAGCTGAGTGAACCACAGACAGGCAAGAGCAGAGAGCTTAGCTGATGGCCAGTGTTTTAATACTAAAAGCAGAATCAGTACATACATGTGGTAGATGTCGCTCATTTTATATTTGTAAATAGACAGAAGATAGATGGATAATTTCAAAAGTGAAGGAAATAATCTATTAGTTTTAAATTTGCATATCCCAGTAAAGACAGACTAAGAGCATTAACAAAACTAACAAGCAGAAATGTACCATAAACGGTTTACAATTTCTGCTTCTGTAAACAAAAAAGGAATCTGGTAGAAAGAGAATCAGTGAAGGTGGTGGGGACAGGAAGCGTAAGATAGACAGTAAATACTGCTCAAATCAAATGTATCTTCTGAAAATGTCAAAGCAGAGAGGGCATAAATTGTGGGTGCCCTGCCTTCTATTCACATAAATTACAAATGTTATTTTATGTTTATTACATTATTTTATTTTTAAACAGATAATGTTAGTTGTACAAAATAAAGAAATACTTAAAAGTATAAAATGAAACCTCAAAATGCTAAGTACTTCTGACAAATATTCACTTTCCTTGTTCCCACTAGAACATCTTAAAATTCCCAGCATCTTTTTCCATCTTGACTTTTCCCAACCCACTTTGAATCCAAACCCTACATGCATGACTGTGTCTTATAGACCTAATTTCTTCTATTTTCCCTTTTGTTACTGAAAATTAAGAAACAGTCTACATTTATCTTCTGGGAACAAGATGAAAAAGATACCTGGGAAATATGTTTTGACATGCCTGAGGTAAAGAAAGATGGCCTTTCACTCCTTAAAACATTAAAGCTGGTTTTCCCTAGAGAAAGTGTTGCCACAGCTGTGGGTATTCCCTCCACTCTGCTGCATCTTCTAGTGTGTTATTTTTGGTTTATTTTCTCTGAATGCTATTTCTGTTATCTTCTTTTTCCGTCTCTGTTGCCTTGAAAGCTGCGCTCACACCCATTATTATACATTCCAAAGAGTGAATAGAAATTTCAAATAAACTCAGAGATCTGGAACGCCTTTGAAAATACCTGACATAAAAATATCCAAATTAAAGGCATGTCCCAGATACATAGTGGATGTACACACGTACCACATACTCCCAACCAATACTGTGTAGACCGATTTTCAGTTTCCAGAGACAGTTTCAGAACATAGGTGTATTGAGGTGATTATACTCAGCCATCCTAGGGATTAATGTAAGACCAAGTTAGTATTTCTCTGAGTGTAGGATGAGGTCCACCCTGTGTTAGGGTCACCTGGAATGTGTCAGGAAAATTCAGATTCCAGAGTCCTATCTGCTACTTCCTGAATCCATATTCCAAAATCTGGGACCTAAAAATATATATTTTTAACTCTCAGAGTGATTCACATACACTCAAATGTTTCAAAACACTAGTTCTGGGCTGGGCATGGTGGCTCATGCCTGTAATCTCAGGGCTTTGGGAGGCCAGGGCGGGCAGATCACCTGAGGTTGGGAGTTCGAGGCCAGCTTGACCATCATGGTGAAACCCTGTCTCTATTAAAAATGCAAAACTTAGCCAGGTGTGGTGGCGGGCACCTCTAGTCCCAGCCAACTCAGGAGGGTAAGGCAGGAGAATAGCTTGAACTTGGGAGGTGGAGATTGCAGTGAGCCGAGATTGTACCACTGCACTCCAGCCTGGGCGACAGAGCGAAACTCTGCCTCAAAACAACAACAACAACAACAACAACAACAACAACAACAACAACACGAGTTCTGGATATAACTGTTATTATATTGATCATTTAAATGGAGTCTGAGGAAATGAAAAACATTAGCATTCTTTATTAATGGGGGGATGAATTGATGTCTTCACATGATCTAATCTCTTGATCACTTTGCTGTAAAATCACTCTATTGTCTGCCCTTCGGTAGACAAACCTGCTACAGGAATTGAGTGTCACATAGACACAGCCTCCGATGGACAAGCTGGACAGCCAATAGTTCCTGTGGAGAATCTAACCAAATCCAAAGGAACAGAGCACTTCTTAGTGAATAATATCCTTCCAGAATATCACTGAGACAGAGGACAACAAAGATTATTCTGGTGCTTTGCAGTCTGGGAAAAGCCATGAAAATAAAGCTAAAAATTGGGGCCTAAGAAAATCAGCATGACCTAATTAGGCAGAGGAACCAAGAATACATTTGACAGAGTCTGCCTTTTCTGTTTTTTCCACTAAAATCATTTTATTTGGTTTTACACTAAAGCTTAGAAGAAAGAGAAGATCCAGGAATGTTTGCTGCTGACATATGTATATGTATATGTATGTATGTATATTACCCTGGGTGTGAAGAGAAGTAGGAAAGGGAATGAGAGAGCAAGGAGGAATGCCATTGTTCATGATGAGGGGAGAAAACAAATATTCTGCAGACTGAATAGAGATGTTTTTGAAAACTATCTGCAAGACAAGAATACACACAGAATTATTTGGGGTTGCTAGTTTAAAATCCTTTCAAAATGTGAAAGAAGGAACTTCAAGCTAAATCCTCATTTTCTGGTACTAGGAAATAGTTTGCTTAATTTATCTGGGAATAGCTGTAATGAAAAAGGTTTTGAATTGTCTCTTTCTTTTTAATATAATTAAAATAAAACAGAAGTATATGTTGTTTTTCACACCACCTGCTGGTGAAGTCATGTTATATGTCTTGCTTTTACAAGCCAGTGTTATATTTTACACAAGAAGAGTAATTTGTGTAGCAGTTTAGGAATCCTCTGTGTTGTGTTTGCTATGACATATAGTCTCTCAAATAAGGTGAATCATTGGTTGCCATTTGGGAAACTGTTAGCAAATTTGGAAGACAACATCGTAGGTAAGTTTTGTGACTTCTGTTCCCATGTGGGTAGAGACAAACAGTTTCAGAGAAAGAGTAAACTACTTTTCTTTCAGAATTCAAAAGAAGAGAATGGAAAAATAGTAGTTTTTTAAAAAAGTAATTATCCTGAAGTGAAATATTGGCTACAATGCAACATTTGAAACAAATATTTTAAATTTGAGCTAACATTCTCACTTGAGCCAAAACTTATTCTCCAGGCTACATTCCCTTCAGATTATAGCATTAAGAAGTAGAAGCTACTTACTATTTGTTTAACCACCATTCCCATCAAAAGAAATCATTTATCCTTTTCAGCATCTGGTCCCTAACCTATAGCATTATGATAACCCAATCCACCTAAAGTGAAGACTAAATGAAGTGGTTGTATACTTAGTAAATTGCAAATCAGTATTGTTAGTCAGAAAAACACTCTTTGTACTTAAATTTGCTTTAATAAAAATATCAAAATATATGTGTCCTCTATAAATTTGATTATCCATGTTTAAGAGCAAGAGTATACTAACTCCAAAGAAAACAGATCCTTTAATATTAATATTTATTAAATAATTGCGTTCTTCCCCTACCCCCATCCCATTCCTTTCCTTTTTGCTTTCTCTGCAGTCTCTCTTGAGTATCCGTGGCTCCCTGTTTTCCCCAAGACGCAATAGCAAAACAAGCATTTTCAGTTTCAGAGGTCGGGCAAAGGATGTTGGATCTGAAAATGACTTTGCTGATGATGAACACAGCACATTTGAAGACAGCGAAAGCAGGAGAGACTCACTGTTTGTGCCGCACAGACATGGAGAGCGACGCAACAGTAACGTTAGTCAGGCCAGTATGTCATCCAGGATGGTGCCAGGGCTTCCAGCAAATGGGAAGATGCACAGCACTGTGGATTGCAATGGTGTGGTTTCCTTGGTGGGTGGACCTTCAGCTCTAACGTCACCTACTGGACAACTTCCCCCAGAGGTGATAATAGATGACCTAGCTGCTACTGACATTATTCACCAATTTGAAATAATCAAAGCCTGGACAGTTTAGGCTGTCATACCGTCCTGCTTCCTCAAAATGAAAGTTGGTAAAAATAATACATGATTAATCAAAGGGAAAACAATAGAATATTGAGAATCAATTGAATTGTATGGGACCATTAGCTTTTGTTGTATGGGAATTACTTGTAAGGGACCATGGCTTTAGGTTAAAAGGGCCCCGTTTTTAGAGTCTGCTATGAAATACATATCTGCAAATTTGGTAGACCTACCGAGACAAATAATGGACATTTTCACCATCAAATCTATAAGATGTATATTCACCAAGAATTGTATAATTATCTATTCATATTCTGGAAAATTCATATTCTTAAAATTAAATATTATAACCAATTTGTTGATAATGGGCAATTTCATACAACTGTCAATATTTACAGTGCTATTTTAAAATGACTCTAAAATGTGTTGTTTTTTAATAGGATAAGATATAGAAATAATTAAAGAAATTTCAGGAAAGCACACACATTTCATCGTACATCTGTGTTTGTGCATGGAAAAAATTGGCCCACATATGTCAATATTGTCAATATAGCCTCAAAGAAAATAATTCAGCCTTGAGACTATATAATCATAATATTTATTGGGGGGAGATTGATCTGATTATTAATCATTGATAGAAGATAAAAATAATTTTCACCTGAATGAAATAAAATAATAAATGACTTTAGCATGTTTACAACAAATTTCCTTGAAAATTGTGACAGGTTAATTAAAATAGTTCTGTAATATAATTGTGTTATAAAACTGCATCCCACTGGTGAATTCCTCTTAAAGAGTACTACCTGTGATAACTTTTTTTTAAAAAAAAAACTGTTTATAACTTAGCAATAATTCAATATTTTATTCCTTGAAAATTCTTACCTGGAAAAATTGCATGTAGCATGATTTGCCAAAGAAATGCTATGTGGTGTTGTATTACTTATTGGGAAGAGTGGTTTGAGCCATCAGTATTTGGTTTGCAGGGCACCACCACAGAAACGGAAGTCAGAAAGAGAAGGTTAAGCTCTTACCAGATTTCAATGGAGATGCTGGAGGATTCCTCTGGAAGGCAAAGAGCCGTGAGCATAGCCAGCATTCTGACCAACACAATGGAAGGTAAGAAGCAGGTCATGGAACAGCCAACTTTCTGTGATTATGTGCTTTGTGAACTATTCCTTCTTTTCATAGAATTACTGAAGTCTGTTACCCAGATCGAAACTATATATTAGACCTAAGAATGTGATATATGGAGTACATTATCACATTGATTACAAAAACTAATATTGGCCTTATTTCTTTTTGACTTGGGTCCTTACCTTACTTGCAGAGTGATATTTCAACACTTGATATTATATCAATGAGGATTTATTCTTATGTTATGTTACTCATATGCAAATAGAGTAAACTCTTCCCCTTTTCTAAGTCTTGGTATATAGAAGCATAAGGAAACATTTCTTTCAGGCTTTAGTCTGTTCTTCAGGCATGGAAGTGTTGATGGGGTTGCGGGAGCACTTAAATGAGTTGGGCAAATCAAAACCTGTCCTCCACTGCAAGAGAGATCCTACAAAAGGGTCTCTCTTCCATCTTCTACATACACAGCAACCATTACATTCCTCCAAAGGACCACGGAAAGAAATGTTTGTTGATTTTGACACAGAGGAATAGGCAGCAACTATTTATACACTAAACTTGTTCATACATCACACAGCCCTCACTCCTTGAAGTCTGGAGAGAGAATATATTAGTACTGCCCTTTTTAGATCAATTATATGTCAATTCTAACATATGTTCTTTAGAAAACATCAATTACATTTTATATCATGTCTTCTTGGTGTATTAGATATACAGTCACATAATAATTATTTTGTAACAGGCCTCATCCATTAAAATTTCAAGCAATATTTTAAATACATGATGCTAAAATTCTAAAAGATATGTACAAACCACAAAAGTAGATTTGAGTCTGAATTTATACTAAAAAGAAAGGCATACTACGTTCTCACTGTGTGCAAGATTAATGTTGATATGGAAACTATGAGAGGAGAGAATAGTTCATAAATGTTATCACACACATAAGGGATCACAACTTTAGACAATGTTTTTAAAAAGGTACTTTCAGAAGAAACAATAATTATTTAAAATTTTAATAGTTGTGTAATGTTTATTTAAAATTCTGTTTTGACAAAGAGAATACAGCACTTTAATCAATCATAACCTAGTCATTTTAAAAGCAAAATATTAAATTCAAAGTGCTTATTTTCTGTATTCAAAAGAGAAAAAAGTCGATCTATATGACATTTTAATTAACATTTTCTGAAAATATTTAATGGGATTGTCTTCTCAAGTTTCTTAAGTAATATGAACTTCTATTTTCAAATATAAGCATCAATTTTGTTAAATAATGTAAAATCTACTAGCAATAATAACTCATTTTTGTTGTTATTTACTACTCTTCCTTGTTATTGTCCCTCCAGAACTTGAAGAATCTAGACAGAAATGTCCGCCATGCTGGTATAGATTTGCCAATGTGTTCTTGATCTGGGACTGCTGTGATGCATGGTTAAAAGTAAAACATCTTGTGAATTTAATTGTTATGGATCCATTTGTTGATCTTGCCATCACTATTTGCATTGTCTTAAATACCCTCTTTATGGCCATGGAGCACTACCCCATGACTGAGCAATTCAGTAGTGTGTTGACTGTAGGAAACCTGGTAAGTACATTTGAAGTTTACTTATTTACTTTGGTAGATGTGGGAGAGATAGACCAAAGGGAAAGATGTATTTGTGCTGTGTTGAACCCAAAAATTATATCCTCTTTCCTCATAGAAAGAAATATCTAAGGAATATTACAGGGAATCTCAGAGATACAGCCTAAAACTCAACTGGTATGAATGCTGATTGTTTAGGCCAATGTCTGTGCTGATTGATCATGGTGTCTTACCAGTTGTAAACGTCTCAAAATCTTTACAGTTGTTCTTGCTGGAAATGTGGGTCCAGATAAACCAGGAGATCTAATACTGGCTCCACAATCATGTGGTTTTAACCCACACAGCCTCTAAAACAATCATGTCCATTGAAGGGATGACCCAAAGATTGATGTATATGAAAAAAAGAACATCATTGTTTCAAGTTAACTACCTAATAAAAAGCTTCAGTGATAATCATACAAGAAAAAAAATAGTTGCTAAATTTGCATTTGTGATTTAGCCATACCTCTGGTTCAAATTACTGAGCATTCATCTGTGTCTATGTGTGCTAATCAAAATGGGTGAACAAGTAAGAAAAGGGTTTACATATATTATTAATCAAGAGCTTTCTCTGTACTAAAACAAACTTGGGGCAAGGGGTAGTGGGGAAACTGGAATGGAGGGAAAAGGTAGACTAACAAACTAAGTAAAGGGCAGTATTGCAGTCTGACTTTAGGAACAGTTTTCATCAAGGGCTTAGATATGGCCCACAAGTTCACTGCATCATTTGTCTTTAGGTCAGCAAATGTTCAGCAAGAGCTCACTGATTTTCCATCCTACAACCTCTACACTGAAAAGCATGAATCTCCTTTTGAGTCTCATTCCAAAGACTCTCCTGGTAGAACTTAGGCATAATTTAGGTCACATGCTCACCTCTGATTTAATCAGCCTTGGCAGAGGGTGGGATCATGTTGAAAACATGGCAGTCCTGAGGAATCATGCGTGAAGGAGCAATTGCCAACAGAAGGGGGAAAGGAAATGCTGGTGGACAATTGGATAATTGTGTGCCCTAATAAGTGACCTCAAATTATCTGCATTATTTGACTCAGTAGAACACCCACCATATTCTTGAGATTTTCTTCATCTTTGGCAAAGGCCGTGTCCCATTTTTCTGTTGCCTCTCTCAGTGTTTACATGCTAGTCACTCAATAAATAACCCACTGGTTGATAACTACCCAAAAAGGCTGCTTCAAGTAGCATGATTTTGCAAAAGAGCACAGACTTTGCAGTGGAGTGGAATTGAGTTTGACCTTAGTTGCCTAGTGCTTACTAGTGATATGGCCTCTGGACAATTCTGATAAACAATCTGAATCTTTGTTTTCTATTATTGAAATGAGTGTAATAATACCCTTCGTGCAGAGTTGTTGTGAAGGTCACATGAGGTAATGTGAAAGCACCTAGACTGTGCCTGGCATCTAGCATGTGCTCAATAAACAGTTTCCTTCCTCATATATATGCTATTAACCTTTTAGACCTTTCTTTGAAATAATGATGGAAAATATTTCTGGTGTAGTTCTTGTATTTTTCCCAGGATATTGGACAGTTAGGGAAGTTGAACAGGTGAAGGAAATTTGCCAGAGTGAAGCAGGAAATATAGAATTCCAATGCTGAAGCAGTTGAGTATGGAAACACAGGATAAGAGAGGCTGGATTATAAGATGATTGAATGAAAAAGCACTAGACAAAAGCATCAAATCTAGGTCCTAGTCAAAGTGTTCATGGTAAATATCTGTGTGGTTTTGAAAAGTCACTTAGATCCTTGAGTCTATTTTCTCAACACACATATAAACAATGAGTGTGTTGGACTAAATGACTTTTTATGTATGTCCCAGTTCTACAATTCTATGACTTTATGGGTAGTAACTGAAATAATGAGGTGGGAAAGTGGAATGGGAGACTGATGCCTGGTAGATTGTTTGTGATAGAACCATCTATAAGTTCAGGTTAGTGTTGGGGAAACAAAACTTGCCAAGATAGAGAGCATAAATTATAGGGAACAGACTTGAGTTATTTATTTCTATCCATAAAAATAGGAGAATATGTAAACTGACTGTCTCTATTGGTTGATACCTCCTTACTATAATGATTAACATATCAATAATGCATTGCATAATTTACAAAGCATTTGTTCATAGAATATCTACCCATAGAATTTCCTACCCATAACAACCTTTATCATAAATATCCATATGAAAGTAATACATATGTTTAATATATATGCAGAGAAAGAGCATGTGAGAGAGAAAGAAAGAATTTCTATCATTGGTGCTAAGCTGACTTAGGACTATATTATAGATCATAGATGATTACACAGAATGTTTTGTGGAGAGCTTATAATTTGCTCATTAAAATAAATTTAGAATATCTACAGACTAGTTTATTACTGCTCAAATTATTGCATACTGCTTTATGTTCTACATGAGGACACTGAATTGTGGAATTTTCCATCTTAACTTAGATCAATATGCCCCATTTTGCATTCTGTTTCTGCAGTACATAAAAATTACATCACTTCCTTGTTGATGAGATTAATCAAATTTGAGTATCAAGAGACCTTGAATCTCAATTAAGTTTTGCTAAGGTGCTCCGTATTTTTGTGGAGTATTTTGTTTTGTTTTGTTTTTTAATCATTATAAAATGCTTGCTCCCATCATAGGGATTCAATCAGCAAAAAATAGCCTATCAATCATAGTAGGTTAGACAACATCATAACAAACATTTCCAACTTACCTGACAATGCTGAAACTAGATTAAAATGTACCAAAAACAATCCCATTGATTTTTAGGGCCTTAACTGAAAACAGTTACAGAGATATAGCTGTCATTTTGGATTGCTAGTTGTAATAAAAATATTATTTTTAATGAAAAGTTTTATGGCGGGATTACATTTTTAGATAAGCGTAAATTTAGGGTATATGTTTTTAAAGGTATGAGATCTAGTCATTTTAGAAGAGCTGAAAAGATCACCTTATGATTTTCTATAGAAAGAGATATTTGTAGATTATTTACCTGGATGGTTCTAGCTCACCTTAAATAATATATTTCTATCATCAGAGTGCCTATTTCAAATAATAGCTGCTTCTAAAAGTTTTATACATGAAATAAAATTTGTATAGTTACAACTTATTTTACATTTACCAGGCAAACTCACTATTTGAAAAAAAAATCTTTGATGTGTTATTCTATAAAATGAAAAATATATTTTTCAATGGGCATTTCACCATATACTTGGATTTTCATGTACTAGGCTTGCTTAAAATACATTTTATTTCTATTTGAGTGAATGGATGACTACCATTAGGCTGTTTTTTTCTGTGATGGGTATTTCCCATCTGTGATTGGAAAAAATGAAGTGTTAGCTGCATTTATATATTCGTAAGGGTGGATCAAGATTTCTTTTAAGTGGAACCAAATAATTGTTATACTGTTATTTTGACAGAATTCCTTCAAGATAAAGGCTGATTTATCTTCGTAAATGCTAAACTTGACTTTACAGTCATAAACTGCAACTTGTAACTATAGCAAATTAAGAGAATTGCTTTAAAAGATTTTCTGCAAGAGTAATTTCATAATTCTTCATGTCCTGTATCTCTCAGCCTATCGTTTTGAGTTAAAAAATAAATGTTGTGTTTGTTTCATTGTTTTTCTTTCTATTGTCAAATACACATTTATCTAGCCACTCAAGTGACTTATTAATCTCAATTACATGTATATGCATACTGAGTATTTTCTCCTGCTGGTTTCAATTAAATCTGCAGCTTCTTGCTCTATTAATCCATTAACCTTAATTCTGAGGCATACATCCAGAGATCATTATAATAAACAATTTGTGGCAAACTTACTTTTGTTTCAGGAATGTTTATAAAATTATAGAAATAAGATGGTGTCCCTTAAAAAACACAAAATCAAAAACAAAATATGGTTTTTACGAAATCAATTTTTAATAACTTTCAGTAATATGTGGATTTGTTCCTGATGCGATACTACCCAGAAATAAATTTGGTTGTGATTATGTTAGAAATGTAGTGTACCAACAAGGGCAATAATTCAGTAGCTATTATTCAATACCAGAGTTAAAATGTAGACCATGAAATGTTTTAAAATTAGTGTTTTTCTTGGAAATCCAGAAGATTCATTAAATAATACCACTCTACTTAATAAAATACTCTCCTAGAGGAAAAAAAAAAAAAAGCTAGACATGGCTGGGTGTGTTGGCTCATGCTTGTAATCCCAGTACTTTGGGAGGCTGAGGCGGGCAGATCACTTGAGGTCAGGAGTTCGAAACTGGCCTGGCCAACGTGATGTGAAACCCTGTCTCTACAGAAATTAGAAAAATTAGCTGGGCATGGTAGGTAGCCCATGCCTGTAATCCCAGCTACCTGGGAGGCTGAGACTGGAGAATCACTTGAAGCAGTGAGCCAAGATCGCGCCACTCTACTCCAATCTGGGCAACAGAGGGAGACTCTGTCTCAAAAAAAAATAATAAAAATAAAAAATGAAAATAAACATACGTGTGCATGTGTCTTTATAGCAGCATGATTTATAGTCCTTTGGGTATATACCCAGTAATGGGATGGCTGGGTCAAATGGTATTTCTAGTTCTAGATCCCTGAGGAATCGCCACACTGACTTCCACATTGGTTGAACTAGTTTACAGTCCCACAAACAGTGTAAAAGTGTTCCTATTTCTCCACATCCTCTCCAGCACCTGTTGTTTCCTAACTTTTTAATGATTGCCATTCTAACTGGTGTGAGATGGTATCTCATTGTGGTTTTGATTTGCATTTCTCTGATGGCCAGTGATGGTGAGCATTTTTTCATGTGTTTTTTGGCTGCATAAATGTCTTCTTTTGAGAAGTGTCTGTTCATGTCTTTCACCCACTTGTTGATGGGGTTGTTTGTTTTTTTCTTGTAAATTTGTTTGAGTTCATTGTAGATTCTGGATATTAGCCCTTTGTCAGATGAGTAGGTTGCGAAAATTTCCTCCCATTTTGTAGGTTGCCTGTTCACTCTGACGGTAGTATCTTTTGCTGTGCAGAAGCTCTTTAGTTTAATTAGATCCCATTTGTCAATTTTGGCTTTTGTCGCCATTGCTTTTGGTGTTTTAGACGTGAAGTCCTTGCCCATGCCTATGTCCTGAATGGTAATGCCTAGGTTTTCTTCTAGGGTTTTTATGGCTTTAGGTCTAACTTTTAAGTCTTTAATCCATCTTGAATTAATTTTTGTATAAGGTGTAAGGAAGGGATCCAGTTTCAGCTTTCTACATATGGCTAGCCAGTTTTCCCAGCACCATTTATTAAATAGGGAATCCTTTTCCCATTGCTTGTTTTTCTCAGATTTGTCAAAGATTAGACAGTTGTAGATACGTGGCATTATTTCTGAGGGCTCTGTTCTGTTCCATTGATCTATATCTCTGTTTTGGTACAAGTACCATGCTGTTTTGGTTACTGTAGCCTTGTAGTATAGTTTGAAGTCAGGTAGTGTGATGCCTCCAGCTTTGTTCTTTTGGCTTAGGATTGACTGGGCGATGCAGGCTCTTTTTTGGTTCCATATGAACTTTAAAGTAGTTTTTTCCAATTCTGTGAAGAAAGTCATTGGTAGCTTGATGGGGATGCCATTGAATCTATAAATTACCTTGGGCAGTATGGCCATTTTCACGATATTGATTCTTCCTACCCATGAACATCGAATGTTCTTCCATTTGTTTGTATCCTCTTTTATTTCATTGAGCAGTGGTTTGTAGTTCTCCTTGAAGAGGTCCTTCACGTCCCTTGTAAGTTGGACTCCTAGGTATTTTATTCTCTTTGAAGCAATTACTTGGAACCAACCCAAATGTCCAACAATGATAGACTGGATTAAGAAAATGTGGCACATATACACCATGGAATACTATGCAGCCATAAAAAATGATGAGTTCATGTCCTTTGGAGGAACATGGATGAAATTGGAAATCATCATTCTCAGTAAACTATCACAAAGACAAAAAACCAAACACCACATGTTCTCACTCATAAGTGGGAATTGAATAATGAGAACACATGGACACAGGAAGGGGAACATCACACTCTGGGGACTGTTGTGGGGTCGGGGGAGGGGGGAGGGATAGCATTAGGAGATATACCTAATGCTAAATGACGAGTTAATGGGTGCAGCACACCAGCATGGCACAGGTATACATATGTAACTAACCTGCACATTGTACACATGTACCCTCAAACTTAAAGTATAATAATAATAAAATAAAATAAATAAAAATAAATAAAAATAAAAAATGAAAATAAAAAAACTAAGACTTGAATTGATTTGTCACATTCTCTCACTTTAAATTTTAGATATTTTTATTCCTGTTAATGTTCTTCTTTATAAATTCGTGTAGCATCAGTGTTTTTCAGTGCTCTTGAAGTAGTGCTGATCTCTATTTTTTAGGTCTTTACTGGGATTTTCACAGCAGAAATGGTTCTCAAGATCATTGCCATGGATCCTTATTACTATTTCCAAGAAGGCTGGAATATCTTTGATGGAATTATTGTCAGCCTCAGTTTAATGGAGCTTGGTCTGTCAAATGTGGAGGGATTGTCTGTACTGCGATCATTCAGACTGGTATCTATTTATATATATCCCTGTCGCTCATTGGCACAACATTTATTTTGAAATTGAATCAATGTATATTTATATAATTATTAATTTTAATTTTAAATTTACATCAATATGTGACATTCTAAGAAAACATGTAAACATCCTCTTTAAAGCTAAACCATTTTCTAAGAATGATGAAAGCATTCAAAATACTCTATAATGATTAGGTATGTAGGGCACATTAGAAAACCTACAAGTACTTTCTAAAACTGTGTTTTAAGTTTATGAAGCTTTTTTGGCCTTACAGTCTGTAAAGATACGCAAATAAAAATTTAGACCCCAGTTAATTTTAGCTTTTTATTAACCCTACTTCTAGGAATGGGGACTGTTTTAAAGCAACATGTGGGAAAATATTTGATGTTATTAGTATCTTAAATAATTGTATAAAAAACTTTTTGAATTATCACAAAATTTTATTGAGAAATATGTAAAATTTATTGAAAATTAAGCAAAATGTGTATTTTTTCAATTTTTTTCCTGTACATTTTTATCACATTATTTAGGTTATTTTACTTTTATATTGGCCTATAAAAATCTATGATTTATACTTTTAATATTTCTTTTTACTGTCTAAAATAGAATCTGAAGATAACATTTATTTGCTAATTTAAAAAGTCTCTAATCAAAATACCATTTGTTTACATGGGCATATCTTTGGATGAATCAGAAATGTTTTATTTATTATTTCTGAAATGTTTTATTTTTATTTTTGCACTTAAATGATATTATGACCAGATTTACAATTCTAATATTGTTAACACTATTTTTTCTGGATTTGAAATTGAATCAGTTCAGTATATTTTGAGTTTTTACATCTACCACGTGTGGTTCTATGATACCACATACTAATAAAATAATGTCTAAAATTATATTATGATTACTACTAACAGCATCTTTTCACTTGATTACAGCTTAGAGTTTTCAAGTTGGCAAAATCCTGGCCCACACTAAATATGCTAATTAAGATCATTGGCAATTCTGTGGGGGCTCTAGGAAACCTCACCTTGGTGTTGGCCATCATCGTCTTCATTTTTGCTGTGGTCGGCATGCAGCTCTTTGGTAAGAGCTACAAAGAATGTGTCTGCAAGATCAATGATGACTGTACGCTCCCACGGTGGCACATGAACGACTTCTTCCACTCCTTCCTGATTGTGTTCCGCGTGCTGTGTGGAGAGTGGATAGAGACCATGTGGGACTGTATGGAGGTCGCTGGCCAAACCATGTGCCTTATTGTTTTCATGTTGGTCATGGTCATTGGAAACCTTGTGGTATGTATGTAGTACAAATGCTCATAAATTAGAACAAGAGCAGACAGTAGCTAGGAACGTGGCCAGATGTAGTAAACATATCTCTGGTTTATAGTAAGTGGCCTAGACTGAAATCCCCCTATTAGCACTCAGAGAATAAGCAAGTTATTTAACTTCTCCTGGGCTCTGGTTTCCCATTTTTTATGACATTGGAATAATAAAACTGAAATCATATCTTTAATGCAAAGATTAAATCAGATGTATTTATGAATGCCTGGGGGCATAAATATTAGATTTTCCTTTCTTCTTCAAAGAAAGTAAATTTTTATCACTAAGAAGAATTGTATCCTAATATTGTTTTGATAAGAAAATGACCTCTACTAAATCTAAAAAGACAACTATCTATTCTATAATCAAATTGCTCTTTGCATGTTCATAGTTCATGTAGTTTGCTTACTTAGAGACATAGGTTGCATAGTACCAAATTTTGAAGACACATTTCAATGAAGTAGACCATTATATTTTAGCTATGCATTGTAATTATCCAAGTAACTTGGAAGAGGACAAAATGTTTTCTTCCCTGAATTTGCATTACTATAGGAAAACCAATTATTACAGTTTAAATTATTCATATGTATGGACATTGTCCAGACTCAAAGGAGTTACTTTTAACTGTGACTTAAAATCACTAATGCAAAAGCATAGTTTATATATTTATATGTTTAATGCTTAAATTTCTCAGTCATGCGTGGGCAAAGCATTTCTTTATGCCATCATATTGGGCCTTTCCTTTGAGGGATACATTTCAGATAAACTTGTTCAAAAGAATGCTACTGGGATACCTACGAACATGTAATTTTTTTCTCCAGAATAGTAAATTAGGGAGCTCTAGATTCTGAAAAAATCTGATACAGAAGTAAGGAAGCAAACTGGGGCTTTTGCCTTGCATGTCTTCCTATAGTGTAACATATTCTGAAACTCAATAACTAACTACATTTCAGGCTAAAAATATTATTATAAATTTTCTTTTACATCAGAAATAATGAATTATTCCTGCATTAACCATAACTTATCAGTTGGCTGAGTAACTTTTTCACATATCCCATGATATTCTGAAAGTTAAAATCGCCTCATACTTTCTACACACACACACACACATACACACAAAGAAAGAAAGAAAAAGAAAAGTAACTTATGTGGGTCTAGCCTAAACCCTGGTATACTTTTAGATTTCTCTCCATCTGTTGAGCTATTTGAACATATAAATTTCAAAGTGTATTTGATGGGAAACGTGTTAAATCGTATATAATTTGCACTTAGAAATTTCTGCTGTTATAAAAGTTTGTGGCCATTGGGCCAAAGGAATTTGTATTTCAAGTATATCATTTGGAACATATCATCAGGCTATTAAATAAATAAGTTCATTCTTTATATACACGAAGCTAGAAATTCCCTAGGAAAAAAAATGGTAAGATGAAGTAAGATAAAATGATTAAGAAGAAAGTATCTTTCTCTCTCTCTCTCTCTCTCTCTCGTTGGCAGAATCCTTGAGGGTAGGATTTTGTCTTTGCACTGGCAAACCTGAGTAGACACCATTTAAATCTTAGAAGCTCTGCTTTCCTATTGTCCCTCCCAATAGGAAAAAAAGAAGAGGTGCTTGTTTTATCATTTTGCCCTTAGAGCAGGATATTAGGTCCTTTAAAGAGTGTGTGACTTAGACATGGCATCTGAAATATAGTAAGCATTCAATAAACATTTGTTGAAATAATTTTAGCAAAGATCTATGAGTTCCCTTTTTAGGCTGTTATTTAAATGCATATTTCAATATTAAAATAGACATTTTTCTTTTTTTCTTTTAGGTTCTGAACCTCTTTCTGGCCTTATTGTTGAGTTCATTTAGCTCAGACAACCTTGCTGCTACTGATGATGACAATGAAATGAATAATCTGCAGATTGCAGTAGGAAGAATGCAAAAGGGAATTGATTATGTGAAAAATAAGATGCGGGAGTGTTTCCAAAAAGCCTTTTTTAGAAAGCCAAAAGTTATAGAAATCCATGAAGGCAATAAGATAGACAGCTGCATGTCCAATAATACTGGAATTGAAATAAGCAAAGAGCTTAATTATCTTAGAGATGGGAATGGAACCACCAGTGGTGTAGGTACTGGAAGCAGTGTTGAAAAATACGTAATCGATGAAAATGATTATATGTCATTCATAAACAACCCCAGCCTCACCGTCACAGTGCCAATTGCTGTTGGAGAGTCTGACTTTGAAAACTTAAATACTGAAGAGTTCAGCAGTGAGTCAGAACTAGAAGAAAGCAAAGAGGTAAGAATGCTTTTAAATTTTTTGTTCCATTTCCTATGATAACCATGTACTACAGTTATTTACTATTTTCATTGTGCTTATATGCATTATCAAAAAGCAATATTGAAAGTCATATGTCTATAGTGATGTTGGAAAATCACAAGATACTCTTTATTGGGAAATGGATTTCTAAAAATTCCAATTTTTCACAGGAAATTAAACCATTCTGAGTCTTTAGTATATTCATTTTCTTGATCATTTGAAAATGTGGTTAAAAAATGTGGCCTTTTAGGCTGGGCATGGTGGCTCATGCCTGTAATCCCAGCACTTTGGGAGGCCAAGGAGGCAGATCACTTGAGCCCAGGAGTTCGAGGCCAGCCTGGGCAAGATGGCAAAATCTCCTCTCTACAAAAAAAAATACGAAAATTCACTGGGCATGGTGGCACATGCCTGTAGTCCCAGCTACAAAGGAGGCTGAGGTGGGAGGATTGCTTAAGCCCAGTAGGTAGAGGCTGCAGTGAGCCACGATCACATCATTCTACTCAACCCTGAGTGACAAAGCAAGACCCTATCTCAAAAAAAAGTAGCCTTCCAAAAAAGAGATGTTATTTAGTACATTACACTCTCAACTACATTATGTTCTTTAAAAAATAACTTATTTTCGTCATCTCCTTACTCTCTATATTAGGTTTTGCTATGATTTTTATGTGAAAACTTTATGTACTTTTGTTAACCTCTGAAAGTCTTATTCACTATGATAGTGTTTCATTTATGAAAGTGTTATACACATTAGGAAAGTACAAGTAGTACTTATTATATTTTGCCCAGTCAAGGATGAGCAGATCTATAGTCTTCCAGAGTAACTTGAAAATACTAAGAACTACTTTTAAAAGCTTCACTTGAGGGCTATAGTTATTTTGTAGGTTAATAAACCTACTCTTACTGTTGTGTTACTAGGAAAGAGAAAAAAGAAGGAAGGAAGGGAGGGAGGGAGGAAGGGAGGGAAAGGAGAAGAGGGAGGAAGGACGGAAGGAATGAAGGAAGGAAGGAACGAAGGGAGGGAGGGAGGGAGGGAGGAAGGAAGGGGAAAGAAAGGGAAAGAGAAAGAAAGAAGGAAATAAAGAAAAAAGGGAAAGAGAAAAAAAGAAGGAAAGAAAGAAAGAAAAGAAGGAAGAAATAAAGAAAGAGAAAGAAAAGAAAAAGAGAAAGAAAGGAAGGAAGGGAAGAAAGAAAGAAGAAAGGGAAGGAGGGAAGGAAAGAAGGAAGGAAGCAAGGAAGGAAGGAAATTGTTCCTACTGCATGATTAGTATTCTTAAGTTTCTATCATAGTAGTAATGTTATTAATTCTTCAATCCTGTGTTGTGGAAAAGAGGATTAAAATTCTTTACTATTATTTATTTATAGACGTTTAATACATATGAGTACAAAGTAAGTCTAGCACAGATGGAGTTATCAAAGACAGGTTTTGGCTTGAGGGTATAATGTTGACACAGTGGGAACCAAACCAACAATGTCTGATTTCGTGAGCATATTTTGGAACTCTTTTTTTTAAATAAGTGTATCAACAAAACTTGATCTGAAATCCCTATAATAGGTAGCTGACAATCTTACAACTCATAGCTTCCTGACTATTTTCAGGTATTTTAGAGTTGCTGAAAGATAGTATAATAATAAGTTGGAAAATATTTTGAAAAAGGTAAAATACATACAAAATTAAGTAGTGATATTTTTTCTCTGAATTCCATTTAAAGTCTGCTAAGTGAGTTCAACTCTAATTTATGTTGCTCATTCTGACAAACTAAGAATTCAACTCTAATTTTATTTCCCATCACCTGGCATGAATTTATGTAAGAAGAAATACCAGTCAATTAACAAGAACTTACTGAGCACTTTTTGTGAATTCAGCAATCTGCTGGATACTAGGGGTGAAGGAGAGCTCTATAACAAAACTCTCCTTCAAGGAAATCTTGACATATTTGAGTAAGCTAACATGAACTCATGAAATTATTAAAGACCTATTAAAAACTTTAATCCTGGCTGGGTGCGGTAGCTCACGTCTGTAATCCCAGCACTTTGGGAGGCCGAGGCGAGTGGATCACGAGGTCAGGAGATCGAGACCATCCTAGCTAGTACGGTGAAACCCTGTCTCTACTAAAAAATAAATAAATAAATACAAAAAAATTCGCTGGGTGCGGTGGCGGGCACCTGTAGTCCCAGCTACTCGGGAGGCTGAGGCGGGAGAATGGTGTGAACCCGGTAGGCGGAGCTTGCAGTGAGCGGAGATTGCGCCACTGCACTCCAGCCTGAGCAACAGAGCAAGACTCCATCTCAAAAAAAAAAAAAGTTTAATCCTGTCAGGTTGCATGTGAGGCTATAGGTATTGAGGAGAGCAAGAATAATTGCTAAATGGAAGAGATAAAATTGAAATAGACCTCAAAGTTTGGGTCAAATATACATTATCAGAAAGCAAAATGCTGAAGCTTACTAAAGGAAAGGTGGAGCTGACAGTGAGCTTGGTATTAAAGACAGTTTAGGGTTATCATTGCAGATTATCATGCAGTGATAATCTACATGAGGTAAGTGTTGGTTGAATATATAGTGGAAAATATGTTTGAATGTGTGAGGTAGTTTCAGATTATAAAGTTTTAAAGTAAGCCAAAGAGTTTGGAGTTAATAGGGAGCTATTTTCTGTTCTGAAGCAGGGGAAGGCAATTGGAAAGTGGTATTTTAAGAACATTTATTTGATATCAAAGAGTAAAACAGTTTAGAGTGAAAGATAAGAAAGGTTATCTTGGGGAATATGGTGATAATCATTCGGTAGCAATGAGGTGATAAAATTCTCAGCTAGGGCAATAAGTAATGAGAATTGAGACTCATTGGCAACTTGACAAACCTACTAAAGAACCTGGGAAAATGGAAAAACAGCAATGCCACTTTCTGAAATGGTCTTTAAAAAGGGCTACCCAGTTTATGTTGGAAAAGGAGTTCAATTGGGATATACTGAATTAGAAGTGTCAGTGTTGGGAAACAGAGTCTGAGTTAGAGGTCAGGGTTTAAAAATAAGGTATAATGTTTGATAATGCAGATTTTATAATTACCTGATTCCCTGAAAATGGAGGAGCTCATCAAATAAGTAATTATAAAGTGAAAGAAAAAAGAGAAAACTAGAGACAAAGTAGCATAAAAACTTAGGGTCAAAAGAGGTAGAAAAGCTAAAAGATAGAAAAACTTTTTCTAGATTAATACGATAGAATTTTTTGACATCAGATTTATGGAAAGTAAATATCTTAATTTCCTCCTACCGAACAGTTGGTTTCCAAAGTATTTTTAAAATTTCATAATGACCACCGATATTTCAAATGACTGCTAATTATCATGCCTTTTTAATGGCTTAAACATAATAAATTTAGAGTAACAAGATATAAATCTCTCCTTTGTTATGTACCTGGAAAACATTTCTTACCTGAACAAAAATGTCTTATGGGGTGATTTAAATAACTACTTTATCCTCCTCTTTCAAGCTAAATTTTGAATACATAGATTTCAATTACAAAATGTAAAGAAATTATTTAAAATATATAAATATGTTAGTGGGAAAATCACTAAACAAATATAAAGGTATATATTTTTATAAAGCTAGAATAAAATTTCAAATTATCTTGCACAGTAATATTAAATTCAACAATAAATTTTATATGAATGATTTGGTAAAATGAATACTTTAAAAACCCACCAAAAAAGTAATAGGGAACTCTCATATATGCTCACACACAAGATAAAATGCAGACAGTTTTTAAAATAAAAAGCCAATACCAGCATGTTCTAATATCATAGAGCAGATTAAATGAGTTCTAGCAAAGTGCATTTTTGATTTGAAATTTCCAAAAGCTGCTAGCATACTTCAGGTGCACACTTATATTGGCTGGGTTATTCCCTTTTAATAGCTATCACACACACGAACACATTTAAAATAACATATCCATAAAGTGACATTTTGGTTCATGTTTCTTAGGTTTTTGACACAAGTAGCAAGAGAACATTGAACTCTACTTTGCAGAGCACAGAATATCCTTCCTCTTTGCTAATAAAGTGAGCACTCACATAAGTTAAACCCACCAGAGTTATACATTTTTCACTAAAAAACTTGCATGAAATGTCTGCTTGAAGAGGAGACAGTAAATTAATCATTAATTTAGATGGTATTTGGAAACTCTAGTTACTGTATTTCCTCTGTTCATTTTCATAATAAAGGATACCTGACTATCGCAGCTAAAGAGAAATGATCCCTAGAAGTTTTTAGAGATAAACATGGGAATTGCTGTTATATATGTTATATATGTGTGTATATATATTACATCTGTATATATGAATACCACTAACATAAATAGGCTGGTATGGAAGCAAATATAAACTTTTGCATGAAAAAAGTTCAGGAAATTGAAGGCATGGATTTCAAAATAGTGATTTTTTTAATCTTGCAAAAACTTGGAATTATGCGAATCTTTTTGAGGAGCTCTAATGTAGAATTTGTTTGTTTTTATATTTTTTAAGTTCTCATAATCATAATTTCTTGAAATACTTATATAACTATGAATTTTTGCAATTTAATTCTTAAAAGATTATTGGTTTGTCTTCCTAAGTGAAGGATATAGAATAAATGCTTTTAACAATCATATTTGAAGTTGAATTCCAAACACAATCTAGCAATATCATACTGTGACCTTCACTGCTTACCATTCTTACTTCTCACAGGAGTAAAATCAAGCTGGAGCCATCAAGAATGCAGCTCTGGTGTTTTTTAACCAGCCAGAGGCTCGTGCCACCACTTTTACCCAGGTTATCCAAGCAAGTTGTACATGTACAATCACGTTCTAAATGAATTTTGACTGGCCTGCATGCTACTCAGCTATGTTCCTTCCCCTGCCATGGCAAGGAAGTGCTAGACTTGCCCAGCTGCTCTCTGCTGAATCGTGTGACACATCACAGCATGGTCAGGCGAGATGGGCAATCCCAACATCATATTTAATTCTGCTAATGAGTTTTCTAATTTAGTCTTTAGCCTTTTAAAACCAATTGCATGCTCTATAGGATTTGTAATATCTATTTTAAAACATGATAGGAATGTTTATGGTTCAATATAGTCAGGGATGTAGGAGGGCATGCATTTTTTTGTTTCTCTGCTTTTATTTCATTAAAATAAGACCACAACTTTTTATTGTTGATTCAGCCTTTATAAGTAAATTGTATTACCAAAATAAGCCTCACAGGGTTTTTTTCTGATAGTACTGCCACTTTCAGATCATTATATTCAGATCTATGAATATAATTTTCAGCCTATCCAATTCATGTGCTCCAGATGAAAATGTTTGCTTTCATGTTTTGGGGGAAAGGTTCTGTAAAAAAAAAAAAAAAGAAAAAAAAGAAAGAAAGAAAAAAGAAAAAAAAAAGAATAGGGTGATCCTGAGGTTTGGAGATGAAGGGCCATAGTCTGTATGCATTTGGGCAACACATATCTTGGATTTTCATGTAGGTTGGGAAAAGTTATGTCTGCAAAACCATAGTGATCATTGTAACTTAAAAAAGGAAACATCATGATATATGGGATGAAAATTCATTATATCTTGATCATTAAGTAATTGGCCTAGTGTACCCATTTGTTATTTGAAATGTCAATGATTTATGTTAATTTCTCCCTAAATGTTCTATCCAAAACTGACCAGGCAAAAAAGAGACTTGGAAAATTTACTATTTTCAGTTATTAATTATTAATTTTAGTTTTGTGAGGAGTAAAGGGAATCTCCCAAGATTATTGTAGATTTGTGGCGTAATGAGCTTTTATTTTATTCTGTTCACTCAACTTTCTCCATTGCTTACTGGAATCTCAGCCAGAGTGCGGGTTCTGGGAGGGAAATTTTGAAGGAAATGTAAAGAGTTCATAAATATTGGGCAGTTTTCAAGGCTTCTGGTGACAAGGAATATCTAATTAGTTTGGGGTTGTCTCTAGGTTTAATTTATGCATAGTCTTATTTTCCTTAGGGATAACTGAGAATTAGTTGCAGAATGCAAAAAAAATGAGAAATAAAATTATCAATGGAAAATAGTAACAAAGATACAGTCCATGGTGATTTATGCAATTTTTATTCAGCACCAAATTTTTAGATTTAGAATAAAACAACATTATTAGTCATTGAAGAAAATCTGATTTCTTTTTCTTTTTTCTTCACCAGCAGAATAGAATTAAATGGTACTGCCATATTATTATTTACACTGTGTTTATAACAGGATTCCCTCCTTTTCAGAGTCTTTATGGAAACTTTGAAAGTAGATGTTTGACTAAGGTCCGGAGCACATGCCCTTCTGGACATGACTTTGTGCTATTTTTGGAATTTGGAAAGCAATGGAATAATGACTCTAGCTTTCAGTTTCTCTGTTACATGGCCAGTGTCTTCCAAATGCTCTTTGTGAAATTGAATGTGAGATAATTTTTGAGAGGAGCAGATGGGTGTGTGAATAGCCATTTTAAACCCATCTCAACCTTTAAAGATGGTCTTGGTGCTTTAGTGTACTTCTGCTGAAAAAAAAAAAAATTAAAGCTGGTTCAGACGAATACTTTTGTATCCTTTCTGAAAACAAATGGCCTTTTTCTTTTTCCTTTTTGATGCTCTTTTACCCTACTCTTCAACTACAACGTAATTATTTTCAGTTTCACATACCATGTTCTTATTCAGGCTATTTTAAAAATAAAAGAAGCTCCGGGGATGTTGTACATTTAATATATGTCCAGGCAAACCAGATGGTGGTGGTTCATATTTTTAATCTTTCGATAAGTGATCGTGAAAAAAAAAAAAAAAAGAGCTACTGGCCTTTTCCTTCCCGCCTAGGACAAGCAACCCAATGGCTTCACTGTGTGGCTGTCTTGTTTTTCAGGTGAAATATCATAAGTCAAGATATGGTTATGCATATCCAAAAGATCAGACTAAGGCCCTGATAGTGTGTATGACCAAAACTTTCCTCTTCTACTAGCAAGACAAAAATCCACAACTTTTTAGAGAAATGGCTAGATTTTAAAGGCAATCTGTAATGGCTGAATCTTTTATTTTGCCTCTTGAATCATACAGCAGTTTGTGAGAGTCAAATATTTGATAGCTGATTGAAAATAAATGAAATGTGAGCGCATTTCAGTGGAAGTAGGCCAGTTGCTAACATTCTCTTCTATCTCTGAAAGTTAAATTTCATTATTTAATTGGATAAAAATCAAGAGCAATATTTGTCATATGGGGGAATTTCTATATAAGGTCACTCTATTGGGCGGCGGGGAATGGTCTCGTGGCCTTTTTTGGGTGTTAACTCTATTGTTTCTTATGTTGAAATAACCCATTCCTGTGAGTGGTATTTGTAGTTAACCTTCTTGAAAACTTCATATTCAGGTACCATGTCTTTGAGGACATGGTTCTTGGATCAGCGTGCGGCTTCCACAGCATTGCGCCGGGCTTCTGCTACAGCCAGGCATGTTTTCTGCGGCTGAATTAGGCCTGGAGAATGTTGCATCTTAAAACCTGCTTTTCAGCGTGCATTTGTAGAGCATAAGCCATCATCCCTCTGTAGACCCACTCGTTTCTACAAGGGATGGAAAAATTTAACCTTTAAGTGCCATAAAATATTGGAGGAGTAGGGAGAAAATAGTACAAGAAAACAAGTTTGAACTTGTACTATGTGGTTTTATATGGAAGCTTTCTATTATTATGCCTATATTCCCAATTATATTTTTCTAACTACTTCAGGACAAGTATGAATTTAGTTATTTAGTATAGTCATCTAGTTTCTTAATATGGTAAATTTAATTTCAGGTTTCTTTGCTTTTTTATATCATTGTAGTATCACAGCTATGGCAATATAAAGAAAGTAAGTTATTCTTTATATTTATTGGTCACTTGCTTTTAAATCAGTTATATGCTTTTAAATAAATTTGAAGGTCATTTTGGTTATGGCTATAATAAGATGTATCACAAACCACCCTTGACTAGAATGTGAATGCCAAAGTGTTGAACTTATTTAGAAAATGTTTAGATTATTTAGATTATATCAGTGTATAGAATTATGCATATAGTATAGATATGTATCATATAAATGTATACAATTTAAAATGCTTATATAGTTTTTCAGGGTGTACATTAGTGATTTAAAAAATACAGCAGTAAAGTTCTTTATGTATCCAGTGACTAAAGCATATCAGGTAGTAGATCATAATTCGTAAGCTGATGTAATTTAATAAGAAGGTGATTCACAATTTAATTTATAAATGTAGGTAAATGCATAACTTTAGAAATTTGATACAATATTTTCATAACTTCATACAATTAAAACATAGGTACTTTCCTATGATAAATATGTGACCTAGGGCATTAAAAAATAATGTAGTAGCATTTCTGACTAAGAAGATTAAATTGGCCAGATGCAGTGGCTCATGCCTATAATCCCAACACTTTGGGAGGCCAAGGTGGATGAATCACTTGAGCCCAGGAGTTTGAGACCAGCCTGGGCAATATGGCAAAACCCTATCTCTACAAAAAATTTAAAAATCATCCAGGTGGGCCAGGCACGGTGGCTCACGCCTGTAATCCCAGCACTTTGGGAGGCCGAGGCAGGCTGATCACGAAGTCAGGAGATCAAGACCATCCTGGCTAACATGGTGAAACCCCGTCTCTACTAAAAATACAAAAAATTAGCCAATCATGGTGGCGGGCGCCTGTAGTCCCAGCTACTAGAGAGGCTGAGGCAGGAGAATTGTGTGAACCCAGGAAGCGGAGCTTGCAGTGAGCCGAGACTGCGCCACTGCACTCCAGCCTGGGTGACAGAGCGAGACTCCGTCTCAAAAAAATAAATAAATAAATATAAAAGTTAGCCAGGCACGGTGGCATGCACCTACAGCCCCAGCTACTTGGGAGGCTGAGATGGGAGAATCAGTTGCGTCTGGGATGTTGAGGATACAGTGAGCCATGATCATGCCACAGCACTCCAGTCTGGGCCACAGAATGAGACCCTGTCCCAAGGGGGAAAAAAAAAAGATTAAATCATGACTGAGGCAGATTCTTCAACTTGGGAAAACTGACTTTATGTCAACCTTCATAGATAAGGAAGCCTCCCATAAAACACTTTTTAGTGAAATGCAAACTAATCTACCGTCTTCTAAGCTTTGGTTCATAAGAGTCCTGGGAGCTTGCAAAAGCTTTGCCAAGATTCCCTCTGAGCATTCCTTGAGGGGCTTTCTAGAGCCTGGAAGATTATCTTTATAATCAGAAAATCTCTGTAATAACTGTAAAGCAATTCTCCATGAAATGGGTTCTACTCCTTGGACAATAGCAGAATGGTGGCAGGGTTTTTTCCTTGTCCATTGTCAAAAGATATGTTGTGCCTCATAATGCCAGGAGGAGAGAGGTGAACTGTGATCACTGTCCCTCTCTATCTTAAGATGTATAAATACATAACCTCCAGAGCTATTAGAGATTATTTATGTCCAAACAAGTTAATCACATTCACAAATATATGTAATCTAATGACCTTCCCAATAACAAAAAAATACAACCAGAGGTCCATATGTGTAAACGATTGATTCCGTTGTCATTCAGGTTAGTGGTTATTAGGACTTGTGCTGTAAAGGATTTGCTTTAAATATGTATGTATTTGTATTAAACATAAGACACCTGCAGAATACATGGAAGAATTATAATGTGAAAAATTAAACATCTCACAATTATATTAGCAGTGGTAACATGGGAAGTGAAGGGTGAGTATATTTTCTAAAGTTTTCAAATGGAAAAGTACCTGTGTGTGTATACATGTATAATTACTTTTTTATTATTAACATATTATTTTTTATTAAATCATTCCTATTTAATAAGACAATGCATTTTCTAATATAATTACATAGACTCTTTCAGGACCAGACTTGACTTATATATCAAAATGGAGAGATAGAATTATCTAAAGACTATAATTCTCTCTATAAAGTGACATTAAAAGGTATTCAAACATTCATCGATTCACTCTTCATGAACTCAACTTAACTATTCAGTGTCTATTCTATACTTGGTGATACACTGGATCTTTTGGTATATATATGTGTCTATATGTATGTAGTTGGTATACGTGTGTGTATATATAGATGTATGTAAATATGTACATATATTTATGAGAATATTTAGTCAAAGGAAACAAGTATAATAGATTAAATGCTCTATAAAATTTAGCATGAAGAAAATCATGCAAGAAAGAATGGCTTCATACAGGAAGTTGAGGTTTACTATGATAAGGCTCAGAAGTTATTAAGTTTGGATTAGCCAAGAGGACAAAAAAGCATGAAACTTTCTATAACTAACCTCAAATACTTTGGTTTCTTATTGTTATTACTTATAAAGTGGATATTAATAGCTGTCACTCATCAAAAGCCATAGTAATTAACCCATAAACTACCAGTGAAATTGGAAGAAAAAGTGGCTGAGACCAAACAATTATCCAGTATTTTCTTAGTTACACCAGAAGCTGCTACAATTCTACCCAGCAGTAATTTTCCTAGGTCTTTCTTAAATGAATAAAAATATCCTGGCTATAAGAAGCAGAAAAATCCTAGGAGAGGAGAAGATGTCTTGGCTTTCCCACCTCTCCATAATGTAGAGGAAATTAATGGTAAAAAAAAAAAAAAAAAAAAAAATTGTGCTATCATGACCCTAAGAACTATCAGCCAAAAGTGATGGCCTAGCTTCTCTATTTACCATACTCCAACCTAGGAGGTACTCTACTAAAAAACTGTATTTTGACTTAAAGTAATTTTCATAATATATATATTTGGACATGGCTAATGTCAGGTTAATATCAACTTTAAAGTAACACCACAGAAAGTATCATCTGGATACTACCCTTTAATTAGTTCACATTGTAAAATATTAAACTACATTTGCATTACGTCTTCATTAAATCAGGAATTTTGAGCCAAATTTCCCCAACATGAACTGTGTTTATGGCCTTTTTAAAAATAACACAGTAACTCTTTCAGAAGGCTTTGGCAGAGTGACCCTAACACTCAGCTACCAAAGTTAATGGGGGCTTTGAAATCATTAACATGTCCATGCACTATTGTTTCATCTTAAAAGCTTTACATTATCTAGGTTGTGCTGTGCGTCATGTCTTTGCAACTGTTTTCATAAAACTTTGCACAATCCTGTCTTCCCAAGTGATCTCAGAGTACTTATTATTTATTCTTGTAATATTACAGTGGCTCTTCTAGCCATGTGGCATGTCACAATGATTTAGTTAAAGGAAGTATTCACAGCCGGATCACACATTGAATTCAGAATGTGCTCCTAATGAAAGTCTATAGAGATTCTGGACAATGCCATTTATGAGGAAATTTCCATTTCATTTAGAATTCTTTGACAAGTATTGAATTCAGTTATGCAGTTCAAAAAAAGAGAGAGATCCATCATTTTTCTTCTAGTAAAATAAGAAGAAAATTATGTAAGCCAGAGAAAAATAGAGCTCAAAGTTGAAATATGACTGTGACTAATGTTAATGTGCTGCTCTTTCTTTCTAAAATTATAGAAACATGGACAATACTTAGAAACAACTGGTAATATTCTTTGCCCTTTGAAAATTTCCATCTGAAGAGGTGGAAATTAAAAATTTGATTTGATGTATTTTAATTAACATAATCATGGCTAGATGTCAGCATACCACTTTATCCAACTATTCTTGGTTTGGCCTCAATGTATTAAGTTATATTCATATGGCATTCATATACAAATGCAGATCATTAAACAAGTTAATCAGTATAATCCATCCATTCCAGACCACCCACATTGAATGTTGTCTAAACTTTTTTTGTCTGATTCAGGTCAGTAGTCACGTTATTTTGAATAGTACAACTTGATTTATGTTAAATTATTAGTACATAATGATCAGTAATGCTAATAGAGTTAAATGCTATCACTACTATTTTTTTTTCACACAATGACACAGTATTTCCCAGTTAGTTAAATAAAAGGGGGAAAATCACATCTTTGAAATGGGATTTTGTTTCCAGAAATTAAATGCAACCAGCTCATCTGAAGGAAGCACAGTTGATGTTGTTCTACCCCGAGAAGGTGAACAAGCTGAAACTGAACCCGAAGAAGACCTTAAACCGGAAGCTTGTTTTACTGAAGGTAAACAAGCTCTGATGTGATTAAATACAATCTCCCCTTGTTCTTTACGGAGACTGAATATGCCTCATTTAAAAAAAAAAATTTATGAAACGAGGTGTGGTGGCTTATGCCTGTAACCCCAAAATTTTGGGAGGCTACGGTAGGAGGATTGCTTGACCCCAGGAGTTTGAGACCACCCTGGGAAATGTAGTAAGGCTTTGCCTCTACAAAAAAAAAAATAAAGAAAGAAAAAATAAATTAGCTCAACATGGTGGTACATGCCTGTAGTCGCTGCTACCTCAGCCACAGCTGTATCTTAGAGCTTTTGCAGGGAGTCGAGGCTACAGTGAGCCATGATTATGCCACTGCACTTCAGCCTGGGCAATAGAGCAAGACCCTGTCTCAAAATAAATACATAAATTAAATTAAATAAGAAAAATATTTAAAATAAATAGTGAAGGCATGTTTATCTTTATTTTCCTTTTTTGTCTTTTAAAAAGTTAATCTCTCTAGATTTCTGGATTATACTTATGGCAGTGACTATTCCTGGACAGTTAAAATGATCTGATAGGTCTTTTTGTTTTCTCATTCTCCATAATGTGAGGAAGCTGACCCTATGAGATAAATGGCATTCTAGAATGTCATGTCATTGATATTGTAATCCCTTCAGAACTCCTTGGCAATGGTGTGATTTGATTTATAGATGCTACAGTAATTACATTCCCTCCCTTACAGTTCCAATGTGGTTAATGTGCTTTGGCTAGAGCTGTTTTGAGATGTAACTGTATTGTGAAGCTTTGGCAGGGAAAGCAATAGCTGTTCTCACAGAAAGCAGCACAATGTCTTGAACACAAATCAATGAATATCTATTATTCAATGTGACTGGACTTAATCAGATGAGTAGTAGCTCAGAGACTTACAGCAGAAGAGTGGATGGGAGTTAGAAATAATGCGAAAGCTAGGAGGGGGAGGACAAAGGGAAAGAGATACTGACTGACGAGCTGAGTCATAGGTGTGACTAAGAGAAGCACTGAGGCTGAAAAATAAATTAGCTTCGGAAAATTGACAGTGGCTGATGCCTGGGAAGACAGCGAGATTTTCTGTGCATGTGTGCATGAAAAGAATTAAAAACCCAGGATCACATCAAAATATGAATAAACAAATCGAACATGTAGTTTTTGCCTCAAACCTGAGAGATGCACCTGGACTATTTTCATCAATGGCCTTGAGGCAAAATAATCCTGACTGGTGGTGAAGAATGAAACCATTGTTACTTAAGCAAATCTAGATAAAATATTTCCTTGAATTCTAAGTAGCTGGCTGAGTATATAAGTCTGAGAATAATTCATTATACAGGAGGGATGCTGACGATAACTAGGAAATGAAGGAGATGGTTACCCTATGAAATGATTACCTGGAAGTGGAGTGGGGAAGGGGCAAGAAAGTTTATTTTTTCCTATTTAAGATTAAAATATATTTTTTAATTAACTATATTTGATTTTTAGGATGTATTAAAAAGTTTCCATTCTGTCAAGTAAGTACAGAAGAAGGCAAAGGGAAGATCTGGTGGAATCTTCGAAAAACCTGCTACAGTATTGTTGAGCACAACTGGTTTGAGACTTTCATTGTGTTCATGATCCTTCTCAGTAGTGGTGCATTGGTAAGTGAAATGCATATTGGCAAGAATCAGATTCTGGTGAAATAGTTTATTCTCCAAAATTACCAGATGCAAACACTGAGCTTCAGAATCAAAAGAAAAGGCATATCTGTGTCTTGCAGAGCTTGGCACCCAAGGTTTAACGATGCAAAATTCAGTTCTGAACAAATCAGCACCATGAAACAGCCAGATGGAATTTCTCATCTGGTGTTTATCTAACAGATGTTTTCCTCACTGAGACAACCATTTGCAGAGACATTCTGTAACCACGTTACTTTCCCTGTCAAATACTATCCAGTTCTCCCTAATAATTGTATTAACATTTATGGACTAAAAGTGTATTTTAGGTTTTTTTTTCATGTATAATCAACTTATTCTCTCAAAATAAGCCAGATCATTCAGGAAATTGTAGAAAGTAATGTTTGAATAGGCCAATTCTGTCCCTCATTAACAGAACTTCTAGTTATTTCTGAGTTCATATTACTTCATTAAAAGCATGTCTTTGTAACAGTAATTGAGATAGAGACTTAGGGGTGAGAAGTAGGAAAGAAAGCACATTCTAAATCACTAAAGGCATGACGTTTCCCTGCCAGCATTTTCACACTTAGTTTAGTCTTTAGATTTTGTCTGATGTTCAATGTTTATGTAAAATATCAATAATCAAATTATTGTTTTGTACTCACTATTATACTAAGCAATTTTTTCAAATATTTAGAAGAAGCAAGCCATTTAAGTAAAATAAAATATTTTTGATTCATAGGCCTTTGAAGATATATACATTGAACAGCGAAAGACTATCAAAACCATGCTAGAATATGCTGACAAAGTCTTTACCTATATATTCATTCTGGAAATGCTTCTCAAATGGGTTGCTTATGGATTTCAAACATATTTCACTAATGCCTGGTGCTGGCTAGATTTCTTGATCGTTGATGTAAGTATTTTAAGTGATTTTTATAAAATTGTTTTTAAAAGAGGCAAGTTTGACATTTCATATGTTTCTGTTATTAAAACTTTCACTAATAATGACATAATTATGCAGTTATTTAAACAAAACTGTAACATATGCAACAATGAGGAATATCTCATGGGAAAGAGTAGAGGAGGTCCTAAAAACATGGGCAGTGGTAAGAGCAAACACAGGGAGAATTGTTCTTTACCATAGATAGACAGCTTTTATTTTTCTGAAAGTTAAGTGCCTCAAGGTAAGTAATAGATAAGTAATATGTTAATTGACAGATGTAAGCACTTAGCTTATTAACAGTTCAGTTTAAAAAAACAAACAAACATCTCCAAGAAGCAAAATAAAAAATGACTGAAGGTCAGAAAGTGTGTAAACTGCACTTTAATCCCTTCCTAGAGTACGTGTGACTAAATACTGTGAAATTAACCCATGTACTGACTTCATTCAGCCACAGCCACATACCCACAGACACAACAAAATGCATTTCCATTTTTAAATCAGTAGTTAGATCCCAATAGCTAATCAGGTATTTACCATGCAAAGAGTTAGGTGTAGGTCTGTTCTGAATCTGATTACCCTGGGGTGAGTAGTCATAGGAACATTGCCAATTATGGAATCTATCTGACGTGCAGCCTGTTTTTTTATTGCAAGTGACGGAGAGGCACTGGGACAACATGACAGTCCTCTGATTCCTTGTAGTCTGTGATATTCCGTTGCACAAGGCTTCACAGCCTCCTAACAAAACAAGGTGCTTCAAATACTATCTCTAGCCATTTCCTAGCAATCACAAAGCTCCTTATTTTTAGCTCTAACACTTGTCAATATGAATCAATGATTGCCATATGTGTGCCTCGTTCTTTTTCTCATTTTTGACGAGTCTGGGTCTATCCAGATTCTACTCTTCTTCCTCCCACAAACACATATTCACAATTATATAACCAAAATGTGTTTAACCCTTTAAGTTGATAAGAAATCTGCTGTCAAGTCACTTTTAATAGACCAGAAATGACTTTCAATTTCCTTGGCTGGCCTTTCATTAATAATAGAGATGAATTTCAACATAACTCTGAAAAGCTATGCACAAATGGAAACTTAGTATTTTCACATTCCGCAGCTAGAGTGGACCTTAAGGAATATCTAGGGTTTATTCAAGACATGAGAAAACTAAAGCCTCAGTTTAAATATTTTTTGGAGATAACACAGCTTCTTAATAATAAAGTTGATACGTGTCCAAATTTACTAATTCTCAATTCAGTGCTCCTTTCCCTCATAGATTTTCTGCCTAACTGATCCATTATAAATATATTAGTTGTAATAGGTAAATGTGTGTGTGTGTGTGTGTGTGTGTGTGTGTGTGTGTGTGTGTGTGTATCAGACTGGCATCAGACTGGCTTTGAGATTTAGCATTTAAAATCTCCACCTTCTCTGTCAAAGATGGAACACTAAATACATTCAATGATCCTTTCTGGTTCAAAAAGATTTTTATCATGTATGAAGATTATGATCTTTTTTTATTTTTGAGACGGAGTTTCGCTCTTCTTGCCTAGGCTGGAGTGCAATGGTGCGATCTTGGCTCACTGCAACCTCCGTCTCTGGGGTTCAAGTGATTCTCCTGCCTCAGCCTCTCGAGTAGCTGGGATTACAGGTGCCCGCACCATGCCTGGCTAATTTTTTGTATTTTTAGTAGAGACAGGGTTTTGCCATGTTGGCCAGGCTGGTCTCAAACTCCTGACCTCAGGTGATCCACCCACCTTGGCCTCCCAAAGTGCTGGGATTACAGGCATGAGCCACCGTGCCCAGCAAGGTTATTTTAAAATGTGATAGAAGTTTTCTAGAAAATTCTGACTTACAGTTACTGAACTACTGCATTGTACTTCGAGTATTTCTATGTACTCCCCTTATATAGAAAACATGATTATCATGTAAAAATCTCTTGAGGTTGGAGGTTTTCCATCATGTTTTTATCCTTGTACACCTAACACAGACATTTAGACATCTATTGAGTAATGTTTCAATGAATGACAAACGAATGGTGCCCCAAAATTACTTTGCTTTTAGTGAGTCAAAATTAGCAGATTGGAACTGGGTACTGAAAGCCTCCTCCTTTGGGCAAGTTACTGTATCTTAAATGGGTCTATTTTCTTAATTTTCCCAAAGCAGGGGTTAAATACATGAATTAATGCAACCTCAGATAACAGCTTGTCCTCAGAGTACTGGGGATTCACTAAGCTAAAGTAAATATAAGGTTAAAACAGTGTTTGAAAGTACAAATAAAATGGACTTAAAGAGTTTAAAGTTCATAGGGTATATCACTGTAACAAAATTAAAGTCACAGAAAGGTAAAGAAAGGAAGCAATCAATGAAGCAAGAAAATAAACAGAACACCAAATAAACTTCCTTTCAAATGTATCTTTCGAAAACTACATTCACATACTTGAGAAATAGGTCTGTGTAAAAAATGTAACCTCTTCAATTCTCTGTCTAAAAGTAAAATTAGATTTATAGTGACATATCTTTGTAATTTCCTAAAATTCATTCATTTATTCAATAAATATTTTTGAGTACCTTATAAAGGATCATATGCCATTCAAGACAAAGGAGAAATGAACAAAACAGACCTAGCCTTGTTAAGCTTACACTCTATTGGAGGAGAGGAACAGACAGGAAACGTGTAAACAAGTAAAATCTAAAGATAAGATAAAGGCAGATCACTGCTATGAAATAAAACAGAGTACTAGGCTGGTAAATTACTGCGTGTTTGGGGAAGCGGAGGGAGGGCAGGAGCAGTGTGTCAGCTAGTGTCCAGGAGGGTGTCTAAGGGAGTGCATGGGGGAGGGTGCCAGTCATTTGAAGACCTGGGAGAAGAGAGGAGAAGAAGCAGAAGCGCTTGAAGTGGGAATGAGCCAAGGAGATAAAAGAGATAGAAAGAAACTGGCGTACTTGTATGTGATGAAACATGAGTGAGAGTGGTAGAAACCGAACTCAAAAAGTACACAGTGGCCATGGCAAGAAGTTCGTATTTTATTGTAATTTACTATACATCATATATGTTAACATTATGTAATCTATCATATATTAGTTATAATGACCATGAGAAGCCCCAGCAGCAGGATAAGCAGGGATCTGACCTACTGTTACAAAATGATCATATCTGGCTATGGAGAGGGGGAGGCAAAGAGTAAAAGCAGAAAGATCAATTAGGAGGTTGTTTTAATAATGCAAGAAAGTGGAGATTTTAGACCAAGGTGATGAGACTTACTGATAGGCTTGATATGTGGAGTGAAGAAAAGAGAGGATTCAACAAATGGATTTTCTTTCACCGTGAACAAATGGGTAGAGGATAGAACCATTAACTGGGATGGGGAATATCAGAAAAAGATTTGGCAGGGTAGGTAGATGATGGGTGGGAGAGAGATGTATTCATTTGATATATATTCATTTGAGATGTTTATTAGACATTCAAAACAAGGTACTGAACTTTATATAGATCTAGAGCTCAGGAGAGAATCCAGAATCTTATGTATATAAATTTAAGGTTCATCGAGATGTATATGGCATTTGAAGCTACAAACCTGTTTTAGCTCACCTAGGCAGAGACTGCAAATAAACAAGGCAACCCAGAACCAAACTCTGGGGACACTATAACATTTAGAAGTTGGGCAAAGGAGAACCAGCCAGTAAATTAGACTGAGAAGTAGTAATTAAAAGGAAAACAAAATATGCATGGTGTCATAGAAACCCAGAGAAGATAGTTGGGTTTTTCCAAAGGAGAGGTGATCAATTTTATCAAAGGCTACAGTGAAAAAAAGTCAAAAATCAAGCAATATTGGTATATAAAATTGACATTTGGATTTGGCAAAATGAAGGTCATTGGTGTTGTGGATGACAGAAAATAATGAAGATGAAGAAATGGAGACAGCAAGTATGATACTTCAGGATGGAATCAAGGGCAACTTAACTCATGCCTCTGCCTTCCAGAATACTGCACTAGAAGGAGCACTTTTTCAGATTCTGTACAATTCTTTTCTTCTCAGGTGAAGGTCAAAAAGATACTATGTTCATTTTAAAAAACAAAATATACCTTACTATACCATCCTATAACTACACAAACTATACTATAGATGCTGCTATTGACCACACAATGAAGTAAATACATAATTTAATTAATATTTATTTAAAACGTATTGAAAACATCAGATTTCTTGAGGTCCTTATCAATTTTTGCAGTCATCTCTGAGAAAATGCATCTGAGCATCTCTCATAAAAACTTCGTTTGATTCTAAAACATCCTAACATGCTAATGTGTGAAAAACAAACTCTAGTAAAAGATTCAACCATCATGAAGTATTTATTGCTCACAGGTAATTTTCACTAACAGCACAGGTTAAAAGGAGATGCTTGATATTATGGCTTTGGAATGCTTTTCCTGCTTAATCACATGCTCCTTAGAATCCCATAAGCTGCTCTGTTGAGGTGAACAAAACCACCATAGGGACACTTTCTGATCCTAATATGTATTTCCATTTGCCAGCAACCCCTAGGATCTAGTATTTCCTGCCTTAGTTCTTGACATTTATTATTGACATATTGGCAACCTCAATAATGGAGCTAGATTGTTATTAGTAGTAATAGTAGTAGAAAGATATTATGCCTAGTACTTTGTAAGCACTTATTGTGGGAATGGCACTAATTAAGAGCCTTACATAATAATAGTGAAAATTACTACCCTGATTTAATGCACACTGTGTACAGGTGCCACCAAAAGCACTTCACATGTGTTAACTCATCTAATCTTCAAAATTCTATGAGTTAGAAACAACTATTCTCAATTTGCAGGTAGGGAAGCTAAGACAAAGAGAGGTTAAGTTACTTTCCCATGTTAACGGAACTAATAAGTGGCCAAGCTGGATTTGGTACCCAAGTTGTCTGGCTCTAATGACTGTGTTTCTAACCCCTACATTACAAACCTCATTATAAATGTCTCTTTTACTTACAAAGTATTTATTAATCTTTTTAACAAGCTTTTGATTTTTTGTATTATTATTTCTATTTTGCTACAGATGTTATCTCTATTTCACAGGTTTAGAAATGTCATACAGCTAGTAGGTGGTAGAGCTACCTTTACCCAACACTGGGTTCTTTGATCCATATTTTACAATAGGGCACAGATCTATTTGGCATATTGTGCTGAACTAGTCAAAGAGTTCCCACATGACACCGAAGGTGATTGCGTATAAGTGGTGGTGAATGAAAGCAATGAGATGGTGCCTTGCTAATATGCAGACACCTGCCTTGAATTTTATCTAGCACCCTTGTGCAGAGAATTAGAATAAATTAAAAGAGCTTTGGGGTAAAGGAACTAAATAATTATAAATTATTGTCATTTCATATTAATTTCTGATCTCTCTCTCTAGATATATTTCCGTGTAAACAGTCTAGTATGTGATTTGACTTTTTCTATAAATGTCTTCTGATAGAAATGATTCATTTTGTCCATTTCTTGGAAGAATTTAATTCTCCTTTAGCATTATTAATTAATTAATAAGAAAAATTTCTCACAGGCAAGGTTTAAAAAGATAATCCTACTAATGTAGCTATAAATTTCTATAGCCCATTCTTTGAAAGAGTATGGCTTTTAATAGAGACTTTTAATCTCTAATTCTGGTCTTTTGTTAAACTCCAACCCATACTTCTAACTGCTTCCTAGATAATACATGTTAATACACCTGTTATCTGCACATGTTCATCATGTTTCCCCTCTAAGTCATGCATTTCTTCCAAATTCCCTACTTAGTCTGATGGTAATGTTTGTATAAATCCAGGCCAGATGTCATCTTCAGCCTTTCTGCCTTTCACCCCTCACAACCAATCAATCAGCAAGTTCTTCTCCATTTTATTGACTAATAAATGAGTGGACAGTCTCGCCCCTCCTCTTCAGCACATCAACACCACTGCAATCAACTGGACCAAGCAATAGCTTACTAAATGTTCCTGCCTCCAGTCACAACCTCTGCAAATAAATGTTTTCGGAAGACCTACATCACTCTTTTTCTTCTTAAAGGCCTCCCCGTGGGATGCAATTCATCAGCCAGCATTCTAAATGGTGACAGTAAAGGCAAACAAGCGTTATCATTTGTAATACTAATAACAACCAACCTTAACTGAGCTATAAATTGTCCTTTGTCTTCAATGCTTAATTTGTTTAATCTTCACAACAACTTATGCAGCATCTACTGTTACTTTCCTAGTGTGTAGATGGGAAAATTGAGGCACAGAGTAGTTATCTAGTTAAGTAACATATAACATACATTCATTATGTAAAATGTCAAAAACAATTCATATCTTTCCAAAAAGAAATAATTACACCTGAAGATACAGTCATAATTACACACTTCATAAACAGAAGTAATTATGCTCACAATGAATCAAAATTGCACTTTAAAATTTTTTCTAGGAGTGTGCTTGAAGATGATGCATCTATTAACAAAGATACTTTGATTTGTTCTTTTTCAACATAAAGAACATATAGTGTTATTTTGATTTAATCATCTTTAAATTGCCAAATTAAGAATTCCAGACAAAGAAATAAACTTAGAGAGATCACCTGATTCAAAGTCTTCATTTTAAAGACCCCTCCCCCACTGCACATAGTGTTTGGAATGTTTAAGTGAAATTCCTGTGAAACTCATGGCTTCTCTGTACCATATTGTAGTCACCAGTGATGAGTGCACCAGATTTTACTCATCCTTTTCCCAGGGATGAACGCTTAGATCGTCTGCTTCCTGCTATTATAAACAATACCACAATGACCACGGTATTTGCTTTTATATAGCATGTGAGCATTGTGAATTTTCTAATCATGTATAAAGTTAAAGACCAATAAATAAACCATAAAGATAAAAGTAGAAGAGAAAGCAAAGAGGCGGCCCTTGAGTTACAAACTTACAAACTCCCCTTACATAAAAATAAATTATCCTTTTTTTTTCTTTAGGAGACAAAGTCTCTCTCTGTCACCCAGGATGGAGTGCAGTGGTGCAATCATAGCTCGCTGTAACCTCAAACTCCTAGGCTCAAGCAACCCTCCTGCTTCAGTCTCCCAAAGTGCTGGGATTACATGCATGAGCCACCACTCCCAGTCTGGACTTCCATTTCTGACTGAGATTGCATAGAGACTGCACTTCCCACAGCCTCTGGAAGCCTGCGCTCTATTCCTGCTGTACACCTTACCCACCCCAGCTGGCCAAATCCCTCTGTCACAAATATCCCCAACCTCCCATCTTCACTAGAGCTCTCTGCTACCATTCCCATGGCAGCTTTGTACCTGCCCCTCACCACTACCTGAGCCCTTTTCTAGGAACTACTCAGCAGATAGGAAATAGGGCTCCTCTGTGGTGGAAGCAGGAAGGTGTGCAGCTAGCAATCTGAAATTCCGGGTGCCCTTGTCCTAAGAAATACTGAGCTTAAATACCATGTGCTATTTAAGCCCCTCAGTACTATTAATGGGAAAAACTCAACTTCAGGATATACTGGAAGAGACATCTGTGGTGTTGCAGGGAAACCCAACAACAATGTAGATAACTGTTTAGATGTTCTGATGTCTGTAGCAAGTACAGATTTTACTCCAGAAGTTGTGAAGTTGTATTTTATTCTGCTCTCTGAAGGGTTGGAGAGCGTTGGGTGAAGGGACTCAAGAGTGTCTAGCTTTCCTGTATACAAAATTTTAATCAGTTCTGTTTTCAGCTCCATCAATTGCCCCTCTGTTTTTGAGCAACCAAATGCCTCCAGTTCCAGAGCCTTCTGATCATTTTTTGAAACAATTTGAGTTGCTTTTGCAGGCACCTGGGTTTCTGCTGCTCTTTCTCTGATGAGAAAGTAATTATTCCTGTGCTTTCCACAGTCCAGAATGTTTTAAAACTCTTCTTGTTGTATCTTCTCCTATTATCTTTGTCTGTATTCCTTTGCTTTTCTTCTAGTTGAACTTCAGTAGGGGGTATAAATAAATATGTTGTTCAAACAGATATAGTAAAAGTTTAGAAAGAATCTGTGTGTTTTACTATTTGGTTAATGAGCTTTTACTGGATGAGTTGTAGGAGCTCTTTTTATATTAAGGAAATTTAGTATTTTGTCACATGTGGTATGAATATTTTTCTAATTTGAGCTTTTGTCTCTTGAATTCTTTTGTCATGTATAAATTTTTCATATTGATTTAGTCAAATTTATCAGAATTTTTTTTCTTCTTGGTTTTCTCATGTTTATGAAGACCCATTTCAAGACTATTAAAAATATTCCGGGCTTTTTTTTTTCAGTTTTTTAGTTGGAGAATTTTGTTTGTTTCTTTGTCCATTAGTTTATATTTTATGTTTCAATTTTTGACCAACCTGAAATTTAATTTGGTGTAAGGTGTGAGGTAAGGCTCTAGTATTATTTTTTTCTATCTGGCTTCTCATTTAATGAATAATCAGTTGTTCTATTTCTCCTCTCATTTAAAATTATCTCCTTATCCATGTGCTAAATCTCAGTATCCACATGCTAATTTGAGCTTTATTTTATTTCATTCATTCTTTGTCTGCTAATATAACAGCTTTAATTACTGTATATTTATAATCAATATCTGGTGAAATTTGTCCTCTCTGCTTTTCTTCTTCACAAAATTTTAAATTATTATTATACTTTTACTTTTTCTGAATTATATTTTTAAAGTTTTTGTAATTCAAAAAGACTCCTACACAAACTTTTTTAAAAGTTAAGATGAAAAATGTATTTATCAACCGCCTAAAATAATTAGATTATTGTTTATAATAGTTTTTCACTTGATTCTCTTATGGGATTTTTTAAGATAACAACAATATATCTGCAAACAATGATTTCTCCCACTTCTCTAATTCTTATAACTCTTCTTTTTCCAGAAAGTGTTAAATAATAATGTTGTTGATGGGCATACTCTTTTATTCTGATTTTAATGAGAATGCTTATGGATCTCATCATCAAAAATTATACAAGCTTTTAGATTGAAATATATCATCAGAATGTATGGAGGTGATATAGAGTTTTTATCTTTTATTTGTTCATGTTGAACTTTAAACATTGTCTTTAGCCATTTTCAAGGAAAAAAAATTCCTGTTGTTTGGTTCCTTAACCAATCACAGGATTTCCAGAATCTTCTTTGGAACCATCAACTCCATCCTGCATTATTCTTTTCTTTCTCAGTCTCAGCTGCCATAAGAATGTGGAAAGGTGTGGATGACAACTGAACCAACCCCTGACACCTCTATCACAGACATTTCCATTTATTTACTGTGTAGTGTGATATGGTACCTAGGGTCATATAAATTCATATTAAAAATTTAGTTTTTGGAAATGGGTATCTCATACTTTGCACACATTGGCAAGAGTGCCTTTTGTGTTTAGCACAAAAGAGATAATATTAAAACACTATGTATTGAAAGGTTGGGGACAAATTTGCTAAGGTGAAAAACACATTAGACATAAAAACAGATGACCTAAATTCTAGTTATATGTTTACCTGTGGCCATCTTTCCTTGGAGTGGTCATTTCACTATTCTGAGACACAAAGATAATGAGTGAAAGAGGTCACTGTGAATTGTAAAGCACCCTACCAATGTAGTCATTATCTTCAAACTTTATGTATGTTGCAAATCTTTAAAATTCTTGCAAGGAGCTATCTCCACTTATAATAGAGATTTGAAAGATCTCATTTCAAAATAGCTTTTAAACCATATTTTTTCACATCAGTTAAACCACTAAAATAAGGTTTTGCCTTATACAAAATGACATTGTAGCTTAAGTCATGCAAACCAGAAAAAAATATTTATGTATGTGATTGATCAGATTGTGATAATCTTATCGTAATTTGCGTGGAAAAATCATTTTAAGTTATTTGATTAAACCAATCTGCAGTGAGTATTCTCAAAGTCCTAAAAATATTTTAAATTCCCTTTATTTTCCTATATAAGTCAAATACGCAACAGATCCCAGCACAGATTTGTCAGAAAATCCAGTGTCAGGTAGTTTTTTATGATCTCTCCTTGGGAACTTCTAGAAATTCTAGGACATATGTAGCCTAGAAATGTGGTGCTAATTTCCTCTGATCCTCACATATTGTGGCTGCAACTCTGGCACTATGTCCTCTGGGCCATGAGGTCCATTAAAATAAGTGTAGCTTCATTAAGCCCAGCTTCTCTAACAACACACAATTCCATGCCATGTAGGGTGGTTAGATGCAGGTGGTGCCTTTCAACCTTTAAACTCATGACTTCCTATCTTTCCTGAACCCACTGTTCTGGATATTACCTTACTATTTTCTTTTTTTTTTTAAAGAGAAAAGAGGCTCTCACTCTATAGCCCAGGCTGGAGTGCAATGGTGTGATCATAGCCACTGTAACCTGGAACTCCTGGGCTTAAGCAATCATCCTGCCTAAGCCTCCCAAATAGCTAAGGCTACAAGTGCGAGCCACCATCCCTGGCTAATCATTTTTTAAATTTTTTTGTTGAGATAAGGTCTCACTCTATTGCGCAGGCTGGTCTTGAACTCATGGCCTTAAGTGATCCTCCCACCTCAGCCTCCCAAAGCACTGGTATTACAGGCATAGGCCATCACACCCAGTTTTACTTTTCTTTTCAAAGCATAAGCTTCCTTACTTCAAGGTCTTGAGAAATTTGCAGCCACGTCCCTTTAAAATCCCATGTCTCAAATAAAGGATTTTGTTGGGAGGTTGAGAAAAATCTTCAGATAGTAACTCTAGAAACATAAAGAAGCTGTTAATTCCTCCTGAGGAAAAGGAGCATAGAACATAGAAGCCTGTGTGTTCTCTAATAACCTTTCCAATCTTTCCAGTCTTCTATAACAGCAAACCTAAGACAGAAATGAATAGCTCAATCAATTATCCTGCCACTAATCAAGTTTAGCAGTCAAGTCATGTATTATTCTGTTCAATTCTTAAAATGTATGCTAAATTAAACAATGAGAGGACAGTGGCTTCATATGTTGTTAAAGCCTAGGTTCTGGTTTTGGTATCACTCTTTATATCCTGTGTTCTTGGGCACATTATTGATTTCATCATATTTCACAAGATTGTTGGGAGGATTCACTTAAATCCATTTTCAACAGCCTTTTTTCATAGGAAATTAAGCCCTAATGCTCTTAAGCCATTGTGGATATAATGAATTAATTTCTCTCTTATGAATTAAGGAAAGCACTAGTTATGTACCATCTTTGAAAGAACTGAGAAGATGGTCATTCAAATCATTTTCAGTGCCCTATGATTCAGATGAAGAAGAAACATTTTTAATGGATGCAAAAGGTTAAGATATGCTTTTGACGTCAGATTATTTGGGTTCAAATCGCCAATTCTACTCTTATTAGCTGTGCATCCTTTTGTTGTTGTGGGTGGGGGTGGCGCTCTAACTTCCTCACACATAAAGAGGTGATGGTAATGGTAGCTATATCTTTGGATTTATACATGAAGACATGTTATTATATTGAAAGAAAATTAAAGCAAATAAACTTCCTCCCCCAAAAAAGGACATGTCTTCTTTGATCTTTCATATATTTAAGTAAAATTTAGTATAAATACAAGTTAAGTCTTATCAAAAACCAGAAGTGTTTTGGATTTTGGAATATTCGTTCTATGTCAGTTGAGCATCTCTAATCGAAAAATCCAAAATCCAAAATGCTCCAATGGGCATTTCTTTTGAGTGTCATGTTAGCATTCAAAGCGTTTTAGATTTCAGATTTTTAGATTAGGGATGCTCAGCCTGTATCAGGAAGCTGTACCATCTCTCTGAATGACGAGGACTATATTCTAAATCTTAAGTCCAGCAGTTTGGATAAAAATTTTCCCTGGAATAATTATTTATCCAACATATTTTGGCTAAAGTATATCTGACCAGACAGCGTTAGACATGTTAAGAGAACAATGTTTCATCCCAGCTGATAAAAAAACGTATACGATCTGGAAAGGGAGATAAGATATCTAATCAGTGAACGCTATTACATGGTGAATGCTTCCAGAATGCATAACTAAGATATTACATAAACTCAAGAGAGAAACATTATTTCTAATCAATAATTTTAAGCACACATCCATGAAGGATCTGGCATTGAACTCAATCCTGAATTATCAGTGGTATATGCACAAGTTGAAAAGGGGTCCATGGTATAAAATATCTAACTGGAGATATTGACACGTGTTGATAAATATGGGCAAGTATTCTGGTTTCATTGGTTAAAAAAAAGCAATAGTATGAGATGAGACTGGCAATATAAGATGACCCCACTATGTGGAAGATGAAAGTTGCCAAGGTATGTCCAAATTAGTATTTAGTCTGCATTAAATAGATACCACACCCTATACCTTCAGTCAACAGTTTATTTCTTGGTGAACTAATTAATTTTTTTTTCCTTTTGTAGGTTTCTTTGGTTAGCCTGGTAGCCAATGCTCTTGGCTACTCAGAACTCGGTGCCATCAAATCATTACGGACATTAAGAGCTTTAAGACCTCTAAGAGCCTTATCCCGGTTTGAAGGCATGAGGGTAAGAAGAATAGACACTCTAATTATTCATGTCAAAATTACATGTAGGTAATGATTTAGATAGAAAAGGGTGCCATACTCTTCTGATATTTATTTCATAGAATTACAGAATTAGAGCAAAAATCTTAGATATCACAAAGCCTAGCCTTCTGAAACTGGAGTTTATTTAAACAGGCTCTCAGAATTTTGGGAGGACAGAACTGAGACTAGCATCCAGGTCTTCTTGTCACAGTTCAAATATGTTTCTACAACACTCAAAAACCTTGGACTGCCAGTTGTTTCTTTTCATTGCTTACACCCCTTGAAATGACTACTGACTACTGACATTCATCCGTGGTGGGGAGTTTCTTTCTCTCAATAGTTTGATTCCTTCAAAATTACTGGCAATGAATGAAAGGTAAAATGGGTTTTGTGTGCTTTGCTTCTTGAATTAATATCAGTAATAAAAATTATTGCATAAGGAAACAACATTGAATTTTAGCCTCTAACAAATTGCTAAATAACATCCAAAGTGAAGGGTTAAGGTAATTAAGCATTTCAGGCAACCTCCAGAGTTTTTTGGTTTTTTTGTTTGTTTGTTTGTTTTTAGACGGAGTCTCGCTCTGTCGCCCAGGCTGGAGTGCAGTGGTGCGATCTCAGCTCACTGCAACTTCCGCCTCCCGGGTTCACGCCATTCTCCTGCCTCAGCCTCCTGAGTAGCTGGGACTACAGGTGCCCGCCACCACGCCCGCTAATTTTTTGTATTTTTAGTAGAGACGGGGTTTCACTGTGTTAGCCAGGATGGTCTCGATCCCCTGACCTCATGATCCGCCCGCCTCGGCCTCCCAAAGTGCTGGGATTACGGGCATGAACCACTGCGCCCAGCCCAGAGTTTGTTTTATAGATCTTTTTTTCTAATTGAGCATTCTGAATAAGGTTCACTTTTTCTATAGCAGTTGTATTTTCCTCCCCAGCTCTCTTCCTTAATATGTATATTATGCATCTAAACATAAAATCACACTTTATTATAGATACCACCCATTTGCCATGCCCCTCGGTAGAATTCAGCACAAAGGCCAGTTTTGTTTAATCTGGCTTGTGAGTGCATGTGGATATTTAATTTAGTCTAGGTGATAGGGCTTTCATGTTAGGATGTTAGGAGATGGTTGGTTTGGGGCAATAAAAATATTTCAACCTTGACTTTAAAGTTCACCCATCAGGGAGAATTAAGCCACTCTCCAGACTCTCCAGAATCATTGTAATCAAAGAAATATTTGGTTTTTACATTGTAATTTCATTTCCTTGCTAATGCTAAAGAAAGTTAGACAAGATAAAATTCATAAAAATTACTATACAATTTCAAGTTCTTTTCAAACCAAACTTTTACCATTACTCATAATACTTAAGCTCTCATTTGGTTCCATGTTTCCTATTAACAGTTCATTTATGAGGGGAGATAGCAACTGAGCAAAATTTAAAACTTATAAATTTTCTCTAATCTGAAAAATATTCAAAGTTTAGAATTTTTAATTCAGTCATATAGCACAATTAATATTCCAGATGCAAATTATGATAATGTATTATGCATTTACTTGAAAACAGGAGAACCTGTGGTGGTGTGTACCAAACTTGTCCAACCCGCCTTATTTTGTTATTGTTGTTGTTCTATATTGTTTTAGGCTACTAACAGCCTGAAGCCATGGTTTTTAGTTTCTATCTCTAGTGATAAGTGGAAAAGAGGGATGAGGAAGGGACTTTACGGGCCCAGCCAGAAACAGAAACTAAGAACCCAGTGAATGCATTCTCTCCCTGGCAAGTATAATGCATATGGCTTAACTTCCAAAAGAAACAAAATTCAAGTAGCATAGGAAATGTTTACAATTTTGGATTTCTGGTTTTGATGTCAATTTAAGATTCCTTGGTATTGATTTCTAAAATAATGTTTGCAGTATTTTAAAATAAAACAATACTTTTATTTAACATAAATGATTAACAGAATGGTCCAATATGAACTAGATTAGACAAGAAAAATTACTGTTGACTTTCATAAAGATTTCAAAATACATCTTAATATCTTCTGAATTTAATGAGAAGTGAATGAATTTTCCTCTCATGAAATAGGTCAGCCTGGGTTGATGAAGTAGCATGTGCTCCAAAGTGAACATTTAAGAGATTGTGAAGTAATAATAATGGGAACTTATCCAGTACTGTTACGACCAGATATAAATTCCACTTTTTCCCCTAACTTAATAAACCTTTTTATTGAGATTTACTAACAGGGGGAAAAAGGGACCCAGTAAATTCCTAATCCTGTTCTTCGTAGTCATAAAAAGTTAACTTGATCTGAGAATATAGATTTAAGGCATTTTTAATACTTTGTTTATTTGCAAAGGGTTTGTTTACTGGCTTTTTCAAATTATCATTCATTCATTAACACTCTTGAAAATTAAAATGTATTACTGAAAGATGATTATTTTTTCTGTTGGCATTTAATGCATCTTTCTATTCTTTTTTCCCCAGCATACAAACATTTTCTGACTCCATCTTACTATACCAGGTTTTTAATGATTTCTTTTCATACTGTAGCATATTTTGCTTTCCTTAAAACCTTAGCTCTTTAGTTGTGTCATTGTTTGTTTTCCTTCAAATATGTGCTAGAAAAATTAGAAGAAACAACTTGTCCACCTAGATTTTTATTTAACTCTTTTCAAGCACATATTAATACTAAACAAATACATTGAAGGAATGGTTTCCATTCAAAAGGTTTGTAAGCTATGTTCCCCTCGCTGTCTCTTCTAGGTGGTTGTGAATGCTCTTGTTGGAGCAATTCCCTCTATCATGAATGTGCTGTTGGTCTGTCTCATCTTCTGGTTGATCTTTAGCATCATGGGTGTGAATTTGTTTGCTGGCAAGTTCTACCACTGTGTTAACATGACAACGGGTAACATGTTTGACATTAGTGATGTTAACAATTTGAGTGACTGTCAGGCTCTTGGCAAGCAAGCTCGGTGGAAAAACGTGAAAGTAAACTTTGATAATGTTGGCGCTGGCTATCTTGCACTGCTTCAAGTGGTAAGTGGCTACTGTACGAGTTTTGAAAAAGTTTTCAAGATGTTTCAAGGAAGATTATTTCCCTGATGTTCTTCGTTTGAATGACTAACATTTGACAGCATGAAAAAAAGTTAATGATAACACCTATAATATCAGCTTGAATTGATCATAAAAAAGATGTTACAATTATTTTATAATGTATTTTCCTTAGTGTTAAGCTTTTAGTATGTTTTAATGTGATTTTATATTTCTGCTTTCTTTTTTGTTATATTTTTGGGTACTGGTATCATTTTTAGTTTTCTGTATCAATTATTGCCAAAGGAGCAACTTTAGGTACTAAAATAACAATGCATATTTGTAGTGATGAATTAAATGTATAAATTATTAGCCAGATAATTTATTATAACAATGTCTAAGAAATATGATTCTACTATGTGTCAAAATGCAAATCATAGAGCTTACACTTTAACATATAAGGGAATTGGGACTGAGATGGCAGTTTCATGAATAAAGTCTTTCACTAAATTTTAGTGTAGGAAGAAAATAGAATACTTTCAAGAAAAAAAAGGAAACAAGTTCCAGACTTTAAATACAAATGTTTTTCTATTTCAATTTTATTTCAATCTCTTGATATGAAATTTCACAATATTGTACAAAAAGTTATTTGTTATAATACTGTCAGATTTTCATCTGGTTAAATGTCATTGTTAGGTGAAATTTTTATGAACAATTCAAATATATGTTATTTACAGGCCACATTTAAAGGCTGGATGGATATTATGTATGCAGCTGTTGATTCACGAGATGTAAGTATCACTCAAATATTATTTATAGGTTCTAGATTTCTTATGGTGAATATTGGTGGTAATTTAAACACTGATACATCCAAAATTCTATATTAGAACATTTAATATTGCATATAAAAAATGAACAGTCTGCTTCAATATAGATGATGCTTGATTAATGTGTGCCTAATATACAATATGTAGCTAATATGAAACGATATCTAGCTGCATGGATCCTAAGACATTAGATTGGTCCAGTAAATGAGACTATTCTGAGTGGAAAAGTTGTTCAGTGGGGAAGTAACTTGTCTCTCCCTATCCCTGGAGAGTATGATAAACCAGACTCTGTGAAGCAGCTTCCAAGAATATCATGATACAGAAAAGCAAGCAAGTTTCAGGGACACTCAATTTAGAAAATAAAAATAAAAATAACTCCACAGAATATATCTGTGCTGAATTTTCCTCTTAGAAGTTGATGTTCTGCTCTTAAAGCCGTATTTCCAAAATTCAGCATTTCCAAAACCAAACAGAAAATACTGCAAAAAATTATGACTAATAATAGGCTCAAAATGTTTTCCCTGCTTATATCACCGTATTTATGTTAAAGAATATGTTAAATGTAAGGCACAATGGGAAAAGAGAATCAAGAACAATCATAAAACTTGCAAACCTTCATTTTACTAGATCATACTAGTTTTAAAAAATTGTTTTTGTAGAACAATATCTCAGGGTAAGGCAAAAGTAGCACTGTATTAAGTAACAGCACTCAATAAATTACTGATTTAGTGTAAGTATTTATAGTATTTTTCATATTATTTAATATTTTCAATATCATTTAGGTTAAACTTCAGCCTGTATATGAAGAAAATCTGTACATGTATTTATACTTTGTCATCTTTATCATCTTTGGGTCATTCTTCACTCTGAATCTATTCATTGGTGTCATCATAGATAACTTCAACCAGCAGAAAAAGAAGATAAGTATTCTTTAGCTTTTACCTTTCTTCATTCTGGGGTTCTGTCTGTTAATACAGCCAAATAACCAGAATACCTGTGGTCATGACAGACTTAAATCATGTTTATATTATTTTCAGTTGCCCATGTGGTTATTTAAGCTGCAGGGATTCCAGCCTCTAGTCAGTGGCTCCTCTCAAAGTTTATCTATTGGATAGCTTTCTGACCCAAAAATGTGTCCACTCCTTCGGACCCATCCAACGGGTCTCCAGTGCTTTAGCTTGGCTTACAGAGCCTTTCAGGAATTACCTCCACCCAGTTTTCCATCTTCATTTTTTCCTACACTTCACTCTATACATGTGTATTTCCCTACTACATAGTCACCACCCATACATCTATATGAGCTTTCTGCCCTTTTCTGAACAAGCATTCTCTTGTACCTCCATGGCTTTTTGTGATTTTTTTTTATCCTGGAATGTTCCTAGAAAACCCATAATCATCTTTTAAGGCCTAGCTTAAGGGTAAGCTATGTAACAGCTTGTCTCTGAGTCTCTGAATTCATTGTTGCCTCTGCAGTACATTTAATTTTTTTGTCATATCAACATACACTGTCCACCTACGTTTTCAGTTTCCTGCTCCATTTAGAAGCAGAATACTGTATCTTATATATTTATGTAATTCTGACACCCAGCACATTGTCTAGCACACAGAAAGTGTTAAAAACTGTTGAATGAAGAAGTAAAATTATCGGCAGTGAAATGGACTAAGAAAATGTTTTCTGTTTTGCAAAAATATATTTGAGACCCTTGTGCCTACTTTTAAACATAGTATAATCAAATTAGGATCCTGTAGCGATCAGAGTTTTATGTACGTAAGGATTTTGCATAATATTAAGATATTCAGAATTTCACATAAATGGGAAAAGCAGGATAAATGTATATGTAGGAGGATAATATCCACTTAAAAATTAGAAAAGATTAAAGGAAAGACAAATATTTTTTGTGAAAGTACTATTGGAACACAGAATTGTAACCAGTTTTATACTATGTCTTTACTTTGGAGGTCAAGACATCTTTATGACAGAGGAACAGAAAAAATATTACAATGCAATGAAGAAACTTGGATCCAAGAAACCTCAGAAACCCATACCTCGCCCAGCAGTAAGAATTACTTGTCTCCTTTAATGTTCCAAAGCCATGCGTCCATATGGTCAAATTGAGCAATGCTCTGGAGCAGAACATATTAGGTGATATCACCAATATTGAGCCCTAATTATAAAGTTCATATTTTGCATCATAATTCACAACTTCTGCACTCATTAGGAGTTACCACATTCCAAAAAAAGGAGGTAATGTTCTTTATAATTTGTGAGTTGAAAACTTCTAGCTCAGGGTTCCTAATAAATACTTCCAAAGCAAGGTTCACTTTCCTGCTACCAACAGCACACCTGGTTCCTCCTCCTCTAGCCTTCCCATCCCACTCTCCAAGGCCTCCCTCTATACTCTCTGCTCCCTCCATTCTTAAGACTAGAAAATATTCCAAACCTGTTTAGAAAGGGAAAAGGTGTCATCAAAATTGTTTGTTTCACCAAATACACCAAAACAGAATAAGGCATATTCAGAATGCATACTCTGTAGAGCCTCATGATGATGGAATGATGTAATAATGACAGATTATGTTCACAGAGCTGGACTCTAACTCAGCTATTTTCTGAGATTGGTAAGGAGTAAGGAAACTGAGGCCCAAAGAACATACGAATCATGCCCCAAGTCACAAATCTTGTAATTGCCAGAACTGGGACTTGACAAGGCCCCATAAATTCTCTAAGTGACTTGACTTTACCATATTTATAAGAGTAGTTGGAGCTGGAATGTGAGGGAGCAGGGTAAGAGGGGAAAGGATTGAACTGACTTTACTAGAGTTCTTTAAAAATTAAAACATGGTCACTTCATGACCTTTGATTTTTGGTAAGCCATGAAGTTTTAAGTTTTTACTCTAAATGATTAATAATATATTTCTTTAATAAAACTGTATTTACTAGCCATATTAATATAAGAATCTTTGAAAGCATGTTGTTCCTGAGATGATTGTTAATAAGACAAAGAAAAAAAGTGTTTAAAGTCATGCATTTTTGTTAAAGCACAGGGCATAGGTAAAGAAGGACAGATGGAAAGAAATACAGATAAATTAACAAGCCCATACATAGATTCACAGAGCTAGAGAGGTAGAATTCAATAGAAATATGACTGATGTATTTCAGGGGAGGGAAATAAGGTATAAACCAAAATTTCTAAAATATTGATAAATGAATTGGTGTATTCTCTATCTAAATATCTGTTGATATTAACCTGCTTTGTAAATCTTTGTTATTAGTAGTCACTATTTTTTATAAAAATTATCATACTTATTCAAATCAAGCAAAGACTACATATATTATCAGCCAATTGTCACAAATTTATGTGTTTGTTTTTGTTTTGTTTTTTAAGAGACAGGGTCTCACTCTGTCTCTCAGGCTGGAGTACAGTGGCAAGACCATAGCTCACTGCAAGTTCAAACACCTGGGGTCAAGTGATTCACCTCAGCCTCCCTCGTAGCTGGGACTGCAAGCCTGTGCCACCATACCAGGCTAATTTTTTTTTAATAGAAATGAGGTCTCACTATGTTGCCCAGGCTGGTCTGGAACTCTTGGCCTCAAGAGAGCCTCCAGTCTCAGCCTCCTAAAGTGCTGGAATTACAGGCATGAGTTGCCACGCCCAGCCTTAATTTATGTCTCATCCAGCTTTGTCTTTCCATAGGACCTATATAAACCAAATATGCTTTGTTTAGCTATATAAATTTTTTTTCCATTTTTTTTAACATGAAGAGAAAAAAAGCACACAAAATTGTTTGGGGTAATATGAGGAGGGTGCACATCCATCCCGTATGTGGAAGGGCTTTATCTACAATTTTACTGCATTATTCTTTATGAAATATATATAGTAACCTTATTTCTCTTCTCTCACTTTCTAGAACAAATTCCAAGGAATGGTCTTTGATTTTGTAACCAGACAAGTCTTTGATATCAGCATCATGATCCTCATCTGCCTCAACATGGTCACCATGATGGTGGAAACGGATGACCAGGGCAAATACATGACCCTAGTTTTGTCCCGGATCAACCTAGTGTTCATTGTTCTGTTCACTGGAGAATTTGTGCTGAAGCTCGTCTCCCTCAGACACTACTACTTCACTATAGGCTGGAACATCTTTGACTTTGTGGTGGTGATTCTCTCCATTGTAGGTAAGAACAGCTTAATTACCAAGAGGTATAGTTACAGAGAAACAGTTGCCCCAGGACCTTCTAGCTGATTAACATGGAAATTAGGTCTGAGAATAATAATGCATATAGATGTAAAGTTCAACACTAGCATATTTGAATAAAAACTCTGAAACCTGGGTTTATTCACAAAGCTAACTAGTTAGAAACCATGTTAGGAATACCAGATTTGGGAAAGAGGTGAAGAAGACAGGAAATAAACATTATCAGGTACTCTCCTAATCTTAAACCAAGGTCACAGGCTAAAAGAGGCAGATGGCTTAAAAAACAAATCATTGTAATGCAATAAAGTTGGTATTGTAAGAAGCACTGAAGAGGAAGTAGCCATCTCTGCTGGAATGAGTTAACACAGGCTTCCAGAGATAAAGGTGATGCATCCTAGGTGGGTCTTCAAAGAAGAGTTGAGATTTAGTAGGAGAAAAAGAGAGATGGGGAATTATAGAACCCCAAATTTAGAAACTTCAACTTTAACCTCATGTCAAATATGGCCCATTTCTCTCTAACTGAAGAGTATCATTAAAAAATAGAAAACAATATATTCAGAGATTTCAGAAATATTTTTGTTTGTAATTGCCACAATTCATGTGTAGGGATAACAATTCATATAAATTGGGTCTATATAATCTTAAATTGCCATGCTACCATTGGAGATTATTTGGATTTTGCAAAAATTCATATTGGTTTATGACATTACAGAATCACTGAATAAAACTCTGTAATCTGTAATTGCTAATGTCAGGGAGTGGATCCAAATATTTAATAAAGGCTCATATTCATAACAAGTTTGTTGTGTTCATAGACCTTAAAAAAGATAAAGCCATCATGTAAGTGAAAGATATTATCTGTTTAGCTGTGTTCTATGTTTTCCATAGGTATGTTTCTGGCTGAGATGATAGAAAAGTATTTTGTGTCCCCTACCTTGTTCCGAGTGATCCGTCTTGCCAGGATTGGCCGAATCCTACGTCTGATCAAAGGAGCAAAGGGGATCCGCACGCTGCTCTTTGCTTTGATGATGTCCCTTCCTGCGTTGTTTAACATCGGCCTCCTGCTCTTCCTGGTCATGTTTATCTATGCCATCTTTGGGATGTCCAACTTTGCCTATGTTAAAAAGGAAGCTGGAATTGATGACATGTTCAACTTTGAGACCTTTGGCAACAGCATGATCTGCTTGTTCCAAATTACAACCTCTGCTGGCTGGGATGGATTGCTAGCACCTATTCTTAATAGTGCACCACCCGACTGTGACCCTGACACAATTCACCCTGGCAGCTCAGTTAAGGGAGACTGTGGGAACCCATCTGTTGGGATTTTCTTTTTTGTCAGTTACATCATCATATCCTTCCTGGTTGTGGTGAACATGTACATCGCGGTCATCCTGGAGAACTTCAGTGTTGCTACTGAAGAAAGTGCAGAGCCCCTGAGTGAGGATGACTTTGAGATGTTCTATGAGGTTTGGGAAAAGTTTGATCCCGATGCGACCCAGTTTATAGAGTTCTCTAAACTCTCTGATTTTGCAGCTGCCCTGGATCCTCCTCTTCTCATAGCAAAACCCAACAAAGTCCAGCTTATTGCCATGGATCTGCCCATGGTCAGTGGTGACCGGATCCACTGTCTTGATATTTTATTTGCCTTTACAAAGCGTGTTTTGGGTGAGAGTGGAGAGATGGATGCCCTTCGAATACAGATGGAAGACAGGTTTATGGCATCAAACCCCTCCAAAGTCTCTTATGAGCCTATTACAACCACTTTGAAACGTAAACAAGAGGAGGTGTCTGCCGCTATCATTCAGCGTAATTTCAGATGTTATCTTTTAAAGCAAAGGTTAAAAAATATATCAAGTAACTATAACAAAGAGGCAATTAAAGGGAGGATTGACTTACCTATAAAACAAGACATGATTATTGACAAACTAAATGGGAACTCCACTCCAGAAAAAACAGATGGGAGTTCCTCTACCACCTCTCCTCCTTCCTATGATAGTGTAACAAAACCAGACAAGGAAAAGTTTGAGAAAGACAAACCAGAAAAAGAAAGCAAAGGAAAAGAGGTCAGAGAAAATCAAAAGTAAAAAGAAACAAAGAATTATCTTTGTGATCAATTGTTTACAGCCTATGAAGGTAAAGTATATGTGTCAACTGGACTTCAAGAGGAGGTCCATGCCAAACTGACTGTTTTAACAAATACTCATAGTCAGTGCCTATACAAGACAGTGAAGTGACCTCTCTGTCACTGCAACTCTGTGAAGCAGGGTATCAACATTGACAAGAGGTTGCTGTTTTTATTACCAGCTGACACTGCTGAGGAGAAACCCAATGGCTACCTAGACTATAGGGATAGTTGTGCAAAGTGAACATTGTAACTACACCAAACACCTTTAGTACAGTCCTTGCATCCATTCTATTTTTAACTTCCATATCTGCCATATTTTTACAAAATTTGTTCTAGTGCATTTCCATGGTCCCCAATTCATAGTTTATTCATAATGCTATGTCACTATTTTTGTAAATGAGGTTTACGTTGAAGAAACAGTATACAAGAACCCTGTCTCTCAAATGATCAGACAAAGGTGTTTTGCCAGAGAGATAAAATTTTTGCTCAAAACCAGAAAAAGAATTGTAATGGCTACAGTTTCAGTTACTTCCATTTTCTAGATGGCTTTAATTTTGAAAGTATTTTAGTCTGTTATGTTTGTTTCTATCTGAACAGTTATGTGCCTGTAAAGTCTCCTCTAATATTTAAAGGATTATTTTTATGCAAAGTATTCTGTTTCAGCAAGTGCAAATTTTATTCTAAGTTTCAGAGCTCTATATTTAATTTAGGTCAAATGCTTTCCAAAAAGTAATCTAATAAATCCATTCTAGAAAAATATATCTAAAGTATTGCTTTAGAATAGTTGTTCCACTTTCTGCTGCAGTATTGCTTTGCCATCTTCTGCTCTCAGCAAAGCTGATAGTCTATGTCAATTAAATACCCTATGTTATGTAAATAGTTATTTTATCCTGTGGTGCATGTTTGGGCAAATATATATATAGCCTGATAAACAACTTCTATTAAATCAAATATGTACCACAGTGTATGTGTCTTTTGCAAGCTTCCAACAGGGATGTATCCTGTATCATTCATTAAACATAGTTTAAAGGCTATCACTAATGCATGTTAATATTGCCTATGCTGCTCTATTTTACTCAATCCATTCTTCACAAGTCTTGGTTAAAGAATGTCACATATTGGTGATAGAATGAATTCAACCTGCTCTGTCCATTATGTCAAGCAGAATAATTTGAAGCTATTTACAAACACCTTTACTTTTGCACTTTTAATTCAACATGAGTATCATATGGTATCTCTCTAGATTTCAAGGAAACACACTGGATACTGCCTACTGACAAAACCTATTCTTCATATTTTGCTAAAAATATGTCTAAAACTTGTTTAAATATAAATAATGTAAAAATATAATCAACTTTATTTGTCAGCATTTTGTACATAAGAAAATTATTTTCAGGTTGATGACATCACAATTTATTTTACTTTATGCTTTTGCTTTTGATTTTTAATCACAATTCCAAACTTTTGAATCCATAAGATTTTTCAATGGATAATTTCCTAAAATAAAAGTTAGATAATGGGTTTTATGGATTTCTTTGTTATAATATATTTTCTACCATTCCAATAGGAGATACATTGGTCAAACACTCAAACCTAGATCATTTTCTACCAACTATGGTTGCCTCAATATAACCTTTTATTCATAGATGTTTTTTTTTATTCAACTTTTGTAGTATTTACGTATGCAGACTAGTCTTATTTTTTTAATTCCTGCTGCACTAAAGCTATTACAAATATAACATGGACTTTGTTCTTTTTAGCCATGAACAAAGTGGCAAAGTTGTGCAATTACCTAACATGATATAAATTTTTGTTTTTTGCACAAACCAAAAGTTTAATGTTAATTCTTTTTACAAAACTATTTACTGTAGTGTATTGAAGAACTGCATGCAGGGAATTGCTATTGCTAAAAAGAATGGTGAGCTACGTCATTATTGAGCCAAAAGAATAAATTTCATTTTTTATTGCATTTCACTTATTGGCCTCTGGGGTTTTTTGTTTTTGTTTTTTGCTGTTGGCAGTTTAAAATATATATAATTAATAAAACCTGTGCTTGATCTGACATTTGTATACATAAAAGTTTACATGAATTTTACAACAAACTAGTGCATGATTCACCAAGCAGTACTACAGAACAAAGGCAAATTAAAAGCAGCTTTGTGAACTTTTATGTGTGCAAAGGATCAAGTTCACATGTTCCAACTTTCAGGTTTGATAATAATAGTAGTAACCACCTACAATAGCTTTCAATTTCAATTAACTCCCTTGGCTATAAGCATCTAAACTCATCTTCTTTCAATATAATTGATGCTATCTCCTAATTACTTGGTGGCTAATAAATGTTACATTCTTTGTTACTTAAATGCATTATATAAACTCCTATGTATACATAAGGTATTAATGATATAGTTATTGAGAATTTATATTAACTTTTTTTTCAAGAACCCTTGGATTTATGTGAGGTCAAAACCAAACTCTTATTCTCAGTGGAAAACTCCAGTTGTAATGCATATTTTTAAAGACAATTTGGATCTAAATATGTATTTCATAATTCTCCCATAATAAATTATATAAGGTGGCTAATTGGAATTCATTGGCTTCTTTCTGCTCAAGTCAATTTACACATCTACATCTCACTGACACCACAGAGATGCCAAATATTGCTTTGCAAAACCTTTGTAATCATTATCCAAGTGATCTATAAGGAATCTATTAATTGGTATGCATTATACCTAAATGACCATCTTCCAGAATCATCAGAAGAGACTTTAGTTGAAAAGGGAGAATACTTTTAAAAATATACCTACCTAGCTAAAGGATATTCTGAAAATACTGTCCAGAATATAGAGTTGCTAATATAATTTGACATATTTTTGAAATAACTACTTCCATAATGCAACTTCATGATAGGATTCTATCTTGAAAACGCAGGTAGAATTGGCTGGGCGCGGTGGCTCACGCCTGTAATCCCAGCACTTTGGGAGGCCAAGATGGACAGATCACAAGGTTGGGAGTTCAAGACCAGCCTGGCCTACATAGTGAAACCCCATCTCTACTAAAAATACAAAAAAATTAGCTGGGCGTGGTGGTGCATGCCTGTAATCCTAGATACTCAGGAGGCTGAGGCAGGAGAATTGCTTGAACCTGGGAGGCAGAGGTTGCAGTGAGCTGAGATCGCACCACTGCACTCCAGCCTGGGCAACAGAGTGAGACTCTGCCTCACAAAAAAAAAAAAAAAAAAAAAAAAGAAGGTAGAATCAATCAAGTTGCCATAGAAATGACAATACTATGAAATAAAACTTGAAAACTTGAATTCACTAAGTGAAACTAAATGGTTGCTTTCTAATAAAGAGAAAACACTTGTATGAAGAGAAAAATGGGTGTTCTGGTTTTCAAATATTGTAGCCAAAAGATAATGGCTATATAAATTTATATATCTTAATAATTTTCAAAAAACTAGTATATGGTAAAATAACAAGAAAACCATTTTTGTGTATTTCAAACAACTTAATAATCATACAGAAAGTCAGTTGACCTTTTTTGCGGAAATGAAAAAGGTAAAAAGAACGGAACCAATAGTCCTTACATTTGGCTTTTAGTTTCAATTTTGGCATCAAATTAGCTGTGTAATGTAGGCAAATCAAATTCTAGCCCTCAGATTTTTCCATCATTAATAGGGATGTTGAATTTAGAATATTATCTCTGGTATGCCTTTAATTCTAAAATGCAATGTTCAAAATCAAAGTGATCACTCACTGCCTATTCAAAGTGAGTAATTTCCTCTATATGGGAAATACTTAATGAGAAAAAAATGTATATTGTCAATAGACTTTTAGAAACATTACTAAGATAACATTAAACAGAAACACAACATTTGGCTTTGACTTTAGCCTCATTAAAAAAAAAAGAAAACTCTTCTTATCCCCAAAAAGTTTTATACAATAAAGTTGAAGGATGCTTTAAATAACTGAAATTATGGCTATTATTTCTTCTCTGTGAAGTTACAGATTTCTAAAAGACAATATCTGATATATGTAGAAGATATTAAAATCAAGAAATCACTAGTCATTTGTAAAATTGCCTCAAACCACGAGTGTAGTAAGTTCTTTGTCATTAATGACATTTACCACAACACTTCAACATACTGGGCTTAAATCTTATAATCTCTAGAGCTAAGTTTGTATTACAAAAGGATAAAATATGCATATCATTCTCTTATAATAACATCTATAATTCTGTTGCAGAGAAAATAATTGATAATTCTTAATTCTTCTTTTCTTCTTCTTCTTTGAGATTGAGCCAGTGCACGCCAGCCTGAGTGACAGAGCAAGACTCTGTCTCAAAATAGAAAAAAAAATAACAAAAAAAGAAAAGAAATTGTTACATGAAAGTAACATAATACTGAAAGGTAAATTTATAGTAAAAAATTATTTTATTAAAAAATAAATATTGCCAAAATTCAGTGAGCTGAGGAATAATTTAAAAACAAGGAAATAATCCCTAAGAAACAAGAAGCAGTGAGATGATGAGGAAGAGGATAGATAGATAGATAGGTAGATAGATAGATAGATAGATAGATAGATAGAGATATAGATAGAAAGGTAGTTTATGAAATATAAAAAGTAATAGAATAAATACAGACAAATGTTGGTTCTTAGAAAAAAAACTAGTATTTTTATACCTCTGGCAAGATGAATCAAAAAGAGTAAACAATAGGAGGAAGGAAAAAGGGAGAAAACTATAGGTAGAATGCTATAAACTTACATTTCAAAAGCTATGTGAAATAAACAAAATGAATATATTCTAATAAAAATAGCACACCAATACTGGAGGAAAAATAACAACTAATATTTTTTGAAAAATTTATAACCTTTGAAAACTGTGATCAATGGTTAAAATCATGCCCCAACACAAAGAAAGACAAAACACACATGGTTTTGTAGGCAAGGAAAAGATAATCACATACAAATTCCTCCAAAAATTAGGAAGGGAAGAAACATTTCCATACCCGTCCTAGAAGCTAGAATAAACATTGATACCAAACCTAGGCAAGAAATAATAGAAAGAAAAATTACTGACAATTTTACTCTTAACACCAATGGAAAAAAAAATTTAACGCAATATAAGAAAACCAAACCCAGCAATATATGAAAAATATAAATTAGATAGGTCTTCTAGAATAGCAGAGTTAGAAATTCAGAGGACATTCTTACCAGCGAAACAACAATTTAAGAGGTAAAAATTAGAGCAATTATTTAAGTTCTCTGGAAATTTTCCTAAGGGTATACAGCAAACGAAGAAACACTCATTCAAGAAAATCGACTGAATATCAGTAAAAAGAGTGAGAGTCTGTGGCATTTAAGCCACAACTCGCTCCCCTCCACCCCACCCTCAGTTCCAACTTACAGAACCTTTATCCTGGGTACTCTAAGAGTGAGGGACTCCTTCTGACCCTAGCATCCAGCCTCAGGAGAAACAAGATAACTTCATTCCCACCATCATCTCCTCCTCCGCCAGCCACATATTACAAGAGTTATATTCCACGTAGGCATGGCCAAGAGGACTGGTTGTCCCTTGCCCTATCTATCCCCTATTTGTAGGGTAAAACTGCTACCCCAAGCATGGTAGAAGAAGAATCCTGGGGCTCCAATCACCCCACCACAAGACACTCACAGGACAGAGTTTTCACACCAGCAATGTCTTGCAAGTCTACCCCAGGGCTGCCACCCACCATCTAGTGCCTACACTTAAAGAGGGAGTGTCATTGTGGGAAAAGCAAGACCATGTCCCCAGTACTGTTGTGGCAGTGTCAGAGTTCTGCCCAGGGGAGAAGTCAAGCCATAAAGACAAAGAGCTTCACAAAAGTTCTTGAGGAGACTGACTTTATTTGAAATAGAAAGTGGAGAATTCCATGGCTAAGCCTGTTTTCACAAACAATAGAGATCATAATGAACATTAAGTTAGAGGAGGCTGGGAGCTCCATGACGCAAGCAAAACTTCAGAGCAACCAAAAGTTTAACAGAGTGAACCAGGGAAAGACACAACTAAAAAGAGCCTTCTTGTGGGTCAGGAAGACAGTATCTATGCAATAGGCTGCATCCACTCAGGAGAAATCAGAAGACATGACAGCAATCCCAAGTGAAAAACAAACCCATCAACATAGGATGAAAGGTTAACTTGCATACGGGACTTAAACACAACTTCTGATAAAACATTGACTGAACAACAAACTATTCTGACCCAGGGGTGACTCCTGGGAGACCAGAATTAAAAATAAATGTAAACTTATCCTTACCAGTCTGAAAGACTGTGTGCTTGTCCCAGGTTGTGCCCCCTCTGGAGCTATCAGAAAGGAAAGTTCCCAGCTAAAGTCTGAGAACCCAAAATATGAAACAAATCTCAAAGAATTTAGAAAGTTTATTTTGCCAAGTTTAAGGACGCCACCTCAGGAGGTTTGATGACATGTGCCTAAGGAGGTTGGGGCACAACTTGCTTTTATATATTTTTGGGAGACATGAGACATCCATTAATATATGTATGATGTACATTGGTTCAGTCCCGAAAGGCAGGACAACTCGAAGCAGGAGCTTCCGGGTCATAGTTAGATAAGAGACAAAGATTGCATTCTTTTGAGTACTTTATCAGCCTTTCACTGAGCCTTTTTGTGAATTGTGAATACACAATTTAGTCTGGCTCACTGAATCTGCATTTTTACATAAGTAATAAGGCAGATGAAGCAATTAGATATGCATATGTCTCAGGTGAGCAGAGGAATGACTTTTTGCCCTCTACCTGTGAAGATAAGCTATTAGTTTTCATTGCCAGGGTAAAATTCAATAGAATTGTTATAGGGTAAAGATCTTGAGGCCCACAAGGAATTTCCTCCTGGGCAAATTGTGAGGGAGGTATGTAGCTTCTTAATCTTTGTAATAATCTTACTTAGGAATAAAATGGGAGGCAGGTTTGCCTGACATAGTTCCCAGCTTGACTTTTCCCTTGGCTTAGTGATTTTGGGGTCCTGAGATATAACCTTCTTGCACAAGTCTCTAGCTGAACATGAGGCCAAAAACCCAACCTTTCTGATCTGATATGGTGGCCTCCAAGCCACATGCATATTCAATGGTAAAGGGTAAAAACCTGTCTAAAAGGGCTTACGCACATCTTTTGACCAATAAGTGACTTATGCTGCTCCAAGGGCTACACCAAGGTATTCAAGATAAAAGATACAAACAAGGAAAAGCAATCTGAGCAGGGACATTAGAGGCTCTACACTGTAAGATAAATTAACTTTACAGAATTAGTTCAGCTGAATCATTGAACAACTTTTTTTAAAAAGCAAACAATAACATCAACAATCTTGTGGAGTAGGTGGGTTCAGAAATTCTAGAGTTGAAAAGCACAATAACTGAAGTAAAAAATCTACTAGAAAGTTTCAAATGGGAGATGGCAGAAGAAATAATTTGCAAACTTGAAGATAGATTAATGTAGATTATGTGGTCTGAAAAAGAGAAAAAATTACAAAACAAAAACACAGAGCCTTAGAAAAACATGTGACATCATTAAGCACACCACCATAAGTATAATGGGAGTGCCAGAAAGAGAGAAAAGAAAGACAAAGAAAAAATATTTGATGAAATAATTACTGAAAACTTCCCAATTTGATTTTAAAAAATCACCTGCACATCCAAGAAGCTTAATGAATTCCAAGTAAGATAAATGCAAAGAGATAGAAACCCAGACACACCATAATCAAAATGTTGAAAGCCAAAAAGCAAAATCTGGAATACAGTAAAATTAAAAAAACAACCCATTACGTTCAACAGAACCCAAATAAAGTTAACAGTTGCTTTCTTACCTGAAAAAATGGGGGTCAGAAGACAGTAGGGTAGCATATTCAAAGTATAGAAAGTAAAAATTGTTAAAACAATGATCTCTCCAGCAAAATCATATTTCAAAAATGAAGGTAATATAAGGACAGTCTCAGATAAAAACTGAAATTTTTGCAAGCAGAAATGCTGTTGAAGAAATACTAAAAGAAGTTCTTTAGAATGAAAGCAAATTATACCAGAGAGAAATTCAAATTATTTATATCAACTACTAATTTAATTATTTATTTCTTTTTTTGAGTTTGTGAAAAATAGGTATTCTTTTTAAATGTTTTATTTGGTTTTCTCTTAATTAAAAAACATATTTATTATTGTGTACAATACGGTGTTCTGAAATAGATATACATTGTGCAATGGCTAAATAAAGCTAATCGACATTTGCATTACCATACATAGTTATCATTTTTGTGGTGAATACACTTAAAATCTACTCTCTTAGCATTTTTCAAGAATGTAATATATTGTTATCAACTACATAGTCACCAGGTTGCATAACAGATCTCTTGAACTTAGTCCTCTTATCTAATGAAAATTTTGTATCCTTTGACCAACATCTCTCTACCCTCCTCCCACCACCTTCAGTTATTCATGTCTAAAACAAAATTGTAGTTTGTTGAATTGATAATTTTCCTAAGCACTTGAATAAATACATATTAATTTCTTTTCTAAGTTAGTTGGACAGAACAGCTGAAGTTTATCTTAGTAGACAATGTCAAATGTACATTAAAGAAACCACAAAAAATGCTTACTTAGCATACAATCAAAATTGTCTAGTCATAAATTTAACAGTAAATTATCATTTGTGCTACATCCACTCAAGCAAAGAAAATACCATATAATGGTGTGTAATACCATTATATGTATGTATATAATACCATATAACTGTATCTCAGTGATTAGGGACATTACACATATTTATTGCCTCACTATAATTTATATGGAAAAATACATCCAAAACAATACGTAAATGGTTCTTTCCTAAAATATTTTACAATTTCCATGTTTTAAGTTTAGATACTTGTACTTCTTTTACAGTTTAAAGAATGAATAAAAGTAAAAAATAAAGATTCAAAAAGACCTGGGCTTGAATTTCCCAGTTGGTTACTGTGTAACGCTAAAGTAGTTACTTCATCTCCCTGAATCTTACTTTTCTCATCAGTAAAATAAGAATACTATTTTAGCAGGATTTGTAGCAGAATTAAATTAGATAATGTGTTTTTGGCCTACTGTGGTATTAAAGTTAGCGTATTTGCATTGCTATAAAGTAACATCTGAGGCTGGGTAATTTATAAAGAAAGCAGGTTTATTTGGCTCACAAATTAGGCTGTACAAGCATGGCACCAGCATCTGCTCCTGTGGAGGCCTCAGGAAGCTTCCAGTGATGGCAAAAGGTAAAGAGGGAGCCGATATATCACATGGGAACAGAGAGAGCAAGAGAGAGAGGGAGGAGGTACCATGCTCTTTTAAACAACCAGATCTCCCATGAACTCATAGTGGAACTCACTCATTATCAGGAAGACAACCAAGCCATTCATGAGAGATCCTGCCCCATGACCCAAACACCTCCCACTAGGCCCATCTCTAACATTGGTGGTCACATTTCAACATGAGATTTGGAGGGGACAAAACATCCAAACTGTATCAAGTAGGTATTACAAAAAGGCAACTAACTTTCATTACTAACATTGTTATTTGTAAAGTAGAAAGAAAGCATGCATATCTAGCATTTAACATTTTAAAAGTTGTGGCAGAAGGCTTGCGATTTCAAAACATTCTCTTTTGTAAAGTGGAAAGATCAAACAGCAGCCTGCAGTAAGCAAAAATTGTAAAGAAGATCTCCTTGATTAAAAGTATCTTTGTTTCCCACTATCCCAGTAGATTATCTCTCAGACTATCATCTCAAAAACTTGAGCTGACTTGCAGTAAGGAAACAGTTTAGTGGCCAGGTGAAGAGATGGATAATTTTTGCGGGCAGGTCATTGTGGAGGAGAGAGAGCTTGGGTACCACTCCTGGTAAAACCAATTGTCAACGCATTCCATTACTTATGGTTGCAGTAAGCAACGTGCAATGAGATGAGAGTATACCTATGTTAACAGTAAGATGCCACCACCTTTATATCAGTGTTTGTCAACCATTGTCTACTTTTAATTGACCAAATTGGAGCGAGGGAGATTCTTCATGTTAGATTTTTCTGTGGTAAATTTTGAGTTCTGTGTTGCCTTTCCACCACACTCCCAACTACACTGCCTGCTGTCTCCTTTGCTGACTATCCAGTGTGTGCTAAGGGAATAACAAATGCTAAACTTCCCAAAATGCAATTACAAAAATGAATCTGCCTCAGGAGAAGGTACTCACATACAATGAATTTTGCATTTTGCCCTATTTCTTTTTCATCTTTTATGTATTTCTCCCTTTATATCATTACAAATGCTTTTATTTAAAATGCAACCTTGATTATGGTATTCTTGTGTCACTTCACAACTATTAAAATGCAACTTTTTTTTTCCTGAGATAGAGTCTCTCTATCGCCTCAGGATGGAGTGCAGTGATGCAATCTTGGCTCACTGCAGCCTCAACATCCTGGACTCAAACAATCCTCCCACCGCAGCCTGCCAAGTAGCTAGGACTAGTGGTGCATGCCACCTCACCCAGCCGATTTTTGTATTTTTTGTAGAGATGGGTTCTCACTTTGTTGCCCAGTCTGGTCTTGACATCCTGGGCTCAAGCTATCTTCCTGCCTTGGCCTCCCAAAGTGCTGGGATTACAAGCGTGGGCCACCACATCCTGCCAAAAGCCAACTATTGATTACTTTTTACTCTTACAACAACTAGTTGATCTTAGAACAAGTAGTTAATATAAGACATATAAACTACATGCACCAGTTATCCTAATCTACTGGGCACAAATGTTCAATGTTCTTATCATGTTTCCTCAATTGTATTTGATTTACAAACATGACCAAATCAACTGAAGATATCAGTCTGATCTAAAGTAATGTAGAAAGTCAAAGTGTTGACAAAATCATGTGTTATTGTGGAATGCAGATATCTTTATATCTAAGCAGAAAAAAATTGTAAACACTTCAGTTTTGGTTTTCAGTGGTGTCAGTCCTAATTTAGGATCAAAACTGAAAGAACTCAAATATAGACTGTGCAATGGCCTTAAATTGTTTTGGATTGTCCAGCATTTGTTCCCCTTTATGTGGTAAGGTCACATGGATTTTCTCTTGTGGAAAATCATCAACAATCTATACAGTTCAGCCACAATCACCTTACTTTCTAGAGCTTCATGAATGGGCACAGTAACAAGGCCTGACTTGTCAATATATTCCATTTACCTCACCACAGAGATTGGTTCAATATGGGCACATGGCCCATGGTCAAATTAGGCTAAAACAAAAACACCGTCCAAACTATCAGGGGAAATAAAATAGTCATTTATGTTTGTTTTTTCCTGCTGGGTATATTATTTGTATTTTTTATTTTCTATATATTATGATGTTTTGGCACCTTAATAATCTTTCTGGCTAGAGAGAGACTGCATCTCCCAAGGCTATTCAATTCCAGAGAGAGCAAAGGTTCAGCCAAGAGCATGTCTTTGATATGCAAACCAACCAATCCAGAGTCATGCCTCCTCTGTCTGGCCCATACCTGTCAGGAGAGCAATATTCCTCTGCCTTAATCATTCCAGGGCTAGGTACCAGGAAACTAGGAAACACCCCTTTAGCTTAAAGCCCACTGACATTATTCAAACTAACCAATCCTAAACTCTTTACTGGGACCTATCTTGCCTCCTGCAGAAACTCCCCTAAAGGCTGTGGCCTGGGCACCCTCCTATCTCCTGCAAGCTCTGCCTCCGGACCCACCATGGTGCTTTCCCATCTGGCCCTATTTGGTGCACTGTGCCTCCTGTTTCTAGGACCTGTGATCTTAAGCTTTGTTTTCCTGATCCTCTCTTGTTTCTGCCCTTGTGACTACATCTGACTGTCTCATAAAAGAACACAGAGCACTGGTTTGCTGAAACAATACAACAGTGTGAAAATTTGGGTGGTCATATTGGCTCCTAGTTCCCAGCAATAAAGGAAAAAAGGCAATTTCTAGAGTTGGAGAGGGAGTCTTTAGCTTTTGATCAAGTTGAACCTGAAGTTTGGTGCCTATATTTGAATAATTGGCTCCAATTAACAGAGCCAATAAATTTACTTTTTACTTAAGCCAGTTTGAGTTGAGTGTTTGAAGACTTAATTATTAAGATTTATGAGTTGCACAGGTTGATAAAAAAGAAGCTAAATGGAATGAAACAGAGAGCATTTTCAAAATAAAGATCTTGAAGTTTAAAAAGAGAAGATAATAAGAGAAGAATAGTATAAAAAGAGAAGAAATAGTATAATACAATAATGTATAACATATTGGTGGCAATACAAATCTTAGGAAAAATATTTACCTCTGAAGACTGATTTTTTTTTAGAAGGCCACCAGAGAAATCTTTTTCTCTCTGCACATACACAGATGAAGAGCCATCTGAGGACACAGCAAGCCAGGAAGAAAGGCCTCACAAGAAATCAATCCTGATGGCACCTTGATCTTGGACTTCTAACCTCCAGAACTGTGAGAATAAATTGTGTTGGTTAATCCAGCTAGGCTGTGGTATTTTGTTATGGCAATCTGAGTTGTCTAATACAACCACCAATGGTAAAATGATAATTTCTACTCATAGAAACATGGATACCAAAATCACGTTCAAAATTGTCATTCCTTTTGCATGTATTTTTACAGCAAAATATGTAATTTAAATTTATGTAATAGCTCTGTAATGTAATAAAGAAGGCTATCAAGTAGTTATTAAGGGAAAAGATTTTAAAAGCTTATAAACATTTCATTGACTAGAATTTCTTCAAAATTTTCTTTTTATTCTATTGTTCATAAATATATATTTACTAAATAGAATTGTATATCTTTATATAGTTCACATTTTCATTTTATTCATATTGGCTCTGTTAGTTTTTGATTGATTCATTCATTTATTCTCTCAGCACATATTTATTATAAATACGAGAAATAGCGTGGTGGCGTTATAGTCATTAGAGCTGTTCATTGAGTTTTTCTAGTACTCTGCCCTTCTGGGCACATATATTGACTATATTTCCTGGCCTGCCTTTTGCTTAAGAGGAAACCCATGATACTTCTTCCCTTAAGTAGCCAGTTTTTGTGATATGATCATTTTCTGGAAAGATCACTTAACTGCCTTTCTGAGACCTTCAACAGTTCTATTTTCCTTTTGCCAGACCACTGGCAAAGATTGAAACAGTAGCTGCTCCTTCAGCTTAGTTCCAAAATGAGAAGACACAGAGCATCCCCAGCTGACAGTGATGAACATGAAGCATGAATGAGAAATAAACATTTGTTATAACTCATTAATATTGGGGGCCTATTGTTTCCAGGGCAAAATTTAAACTACCCTAACTAATCAGCTGAATGCAGTGGAATGCACAGATGGATAAAGTTAACCCCTGCAATTAAGAACTTGTAGTTTGGTGGAATGACTAAAGAGCAACATACGCAAAACAAACTACATTAAATGAAAGTAAAATAGAAACTCTGTGATGAGGGAGAGTGTAAGGGGAAATAATACCTTCATTCAGACTGGGAATATTAGGCAGCACTCTACAGATACATGGAATTTAACCTGAATCTGTAAGAAAAGGACAGGGTTTTCATAGGCTGAGAAAGTATAGAAAAGATATTCTTATGAGTTCCAAACCAAAGAAAAATTAATAGTAAAAGCAGGAAGACAAGAAAGTATATGAGTGGCATGTCACAAATTATCATAGGAGACGTGTAACTACATATAAAGACCCTTGATGTGGGAACTAGATATCATCAAAGAATCTGGTCATTATTACAACTGAGTTTCCCAAAGTGTGGTTTCTTTCTCATTTCATTTTAATTGTTTTTACATTTAGCTCTATGACTAATTTGAAATTAATTCTTTGTCTGGTGGGAAATGGGATCTAAGTTCCATTTTTTTATTACTAAAAATGTCTAGTTGAACCAGAACCATTTCAAGAGTTCTCCCTTAATGCTTCAAAGTGCTAATTTTTTGTCATGTCAAGTGTCCATAAAAAAAGGAATACAATTCTGGACTTTCTATTCTGTTTATTTTTGTTTGTTCATCAATAGTATACCATATTAACTATTGCAACTTTATAAGTATTGATACATATAGTAGAGTAAACCCTCTCAATATTGAAACCACCTTTGCAAAAGTGATAACAGTGAGAAAATTATTTCAGTGAAAAATATCTGACCTAACTGGCTCCATCTTGCCTTTAACCTCCAAGCTTCCCATGTTCATTTCTGGGTGTAGGCTGAGTTAACTATGGAGGAATTTAGTTCATAGTTTAACTTTGAAACAAAGTTGGAAATGTCTTGGGATCCTTAGGGTGTCACTTTTCTGGCCAGAAACCTCTGTGGCTGGTGGCACCTTTGCCTGAGTTTTGCTTGGGCCCACTGGGTTCATTCCACCCACTGGGCCTGGCAGGCTGCACTTGGCTTGCACTACTGGCACCAGATCCCACACCTGCTAAGGGCAAGCCAAGCGCAGAGCAGTGAGGGGTGTGTGAGCAACCATGGGGTCCAGCCACTTCTCACAACCATACGTGCCAGCTGCAGCAGGGCAGGCAGTTCCAGGCACCAGCACGGGCACTGGTTTCTTGCCAGGCTGTATCTAGACCAGGTATACCACAAATCACTTCCACTACAAGCACCAGGGAATGCAGTGGTGCCTGGAAACTTGGAGATACCAGGAACCACAGAGCCTCAAAGAGGGTGTCACAGCCCTGGTTTGAGGAGCCCCTAGGTCTGGGCTCCCTGAAGGGCCACAGCTCTTCTCTCCATCTTGTTGTTCCCAACATGGACAGTAGGGGAGGTGGAAGCATTTCAGCCCTGTTTGTGTTATAGCTCTTTCAGTCCCACCATTCATCAGGTCCCAAGTTCTTGTCCCACATCCAGGAAGAATGAGGTACACAGACAACTAGAGCATGAGCAAGGCAAAGAGGAGCTTTACTGAGCAACAGAACAGCTCTTGGGAGAACCTAAGTGGGTAGCTCCTTTCTCCAGGCAGGTAGTCCCAACAAGTGTCCAGCTCTCAGCAGAGAGGAGACCCAGAGTGGGTAGCTCTTCCCACAGCTAGTAGTCCCCACATCTGTATGAGTCTGGCTGGGTCTGGGGTTTTTATGGGCTCAGAAGGGAGGAAGTGTGTGCTGATTGGCCCATGGGCAGTCATGGGCAGGCCCAGAAAAAGCACCATAAGTTTTCACCCCAGGCAGTGGACTCCACCCAGAACTGAGCCCAGCCCTCAGGCTTCAGGTCATCCCTGGCTTGAAGGTGGGGCTTCACGAGGGACCCGCCCCTTTCCACACAGGAGCCTGTCTGTCTGCCTCCAGCTGCCATCAACATGTGGTCCACAGCACACAGGCTGTTCAGGCCAAAGGGCTCCTGTGAGACTGTGCTAAGCCACCCTCAATACCCCTTGGCCTCGCTCCCATGCTCTTGGGCACCCAAAGTCCAGAGAGGGCTAAAGAAGCAGGAAGCTGGTGTGTCAGCACCACCTAGAGTATATGCACACCTGGCCAGGTCACCACAGTGCCCAGGCTCAGCTGCAACTTTGCTCCACCCTGGAGTGGGCACCAGGAGTGGGGAGAGGCCAGACAACAGGAGCAGGCACTTTCAAGCCTGCAGGGACCAGGGGCTTCCTGGGCCCCCAGGAGTGCAGGGATGCCTGGGTCTAGAGCCAGGACTGGGTGGCTGCAGCTGTGCCCAGGAACGTGGGACTCCTGCTCCATCAACTCAGTAGGTGGTAGGGCTCCTGCCTGTTACCACCCCCCACCAGCTCTCCCGGAGTGCACAGCCCCAGCCCCTCCTACACAGCTGCTGCCAGTGTCTTCACATCAGTGACTCCAGACTGACAAGCGCTGCCTTTTCCTGAAACAATACCTGTCCTGCCTGGCCCTCAGACTACCTTTGTAAGACTAACAAATTAACCACAAGATTAGAAATTATGGTTTAGGAGTCATGCAGCCAGAGTCCCAAGGTTCTTAACCTTCCCAATTGCTCCTAGGAATAACATCACTATTGTAAAACCTAAGATTGTTGTTTGAGATATTTTTTAGCCCCTGCATTCTGATGGACCAGCTGGCACCACCCAGACTGGTTATCAGGCTCAACAAAGTCTGCAATCCCAGCCAGGAACAGAAGACAGCAAAAAAACTTGCTTCTTGCTTCAACTCCCTGTGATTTAATCTCCAACCCAACCAGTCAACACTTCCCACTCCCTAGCCCCATACCTGCCAAATTATCCTGAAAAAACTCCAGTCTCTGAATTATCAGGGAGACAGATTTGAGTAATAAAACTCCAGTCTCCCATTTAGCCCACTCTGAGTGCATTAATCTCTTTCTCTATTGTAATTTCCCTGTCTTAATAGATTGGCTCTTCTGGGCAGTGGGCAAGGAAAGCTCATTGGGTGGCTACAATATATTGTTATTTAAGATCATCTTAGCTTTCTTGGTACTTGAACTTCTAAAAACATTTTAGAGTGAGCTGGTCCATTAGCAAAATGAAACCAACTGGAGTCTTGATCAGGAGTGCACTGAACCAATACATCAATTTGGTGATAATTGAGATTATTAGGTTTCCAATCCATAACATGTCTTTCCATTTACTCAAGTCTTCATTCATCTCTCTTAGTGAGGTTTTATTATATATAGGAGTCTTATACTTCATTAATTAGATTATTAATAATTTGATGTTTTTAATTCTTTATCAAAGGTATTTTTTTACATTTCATTTTTGTTTGTTGCCAGTATATAAAAATACATTTGTTTATATTGACCAGGAATCTAGAAACTTGTTCATCTCTCTCATATACTGTATAAATTTATTTCTAAATCATTTGAGATTTCTTTGTTTGGATTTTTAATATTTTTTTAATTACAGTTTTGTTTTTTCTCTTCTAATCCACGTTAGTTCTGTTTCTACCTTCATTTTACTGACTACCACCTCTAGTATAATGTTGGATAGAAGTGGTGAGGGTCTCATTTCCGAATTCAGAAAAAACTTTCAATATTTTGCTTTTAATTATAATGTTTACTACAGTTTTGGCTAGATACTTTTTTCAGATTAAAAAACTTAATTTTATGATGTTTGCTAACTTTATACCAAGCAAGAATTATTACAGTATAGGCAAGATTTTTTATGTGAATGGAGATTAAATTTTAATTTTTTTCTTTATCAAAATGACCATAAGATTGTTCTCCTTTAAACTATAATGTGGTAAATTATAGAAATTAATTTTTAAATAAGCCAATTTGCATTTTCTTTTTAAATCCAATTTGATTGTGCTTTTTTTTAATAACTCAATGTGTTTGCTAATATTTTATTTAAGAATATACATCTATGTTTTATAATTTCCCTTTAATTTTTGCAATAACCAAATAAAATTTGGGTACCATTATTACAACAGTCTCAAAAACAAGATGAGAAATATTTTCTTTTTCTATTTTTTTGAAAAAGTTTTGCAAGATTAATGTTATTGCTTTCATAAATATTCCTTTAAATTCATTAGTGCAGCCATCTAAGTCTGGCATTTTGTATGTGGAAATGTGTTAAATTACAGATTCAATTTTTTATATAGTTATAGTACTATTCAGACTATCTATTTCTTTATGGATTTAGTTGTGTTTTTCTGAAAATATGTCCATATTATTTAAATTTATAAATTTATTGACATAAGCTTGATCATAATGTCTCCTTATCGTCTTATCACTCCCTATAGGAAGTGTGATTATCCAAGCTTTTTCCCTTCAATATAGTTATTTGTTCCTCATTTTCCTTGTGTTTTGATTAGTCTTGAGAGGAGTTTATCGATTTTATACATGTTTCTTTTTTTCAAAAGAATCAACTTTCAGCTTTGTTGAGTTTCTCTATTGCATATTTGTTTTTCCAGTTCATTAAATTTTGCTCGTTTATTTCTTTCTCCTTTCTATTTGCTTTGGGTTTGTAGTTTTTTTAATGTAATCTCTGATATAGAAACTTAGATCACGTTTATAGCCTCTAATGTATGCATTTATGAACACAAATTTCTCTCAGAACACTGTTTTAGCCGCATCTCACAAGTTTTACATGCAGTATTTCATATTCTCATTCTTTCCAAATATTTGATTTAATTGCAACTTCTTCTTTGACTTATCGATTGTTTTAAAATGTGTATCCTTGTAGGCTGCGCACAGTGGCTCATGCCTATAATCCCAGCACTGTGAGAGGCTGAAGCAGGAGGGAATAATCACAGGATTTCTTGAGGCCAGGAGTTCGAGACCAGCCTGCGCAACGCAGCAAGCTCCTGTCTCTACTTTTTTTTTTTTTAAATTGGCCAGGCACATAGTAGCATGCATCTGTAGTACCAGATACTCAGGAGGCTGAGACAGGAGGACCACTTGAATTCAGAAGTTCAGGGCTGCAATGAGCAATGATTTTCCTACTACATTCCAGCCTGGGCGACAGAGTAAGACCCTGTTTCAAGAAAAAAAAATGTACATCTTTGGTTTTGAGAAATAAAAAATGAAATTCTAAGCTCCCAAGAGAGAAGACTTGGGACCCTAGAGAAATCTTGAAAACTGAGTTATCAGCCATGGCAGGAAAGGAGGTCAGACATGCCTCGTGATACCCTCTCCCTGGATAACCACAATGAGGCTTTCTTCCCAAACGGCTAAACAGAAACCAGCCCTTTCAAAAGACCCCACCATTGTTATCAACCAACCACCTGATGCTTCCCACTCCTTTTTGTGGTTTCAGCATAACTAGCCAGGATTTCTTCTTAATATGAGACCACCAACCATGGAGGGGTCAGGTCAGTCTACTGATGATGTACAGGAAGGGTTTTCACATCTTCTGCCTCAACTTGGGTGTCAGAGGGCTAAAATCTCCACTTTGGATGATACTAACACAGCTGTTTTTTGGTATCTGGGATCCATGAAGGAGCATGAAGCTCAATTACACACGACCATGGTTCTCTTCTCAATTGCACATGTTCTTCTCATAGAAGAACCATGGACATGTGCAATTGAGCTTCATGCTCCTACATGGGTTCCAGGTACTCCTCTCATGACTCTTTCTATAACTTATTAAATATGTATATTTGGCCACTCTGCTTAGCATAAACTCCTTTTCCCTTTGTCCCTCCCTCTAAGTGTCTGTTTTTGGCTCTGGCCAGAGGCTATCCTTTCCAGCTTGTCAGAATAGCCACCCTGCAGGCTCCAACCCTTTATGAGAAATAAAGCTCTCCTTTCCAAATCTATGAACCTTGTCATTCGTGAGTTGCCACTTTCAACTCAAGATCCATAAGGATATTTTAGTAAATTTGTCATTAACTTCTAGTTTAATTCCATTGCAGCATTCCATTGCAGCAAAGAATATACCCTGTTTAATTTCATGTCTTTAAAATCTTGTTAGGACTTACTTTACAGATGGCAGATAGTCTTTTTTAGTAAATGTTCTGTATGTATTTGAAAAGAATGTCTGCTTGGGAATTGTGAGGCACAGTGATCTACATATTTAATGTTTAATCATCTCTGTATTTACTGAGTTTTTGTCTGCTTATTCTAATAATGAGAAAAGTATGTTAAAAACTCCTATATAAGTGTAGATTTGTCCGTTTCTCCTTTAAATGTAGTCGAGTTTCTCCTGCACATGCAACTGCCCAGGATTCAGAGACGCCAAAAGAGAAGATACAGAGGGTGGGTCACCAGCAGAAGAAGCCGAACCCCGGCAGCGTGGAGCTGCACAGTGGCCTGGGCCAGGACTCAGAGAAGGTGAAGGAGCTAAGAAGTCAAAAGGCTGCACTGCGGTCTCTGCAGCAACAGAGGCAATTTAGCATGTTGCCTGGGGCCATGAGCCACCCTCACAAGGTAAAAAAATACGGCGGCTGCTTCCATTCAGCCTGCGGACAAGGCCAAGACAAAGCCAGACCAGAAACGGAATTCTGGGAAATGTAGTTCCACTTTATGTAAGCTCACTCTGCACAAAGCCACTACACTAGGCTAGGGAAGCTCTCAAGACACCTTTGAAATAAATTGATATTCATTTAATTCAAGGAGCTATCTGAAGCCACAAGATTGAAAGAAACTGCCATGAGAGAAATTATAGAGAACAGAGCAAAAGTAATTGCTCCAGCCCACTACTGCTACCTGGTATAGCCACAGGTCAAAATAAAAAATACGTATTTTCTGGGAGTGAAACCACCTTTGCAAAAATTATGACAATGACAGTGAAAAAAATCTGACCTAACCAACTCCATTTCGCTTTTTTTTTTTTTTTTTTCTCTGAGACGAAATCTGGCTCTGTCACCCAGGCTAGAGTACAGTGGCACAATCTCAGCTCACTGCAAACTCCGCCTCCCGGGATCAAGCGATTCTCCGGCCTCAGCTTCCTGAGTAGCTGGGACTACAGGCACCCTCCATCACACCTGGCTAATTTTTGTATTTTCAGTACAGACGAGGTTTCACCATGTTGGCCAGGCTGGCCTCGAATTCCTGACCTCAGGTTATCCACCTACCTCGGCCTCCCAAAGTGCTGGGATTACAGGCATGAGCCACTGTGCTGGGATTACAGGCATGAGCCACTGTGCCTGGCTTCCATTTCCCATCTAACCTCTAAGCTACTTTTGTTCATTCCTGGGCTTAGACTGAACTAACTTTAGGAGGAATTTACTGTTTAACTTTGAAACAAAGATGATGACAGCTGCTACCGGAAACAAGCCCCCTCCTTGCCTGGGGACCAGTCTGCCTTTGTAAAACTAACAAATTAGCCACAAGATTGTAAATTATGGCTTGGGAGTCATGCAACCAGAGGCCATCAGCTTCCTAACCTCCCCAACTTCTCCTAGGGGTAACATCACTATTGTAAAACCTAAGAGGTTTGAGGTATTTTTCAGACCCTGCATTCCAGTGGATCAGCTGATGCCACCCAGAATGGTAAACTGGTTCATCTGTTCTTGTGGCCCCTGCCCAGGAACACACTCAGTGCAAGAGGACAGCTTAAACTCTCTATGATTTCATCTCGGACCCAACCAATGAGCTCTCCCATTCCCTGGCCTCTGCCTGCCAAACTATCCTTAAAAAACCCTACCCTCAGAATTGTAGGGGAAACTGATTTGAGTAATAATAAAACTCCTGCCTCCCATTTAGCCAGCTCGACTTGCAGTAAACCCTTTCTCTATTGCTATTCCCCTGTCTGGAAAACTCAGCTTTCTCTCTGCAGCAAGCAAAATGAACCCATTGGGTGGCTATAGGAGCAGAGATTATTTTTCAAAAGTATGTATATGTGTGAAATATTGTTAAGAATTTGTGACAATTATAAATCAATTGCTCACCCCCTAGTGAATTAACTTGGTAAATTTAATTTTTTAATAATATATATGACATACATCTAATGTTGTCTAATGGTAAAATATTTTTAATGCTACAATTTTAAACTATGCTTGTAAATTTGTTTAAGCAAAAAGCAAAGGAAAAACTGTTTCCTTTCAAATATTTATAATGTATGCTAACAATATTGCCAGGCTAAGGGAGTGTTTGGCTTTTGAATGTTCATTAATATTTAAATCTTTCCAAGGAACTGGAGAACTAGAGACAAAGTTAAAGTTAACACAAAGGGGGGAGGGGTGTGTGAAATTATGTGCCAGATGCTAGAAAAATCCTTGTGATGTGGCTTTTGTGTTCATGAAATAAGGTTTGGGGTGTGTGGCTTTTGAGTAACAGTCTTAAATAAAAACATAATAAAAGAGACACAATTTAGCAAATTGCGCTGGAAAGAGGAGAAACGAGGTGAGATTTTGCTCAGAAACGGCCCCTCCCCCGCCTCTCAGAAGGTTTTTAGCTCTGAGCAGCTTCCCGGAGGACACACGGTTGTCATGGAGACAGGCAGGGCCTCCTCCTCTCTGCTTGGAGCCGAAACAGCAGGGCTGGTTGGGAGCGAGCACCGAAACACAATGGTGAGCCCTTCTGCTGCAGGCAGTGGACACCAAGCAATGACCTAGTGCACTGAAAAAGAGAAAATGTAAAAATACAAACAGCCCCATGCACGCTCTCCGCCACACACAAACCCCAACATAATGTTATTGGAGACAATAAGGAAACTCTTCAGTCACCGATGTACTTAGCTAACATTTAAGTGGATCAAATAGCTGTTTACAGAAAAGCCATTTATTTCTTTCAAGAGCCAATAAAAGCAAAGCTACTACTCCTCCAATATAATTCAATCTTTTGATATAACAAATATTAGTAATAAGAATAAACAACATTATTACAAGAATGCTTGTTGAATTCCTTAAGGTAGTTATGTACTGTAGTTACTGGAATCTTTCAGTCATTAAATGCCAGTAATGTGTACAGAAAGATAAGACCCAGCTATCAGATTTCTTAAAATTAAGAATGACTAAGACAAACACAAATAGAAATAGGTAATCTATTGGTGCTTACAGAGAACATTTCCTATTTATAAATATGCCCCATTTATAGTATAAAAGAGAACAAATTAATTCAATTAGAATTTGGAAAGTAATTAAAAGTGAAAATGCGAGCCAGATATATTTAACACTATTCTATATATAATATTTTGTCTGGATGAGTATAAATAATATTTCTTCCTTTATTGTGTAGTCTTATTAAATTCAAAGCACAGCTACTTTGTCTAGAAAATCTGTGGTGACATCTTCGATTTATGTTGACATCTTGTATCCTTCAGCAGAGAATGAAAACAAGAAAAGGAGTATGTAAATGCAAAAGGTTTGTATAATTAATCAAATAGTAAATTTGCATCTAAACTCCTTTTATTATTTAATTACTGTGGGCTACCACCCTTAAAAAATTCCAAAAGAAAATTAACATAATCACACTCAAGGATATATTTTTAAGTCCTTATACAAAAATGCCATTTGAATTTCATTCAGTAAACATAAACTATATACAACACTAAAGTTACCAATGTTTTTTTAAAAAATAGATGATGGATAAATATAGATGAAATTTTTGCCCTTTAAATACCAAAACAGGTATGTATTCACAGAAGACATTTATTCCCCTACTTTCTGAGACCACAGTTAAGCATATAAATAAAGGAATTTATAACATAATGTCATCCCAATTCTTTCTGAGAAAACATGGATTGCAAACCAGAAATGAATAAATGTTACATAAAAATGGATCTTAAGCTATGTGAAAAGGCAATATGTACTCTTAGGGAATACCTAACATTCTAAAAATTGATGTTATGAAACAATAAGTTATTTACGACTTTGGTAACATAAGAGTATGGTTAATCCTAGCAATAAAATACCAAAGATAAATAGGAATGAAGACAATTTATCATCAGTACATTAGCTGATGTTCTTTTACACTGGTTTCCATCACATTGGACTCTATGATTACTCTTTTTACCTTTAAGCTTTTTATTCTCTCTCTCCCTTCCTTTTTCTGTTTTCTCTAGTCTTTCTCTTTTTCTCTCACAAGGAGTGTGTATGTGGGTGTGTATACATATAAGACAAATCATTGTATATATAGACATTAAAGAGAAAATATGTGTGTATGTATACACCCTCCCACATACACACACACAGTTAGTAAAAAAAAAAAAAATTACAGAATAGTAACAGGCAGTAGCACACACACACACACACACATACACACACACACACACACACACACTCTCCCTCTCTCTCTCTCTTCATGTTTTCATAGAGGATATTTCCAACCCAGTTTCCCGGAGAGAACACTATGGAAAGAATCTTTCTCTCTTCATCTTCTTAGTCTTCTCAGGGGAGGGGAAGTGATGTCTCTGATAGGGGTTTTGGTAAAAGGAGCCAGGAATACTTGGCTTCCACCTTCCAGGCTCAAATTCTGGGTCTGAGGCCTGCAAAGAGACATTTGGACTTTCTGTGAGCCGCAGTAACCTTTGTTGGCCAGAATTGCTCCAGCGAAAGGCTGTAATGGTATAGTTATGTCTGTGACTGAAGGGAATAAATTTGGCCTCCCCCAAATCTGAAATACATATATATAAACTTCTTGGAGTAAAATTTGAAAATGAGAGAGGGAAATAATTGTACACACACATACATACATGCAAACTTATAGGTGCAATTTTTCCCTCTCTCATTTTCAAATTTTACTCCAAGAAATTAATCCAGCTTCAAATATTCAATTATTTCCTAATTTGTAGTTCTCATATGGGGAATAAAATGGTAGAACTTAACACTCTCAGATACTATTTTAAGTAATTCTAAATCAGAGAATGCCATGGAAATCGGAACACTGGAATGAGGCTACATTTTTTGTGTATGCTATGGACAAAATTATTTTTAGCTATAATTCCCTCATTTGCATGGAGATGTAGTGATAGAGTTCAAGAAACAGAATTCAGGGCAATTCCTTCCCAACTCTAGACTCCACTCTGAATAACATAATTTCAATATTGCTTTTTATAAAAATAAAAATGTATTTTAAAATATTTCATTTTCAGCTTAAAACACTGTGCTTTGAAAAGCATATAATAGAAGCAGACATTTCCTATACAATAAAACGGTGCACTCTGCATTTCAGTTTAAAGTGGCCAACTCTCCTGAACTTAAACACTACTTTCTACAATTCATTGTGGAACTAAACTTTTTTGTGACCAGCCAACTGAAAGCAGTATACATGCAGAGTTATATTCTCCTGATGCTCTGGTCCAATTTTCAAATTTCTTCATCTCTGGAAGCTGCAATATGAACTTAGTTTATTGCATGCACTTCTACTTGTCCAGAATTATAAAGACCCAGAGGCTTTTATATTATTTAACAAAATATTGTTTTTGTAAGAAAATAAGCCAATAAACATGCAGGCATACTGTACAAGTGTAAGGAATCTCCTATTTTATCTTGATGATGACTGTAAGTTGGTCAGAAATAAAATAATAAAACAATTATTAAAGACCACTATATTATATGCCTAGTGTTTATAAAATTTTATGCTATTTATCCCTTATAAGACCTCAATGAGATAGGTTTTATTAACTCCATTTTAAAATGAAGAAACTGAGGCTCAAAACTACAGAGTTAACAGTCAAATTCAGGTCTGGTGGGTGTCAAAACATGCTAAAATTTAAACCCAGTTTAGTATAATGCTTCTTTAAAACTATCAGACACCACTGGGCATGGTGACTCACACCTGTAATCCCAGCTTTAGAAAGCTGAGTTGAGTGTATTGCTTGAGCCCAGGTGTTGAGACCAGGCTGGGCAACATGGCAAAACTGCATCTGCACAAGATATACAAAAATTATGTGGGCATGGTGCCATGTGCCAGTAGTCGCAGCCTCTCCAGAGGCTGAGGTGGAAGGATTGCTTGAACCCAGGGAGGTCGAGACTTCAGTGAGCCGTGATTGCACCACTGCCCTCCAGCTTGGGTGACAAAGTGAGACTGTCTCAAATAAATAGTTCAAAATCTATCAGACACATTAGCTACTCCACTGGTATCTTTAGTCAATATTTTCTGTGAAGTCACATTTTATATTACTTAATATTTATTGAATGTCTTTTTATATAAAAATTCAAAAAGAGTAAGATAATATAAAAGAAAATTCTATCATCTCTGCCCTTGAGCTTAAAATAATTTAATTTCAGACAATTTATTCAGAGTTTAAAGGCCTGATCACACCCGACTATTCCGTTCTGGTTATGGAAAGATTGATGAAATAGACAATGTCTTACCCAATTAGGGTCAGGCAGTGCTGACGCACACACAGAAGAAATAATTAAACACATGCACTAAAAAATAAAGTATATGAATAGAGACAGTGGAGAAGTCAAAGCAAAATGCAGGCAAGATAATCCATAGATTCACAGTTCATACATTTATTGAGCACTGACTGTGCCTGGCATTGTGCTAAATGCTGAAAAAATACCAATCAAGAATATACCCACTCTCTGCCCTCATGGGGAATGAATAGAGAGTACAGAGAAGCAAACAAGCAATGTCAGTGCTGTGTGATGAGGCCGTAAAGGTGCAGAGTGCTCAGGGAATAGACTACCTAAGGCTGCAGGGACTGGCACAGAGCCCTGCCAAAGAGTAGGTAATATTTTATGATTTGTCAAACTGACCAAATGAATGAAGAGAAAGTTACTCTTGAATCCAACCAAGGCAAGAATGATAAGCTAGCATGGGTTTACATTTGAGGACAGCTTGCTAAATGGTTATTTTCAACTCTCCTTTTGACATTTAAAATCTTAGAATAATTAGCTACCTTTCTCCGACTACTATCAATGTTACAATGTTAATCTTATATATATATATGTCATGTTATTTTACAGGATATTCACAGTATAAATTCCTGGCAGCATGTATTGTTCAGTAAGAAAATACAGTATGTACAATAATATTATTTTATGATAAGTATCTTTACATTATGTTTATATACATAAACACAAATACACATGTATGTGAGGGTATTTATGTGTAGAGCAGGGGTCCCCAACCCCTGGGCCACAGACTGATACCAGTCAGTGACCTGTTAGGAACCGGGCCACACAGCAGGAGGTGAGTGGTAGGCAAGCAAGCATTACCCCCTGAGCTCCACCTCCTGTCCCATCAGCAGCAGCATTAGATTCTCATAGAAGCATGAACCCTATTGTGAACTGTGCATGCAAGGGATCTAGGTTGTGTGCTACTTATGAGAATCCAGTGCCTGATGATCTGATGATCCTAGGTGGAACAGTTTCATCCTGAAATTGTCTGGGAAAAAACTGCCTTCCATGAAACCAGTCCCTGTTGCCAAAAAGGCTGGTGACTGCTGGGGTAGGGGTGTAAAACAAATTGATGCTATTAGCATCACAGGTTCACAATGGTTACTTCGCTATTTTTTCATGTTTATTCTATGTTTCTGATTTTCAAAAATTCCTATAATACACACAGAACATGTATTCAAATATGCATGCTAATTTTGATGAATCATTATGCACCACTTGCTGATACAGAAATATATTCAAGGTACTTAGTTTATGATTTTAGTTAAATTGTATAATAAAATGCCTCCTGTTCTGACAGTGATTATTTTTATAGTATATAAGAAAGAAAAACAATCCCTGACAATTGTGCTAAGTAGAGAAATTACATTTTCAACCTCAAAATATCTTAGTGTTTTAATTTTTGTTAAGTACAAATAGCAAACATTTATAGGCTTAAAATCCATATACTTGGTGTTTTGTATGACTTATGTCAGCTAATTCTCACAACAACTCTATGAAGGAGGCACTGTTTTTATCCCCACTTCATAGATATGGAGACTGAGGCTTAGGTTTAGAAAATGAACAGGGGTCATGTAACTACTAGCAGGCAGAACAGGTACTGTATTTTAACCCAGGTAACTCCTGAGCTCACAGTTTTAATCACAGACTATACTGTATCTTTCAGCTTTCTCATAATACTATAAAATTAACTTGAAAAAATACAAAGTGGCCAGGCATGGTGGCTCACACCTGTAATCCCAGCACTTTGGGAGGCCGAGGCCAGAGGATCACGAGGTCAGGAATTCGAGACAAGCCTGGCCAATATGGTGAAACCCAGTCTCTACTAAAAATACAAAAATTAGCCAGGTGTGATGGCGCACCCCTATAGTCCCAGCTACTCAGGAGGCTGAGACAGAAGAATCACTTGAACCCGGGAGGTGGAGGTTTCAGTGAGCCAAGATCATGCCACTGCACTCCAGCCTGGGTGACAGAATGAGACTCCATCAAAAAAAAAAAAAAAAGTACAAAGTAACACAAATTATGCTTTGAAACACTAGTTTATGCCTTCTAAAAGAATGTCTGCCTTTTATCTCTACATCTTAATGAATGTACATTAAGATAATACTAATTATACAATTTTTGAAGGGAAAAATAAGATTAAATGATCTTTTAAAATTGAGACTTAAATTTCAATTTAGGTCAACTTGTTTTAATCAGATTCACCCTGCTGTATACAGTGAATACATGAGGTTACTATGCCAATCAAACAAGAATTATTCCCAGGTTGTTTGCAAATACCCAGTCTCAGAAGATAAAGTTATATAAGGTCTGTTATATTTTAAATGGAGACAAAACCATATTCTTAGAAGATAGAAGAGTCCATCCCAAGCTGCTACGGAAGTATTAGTCCAAACTGCACCATTTTGTAAGCTCCCTGCTATTTTGCAGAGCTTGGTCAAAGTGAAACATTTCAGGGGGGTTTGGGCCATGAGAGACATCCTCCCCAACCACCTGGCCACAAGACTGACAAAAGCCCAACTGAAGAAACATCCCTATCATATCTTGCTGGAAAAAGGCCCAAAGAACACCAGGATGAGAACCCACCAGAACAAGGGCCAGAACCGCCTCATCATGGGAACATTTTGTCAATATCCTGCCAGAAAGCAAGCCATACTGCCCAGACCCCTCCTGCTCATAACTGTAAGTACCCCCAGCCTGCAAGCAATGGGGGGCTCTGGCATTAGGCTGGTTCCCCTCTTCTGAAGGTTTTATGGTGCACATAAAGCCTGCATTTGCTGTTGACCCGCCTTCTTTCTGTGTGTGTGTGTGTGTGTGTGTGTGTGTGTGTGTGTGTGTGTGTGTGTTTCTTTAACGCTTCCCTTCCCTTCAAAACCTAACCAGAGGTAGAACACTTCTTCTTCTTTTTCTTCTTCTTCTCCTTCTGCTTCTGCTTTTTCTTCTTCTTCTTCTTCTCCTTCTCCTTCTTCTTCTTCCTCCTCCTTCTCCTCCTCCTTCTTCTTCTCCTTCTTTTCCTTCTTCTCCTTCTTCTTCTTTTTTTTTTAAATGGAGTTTCACTCTTGTTGCCCAGGCTGGAGTGCAATGGCATGACCTTTGCTCACTGCAACCTCTGCCTCCTTGGTTCAAGCAATTCTCCTGCCTCAGCCTCCCAAATAGCTGGGGTTACAGGCGCCCGCCACCACGCCTGGCTAATTTTTGTATTTTTAGTAGAGATGGGGTTTCACCATATTGGCTAGGCTGGTCTCCAATTCCTGACTTCAGGTGATCCACCCGCCTCTGCCTCCCAAAGTACTGGGATAACAGGCGTAAGCCACTGTGCCCCGCCCCAATCTTCTAAGAGAACGCTTTCATTTGCTCAAATTCATTACCCCTGTTATCCTAACAACTTCCTGAGTGTGAGTGATCTCTTTGTAAGAGACTTAACCGTCCAAGAGTGTGAGATGACAACAGAAGTGGGATGCATGCCTACAGATGGTTTCTGGCTAATTGTGACTATCACAAGGTTGGCATCTAAATAGAAGATCTATTAGCTACTTTTCAAATAGTAGAAGATGATATTATAATGGATGAGACTGTTAAGATTATGTATTCTAAAAACATTTTTACATATTTTTAAAAGGTGACTTTTTTTGAACAACTGTGGTTATCTTTCACTACCTAAATAAAGGCAAATTTGAAAATTACAACTACTGTTACTACTAATATATACAAATGATATTTCCATTTAAATTCTATTTCTTGAAAGGAAATTCTGCAGTAGAGGCCGGTACGTCCTTGCCAATTGGCAAGAAGTCAAAGAGTTTAGCCTTGGAAGTAAGTGTTGAACAAGCCTAGAGGGATGCTGCTTGCTAACCCAGGCTCATCTCTACCATTTAAAGAAAAAATATATACTGAAGCATACTTTTAAGGGTAGCAATATACTTTTATTCTACAGAGGTTCCTAATTACTTATAACCCAATTGCAAATTTAGTTTTGAACATTTTGTCAGTGACTCTTTATGAAAGAAAAGATGCAAATTTTCTGTACGTAGAGATGAAGTACTCAAATTTACCAACTAGAGTGATACAAGTGACTTGTCTAGGAGAGTGAAGTTGAAATGAGTTATCTCCTACATTTGTCAGTTTGGGGAAGATATTTCATTATTTCTGCTGTCATTCACATAGGGAGCAGGACTTTTTTCTTCCACATTTGATTGTGGGGCTTCATAGTAAAATTAAAGAGTAGAAAGGGCTGCTGAGTTGTGCTCTGTTAGCATCACACTGTCAGATAGTACACTAATAAATAAAGTGGTAATTAGGATATTTAAAAATAATGACAAGGGTATTCTTGGGAGGGTTGTCCCAGGAGGGCAGAAGCCATCATACACAAGATCTAGTCATCATTGCAAGTCTACCAATACATATCAGAGTTAATGATTTGGGACCTGACCCAGGTGTCACATCCATCTCCTTGAGCAATATCTGGATTCAGACCCACTTGCTATTAAATATTAATACAAGGTCACTGACAGTGAAGTATAGCCTGGAAATAAGCCTGTTTTCCAGCATCACAGCACTCTTCTCTGTATTTCCAGTGGAATAATTGGTATCAAAAACTGATATGAATATGATAACCAAGCAAAGGAACAAAAACTTTAATTCTAATAATCTGAAACTGGTGAAATTCTAAAAGGATAAGCTGAATTAAAACCATAAGAAATGTTGGCTAAGTTTTTGACCACTGCTAAACAATTGTGTAAAATAATAAAAGTATGAATGAATATATTTAACACAATGAATTCTACTCTTTAGGAGGCACAGTGTTAGGGATTGTATAATTAGGTCTTTAATCTTTGTGGAGCCCCTATAAAGTAGGATCTATTATTATCCCTACTTTATAAACAAGAAAAATACTCTTTAACATCTGGGGAAGTCCAAGGAGTAACTTGTCCAAGGTCACACTATTTGTGGCAGATAGAAGATGGTCACAAACTCCTTCAACTCTTACTGTTGAGAAGCGGGTCTATGTTCCCTCGCCTTGAGTCTGGATGAACTCTGTAACCGCTTTGACCAGTTTATTACATAGAAGGGATATTAGGTCAATTTCTGAACCTGGGCTCTCCTCTCCTTTCCTATCTCTGGGAACACTCTCTCTGAAGAAAGCCAGCCTACTAGCCTGTGTGTATAAAAAACACCTCCTGAAAGACCACCATGTTATTAGAAAACCCAAGCTAGCCAAGTAAAAAGGCCACGTTGAGAGAAGAGATTCTCAGTCATCCCTCAGCCATTCCAATCCTGCCTCAGCAGGCAGACATGACAGTGAAAGAGCCATTATATGACTCTAATTAGAGTTGGCCCCAGCTGCTGACTACACCTGCATTAGAAACCACAATGAAAGCTTCTCTTCTGAACTGAAACAATTCAGAATTATGAGAGGTAATAATAATGTTGTTTAAACCACTAATGTTTTCATCTACTTGGTTTTTTAGCAAAAACATAATAATACAAATTTTTAAAATAAAAAAATTGTTGGCATCTAACTTTGGGTCATATTAAAACATGTAAAAAAAATAATAAATAAACCACTAATTTTTTTTCTTTCAACTTTTATGTTAAGTTCAGGGGTACATGTCCAGGATGTGCCAGTTTGTTACACAGGTAAACATGTGCCATGATAAACCACTTTTTTTTTATGTGGTTTGTTACTCAGCGATAGATAACCCAAAACTGTTTATTGAGTGGCAGAGCTAGGATCTGGGTAGTAGCAGATAAAACCTTTGATCCATTTATTGCAGCTGTGGTGACATGAATAAAGCAGCAGTTCTCAAATTTTGGTCTACAGATTCCTGGGGACTTATGAGACCTCTGCACAGGGTCTACAAGGTCAAAACAATTTCATAATGACACTAAGGTATTATTTTTCTGTATCACTATGTTGACATTGGCACTAATGGTGCAGAAGCACTGGTGGGGAAAACTGCCAACGCCTTAGCCTGAATCAAGGCAGTGACACCAAGCTGTGTGAGTAGGCATCATATTCTGATGGCCACACATTTAAATTTTCAACCATTTTCATTTTATTTAAAAATATGCTAGATGAAGCAGTAAACATTGTTAATTTTATAAAATCTTGACCCTTGAGTCCACATATTTTGAATTGTGTGACGAAATGGGAAGTAGACAAAAAAAATCCACCTTTATACCTGCCATCTGAAGAAAAGCAATTGAGGATTGAACTGTGAGATAAACTACCTGCATTTCACGCAGAACAGCATTTTTCTTTAAAAGAAAAACTGACAGACAAGCTATGCTTATTCAGACTTGGGTATCTGACAGGCGTTTTCTTGAAAATAAGCAAAATAAGCCTGTCACTTCAAGGAAAACAATCAACACTACTTTTGCCAGTGATAAAATTTGAGTTTTCAAGCAAAAATAAACATTTTGGAAAGTTGTATCTTTCACCATGAGCTTGATAGCTCCCCAGTACCTAAAAACTTTTCTGGCTGGGCACCATCGCTCATGCCTGTAATTCCAGCACCTTGAGAGACTGAGGCAGGAGGATCACCTGAGTCCAGGAGTTCGAGACCAGCCTGGGCAACATTGCAAATCCTGTCTCTAGAAAAAAAACAAAAATGAGTTGGGTGTAGTTCCAGCTACTCGGGAAGCTGAGGTGGGAGGATCACCTGAGCCCGGGGAAGTCGAGGCTACAGTGAGCCATGATTGTGCCACTGCACTCCAGCCTGGGTGACAGAGTGGTAGAGATTCTGTCTCAAAGAAAACAAAACAAAGCAAAACAAAAACAACTTTTCTGAGGAAGTTAGCAATGATATTAACAAATAATTGTTGAAGTTGCATAATGTAATGTATTGACATTTGGAAGGTCTACATAAATCAGTGAAGCAATATTTCCCAATTGACTAATCCATGATGGTAAAAAATTACTCACAAGGTAAGATCCATTCAAAGTGCAAAATAAAGCAACAGAATTTATATGCAACACAGTATCCAAAGTTTGTTGATATGGTTTCAGATTCCACATTGCAACTTTTAAAAACTCCTACTTGTCGAGTTTTACCATAATATCTAAGAGCAGTATCCACAATTATCTAAAAAGCTATTAAAATACTCCTCATTTTTCTGACTGCAGTTTTGTGAGGCCATATTTTCTTCATACGCTTCAACCAAAACAACATACTACTATAGATTGAATGTAGAAGTAGATATGGGACTCCAATTGTCCTTTATTAAGCCAGGCATTAAAGAGATCTGCAAAAATGTAAAACAGTGCCACCCTTCTCACCAAATTGTTTTTGTTTTGGAAAATAGAGGGTATTTTTACAAACACACAAGTGTGTTATTTATGTTACAATGTAATTGTTTTACTGTTGTTATTTTAAAGTAACAATACATATTTAAAAATTTATTAGTTATAATTTCTAATATGATAAATACCAATAAATATAACCCACATAAAAACACATTGGGTTTCCCAACAACATTTAAGAGTCTAGAGGAGTCCTGATATTAAAAAGTTTCAGAGCCACTGCTCTAAAATAAAACATCAGTTCACATGCCACATATACAAACATTGCCTGTTTGGACATTCATTATGAGATGAGATCATATGGCCCAGGCAGCAAAGAAGTAGGCCAAGAATCAGAAATGTGTAATTGCCCAACGGGTTCTTCCTGCCCACTGCACAGACAAAATCAATCCACTGAGATGGCAGCATTGCAGTAGAGAGAGTTTAATTGATATGAGGCTGGCCCATGAAGGAGAACTGGAATTATCACTCAAATCAGTCTCTCCGAAGGCTTGAAGCTCAGGGTTTTTATGGACAATTTGGTGGGCAGGGGGCTAGGAAATGGGTGCTATCAATTCGTTGGGGACGAAATCATAGGAATTGTGGAAAACGATCCTCGTGCATTGAGTATGTCTCTGGATGGGTCCACAGGACCAGCTGATTCATGGGTCATGGGTCCAAGTGGGGTCAATCTGAAACATATCTCAAAAATCCCCAATCTTACATTCTTCAATAGTGATGTTATCTGTAGGAGCAATTGGGAAGGTCATAAATCTTGTGACCTCTGGCCATATTACTCCCAAGCAGTAAGGAATTATAGAAACTACACATATCTTGTGACTTGTCATTAGTCTTATAAAGCTGGTTTCAGCCTCAAACAGGGAGGGGATTCATTTGAGGGGAGGGAGGGACTTTTATCATTCTTGCTTCAAAGTTAAACGATACACTAAATTCCTCCCAAAGTTAGCTTGGCCTATGCCCAGAAGTGACCAAGGACAGCTTGGAGGTCAGAAGCAAGATGGGGTTAACTATGTCAGATTTCTCTTACTGTCAAAATTTTTCAAGGGCAATTTCAATTAGGCCTGTCAAAAATCATCTGCAGATAGCATCATAAGAGAAATTATGAGTGTACTCAATGTAGAATGGTCTGATGGTCATATATCAGAGACACACCTGTAGTAGTGCTTTTTGTTGTTGCATTTAACAATACTAATTAGAAATGACAACCTCTTTATACTAATTATATAGACTTCACAATTTATATTTACACACAGAAACACACAGAGTGTTATGTCATAAAGTTGTTACCGGTTGTTAACACAGAACTTTTACCTTTAACCGTGTTCTATTTTCACTAAGCAAGAAAGCTAAATAATAAACCCCTGTTTCACATTTACAGCAATGTCCTTCCTGGGTTGACAGCATGTCTGCTAAGAGTGTCATTATTAGTTCCCAGCTGGAGAGTGGATTTTATTCCCTAGGTTCAGACACTTAATGCTCTGTAACAATATCCTTAGGCAATTTTTACAATCTTATTATTACATGAGGGGGAAGAATAAGTCCAAAAGTGGCAGACTGTAAGGGGGAAAAAAACCCTTAAGTAATTAGGGAAAGATATTAGAAAAGGTGCACGTCTGTGTTATGCTTGAATTCTTCTTTAGAAAAATTTCAAACACAAATTTTTATCTGAAGCTTTTCTGGAGCAGGGCCTTAGTGAGAATGCTGTTGCTAACTCTGCAATTTATTTTTAGTCTGAATTGCTGATAACCCCTTTGTTCTGTTTACAACCCACACACTCATGAAACATTCCCTCTCTTCCTAGCACAAGAATCAGTTGCTGCTGTGCTCTGGGAAGACAGTCATATTGTCACTACCAGAAGTATGACTCATTTTGATAAGAAGCCCGCATTTCATCAAGATAGTGTTGCCATGGCAAATAGATACAGTATCGAGTTCTGTGTGAATCCAAGGGAATAGAATTAACACTGCAAGTGCAGATGCAGTTATATTAATCTAAGTGCATACACGTATACTGTTGATTCAAAAGCTACTGGAGTTATGTCTTACTTCTCTTAAGTATTTCAGGTTGCATAAAGAGTAGCAACTTGTTACCAGAAAAATTCAAAGGTTTTTGAAATTAATAAGTTTTCTTTTATTTAAGCAGTTTTAGGTTCAAAGAAAATTGAACAGAAAGTACAGAGAGATCCCTTATACCCACTGCCACCACCACGCCACAACCCCACCACACAACCTCCCTCACTATGAATTTCCCACCAGAGTGGTACATTTGTTGCTATCGCTGAACCCACATTGACATGTCATTATCACGCAGAGTCTACAGTTAACATTAGAATTCATTCTTGGTATTGTAAGTTTTATGCATTTTAACAAACATATAATGACACATACCCTCCTTTGTAGTATCCTACAGAATAGTTTCACTGCCCTAAAAATCCTCTGTGCTTTGCCTATTCATGCTTCCCATCCCCCTGACCCTTAACAGCCACTGATCTTTTCACTGTCTTCATAGTTTGTCGTCTCCAGAATGTCATATGGATCTAAGCAGACAATATGCAGCCTTTTCAGGTTGGCTTCTTTCACTTAGTAATATGCATTTATGGTTTCTCCATGCTTTTCCATGGCTTGATTATTCATTTCTTTCTAGCACTGAATAATATTATTTTGTCTGTGTGTACCACAGCTTATTTACTCATGCACCTACAGAAAGACATCTTGATTGTTTCTACATTTTGGCAAATATGAATAAAGCTCCTATAAACATTTGTTTTCAGGATTTTGAGTGAGCATAAGTTTTCAATTCACTTGGGTAAACACCAAGAAGCAAGATTACTGGATCACACAGTAAGAATATGTTTAGTTTTACAAGAAAGTGCCAAACCATCTTCTATATTGTACCATTTCGCATTCCGACCATCCATAAATGATGGTTCCGGTTGCTCCACATCCTCACCAGCATTTGGTACTGTCAGTGTTTTGGATTTTGGTGATTCTAATACGTGCGTAGTGGTATCTCATTGTTACTTTAATATGCAGTTCCCAAAGGATATATAATGTTGAATATCGGTTCATATGCTTACTCACCACCTATATATCTTCTTTAGTAAGATTTCTGTTCAGATCTTTTGCCCATTTTTTAAATTGGGTTGTTCATTTTCTTATTGTTTAGTTTTAAGAGTTTTTGGCATATTTAGGATAATAATCCTATATCAGATGTGTGTTTTGCAAATATTTTCTCCTAGTGGGCGGTTTGTCTTCAGTCTCTTGATACTGTCTTATACAAAGCAGAAGTTTTAAATTTAATAAAGTCCAGCTTATTAATAATTTATTCCTTGAATCATGCCCTTCTTGTTGTATCTAAAGAGTTATTACTATACCCAAGGTCATCTAGGTCGTCTTTGTTATATTCTAGGAATTTCATAGTTTTGCATTTTACATTTAGGTCCATGAACCATTTTGAGTTAATTTCCCTGAAGGGTGTAAGGTCTGTGTGTAAATTCTTTTTTTTTTTTTTTTTTTTTTTATATATGTATGTCCTGTTCTTCCAGTACCATTTGTTTAAAAGACTATCTTTGTTCCATTGCATTTCTTTCACCCTTTTATCAAAGATCAGTTGACTATATTCATGTAGGGCTATTTCTGGGCTCTCTTTTTCTGTTCCATTGATCTATTTGTCTATTATTTTTCTAATACCATGATGTCTTAATTACTATAGCTTTAAAGCAAGCTTATTCAACCCATGGCCCACAGGCTGCATGTGGCCTAGGACGGCTTTGATTGAGGCCCAACACAAATTCGTAAACATTCTTAAAACATTATAGGATCTTTTTGCAATTTTTTAAAGCTCATCAGCTGTCATTAGTATTAGTGTATTTTATGTGTAGCCCAAGACAATTATTCTTCTTCCAGTGTGGCCCAAGGAAGCCAAAAGATTGAACATCCCTGCTTTAGGGTAAGTCTTGAAGTCAGATAGTGGCAGTCCTCTGGTTTTGTTCTTCTACATCAATATTCTATTGGCTATTCTGGATATTTTGCCTCTCTATATAAACTTCAGAATTAGTTTGTCTGTACCCACAAAATAACTCGCAGGGATTTTGACTGAGATTGTGTTGAATCTATACATCAAGCTGGGAAGAACTGAAATCTTGTCACTATTGAGTCTTCCTGTACATAACCATGGAATATCTATCCAATTATTTAGTTCTTTTTGGATATCTTTCATCAAAGTTTAACTCATATAGATTTTATAACTATATTGTTAGATTTATACTAAGTATTTCATCTTGGGTGGGTGTTAATGTAAGGTAACACATTTTAAATTTCAGAATTCACTTTTTCATGGCTGGTATAAAGGAAACTAATTGACTTTTGTGTATTTGCCTTTTATCCTTCAACCTTGCTATAATTATTTAATTCAAGGATAATTTTTTGTTGATTATTTCAGATTTTCCACATTGGCAGTTATGTCATTTGCAGACAAAGACAGTTTTATTTCTTCTTTCCCAATCTGTGTATCTTTTATTTTCTTCTCTCCTTGCCTAATTGCATTAGCCAGAATTTCCAGTATGATGTTGCAAATCAGTAGTGAGAGGAGGACTTTTTGCCTTTTTTCTTGATCTTGTGGGGGAAGCATTGAGGTTCTCACCATTAAGTATGATGGTAGCTGTAGGGTTTGTTTGTTTGTTGTTGTTTTTTAAGGTGTTCTTTACAAAGTTGAGGAAGTTTCTCCCTTTTTCTGGTCTACTAAGAGTAACATGAATGGGTACTGAATTTTGTCTTCATCTATTGATATGATTGTGTGATATTTCTTCTTTTGCCTGACATGCTAAGATACAATAATTGATTTTTAAATGTTCAACTAGCCTTGCATACCTGGGATAAATCCCACTTGATCATGGTGTATACTTTTTTTCTAGATTGTTGGATTCAATATGCTAACATTTTGCTGAGGATTTTTTGCATTTATGTTCATGAAAGATATTTGTCTATAGGGTTTTTTTTCTGTAATGTTTTTGTCTTGTTTTAGTATTACAATAATGCTGGTCTCTTGGAATAAGTTAGAAAGTCTTCCTTTCTGCTTCTATCTTCTGGAAGATATTGTAGAAAATTAGTGTAACATCTTTCTTAAATGTTTGGTAGAATTCATGAGTAAACCCATCTGGACCTGGTTCTTTCTATTTTGAAAGGTTATTAATTATTGATTCAATTTATTTAATAGGTATCAGTCTATTTAGATTGTCTATTTCTTCTTATTTGAGTTTTAACGGATTGTGCTTTTCAAGGAACTGGTCCATTTCATCTAGGTTATTATTTTTATGGGCATAGCATTCTTCACAATGTTCCTTTATTGTCTTTTCAATATCCATGGAATCTGTGGTAATGTCCCCTCTTTGATTTTTGATATTAGTAATTTGTGTTCTCTCTCTCTCTCTCTCTTTTTTTCTTAGCCTGGCTGGAGGCATATTAGTTTTATTGATAATTTCAGAGAACAAGCTTTTGGTTTCGTTGATTTTCTCTGTTGATTTCCTGTTTTAAATTTCATTGATCTCTGCTTTATTTTTTATTATCTTTTTTCATCTACTTACTTTGAATTTAATTTGCTCTTCCATTGCTAGTTTCTTAAAGTAGAAACTAAGATTCTTAATTTTAAATCTTTCTTATTTTTTAATATATGCATTGAATGCTAAAAAATTTCCTCTAAGCACTACTTTCACTGCTGCATCCCCAAAATTTTGTTGTGCTTTTATTTTTATTTTATTAAATTTTTTTTTGTCATCTCTTGAAATTTCTCCTTTGATCCACATGTTACTTAGTGATGTTTTGCTTAATCTGCAAGTATTTTGGGATTTTTCCAGTTATCTTTTTGTTATTGATTTCTAGTTTAATTCCACTGTGTTCTGAGAGCAAACATTGTATGATTTCTATTCTTTAAAATTTATTAAAGTAGGTATTATCACCCAAAATGTGGCTTTTCTTGGTAAATATTCCATGTGAGCTTGAGAAGAATGTGTATTCTGCTATTGTTAGATGAAGTAGACTATAGATGTCAATTATATCCAGTTGATTAATAGTGTTGTTGAGTTCAACTACATTCTTACTGATTTTCTGTCTGTTGAATCTGTTCATTTCTAATAGAGAGGTGTTGAAGCCTCCAACTACATAGTGGATTCGTTTAGTTCTTCTCTCAGTTCTATCTGTTTTTGCCTCACTTGTTTTGATGCTCCTTTTTTAGGCACATGCAAGTTAAGCATTGTTATGTCTTCATGAGGAATTGACCCTTTATCATTATGCAATGCCTATTTTTATCCAATAAAGTTACTTGCTCTAAAGTCTATTTTGTCTGAAATTAATATAGGTATTACTGCTTTCCTTTGATTAATGTTAGCATGGTATAGGTTTTCTATTTCTTTACCTTTAATGTATATATGTCTTTATGTGTAATGTGAGTTTCTTGTAGACAACATAGAGCTGGAGATTATTTTTCCATCCACTCTGACAATTTATGGCTTTTGATTGTTATATTTGGAAAATGGACATTTAAAGTAATAAATGATATAGTTAAATTAATATCTACCATGTTTGTTACCATTTTCTATTTGTTGCCTTTGTTCTTCATTCCCTTTTTGTCTTTCATACTTTTTCTGCCTCTTTGCAGTTTTAATTGAGCCTTTTATATAATTCCATTTTCTCTCCTTTCTTAGCATACCAATTATACTTTATTTTTTACTTTTTTTTAGTTGTTGCCTTGGAGTTTGAATTATACATTTACAATTAATCCAAGTCTACTTTCAAATGCCACTGTATAGCTTCACAGGTGGTACAAGTATCTTATAGTAACAGAATAATCTCAATTCCTTTCTTCCATCCCTTGTATCATTATTGACATTCATTTCACTTATACATAAGTATACATAAGCATATCTAGATAGATAGTTGGATATAAGCATACACAGTTGAATTAATTGTTGTTATTATTTTGAACAAACTGTTATCTGTAAGGTCAATTAAAAATAAGAAAAATAGAAGTTTTTACTTTACCTTAACTTTTGCCTCCTCTGATGTTCTTTCTTTCTTTATATAGAACTAAGTATCTGACCTATATTATTTTCCTTCTTTCTAAAAAATGTCTTTTGACATTTCTTGCAAGGCAAGTCTACTGGCAACACATTTTCTCAGTTTTTGTTTGTCTAATATTTTTTCTTCACTTTTGAAGGAAAATTTTATAAGGTACTGACACCTAGGTTAGTGTTTTCTTTCTTTTAACCCTTGAATTTATTTCACTCCACTGTCTTCTTGCTTGCATGGTTTCTGAGGAGATGTTCGATGTAATCCTTATCTTTGGTTTTCTATAGATAAGATGTTCTTTTCTTCTGGCTTCTACCAAGATTTTTAATTTACCCTTGAATGTTTTTCTAGTTTGAATATGATATGCCTAGGCATAGCTCTTTTGGCATTTATCCTGCTCTGTGTTCTCTGAGTTTCCTGGATCTGTGGCTTGGTGTATGACATTAATTTAGGGAAATTTGCAATCACTTTAGGAGGCCAAGGATGGAGAATTGCTTGAGGCCAGGAAAGACCAACCTGGGCAACATAGTGAGACCCCATCTCTACAATTTTTTTTTTTTAATTAACTGGGCATGGTTGTGAGTGTTTGAAGTCCCAGTTACTCAGGCAACTAAGGTGGGATGATTGTTCGAGCCCAAGAAATGAAGGCTGCCATAAGCTATGATTGAACTACTGTACTCCAGCCTGAGAATCAGAATGAGACTCTGTCTCAGAAAATAATAATAATAATTTTTAATGTAAATACAATGGGCAGCTTTTAAACTTGAAGTTTTTCTGAAACTACAAAAATAATAGCTCTTGATTTGCTAGTGAATAGGTGATAAAGGGTGGTGTAGGAAGGTATGGACAAGATTTAAAGCAAAAATAAAAATAGATTTAATGGAAGTGTATTTGGTTAAAATGATACACTTCAGAATGTTTTTACTGCTCTATAAATGTCGGACCAAAAAGTAAAAATAACATAGTAGTTTAAGAATACTCAATATCACATAAATTGCTTCTAAAAATGGCCAAAAGTTTATCTGTTAAAAGCATTCACGGGCTGGGCGCAGTGGCTCATGCCTGTAATCCCAGCACTTTGGGAGGCCGAGGCGGGTGGATCGCGAGGTCAGGAGATCGAGACCATCCTGGCTAGCATGGTGAAACCCCATCTCTACTAAAAATACAAAAAATTAGCCAGGCGTTGTGGCCGGCGCCTGTAGTCCCAGCTACTTGGGAGGCTGAGGCAGGAGAATGGCGTGAACCCGGGAGGCGGAGCTTGCGTTGAGCCCAGATTGTGCCACTGCACTCCAGCCTGGGCAACAGAGCAAGACTCTGTCTCAAAAAAAAAAAAAAAAAAGCATTCACTATTCCTCACATTTTAGCTGTTTTTAAAATATTGAATGGTTCTTCTTTATCACAGACAAATTATATTTTTCCATTACCTTTCTCCAGAGCCTAATTCCTCCACCCTTACTCTGCAGTGTTTGTATCCACTATAGCTTTACCTCTCCTTCACCTTCACCATGCAATCCAAAACGCTCTCAGAAAGGATATTGGCAGAGGAGAGGAACTACTCAGGTGCTGCTAATTTGACTGGACAGGGTATAACAAGTCCATGTTGCAGTAGACATAATATGGCATGTGTAGTATAACTTTTCTGTAGTTTCAAGTAATAGATACATCTTAATTTATTGGTGATTTTGGTTGATTAATTTTAAATTATGTGTTCCCAGATAATTGGGAGTTAAACCCAACATAGTGCATAGTGCATAGTTCACTCATTTCTCCTTGCATTCATTCAACATTTATTGAGGGCCCATTACATACTACTCATTGACATCAGTGAATTCATAGGTAAATAAGGGATCCATACAAGAAAATCAATTATTTTAGACAATGTTATTTGAATGGCATATTTAAAGGTCTTTTGGTTGCAGGTAATGGAAACTATATTCAAGTAACTTAAGCAAAAAGGAGATATTGACTAGAAGCAAAATGAAACAGCTCATAAAAATCTGTGTTAAACAAGCTCCAGAAAGCAGAAAAAAAAAAAAAAATCTTAGTGATCACTTCAAGATAAATTTGTAGACCTTCCTCTGAGTGGGTTGCCTATGTCACTCAAAGTTCAAGATATACTATTTTTAGAAAGGAGGTGCTGATTATTCTTATTCGAGTGGGCAGAGTCAAGTTGTACAAGCACAGTTGTTGGAGGCTCACCTGTTGGACCTGGATGTATCAGCATGACACCTGGATCTGAAGTAGCCACTTCAAGATCATCAAGCTAGCCCTAGGACAAAAATCAATGCACGTAGAAAAGATAAAAACGGCCGGGCGCGGTGGCTCACGCCTGTAATCCCAGCACTTTGGGAGGCCGAGGCGGGCGGATCACGAGGTCAGGAGATCGAGACCATCCTGGCTAACACGGTGAAACCCCGTCTCTACTAAAAATACAAAAAATTAGCCGGGCGTGGTAGCGGGCGCCTGTAGTCCCAGCTACTCGGGAGGCTGAGGCTGGAGAATGGCGTGAACCCGGGAGGCGGAGCTTGCAGTGAGCCGAGATCGCGCCACTGCACTCCAGCCTGGGCGACAGAGCGAGACTCCGTCTCAAAAAAAAAAAAAAAAAAAAAAAAAAAGATAAAAACAACTCAGCCTAGAAATAGGGGTTGCAGGGAGAGAAAGTGGTTAGGAAAATGACTGAATTTAGAAATACCACTGGTTGAGTAGTAGTTAAATGATTTAAAATATAGAAAAAGGGCACTGAGAAAATGAAAAACTACAGCATGTTTGGAAAAACTTGGTTCATTCTGTAGGGACAACCATTTATTGAATAAGACAGGGGATCATTAAAAGTAGGGATTCGGAATGCTATGAAGGGAGTCTAAATTTTATTTGTACATTCTAGTTGTATTTTCCTGGGACATATTTGAAAGATCCTCTTTACCTCATCGTCTTGACGAATTCAAGCTGATCTTTGAAGACTCAACTCAAAACCCTCAAACAGTGTAATGTCTTCACAGAAAAACAACATACTACCCACAAATGTTAGTCATACCTTTTGTTGTACTTAAATATTATATTGATATAATTTGGTTTATGTGTCTAGGGATATATGAATAGCCCAGAATGTAATTTAATATCTGATATACAGAAGCACTCACCTAAAGTTTCCTATAATTGAACTGAAAGTAAAGGGGAAATTAAAGAATTTTGAGTTGGGTCTGACATGATAAGATTTGTGAGATGGTTTCATAGTCATATATTGCACCAAGACAAGACTGAAGACCAGAGAAAAGATTGGTACAATAGTCCACATAAAAATGCTGACAGCCACAATGAGTGCAATGACACTGGGATTGAAAGAGAGGAAAGGATTGATTTCTAATACGTAGGATTAGAAATTAGGAGATAAAGAAATGGAGGCTTGAAGATAACTTTCAGCTGTCAGATTTGGCGACTGGATGATTTTGGTACCAATGTTTAAGGTAGCAAATTCAGGTAAGGGACATGTTAGTCATCAGCAGCAATAGGTTTCATTTAGGAAATGTTGCATTTGGTATATAACAGGGGCGTCCTGGTATATTCAACTCCAGATCAACTAGTTCAAGAAGGCAAGATATTCTTCTTATATTGTCCCAAACCCCCTAGGGCTGCTGTGAGGATTAAATGTGCTAATGGTTGTAAAAGATTTAGCATAGGGTCAAGGAAGGGTTCACTGAAACATCTGTCATTGTTTTTATGAGTGGAAAGCTAAAAGTCTTCACTAATAATATCAAGATTGCACTTCCACTGCTCTAAGCTAGCTTCTGATAACTTTGTTCAACAAAAGGTATAATGGGTTTTCTTAATCTGGCCCTAGAATATAGTTCAATGCTTTCTATTCTGCCTTAAGGTATCTATACTAGTCAGACCACTTTTAAGGACCATGAAAGTATCTCAATAGGTGTGGCCAGAAAAAAAAAATCTAGAAATAACAAAGTTAGTTTTACAGAACTTTACCTTACATGATGTTCCCATTATTTCCTACAAAGAAGGGTACCAGGGAAACATAAACATTTAAACATAAGATCTAGGAATGTGGATCTTAAATTTTCAAACATTTACAATCATGGGGTTCTATTGAGTTCATATTTCACATTTATAAAATCAAATTACTAAAACTAAAATTAACAACTCAATCTTTTATTGGAATCAAGGCTCATGTGTTATTTATGTAGGTAATTCCAGTTGTGACACATAGCTGTCAGATAGCAGTTGCTCAATAAAGTATTTCTGTAAAAATAGCTATAGGAAACAGGACCAACTTGCAGCTCTCACTTGGACAGACAGAACAGTGTGTACAGACTCATATTGTGAACTTCTGCTCCAAGAACTACTGCAGGGACACACCAGGAAAAGCGAAAGAATTCACATACCCTTTGAAAGAAGCGGTTTGCCACTGCAAACTCGATGAGACAGCCAAAAAATCTCAAAGTGTGAAAGAGGATGTCAGTCTCTGAACATACATCCTCACTGGGGAATCTGAAAATCCATATTGTGGGAGAAGAATCTAACCTTACCTAGAGCTGAAATATAAATATATAAATTTATATAAATATAAATTTAGAGAGCTGAGTGAAATAGACAAGTAGAAGCAGCAGCTGGAAGAGCCCTGTAGGCATTCCCGGCCCACAAGGAAGGCCAGGGAAGCCATTTCTGACTTTCTCTCACAGGGGTCCTTGGGGAGGGCTGCCAGTGGAATTGCAGAAAGACCACTAGGAGAAGGAAACTTCTAGCTGAACATTGTAATATGTTTACTTGAATGCAAATTTACTTGGATAGAATCTGGGTGGGGGGTGAGGGGGTGAATGGGAAATGCAGATACCAGCACAGAATCCACCGCAGACTGGGAGGGGTGAAGCCTGAAAGCGCTGTTTGTTTCCTCAGTGGGGAAGTTTGTAGCCTAGGGCAAGTTCTCAGCCCTGCTCACTGGCTGCCTAGATGTAAACCTGGTGCTGTTGGGGTAGTACAAAGGAGTGAAATCGGCCTTTCTGGCTGCATGGGAACTGGGTGAGGCCTGTCATTGCTGGTTTTTCCCCACTTCCCTGCAGACCTGTATGATGCAGCAGAGGCAGCCATAATCCCCCTGGGAACATGACTCCATTGGCCTAAGAACCACACCCCCATCCCCCACAGCTGCCACAGCAAGCCCTGACCAATGAAAGTCTGAGCTGAGACATGCCTAACCCTGCCCCCACCTCATGGTCTTTCTCTACCCACCCTGGTAGCCAAAGACAAAAGACATAATCTCTTGGGAGCTCTATGGCCCTGCTCACCACCTGAGAAACCCAAATACTTACCCAAGCGACCCTAGGGCAAGCTTATATCCTCCCTATACTACTGAAAGTGATGCTCTTTTGAAAGTGCTACCTCCTGGCTGGAGGCCAACCAATTCAAACCATTACAGTAACTCATAATAGAACAACCCCGTCCTAAGAAAGGAGAAATCAACAGCTAACTCCACCGCCTGTAATATCCTGGCTAACCAGAGGTCCAGAGTCTGTCCACATGACAACTTTACTGCCAGCACAACCAACATTTGAGAAAACCAGTGCATTAAACAAAACTACAACTAAGGTCCCACAGAGAAACCACTTCACTCCCTTGCTACCTCCATGGGAGCAGATGCTGGTATCTATAGTTGAGAGACCTGAACACAGATCACTCCACAAGAGTCTTTGCAGACATTGCACAGTACCAGCTGAGAGCCTGGTAGCTCTGCTGGTTGGCTAGACCCAGAAGATAAATAACAATCATTGCAGTTCACCTCTCAGGAATCCTCATCCCTAGGGGAAGGAGGAGAGAATTATTACATCAAAGGATCACCACATGGGACAAAAGAATCTAAACAACAGCCCTTGAGCCCCAAATCTTTCCTTTGATATAGTTTATCCTAATGAGAAGGAACCAGTAAATCAATTCTGGTAATATGACAAAACAAGGTTCTTTTTTACCCCCAAAAGATCACACCAGTTCACCAGCAATGGATCCAATCCAGAAGAAGTCTCTGATTTGCCAGAAAAAGAATTCAGAAGGTCAATTATTAAGCTATGCAAGGAGGCACCAGAGAAAGGTATACACAAACTTAAAGAAAGTTTAAAAATGATACAGGATATAGATGGAAAATCTCAATAGAAATAGATAGCATAAATACAAAAACAATCACAACTTCTGGAAATGAAGGACACACTTAACAAAATGCAAGATACACTGGAAAGTTTCAATAACAGAATAGAACAAGTAGAAGAAAGAACTCCAGAGCTCAAAGACAAGGCTTCTGAATTACCCAGTCTGACAAAGACAAAGAAGAAAGAATGAAAAAAAAAAAAAAAATGAACAAAGCCTCCAAGAAGTTTGGCATTATATTAAATGACCAAAACTAAGAATAACTGATATTCCCAAAAAAGAAGATAAATCTGAAAGTTTGGAAAACATATTTGAGAGAATAATCAATGAAAACTTCCTGGTCTTGCTAGAGATCTAGACATCCAAATACAAGAAGCTCAAAGAACACCCAGGAAATTCATTACAAAAAGATCATCATTTAGGCACATAGTCATCAAGTTATCTAAAGGCAAGACAAAGGAAAGAACCTAAAGAGCTGTGAGGCAAAAGCATAAGGTAAACCTATCAAATTAACAGCAGATTTTTCAGCAGAAACCCCACAAGCTAGGAAGGATTGGGGTCCTATCATTTGCCTTCTTAAACAAAACAATTATCAGCCAAGAATTTTATATACAGTGAAACTAAGCTTAATAAATGAAGGAAAAATACAGTCTTTTTCAAACAAACAAATGCTGAGAAAATTCACCACTACCAAGCCAGCACTATAAAAAATGCTAAAAGCAGCTCTAAATCTTGAAACAAAACCCCAAAATACACCAAAATAGAACCTCCTCAAAGCATAAACCTCACAGGATAGCACAATGAAAAAACAACAACAAGGTATTCAGGCAATGACTAGCAAATTGTATAGAATAGTGCCACGCAACTCAAAACTAACACTGAATGTAAATTGCCTAAATGCTGCACTTAAAAGGTACAGAACGGTAGAATGGATAAGAATTCACTAACGAAGTATCTGCTATCTTCAGTAGACTCACTTAACACATAAGGACTCACATAAACTTAAGGTAAATGAGTGGAAAAAGATATTCAATGCAAATGGACACCAAAAGTGAGCAGGAGTAGCTATTCTTATATCAAACAAAACAGATTTTAAAGCAACAACAGTTAAAAAAGACACAACATACCAGAACAAAGACACAACATACCAGAATCTCTGGGACACATTCAAAGCAGTGTGTAGAGGGAAATTTACAGCACTAAATGCCCACAAGAGAAAGCAGGAAAGATCCAAAATTGACACCCTAACATCACAATTAAAAGAACTAGAAAAGCAAGAGCAAACACATTCAAAAGCTAGCAGAAGGCAAGAAATAACTAAAATCAGAGCAGAACTGAAGGAAATGGAGACACAAAAAACCCTTCAAAAAATTAATGAATCCAGGAGCTGACTTTTTGAAAGGATCAACAAAATTGATAGACCGCTAGCAAGACTAATAAAGAAAAAAAGAGAGAAGAATCAAATAGACGCAATAAAAAATGATAAAGGGGATATCACCACCGATCCCACAGAAATACAAACTACCATCAGAGAATACTACAAACCCCTCTACGCAAATAAACTAGAAAATCTAGAAGAAATGGATAAATTCCTCGACATATACACTCTCCCAAGACTAAACCAGGAAGAAGTTGAATCCCTGAATAGACCAATAACAGGATCTGAAATTGTGGCAATAATCAATAGCTTACCAACCAAAAAGAGTCCAGGACCAGATGGATTCACAGCAGAATTCTACCAGAGGTACAAGGAGGAACTGGTACCATTCCTTCTGAAACTATTCGAATCAACAGAAAAAGAGGGAATCCTCCCTAACTCATTTTATGAGGCCGGCATCATCCTGATACCAAAGCCAGGCAGAGACACAACCAAAAAAGAGAATTTTAGACCAATATTCTTGATGAATATTGATGCAAAACTCCTCAATAAAATACTGGCAAACCAAATCCAGCAGCACATCAAAAAGCTTATCCACCATGATCAAGTGGGCTTCATCCCTGGGATGCAAGGCTGGTTCAATATACGCAAACCAATAAATGTAATCCAGCATATAAACAGAACCAAAGACAAAAACCACATGATTATCTCAATAGATGCAGAAAAGGCCTTTGACAAAATTCAACAACCCTCCATGCTAAAAACTCTCAATAAATTAAGTACTGATGGGACGTATCTCAAAATAATAAGAGCTATCTATGACAAACCCACAGCCAATATCATACTGAATGGGCAAAAACTGGAAGCATTCCCTTTGAAAACTGGCACAAGACAAGGATGCCCTCTCTCACCACTCCTATTCAACATAGCGTTGGAAGTTCTGGCCAGGGCAATTAGGCAGGAGAAGGAAATAAAGGGTATTCAATTAGGAAAAGAGGAAGTCAAATTGTCCCTGTTTGCAGACGACATGATTGTATATCTAGAAAACCCCATTGTCTCAGCCCAAAATCTCCTTAAGCTGATAAGCAACTTCAGCAAAGTCTCAGGATACAAAATCAATGTACAAAAATCACAAGCATTCTTATACACCAATAACAGACAAACAGAGAGCCAAATCATGAGTGAACTCCCATTCACAATTGCTTCAAAGAGAATAAAATACCTAGGAATCCAACTTACAAGGGACGTGAAGGACCTCTTCAAGGAGAACTACAAACCACTGCTCAATGAAATAAAAGAGGATACAAACAAATGGAAGAACATTCCATGCTCATGGGTAGGAAGAATCAATATCATGAAAATGGCAATACTGCCCAAGGTAATTTATAGATTCAATGCCATCCCCATCAAGCTACCAATGACTTTCTTCACAGAATTGGAAAAAACTACTTTAAAAATCATATGGAACCAAAAAAGAGCCCGCATCGCCAAGTCAATCCTAAGCCAAAAGAACAAAGCTGGAGGCATCATGCTACCTGACTTCAAACTATACTACAAGGCTACAGTAACCAAAACAGCATGGTACTGGTACCAAAACAAAGATATAGATCAATGGAACAGAACCGAGCCCTCAGAAATAATGCCGCATATCTACAACTATCTGATATTTGATAAACCAGAGAAAAACAAGCAATGGGGAAAGGATTCCCTATTTAATAAATGGTGCTGGGAAAACTGGCTAGCCATATGTAGAAAGCTGAAACTGGATCCCTTCCTTACACCTTATACAAAAATTAATTCAAGATGGATTAAAGACTTAAATGTTAGACCTAAAACCATAAAAACCCTAGAAGAAAACCTAGGCATTACCATTCAGGACATAGGCATGGGCAAGGACTTCATGTCTAAAACACCAAAAGCAATGGCAACAGAAGCCAAAATTGACAAATGGGATCTAATTAAACTAAAGAGCTTCTGCACAGCAAAAGAAACTACCATCAGAGTGAACAGGCAACCTACAAAATGGGAGAAAACTTTCGCAACCTACTCATCTGACAAAGGGCTAATATCCAGAATCTACAATGAACTCAAACAAATTTACAAGAAAAAAACAAACAACCCCATCAACAAGTGGGCGAAGGATATGAACAGACACTTCTCAAAAGAAGACATTTATGCAGCCAAAAGACACATGAAAAAATGCTCATCATCGCTGGCCATCAGAGAAATGCAAATCAAAACCACAATGAGATACTATCTCACACCAGTTAGAATGGCGATCATTAAAAAGTCAGGAAACAACAGGTGCTGGAGAGGATGTGGAGAAATAGGAACACTTTTACACTGCTGGTGGGACTGTAAACTAGTTCAACCATTGTGGAAGTTAGTGTGGCGATTCCTCAGGGATCTAGAACTAGAAATACCATTTGACCCAGCCATCCCATTACTGGGTATATACCCAAAGGACTATAAATCATGCTGCTATAAAGACACATGCACACGTATGTTTATTGTGGCACTATTCACAATAGCAAAGACTTGGAACCAACCCAAATGTCCAACAATGATAGACTGGATTAAGAAAATGTGGTACATATACACCATGGAATACTATGTAGCCATAAAAAATGATGAGTTCATGTCCTTTGTAGGGACATGGATGAAATTGGAAATCATCACTCTCAGTAAACTATCGCAAGGACAAAAAACCAAACACCGCATGTTCTCACTCATAGGTAGGAATTGAACAATGAGAATACATGGACACAGGAAGGGGAACATCACACTCTGGGGACTGTTGTGGGGTGGGGGGAGGGGGGAGGGTTAGCATTAGGAAATATACCTAATGCTAAATGACGAGCTAATGGGTGCAGCACACCAGGATGGCACATGTATACATATGTAACTAACCTGCACATTGTGCACATGTACCCTAAAACTTAAAGTATAAAAAAAAAAAAAGACAAAGAAGGACATTACGTAATGATAAAAGGATTAGTCCAACAGGAAATTATCACAATCCTAAATATATATGCACTTAACAGTGGAGCTCCCAAATTTATAAAACAATTACTACTAGACCTAAGAAATGAGATGGACAGCAACACAATAATAGTGGGGGACTTCAATACTCCACTGACAGCACTATACAGGTCATGAAGACAGAAAGTCAAAAAAGAAACAATGGATTTAAACTATACCCCAGAACAAAAGGACTTTACAGATATTAACAGAGCATTCTACCCAACAACTACAGAATGTACATTCTATTCATCAGCACATGGAACATTCTCCAAGATAGACCATATGACACACCACAAAACAAGTCTCAATAAATTTAAGAAAATCGAAATTATGTTAAGTACTCTCAGACCACAGTGAAATAAAATTGGAAATCAACTCCAAAAGGAAATCTCAAAACTGTGAAAATACATATAAATTAAATAAGCTGTACCTGAATGATTGTTGCCTCAACAATGAAATCAATATGGAAATTAAAACATTATTTGAATTGAATGATAACAGTGACACAACATATCAAAACCTCTGAATATAGCAAAAGTCATGCTAAGAGGAAAGTTCATTGCATTAAATACCTACATCAAAAAGTCTCAAAGAGCACAAAGAGACAATATAAGGTCACACTTCAAGGAAGTAGAGGAATAAGAACAAACCAAACCCAAACTCAGCAGAAGAAAAGGAATAACAAAGATCAGAGCAGAATTAAATTAAATATCTCCCGTTTTGTTCCTAATCGAGCTTATTTGGGTCTTTTATCATTCTTCACAGAACTTGAAAAAGCAATCTGAAATTTCATATGGAACAAAACAGAGCCCACATAGCCAAAGCAAGACTAAGCAAAAGAACAAATCTGGAGGCATCACATTACCCAACTTCAAACTATACTGTAAGGCTATACTCACCAAAACAGCATGTACTGTTTTACAGTATGCAGTATGCAAAACACAGAAATAAAGCCAAATACTTACAGCCAACTGACCTTCGACAAAGCAAACAAAAACATAAAGTGGAGAAAGGACACCCTATTCAACAAATGGTGCTGGGATAATTGGCAAGCCACATGTGGAAGAATGAAACTGGATCGTCATCGCTCACCTTATACAAACTCAACTCAAGATGGAGCAAATACTTAAATTTAAGCCCTGAAGCCACAAAAATTCTAGAAGATAACATTGGAAAAAACCTTTCTAGACATTGCCTTAGGCAAAAACTTCATGACCAAGAACCCAAAAGTAAATGCGACAAAAACAAAGATAAACAGATGAGACTTAATTAAACTAAAAAGCTTCCGCACAGCAAAATAAATTATCAGCAGAGTAAACAGACAACCCACAGAGTGGGAGAAAATATTCACAAACTATGCATCTGACAAAGGACAAATATCCAGAATCTATAAGGAACTCAAACAGATCAGCAAGAAAAAAGCAAATAATCCCATCAAAAACTGAGCTAAGAACATGAATGGACAGTTCTCAAAAGAAGATATATAAATGGCCAACAAACATATAAAAATGCTCAATATCACTAATTATCAGGAAAATGCAAATCAAAACCACAATGAGATACCACGTTACTCCTAAAAGAATGACCATGATAAAAAAAAAAAATAGATGTTGGCATAGATCTGGTGAAAAACGTACATTTTTACAATGTTGGTGGGAATGTAAACTAGTACAACCACTATGGTAAACTGTCTGAAGATTCCTTAAAAAATTAAAAGTAGAACTACCTTTTGATCCAGTGATCCCACTACTAGGTATCTACCCAGAGGAAAAGACGTCATTATATGAAAAAGACACTTGCACATGTATGTTTATAGCAGCACAATTCACAATTGCAAAAATATGGAACCAGACCAAATTCCCATCAATCAATGAGTGGATAAAGGAAATGTGATTTATATACCCATGGAATACTACTCAGCCATTAAAAGGAAGGAAACAATGGCATTTGCAGCAACCTGGATGCTATGAGGAGGTAAAGTCATAAGAATTATACAATGGACTCTGGGAACTTGGCGGGGAAGGGTGGGGTAAAGTATAAAAGACTACATACTGGGTATAGGGTACACTGCTCGAGTGATGGGTGCGTCAAAATCTCGGAAATCACTGTTAAAGAACTTATGCATGTAACCAAACACCACCTGTTCCCCTAAAACCTACTGAAATAAAAAAGAAGAAATCTATAATGAAAAAATTATTTTTATATTAAATTACTCTTATACAATAGAAAGGTTTTTGAAAATCCTTTAAAAAATGTATTTAGCAATATATTGTGCCCTGCTTACTGAAGTTCTCTCAAAAAAGAAATATAAAAGTTCAAATAATGTAAACAAGTAATAAATAACCTTGCAAAATTATTATTTTTAGCTACATGCTAAAAATGTTGACCAGTAAACAGGGAACTCTGCAAAATTCACACCCTCTGTCTTTGCTGTGACACTCACATGAGACTACATAAGAAAAAGAAAAAAAATATTAAAAACAAATAAGTAATTAAAAATAGGCCATGTTCAGTTTGATTTAATATAGATCAGAGAAAAAGAAACTTTGATTTTTTTCCCTTTTTACTCCATAGATATTTATATTTTTAAAAAATGGTAGTCAGTCAAATTGGGTTGACTTGATATAAAGCCAGAAACTGGAAATGTTAGCCTTCCACAGGGTAATAGGAAGGAAATGAGTTCAAAATCTACATTTTCAATTAATAGCTCTAGCAATTATTAATGAATCATGCTTTTTAAACCATCTGCACACAAGTAGGCACCAAAAAGAAATAATCCACAGAATGTGATGAATAAGACTAATCCATCTTCTTACCTAGCATAGTAATTCTCTGAAATATTTTTGCTGACATGCCAAACAATAAAAATTCATTTAAATCATTTTTTTTGTAAGTCACTGTTGTATAGTCCTAGAGATAAAATTTGTGCACTAGTATAATGACCTACATTCTAATATCTTCAAATCTTGGCTCCAAGCTTCTGGGTTTCTTCAAAATGCAATTAAAATTGAAACAAACTTGTGGGAATAAGCCCTTTTGCTTTTCAGTTTCTGCAAAAGACTGTGGTATGAACAGTCTAATATTCAAGGTGCATTCATTTTACAACTTACAATAGCTAAATGCAATTAACTCTAGTAAGCTTGGTGAAGTGTTCTCCCACGAGAAACAAATCTCATCCTACAGATCAAGGGATGTAAAATGAACACCAACACTACACAGAAATGTGCTGATTCGATTTTTAAAAAGTTTAATGGCATTTTATTACAATACTAATGCTTACTTCTTTTATTGCCTTTAAATATTTAACTGTCTCCCATCATCATCTTTCCAAGTTCATTGAGCTTGGCCTCAGCACAGGTGGCCCACTCTGTTAGCTCCCAGTTGAATAACTAATGAATAAAGACCATAGGAACAATGATCTGATGAGTATGTTGAGTTGCTGAATAACCAAAGTGCAATCAGGAGCCAGTCTCAGCCTCTCTAAGTGCCTATTTCACTCCTGATTCTTTCTGAGCTATTACATAAGGAAGAAATGTGCATTTAGAACACAGTGTTCAGAGCAATCCAGGCCAGGCCACTGTCTTCAAAAACTGCACATCATATCTCTCTGTCTGCTGGCCTATCAATCATTATGTTATCTATCTATCCATCTAACATAGCTACCATCAGGGTTTCAATATTTCACACAATTTCCTAGAATGCCTATTATATGTCAGGCATTAGAGATACTGAGGTAAATAAAATAGTCTCTGCCATACATGACCACTGTGTAATGTGGAAAATCCATGTTAAAAAAAAGCTATGATACAATACGATGTAGTATGTATTCAGAAGGTGTAAATATAAATAGTCTTTATTGTCTAGAAAGTATCTTTCTTCTCATCCTAAAAAAAAAAAATCATCTATGAAGTCATCTTTATAAAATAAAAAAGAAAAGTTCTCTCATCTAATGACCCATTCGCCTCTCAGCAAGATTTTAATCACTAAACTAAATACATTTATATTCATGGCTTTATTAATTCTGCTCTTGGTTGTTTCATTCTATGTGTATTTGAATTATCTAGGTTTTTTAAAAATTATCTAGGTTTTTTGTTTTATTTGGTAGTCTCTTACTACGTATATGTAAAGTATAATATGACAGTTAAGAACTGAGTCTTGAAGCCATATTATCTGGTTTGAATACCAGCTTGACCACTTACTACTTCTGTTATTTTGGGAAAGTTATGGAGCCTTTCTCTGACTCCATGCTCATCTGAAAGTTTGAATAATAATAATTCCTAGCTCATGAGGGTGGGTATTAATCATGTTTTTAAATAGGGTGGGTATTAATCATGTTTTTAAATTTTTCTGTACTTGATGATGCTTTGATATCCTCAGCCTTGTATACCTGAGAAGGGACTGCCTCTCCCAGACTTGGCTAATTCTTAGGGATGGCAAACAACCTGCCTGTGAGTACATCCTTGATGTGCAAACCAACTAATCTGAGTCCATACCCCCACCCACTTCCTTTTATCAGGCTCCTGCAGTCCTGGACACTCTTCCCTTGCCCTAAGTCACCTAGGGCCAGGTACCAAACAACTAGGGACTACCACTATAGGCCAGAGCCCAAGGAAATTATTCAAACTATCTAATCCTAAACATGCTCAGCTGGCTTACCCCACCTTGCCCATTTCTTCCCATGAAGACCATAATAAAAGCTGTTCCTTTTGTCTCTTCTTCCTCCTGACTGACCTTGGTGCTTTCCCCTGCATCCTTGAATAGTGTACCTAGCATATTCGCCCTCCTCTTGGAACTGGGAGTAAAACACTAACTTGTTAGTGGCAGTCATTTCCTGGTCTATTGGCCTCACTATACTTGGATAGTAATAGAATCGACATTTTCAAATGTGTTGTAAATATTCAATTAGTTTTTTGTTTTGTTTTGTTTTTTTCTGAGACAGAGTCTCACTCTGTCATCCTGGCTGGAGTGCAGTGGCATGATCTTGGCTCACTGCAACCTCTGCCTCCCAGATTCAAGTGATTCTCTTGCCTCAGCCTCCCGAGGAGGCACGCACCACCACGCCTGGCTGGGAATACAGGCACGCACCACCACGCCTGGCTAATTTGTTTGTTTGTTTGTTTGTTTGTTTGTTTGTTTTAGTGGAGACGGGGTTTCTCCACGTAAGCTAGGCTGGTCTCAAACTCCTAACCTCAGGTGATCCGCCCATCTCGGCCTCCCAAACCAAAGTGCTGGGATTACAGGTGTGAGCCACTGTGCCCGGCCTATATTCAATGAGTTTTACATAAGAATGTCTTAGAAGAGTGCCTCACATTACAAACACTCAAATATCATCTATTTTGTTTGATATTATTTCTATAGAAGTACATGCATATGGGGACTAAATAACCAACACTTTCATTCATTTATTCAGCTTACATTAATTGAACAGTACCTATTGCCAAGCCCTGTGTCGGGCATTGGGACAGTATTGGTGAACGCACAACAAACGTCCTTACCTGCATGCTTATAATCTTGTTGATAATTGTAACAATTTAACCCTGCTTCCTCTTGTTTCATGGTAGTGACAAAAACTTTTTTATTAATATTCCGTGTATACTAACTATTTCTAAATCAAAGAGGGATCACATCTTTCCTCAATATTCTTCTCTTTGGACTCTCTGGGTTATTCTGTTACATTTACTTTTCAAAGTATTAATTTCTGTTATTCACTGTTACATCAATCATTATCTCTTCCACCATTTGAAGATAAAGAAGCCTAGAAGATATATATTATGGTGAATGATGACTATTAGAAATGGTTACATAATATCTTCTTATTAACATAGTCTAGTCACTGAAATTTCAAATGGCAGCATTATAATGTTGACTCACAAGGACACAGTGAGTATACTCCAAACAATTTGGGGCCTATATTTGTTCCTGGTCAGTCCTTCTCCCTTGCTATTGTTTGCTTTTCATTCTTAAATGCCCTCTGCAGATCTATCTATGAATTTCTTATCTCTGCTTATCTGGTTATTAACATGTTAAGTCTACTTTGAGGAATCTGTCACGTCCACGCCCAGTGTCACTAAATCTGTCAATGTCCACAGTTCTTGCTGAATGATCATCACACCCAATATTCCTGACACCTTTAGCCTCAAATAAAAAAATATGATGACCAAATGGTGACCAAACCAATTAGAACTTTTCTCTTCTCTCTCCCTCTCTCTCTTCTCCATCTCACAGATGTAACAACTGCAGCTAGTTGGTGCTGGGCAATAATGCTGTGTAGCTATTACACTGCTAGGTACGTTCATTTATTCAAAAATATTTACTGAGCACATAAAGCAATAAGCAACACAAGCACAATCCAAATCTTTTCTGGTGAGGGAGAGTGGCAACAAGCAAACAATCGCATGAGTATCTATTTCAAAAGTCTAGGCTAGGCTTTTTTTTTTTTTCTTTTTTTTAATCACCTCATAGCAAAGGAGGACTGTGAAGGAACATGAAAAGACTGGCGATAGTATATGCTTGTGCATGCATGAGTGTTTTGAGGAAAGAAAATATAGAGAAGGAATCCCTCAAGGAAGTAACACTAACCTGCAACTTAATAAATAGTTGGCCATGCAAAAGGGGAGGAAATAAACAGTTCAGACAGGAGACCCAGTTCAAACAGGAGACCCTGCCTCCCTGAGGCAGAGAGGAGTTTGCAACGTAGGTGTAATGGAAGGAGAAACAGCATGCTGGAGCTTGGGGGTGATTGGAAAGAGTGAGGCTGGTTCCCGCTCAATTGGCAGGCAGGTGGCAGATCTGCTCTGTAAGCTCTGTTAAGGAATTGGGATAATGTATAGGTAAAGAGAACCAGTAGGAAAAGAAAAAAAAAAAAGTGAAGCAAATATAAGGGATCATGGGACCCTGAACAATGCCTTGTTCCTTAAATCTTTCAACTCCAGTTCCCTGCTATCTGTGAGCTCTTTCCTCTCCAAACTATCCTCCATGTTGCCACTAGTATTATCTTTGTAAATAAAGATCTCACTATACTACTTCCTTGTTTAAAAAATTGTGATGACTATCCATGTCTTAAGGGTACAGTCCTAGCACACAATATACTTTTCTAGGACCATTCTCTGACACCCTGTCCCTTACACACTGTACTTCAGTGATACCAGGCTATTATTTTCCTGAAAAATGACACACTGCATCATGTCTCCTTGCTTTTGCCTGTGCCCCTTCACTGTTATGTCTTGTCCTCCTTGGGAATTCTCTACAGACCTCAAAATTCACCTCATCCATGAGGTCTTCCTGAACTACATTGTCTGTACTCAAATGGCTCATTGTCCATGTTATTTATATAAAATATATCATTTTTAGCTGTATTTATATATTTATACCAACCAAATTAGGAGCATTTTGTAAGCATTCCATGCTCAATTCTTAACTGTGCCTAGTTCATATTGTAGGTTTTCAAAAATGTTTAGTGAATGAAAAAAATATATAAACTCTTGGCTAAAATCAAAACATTTGAAAGTGCTCCCAAAATTGATTAAGTTTTACATATAATCATGATTAATGTTTGTTTTTCCCAAAATTGTTTAAGTTTTACATACAATTATGATTAATGTTTGTTTTTTTTTCCACTGAGTCATCCAGCCACTAGACTTTAAGATGCAATAGAATAAAGAGAGGGCTAGGCCGGGCGCAGTGGCTCACGCCTGTAATCCCAGTACTTTGGGAGGCCAAGGCAGGTGGATCATGAGGTCAGGAGATCGAGACCAACCTGGCTAACACACGGTGAAACCCCGTCTCTACTAAAAATACAAAAAATTAGCCAGGCGTTGTGGTGGGTGCCTGTAGTCCCAGCTACTCCGGAGGCTGAGGCAGGAGAATGGCATGAACCTGGGAGGCGGAGCTTGCAGTGAGCCGAGATCGTACCACTGCACTCCAGCCTGGGTGACAGAGCGAGACTCCGTCTCAAAAAAAAAAAAAAAAGAAAGAAAAAGAAAAAAGAGAGAGAGAGAGGGCTAAATTATGTCTGACAAATAGGAAACTTTTATTAGTTATGGATTTTTCTTACCAAAAATATGACTGTATAAATTCTTTGTATATCAAAAAAAAGGTAATATATGAAATATGTTAATGGATTTCCTCCCAAAAAAGGAGGTTCCAGGAAAGGAGTTAAGTGGAAGAACAGCAAAAGATAAAGAATACAATTATTCTCCTTTTACATTTATTTAATAGAAGCAACAGAAAGTTACAGAGCTTTTTAAAGATGATGAAAAGCTACCTGCCCAAAATAGTTTTAGGAAAGTTCTACCCATAGGAAGTAAAATGAAATAAATAGCCTCTACTGGGTCCAGAAGGCCTCTGATGTTCAGATTCTGATCCCTGTTAGAACTGAGAGGCCTTACCTCTGGACACTGTTCTGATCCACATGAAACTCTTAGACATTGAATTTCAGCCGTCTTCCTTGGATTGTTTGTCTATTTGTTAAATGATGGGGTTAAACTAGCAAAATCACTTATATTTCTTATAGTCTATAATTATGCATTTCAAATATTATCTTTTTATAAGAAGATCCAAATATAACCTTCTCCCACTGAAATGTTGATAAAACTGACTTTAGAATATTTTGATACTGTCTTTGATGTAACTATGATATTGTATTAGTCCATTCTCACACTGCTATAAAAAACTTCCTGAGACTGGGTAATTTATAAAGGAAAGAGGTTTAATTGACTCACAGTTCCACATGGCTGGGGAGGCCTCAGGAAACTTACAATCATGGCAGAAGGGGAAGCAAGCATGTCCATCTTATGCGGCGGCAGGCAAGAGAGAGAGAGAGAAAGTGTGTGTGTGCAAACGTAGGAGAAACTACCATTTATAAAACCATCAGATCTCATGAGAATTCTCTCACTATCATGAGAACAGCGTGTGGGAAACCGCCCCCATAATCCAATCACCTCCCACCAGGTCTTTCCTACATCACCTGGGGATTACAATTCAAGATGAGATTTGGGTGGGGACACAAAGCCTAACCGTATCAGATATTTTATGAGATTTCCACTTTTTAACATTGGTCTTCTTTGTCATCATCATTCCACACTCTGCTAGTGTCCACTGGTTATAATAAAAACAGATACACTGGCACCTACAGTATGCTCAAGCAAGCTGCTTCCTTAAGGTTGGCACCTGTGAGCCTATGGGCCAGAATTCTACATCTTTTTGGAGAATTCCAAAGGCAACATTTCCTTTAGGCTTAGCAACTGACTGACCCCGTTTTTCTCAATGCTGCTTACTGCTCCAGACAGTCTGCTGAAATAATGATTTCTGTTTCATCTTTGTGAAGTTTACTGTTAATGAGAGGTTGGGATGTGCATATGTGCCTCCACTTCCCACAGCCCTTGCAGATATCTTTAGATGATTTTTCACAGAGAATTGCACCAGACCTCACAGTTCTCCTTAGCAGAGCCTTCTTACAGCTGCTAATAATCAATTATGGTTGGCATTTGTGATATAACTTGCCACCCTTTGCCAGATGGTCTGCCTCCTTTTACTTTTAGTTAAAACAATCAAAAATAATCAGAGAATAGACTTTTTTTGGATCATCATATAACAATGATTTTCACTGAACATGTCCAGAAATACTATGTAGGAAAAACTAAATCTAGTTTGAACTAGCTCTCCTGGTTTCATTCAGTGGGCATAATTGGAGGCTATGGGATATTAAGAAAGAAAAAAAGAAAAAGGCTATCTTCTTTTTGTTTTCTAATCAGGACTCAGTACTAGAGGAAGACAAGACCCAATTGCCTGCATTATTTAATTTTGTTATTATTGACTATATAATCTATGTGGAGCCCATAAACCAAAGGCAGAGTGTCTAATATTTCGTAACGGCTTAGAAAAAGTTTTACAAGTCACTGATATCCATTAAGATCACAAAGCAAGTATCTCTATGACCTACTCATAATATTCTAGGGTGTCAGCAACTGATAGAGATATTTGGAAGCATTAAACTTTAACTACCAAAGTTTTGTATTTCATATTGTGTTTAATAATATCTTGGGCAAACATTCTTTTCAGACAAAACAAAGAGTGATCAGAAATTCAAAGTAGCTCTCTAGCACAGGAGAATGTGAATATAGGCTAAGTTTCAACCATTTAAAAATAAGTGAGCAATAAAACGGCATAAGCCATAGGCTTTCCTACCACTATGCATTTTGTCCTGATTTCCCTGAGGAAAATGGTTGAATAAAACTTTACATACATATAAGTTTTTATTAATGTAGATAATTCCAAATATGAGATAAAGTAACAGCTCTTTATTTCATCGCCTAACTGCAATATTTTACTTGACAAAAGAATTTATAAATTTGGAAATTGTGAGCGAGTATGAAATAAGAGAGAAAAAATAATCATCATCTTCTTAGAAAACAGAAAATAACAATTTTGTGGCAATACCCTTCTCTTCTTCAACTTATTCCAGCATCTGTCTAGAACTGTGCTGTCCAACATGGTACCCACTGGCCATGTGTGGCCATTGAGTACTTGTAATGTGGCTAGTCTAAACTGATATGTGCTGTAAGTTTAAGAAAAATACTGGATTTTGAAAACTTGTTCCTTCGAAAAATAAATAACATAACATTTCTTGAACATTTATGTTTTCAGGTCATATGCTAAGCACTTTTGAGATTTTTAACAATCCTATAAGAGAGTGACCAATGGTCCCAGTTTGTCTGGGACTGAGAACACAGGAGTTTCAGTGTAAAAACTGAAAATGTCCAGAACAAACCAGGACCTGTTGGTCACTCTATCTGTACATTAAATATTTTCCCCCATTTCACAAATGAAAACAGTTGAGGTTCACAGATATTCAGTAACTTATCCAAATACACACTATAAAAAAGTGACAGAGAAGGGATTCATGCTGTGTCTGGTTGTTCCTTAAACAGTATACTATATTCTTTCCATCAGAATCAACAAGAAGATTAGTTGTTTTGCAAATTCATTTCTCTAATTTACACACATAGAAATATATAATAATATGAGTGTTATTTTAAAATCTGGAAATAAGAATAGCTAACATCAATGTGCCTTGACTTATTTAATTTTTATGATTCCTCAAAACAGATACTAATGTTATGCCCATTTTACATATAAAGAAACTAATGCATAGATAGGTTAAGTGTCTTTCCCTTGGAAACAAATTTTCAGCACCCAGATTTAACCAAGACAGTCTAACTTCAGAACCTGTGTTGCTAAGAAAGCCCTTTTGAACTAGATGTTGATGAATGCTGCAAATTTCACGGAATTACTGAATTTGGATTTCACAAAAGATAAAGGGAGATGTCTAAATACTTTTTTATATTCCACTGTCATTTTTGAAGTCTTAATTTTGATTTGTCTTTTGGTTTGCTGATATACATTTTCATGTTACATCTCAAAATATATGGATGATATATTTTCTGATATTTGCTACCTTTATTCATGATAGAATACCTTGGTTTTATGTAAGATCCTTGGGCTACAATCTTTCTCCCTCCATATTTTATAGAAAATTAGTATAAGTTGATGGTTTCATTACCTTCCTGCATGTATAGCAGGGGATTCATCAAGTATCATCATAATTTTTTTTCTGTTACAAATAAGCTGCTTTAATGACTTCAATGCTTTTGAAATATAATGCTACTCTATAGGAATTTTTTTTTAATTGCCAAGATGTCCCTAGCTATAGGTTTTTCAGTACTATTTTTTGCCTGGAACACAGCAAACTCTTTCAACCAGCATTGTAAATCCAGGAAATTTTTCATCAATTGTATCTTTGGTGCTTCTGATTCAATCATTCTAGTATGTTCCTCAGAGCATGTGTAATTTTGAGATTGGCTTTCCATTTTTGGCATCTCGTATCTATGATCTTCCTCCACATCTTTTTTATTATTGTGCTTTTTTCTCTACATTCTGAGAGAACTAATCATTGTTCACATTACCAGTTCAATTTTCTGCAGTGTCAAATCTGTCTTTTACTGTCCTCAACGTGAATTTTAATCTAGATATTGAATTTTTAGCTCTTTTTAATTACTTTTTACTTCAGAAATCTCACTTTTTATCTTATCCTTTCATCTCAGCTCCTAACAAAAATGTCATTGGCATCATACGAGGGATGTTAATCATTTTTCTAAAATTTAATTCTTAGGACTACTTTTTGAGCCCAGGTCTTTCTTTCCCAGGTAATTTCTTATAGTATCCATCGTGAATTTTTTTTCTTTTCAGATCCTCAACATTGAGTAAGTCATCTCTATCCAGATTCTCAACATTTATTATAGTAAACATTTAGTGATAGCAAAGACTAAATTAAACTTTTCCCACCTTAATATGGCTTGGCTCTGTGTTCCCTCCCAAATCTCGCCTTGCATTGTAATAATCCCCACGTATCAAGGATGGGACCAGGTGGAGATAATTGAATTATAGGAGCAGTTTCTCCCATGCTGTTCTCATGATAGTGAGTTCTCACGAGATCTGATGGTTTTATAAGAGGCTTCCCCCTTCGCTCTGCACTCATTTCTCTCCTGCCGCCCTGTGAGGAGGTGCCTTCTGCCATGATTGTAAGTTTCCTAGGCCTCCCTAGCCATGTGGATCTGTGAGTCAATTAAACTTCTTTTCTTATAAATTACCCAGTCCCAGGTATTTCTTCATAGCAGAGTGAGAACAGACTAACAGACACCTTGTCCTGATACTATCTTCCTCTATGATCTACAATGTTATCACAAGTAAATAAACACATTTTTCGCAGCCAGGTGCGGTGGCTCACACCTGTAATCCCAGCACTTTGGGAGGCCAAGGCGGGCAGATCACGAGGTCAGAAGATCGAGACCATCCTGGCTAACACGGTGAAACCCCGTCTCTACTAAAAATACAAGAAATTAGCTGGGCGTGGTGGCAGGCGCCTGTGGTCCCAGCTACTTGGGAGGCTGAGGCAGGAGAATGGCGTGAACCCAGGAGGCGGAGCTTGCAGTGAGCCGAGATCGCGCCTCTGCACTCCAGCCTGGGCAACAGAGCGAGACTCCGTCTCAATAACTAAATAAATAAAATAAACACATTTTTCACCCCACTGTCAATGCTAGCATCTTTTCAATCTAGTGAGCTTCCTTTCTTCTGAAGTGAGACTTCTATTGCCTCCCACTCACTGGCTCTCTAATAGTCTTCACAGTGCAGTCAGGAACACAAGTCACAGAAAGAACTGATGCCATGACTCTAGGCATCTCTTCCATGGCACTTGACTTGTGCTGACCACATTTTCCCATGCTACTGCCAGTATATACACCACCACCCTTCTTCTGCCTAATAACCCTTCAACCTCCTTTACAGTGGGTATGTGGGCTGGGAAGCAGGTGTGGATGGTGAAATAGGGGGATCAAGGCTGGGTCATTGAGGAAGAGACACCAAAATCATAATTTAGTCTTGCCTCCGGGTTTTTGTTGTTGTTGTTTTGGCTCAATCTCTCTGAACTGTGTGTGTCTGGTGGGAAAGGGTGACAAGGAGATCTGAAGGAGAAAAAAAAATCATTTTTCTACTCCTTTGAAGTAGACAAAATCAAAATAAAACAGCATAAGATTAGGAGTCTATTTCCTGCACTTTAAAATCCCTTTTCATAGTTCTTGCAGTTACTGAAAATTCCTCCCAGATTTTGGCAATGGGTTAAATGTCAGTTTCATATTGCAACTGCACTGTCAGAATTCCTCTTGATCTGTATCTTCATGGGTACTGAGAAGTCATGAGGGGCTGCAGTGTAAACTAGCTAGAGACATTGTAAACCCACTAGAATGTCTTCAGTTGAACCAGGATTGTATGCCTTATATTTTTAAAGGATTTCTTGTATTAAATATAAAATACTTTTCACTTAACTTTCTTCATTTTTTATTAGTCTTTGAAGTTGAATAGACTAAGAGCTGACATTGCTTTTGATCTTTGGTGTTGCTGCACAGTGACTCTGTACATGCTGGGCTAGATAATTTACATATCAACCTAAATAGCATCAAAGATTCATAAAGCACTTTGAGTGTTATACAGACAGTTTATCAGACATAACAGGATTGCTTTTGGTTTTGACACCTCTACTGAGTCTCCTCATACGTAATTGGGTTATCTGAAAATCATAATAATGACATTTGACTCTACTGGTATTTTTAATAGGACAGTCAAATCAAAGTAACTTCTACATTAAAATAGACTTTTCTTAATACTATTCCATTTGATGCAGCAATGTTAAACCAGTATGAACAAAGTCATTATAAGCAGACTTCAGGAGTCTGTTTTGCATTGGCAGGAGATGATCTAACATGACATTTCCATCTCTGTCATTACAAATAAAACATTTGCATTAACAATATTATACATTCAGATTTGAAACAAATTCAATTTAAAAATTCATCATAATTGGAGGTATTGTGCTATGAACGCCTGTAATTTCCTTGACATTCTCTACAATTCAGCCTAAATGGTACTTCTAAAATATTGTGCCTTTTTCTAAGTCAACTGCATCTACAACACTGCCATTCTTATGATCATCTGATAAAATCTCACCTTCTTGGGAATCACATTCAAACATCTAACTTTGAATATCATGAATATCATGATATATGTCTAAAAGATCCTAAATTCTTAATACCATTCTTAGATGATTCTCTCCCTGGTGAGACCGGACAACATTTTCTCCAACTTTCCATTTCACGAACACGAAGTTTCTATTAATTGAGTTCCCAGTACTTCAACTAAGAACATAACATAAATTGTGTCTATGATAATGGATTAATTATCTTTTCCATAAATTAAATTGATTGGTATAAAGGTACATTTTTTTAAAAGAACTTGGAGAAAGGCACATAAATTAATTGTGGTCAGAAGGGCTATATCTTTCTAACAAATAAATGAAATGAAAATTCAAACAGTTTTTGTAATACACTTAGTGGTGCATATCTGTTGCCAGTAAAAATATTATGAGCATTATAAATCCAGAATTTTTCTAGCTACACTTTAGAAAACTGAAAATTTTTATATGCATACTACAACACTAAACAGCCTAGGAGACTGAATAAATGAATTTTAAGCAGCATATTCAATGCAAATGTCTGGGTTTAGTTCAAAGAACTATTTGTTCGCAGCATTTCTCTGACTACATCTCTAGTTGATATGTGGCATGTGTGTACTATTTAGAAAATCTGAGGAATAAAAAATAATCACAAAATGAAAAATAAAATCATTGCAGAAGTTAATTACGGGACATAGTTAAACGAAGAATTAGAAAAGGTAAGACTATATATGTAAACATAATTCCCATTACAATAATACCTTTGTATTATTAACTTACTTTATATGTATATTGATGGATCTGCAGAAAATTTTACATTTTCCAATTTTTTTGCAATGTTTTAAAGTTCTTCATATGGTGAAGTAATAATTGGTATGGAGATGAAATGAAAAACTCCTGTTCATTTGTAAGTTTCAGACAAGCTTCCCCCTTTTACCCAATATGCTTTTTACTTATTTACCTCTGCTACCCAGCTGTTGGGTACTCAGGAAATAAAAGTTAATTTTAAAACTTACCTAAGCAAAACATATTAGAAAAAAAGACCATCAAAATCATAAAGTATGTCCAAAGTGTTTTAGAATTATCTGTCACTATTTTGAATTATGTATTTCAATATTTCTCAGAATAAGTATTGTTTCTACCATAAGACAATGGATAGCATATCAAGGTTTCAAACACTAATTCCATGCAATGTTTTCTGTTTTAGTGGCTCATTTTATCAGCAAATCAGGACTATTTTCACCATTAAACAATAAAAAAGAAGATTTTTATGGTTTGTAGAGTTTTTATCATTACTTTATAAACACATTTTTATTAAGGTTTTATTCATACTTTCTTTCCAACGTCTGTCATCTAAAATATGACTGAGTTCTCAGTTTTTTCCTTCATTCCACTTGGAAAATTCAGTAATTTATATGTTATAATGTTGAATATAGTAAAAGAGTATTACTTTTTACATTAATCATGGCTTTTTGTTTTCTGTATTTATGATGCTTTCACATTGTGAAGCCTTGCTGACACTGGAAGAGACTGTGCCTGGAGATGGCAAACAACTTGCCAGGGACATGCTTTTCTTTTTTTTTTTTTTTTTTTTTTTGAGATGGAGTTTTGCTCTTGTTCCCCAGGCTGGAGTGCAGTGTAATGGTGTGATCTTGGCTCACCACAACCTCTGCCTCCTGGGTTCAAGAGATTTTCCTCCCTCAGCCTCCTGAGTAGACTGGGATTACAGGCATGCGCCACCATGCCTGGCTAGTTTTGTATTTTTAGTAGAGACGGGGTTTCTCCATGTTGGTCAGGCTGGTCTTGAACTCCTGACCTCAGGTAATCTGCCCGCCTCGGCCTCTCAAAGTGCTGGGATTACACGGGTGAGCCACCGCACCCAGCCGGGACATGCCTTTCATATGCAACCAATCCAGAGTTCACACCCCAGCCACCTCATTATTGGTCTCTCACTGTCTGGGCCACTACCCCCTGTCTTGATCATCCCAGGGCTAGGCAATAGACAACTAGAGACAGCCTCTGCACTTCAGAGCCCATTGAAGTTATTCAAACTAGCCAATCCTGAACCTGCTTACCCTGCCCTACCTGTTCCTTCCTACAGAAACTACAATAATGGCTCTTGCTTTCATTTTTCCCTCATTCCCTCTGCCTCCTGACCAACCCTGGTGCTTCCCTGCATGGTCCTACATAGCATATGCCCCCTCTCTGGAACTGTGCGTAACAAACTATCTTTTCAATGTCAATTGTCTTCTGATGTGTTGGCCTCACCACACTTGAGTAACAATAAGACATACATTTTAAAACACATTTCATTCCAGTGGAAGAAGTATTTTTTTAAATAAAAATTCTCTAGTTTTTGAGAGGAACATAATGTGAAATCTTGAAAGATCTTTTAGGGGTCATTCACTGCCATTAAAAACGTTAGCATTGTTGGTACTACCTGTCAAAACAAGTGATTCCTATTCTGTGGAAAGACATATCATGTCCCCACTCTAATTCAGTTCTCTAAACTACAATTTCTCAACTAGTGTGCAGCAAATGGTTATAGCCTGAGGAGACAGGATATATTCTTCAGCCCTCATGGCAAATAGATGAGACCTAGAGTGGCCAGGACTCCTGTGCTGGGCACATCTGGCAACAAATATCCTCCTCAGGCAGTCTCTGCTTGCTGTGTAAATATTATTTGTTATGTGCACAGCATCTGGAAAAGATTGAAAGCACTACTTTAAGCCATTAATTCTTAGAGCGTTTAGATCTTGGGGTTACTACTTTCAGGTGATTCCCCAGGCAGGTATAAAATGCAAGTAACGCCAGAGAATCCCATGCATTTCCCATTTTCATTTTAAATATTACTCCACAATAATGTTTACTTACCAACACAAATGCTCAGCCAGATTTTTTACATACAACTTAAAATCTCCCAAGACTCCTTGAAACTCTTTATCATGGCCAAAGAGCCCTCATGATATGGCTCCTGGTTATCTTTGCAGCTGTCTCCTGGCAAGTCCCAGCATTTACCGTTCACTTGACCTATGTTAAACCTCTAACATTTCATAAACCACGTTATTTTTGTCTTTGCCGTCCCATTTGCCAAAATGAACTGCTTCATTTGTTGACCTCGCATAATCCTACATATTATTGAAGATTCATTGTAAACATAACTATCAAAGCAAACACGTTATTGACAACACCATCCCCATATCCCATTATATACATTCCTGTCACTTCTCATCTCCGTGTGTGATGGGTCATATTAGGTGTCAACTTGACTAGATCAAGGAATGCCTAGCTGGTTGATGAAGCATTGTTTCTGGGTGTGTCTGCAAGGGTGTTGACAGAGGAGATTATCATTTGAGTCAGTGGGCTGGAACAGAAAGACCCACCCTCAATGTGGATGGGCACCATCCAGTTGGCTGCCAGTACAGCTAGAACAAAACACGTGGAAGAAGGGGGATACGTAGCTTGCTTGCTGAGTCTGCTCCCTCTCTCTTCCCATGCTGGGCAGCTGGGCAGAACTCTTGGCTTCCTCTCCTGCTGCCCTTGGATATCAGACTACATGTTTTAGGGCCTTTGGACTCTGGGGCTTGCACCAGCAACCTTCCAGGGGCTCAAGGGTCTTCAACCTCAGACTGAGGGCTACACTGACAGCTTCCCTGGTTTTGAGGCTTTTAGACTTGGATTGAGCCACTCTACCAGCTTCTCTCTTTCCCCAGCTTTCAGAGGGCCTATTGAGGTTACTCTGCTTTACAATCATGTGAGCCAATTCTTCCTAATAAACTCCCCTTATATATATATGAAATATATATGAATACACATATATATGTTAAAATATACATATATATTATATATATGTGATACACACACATACACAGGGAACACTGACTAATTCATCATTTTCCTAACAAAGATGGTTTGCCCTTCCCTAAGATCCCAGAGAATCATGTGCAACTTTTATTATTGCATGAGTAACATTGTATTAAAGGTACTCATTTATAAATCTGTTGTCCTTTTCAGAAAGTGTGTTCCTTTATGGACAGGGACTACATCTAACTTGTCATTTTTCTTAAAGTACTTTGCAAATGATGAGGTAGCAGTTATTTTTAGTTTTATCTGCTTAGTACTCCTTGCAGTCAATACCACTGCCATTCTTGTTCCACTGCTCTTCCCTTTTGAACATGTGAAACTGCCATTTCTTTCCTTTCTCTGCTTTCATGGCCACAGGATTTAGTATTTCAGTAGGTATGTGACTCAAGATTACCTTCTGGGTCCTTTTCTGTAATATAAATATTGGTAAATTAGAAGTCCTTCCTTTCTTTTTAACTAGGAAGATATGATCCAGGAAGCTGCTAGAAGTTCTGGGTACGGACACAGAGATAAAGATAGTTTAAGAGGATGAAGCATAATGAGAGAAGTACAAATGAGAGTGTAAGACAAAGTGTGCTGCTGGCTTTCCAGACCCTGGTTTGGGGTGTTCAGCTCTACCATGAACAATTCCTTTTTTGCTTAAGCTGGTTCAAGTTAGAATTCTATCACTATCAAAATGGGCTAACTAATAGAGATGGAAATCCACAAATGTAAGTTGAATGACAGAAGAAAGAACGAGAGAGAGAGAAAGAAAGAGAGAGAGAGAGAAAGAAAGAAAGGAGGGAGGGAGGGAGGGAGGGAGGGCAGGAAGGGAAGGAAGGAAGGTTAAAACTTAAGTGTGTCAGGAAATTCTTTCAACCTCATTAAACCCACTCAAGATCCAAAGTTTGTGGACTTCTTTTTTTTTTTTTTTTTTTTTGAGATGGAGTCTCCCTCTGTTGCCCAGGCTGGAGTGCAGTGGCGAGATCTCAGTTCACTACAAGCTCCGCCTCCCAGGTTCACGCCATTCTCCTGCCTGGGCCTCCCATGTAACTGGGACTACAGGCACCCGCCACCACACCTGGTTAATTTTTTTTTTTTTTTTTTTTTTTTTTTTTGGCGACAGAGTCTCGCTCTGTCGCCCAGGCTGGAGTGCAGTGGCATGATCTTGGCTCACTACGTGATCCTCCTGGGCTCAAGTGATATTTTCACCTCAGTCTCCCAAACTGCTGGGACTATAGGCGTGAGCCACTGCACCTGGCCTATTTTGGATATTTGTCCCCTCTAAATCTCATGTTGAAATGTAATCTCCAATGTTGGAGGTGAGGCCTAGTGGGAGGTGTTTCGATCCTGGGGGTGGAACCCTCATAAATGGTGTGGTGCCCTGCCCACATTAATGAGTGAGTTCTCCTCTATTACTTCACACAAGAGCTGGCCATTTAAAAGTGTGGCACTCCTCTTCTCTCTCTCTTGCTCCCTCTCTTGCCATGTGACATGCCTGCTCCACTTCGCCTTCCACCATGACTGGAAGCTTCCTGAGACCTTATCAGAAGCAGATGCTGGTGCCATGCTTCTTGTACAGTCTGAAGAACCATGAGCCAAAATAAAGCTCTTTGATTTATAAGTTACTCAGCCTCAGATATTCCTTTACAGCAACACAACATGGACTAATAGAAGTGGCAATCATGTGTCAGACCTTCTCCAGAATTAAATTTGAAAAAAAAAAAAAACACATTGTTATAAATTCAGGGATCTACTATGTAAATCATACAATAATAATTAGAACAGAATTTTTAAACTCCATAGTAAGGTATCTGTACATTTCTCAAGTTATTTATACATTCAAGACTTTCAGAATTAAAAAGAGACTGATACAACATGGCTATATGAATTTAGTCACTAGCTTCCAAAAATCTGTGACATTATTACAAGATGAGAAAATAAAAGTGAATTGCCAATTTTGCTGTCTAAATTGACCAACAATTTAAAAGGTTAAAAGATTAAATACACAAAGCTCTTAGTGTCTAAAGGACATTTTGCAGTTCTGAGAAAGATAATTATTCTATATTGGTTTTTGAAAGCTTAGAGTCTAGCAAATTATGTATAGGTTTTTCAGATATATACAAACAGTATGACCTATCTACACTTTGTTTAAAAAAAACTATATTCATTAAATATTGGCCCTTCTTACTGACCACTCATTATATTTTATCATTATGTAAAATGCAGTAAGAGCAATACGCTAGGTGCCGGACAGAGCTGCAGATCCAAAGTAATTTTTTAAATGGAAATTAATTCAGCAGTCTAGGGAAATACTATTACAAGCAATGCCCTGCTGAATCTCATTAAATCAATTTGGAAAGACATATAGTTGGAAAGGTAAAAATAAATCAATAAGATTAAAAAGGAAGTCTATGCTTTACAGAAAAGAGAGAGAAAGAGAGGAGTTATATTATCTGGTTGTTAAGTGACAGGATTTAAGTAGGACTGATTTGTCTCCCTTATAGGGAAAAGCAGTTTTCAGGACTAGAGCAAAATACTGTTTGCACATGGCCCAGTTTGTACAAACTGCATTTCCCTCGGCAAGACTTCACTCCATCTTTAAAAATGGAGATGAGCTTCCACCAGAGGAGCTATTGCCTAGCAACAAGATGCTAAGAAGGCGAAGGCGAGCTGAGTCCTCTCTATAAAGAGCTCCCTCTCCCTCTCTCTACCACACTGCAATGATTTCCAGTGCAGACTGATGCCCTTGAGGGAGTCACCTTAACGACCAGAAAGCTATAGGAAAAGAATTTTGCTAAGATCACGATAAAGTCTAAGCTTCTTTTGTTTTTCAGCAGACATTCGATGCTCACTCCTCTCTGTGCTTAGCCCTACACAAAGCATTTTCACAAACGTGTTTTTATTTCCTTTAAGCCCCTAGCTGTCACCAGTATTGAGTCATATGACTGACTAGCTGACTAGCTATAGACCTAAGATCTATCTGGTCTTACCTGAGATTGTCAAATGTTTGCTGAGAAGCACTGATGTCCATCATCTTTGCTATTGCCTCAAATGTTAAACTCCTACCCCTACGCTAAAATAGGCAGGGTGGCAAATCCTCTTTTAACCTCTTTTTCACAGTTTGAATAGTTCTCTGCTCCTCCTATTCCCCACTCCCACCATCTTGATAAAGATTCTAAGTATTTATTGTTTGTTTTTTAACGGGCTTCTACTAAGCACATAGTACTAAGTACTAGAGACAAAATTAGGAACAAGACATAGTTCCCATAGGAGCCTACAGAGGACCATAGGAGTAAACAGGAGAAGCACAGAATGGCCAAGAAAATCGAGAAGCAGTGGAGAAGGCTGCCCAGAGATGGCACCTGTACCCTGAGACCTGCAGTACCCACAGAAGTCAGTCTTGCAAAAGGATGGGCGTGGCTGGAAAGTGGCCTGGGATGATGGTAGGGAAAATAACATTCTGGGCAGAGAGAACAAAGGCAGTGCTAAGTGACAGGGAGCCTGAAGCCTAGGGAATATGTTACTTTCTATGCTGTAATTCAATAGTAATAATTTTTTCACAATATCCAAATTGACTCACTACCTTTTTATTGCCACCTAGGATACAGCCAAAGACCGTTCACAAATATGATACAAAAGCTATTGTTATTTCATCAGTGTTTTATTCAAACTGCATTTAATCAAAATGTGCTTCCGTATGTTTCAAAATGGCATCAGGGCTTGGACTACGCTCAAAACAATAATTCTTAAGTATATAGGACAATATAATAACGTGATTACTAAACAAATCTGTTGTCAAATTGTAACGACCGAAGAAAAATTAGAAAACGTATTCTGGGCAAACCAGATACAACTCTTGCAAAAGTCTGTATTCACATGTTCTTACCTATTTTTAGATACAGGTCTGATTCTTTTTTTAAAAGAACAGAGTAGGCAAATCAATAGACTAGGATTGTTTAAGGAGATACAAACAACGTGTGATTTAATTTTTGAAGAGGTGTTCTGAAAACACTACGCCCAAAATTTGAGCTTCGGGCTCTTCTGATTTGCTATTCAGGGGCTTCTACGCTGCCTCTCTGCTGCCCTCACGTGAAATGACAGTGTGTAGCAGCGCAGAAAATACCTTAAAAACAAACTCAGGACGACCTCAACGTAGAACTATGAAAAGGGAGAGATGGCGTGATGAGCACAAGCCTTTCTCACAGATTCCAGGAATCTGGATTTGTTGTGACTCAATCACTGTGCAGATGGGTTTCTACTGAATAATATTTTCAGGACTTGTTTCAAAGACAGGAGAGTTTTTTCAACATCAGAAGAGAGCTCAAAATGTATATTTAGAAAGAGGAAGGATGGAGAAGCAGGATTTAATTGGCTAATTAAGTCTCCAACTTGTACAATTACAGAACAATATTGCTCAGCCAAGAACTAAACCTTGCTACATTTTTTTCACCTTAGAAGTGTTACACCATTCTCTTGCTAGTGGAATGATGCACATCAGGGACTTCATCTAACCTTCCTTGTTTACTGAAGCTAAATATACCTACTTCCTTTAAAAGTAAGCTTAAAAAACCAACTTGTATTTCATACAAAATATAGAAGAAAATTTCCATTTTTGAGCTAACTTTTCCAGACTGCCCTTCAAATATGCCAATCCTTTCTTTTTTAAAAAATTCTTTTCCATGCCTTCGAGATTGTAGTCACTAAGTAGTCTCACAGCTTCATACTCACACTTCTATAGACAATTTGCAAATGGCTTCTCAGCCTCTTATACATTCAACAAACTTTGAATGTCTCCTCACAATTTGAAAATAAAAAGATATTTCCTTCTGTCCTGAAACCTGCTTCCATCCTGATTTTCCTATATTCTCTATAGTCTCATCATTTTTCCAGGCTTACCACTCAAAAGTTATTTTCTAATCTTTTTTTCTCTTTCCTCCATATTCACTTTCCAGCTAGTCAATGCTGGGAACCTTGCCATGAATTTACAATACATTGGAGGTTCCTGGAAAAGTAGAGGCTTAATACAGATTTACAGCATGTGTGACTTGATGGATGAATGCAAAGGAACAGAGAGATATTTCATAAGTAATCATAACTTTGAACAAAGGCTAAGAGGGTAAGTGTGCTATAACAGCGAAATGGAATCTAATTCAGGGCAAGAGTACAAAAAGGATAGGCTTCCATGATGAAGTGATTTTAGACCAATGTCTATAAGACAAGAAATTGGTAACTAATAAAAAGGAAGAGGAAAGCATTCCAGGCAGAGGGAATGGTCTGTTCTAAAATGCTGAGGTAAGAAGGAACTTGACATTATCATAAAACTGCCATATGGGCAGGGAGCATAAAGAATTGGCCAGAGTGGAGTGCTAGACAAAGTTTTTCTTTCCCTTGTTAAAATATTTATAATTTGTTCTGTTTCATTCTTAATTGAATTTGAATGTCTTGTAACAGGAAATACATATACCACAGGCCTCATCATATTCTATAGTTTTATGAGCAGGTGGATCATTCGTTCATGCAAACTGCCTGTTTCCATAAGTATTCAAGGTTAAAATTATGTCTTAGGGTCCAAGTGATGAGATTTTATCCTAACAGCAAAGAAAGCCATGGAAGAGTTTTAACAGGGAAGTGACACATTCTGATTTGAGTTTATAAAATACAGTAAAATTCTTTCCGAACACAGTAGGTGTAGTCCAGAATTTTTCACTACCATTAAATGTAGTGTTTGGTTATGGTGAGGTTAACTAAGTGACCTGGATGAGCCTACAAGAACAACAGGTTGTGAGTTATGGGAGTCCAGAAGAGCTGTCCAAATTCCTGCCAGTCAGGGTCTGCGTGCTGGCTTCAGCCTGGCGCCACCTAGTGGCAACTGTTCATTCCAGGTTAAATATTGGTAGATTGGTAGGGATGATTCTGGGCTCTGTGGCTGGGATTTCCAAGATCATAGTAGCAATACTGGGGATCTCTTGTTTTGTTGGTACTATGTAGGGAAATTGGACTGGAAGAACACTGGTGGAATAGAACTTCCTCATCCATTTCCCAAGACAGAAATTTCTGAAGTTTCCTCAATGGGGCTTGCCTTCCCCTCTTTGCCCCCCTACCCTCAATCTCCCAGCAAAGCATAAGAACTTTAGTTCACTCCTATCTGGAAATGGGAAAAGGATGGGAAATAGCAACTAGTCACAAATCAAATTATATCCAAGTTATCTTAATTACTGGTGGTGTTATGGTCTTTTAAGGTAACAGTGCAGCTGTCATGAAGAACATGGATTGTAGGTGGAAGAGAGGCTGTTTAGTTAGCAAAGCATTAGGAAGCAATCGCAATAGCTCAAATGAGAAATGGAAGTCTTTTTAGACTAAGGTGGTAGCAGCAGAAATGAGTTTAAGATCCAGTTTTAAGATATTTAGGAAGCAAACCCAGCTTCATTCTGTGATTGATTGGAAATTGGGGAATAGAGAAGGAAAGTGTTGAGGAAGATCCGTGATTGCCCAGGTTTCTAACATGAAAAAATAGGCAGGTGGTGGTTTTGTTGGTTGAAATAGTTGAGAGGAAGAAACTTTGAGGAAAAAAATCATGAGCTCAGTTGTTTTGAGCATGTTGCATGTGAAGTCCTATAAGATGTTGTATATTCATTGGTTAAACAAATGGATGTGCATATCTAGAGCTGAAACACAGTGATGTGGCTGGAGATGCAAATTTGTTACCTATGGCTAAAGAGATGGTAGCTAAAGTGGTTATATAAAGATGGATTTGGGGGAAAATAGGGTTGATTAAGAAAAAAAGCATGACTAGGACTCAAGAATGAGGAAAATGAAGAGAACATAGTATTATAGAAGTCAGAAGAAGAAAGTTTCTAAACAGAATGGGTAGCAAACTGTACTGAAAGCCATTCAAAGGTCAGGCAAGTCAGGATAGAACCATCTGACTTATTGATCTGGACAGCATTGGTGACCTTAGCAGGCATAGTTGTGTGGAGGAAGTGAAAGTAAAAACCAGAACAGAGTAATTTTCTGATTTATTTAAAAAACCATCATTCTCAGCAAACTAACACAAGAAGAGAAAACCAAACACTGCATGTTCTCACTCATAAGTGGGAGTTGAACAGTGAGAACACATGGACACAGGAAGGGGAACATCACACACTGGGGCCTGTCAGGGGGTGGGGGGGTTAGGGGAGGGATAGCATTAGGAGAAGTAATACCTAATGCAGATGACAGGTTGATGGATGCAGCAAACCACCATGGCACATGTATACCTATGTAACAAGCCTGCACATTCTGCACATGTATCCCAGAACCTAAAGTATAATTAAAAAAAGGTAAAAAAAATCATGAAATGCAAAATGTTTGATTGTATATAACTGAAGAGCTGTAAGCAGCAAGCCTAGATACTTCTTTCAAAAAGCTTAACTTTTGTTTTTAAAATGGCAGAGATTTCAGAATATTTAAAGGGTCCACAATGAGGGAGAAAGTCAGCATAGAGGTTAGAGAAAAGATTCAAAGTGTAATAATATTCTTGAGCAAGTGAGAAAGGATGACATTCAGAACATAGGAGAGATAAGTCTTTGATTGGAGTAGGAAGAGTCTACTATTGCAGTCAGAGGAAAAAAGGGGTACAGATGACCAGAGTCTCAGAGATGCTGTGCTTGGCAGTCCAGAGCATTCCTGTGTGATGGCGTCTATTGATTCTTTACAATGTCTTCATTCCCACTGCCCTGAATATTTTGGGTTTAGACTATTTTCTTCACCTCTTATCTGCTCACCTTCCATCTGGACTCTCTTCCAAATCAAATCAAATCCACAACATTCAGCACAGTTTGATAAATAAAACATCATCAAGAATTAATTTAATAATGTCATATCTCCACTTAAACATCTTCAGTGACTACAGAGAAGGATACTGAAGAAGAAGCACTGAATAATGAGTTAGAAACAGGCCAAAATGGAATATGTGGACTTAGCTGAGGTTTGGAGTCATCTAAATTCCTTCATCTTCTGTTCCTGTTTAGGCAAACTTTTTTTTCTTTATACATCCTTACTTCCCTGAGCTGATGACACGTATGTCATGACATATCATCAATCTTCAAGATTCACTTATTTTCTTATTTCTTTTATAAGTTACACTGATGACTCCTCATACATAGAGAAGTCCTGAACCACCCATTTGGTTCATTTCATGTATTAATTTATATTGGAATTGAATTTCCCATGGCTTTGCCCAAAGCCTTCAAAGACAGTCACCACATTTCTATTGTTTGTTATATATAAGAGAACCTAGAAGAATACCTTTTTTTATTTTTATTTTTTATTTTATTTATTTTTTTTGAGACAGAGTCTCGCTCTCTTGCCGAGGCTGGAGTGCAGTGGCATGAGCTCGGCTCACTGCAAGCTCCGCCTCCCGGGTTCACACCATTCTCCTGCCTCAGCCTCCCGAGTAGCTGGGACTACAGGCGCCCGCCATCACGCCCGGCTAATTTTTTGTATTTTTAGTAGAGACAGGGTTTCACCATGTTAGCCAAGATGGTCTCGATCTCCTGACCTCGTGATCCGCCTGCCTCGGTCTCCCAAAGTGCTGGGATTACAGGCATAAGCCACCACGCCCAGCCAGAAGAGCACCTTTTGTATTACACATGCATAAGAATACATGTAATATTTTGCAATAGTCACAAAGATAGGAAAACAGAAAACAAAACAAGAAGTCTACAAGAAATTACTTCTGCAACATCATTGTTTTAAACCTCACAGCCATATTTCTATAGGAATGTTCAATGCATATTGCCTAATTCACTCCATGCATCTTTTGAGTATGTTTCCTCTTTGAGAGTCAGAAGAATTAAATTGAGTTTAGTCGTAGTTTGGTTCTAATAAATTGTTTGACCTTAGGCAAGTCACTTCCCCTCTGGGCCCCAGGGTTTTCACTTGCACTAGAAGGGGAATTGTCTATGAAACTCTCATTTTTCCTCTAGTTTCTGATTCCATATTTTTTTAATGATTCTGATTGAATAGGCATTTTATATTGTAGAGATGGTTTCCATAGGGTAATGGTCCTAGAATTTAGCATTTTTTTCTTTGCATTGACTATAAAAGTAAAAAAAAAAAAAAAGTGCTGAGTGATGCTTTCATTTTGGCCCTGAGCCATTTTGTCCTTATTGAGGAAATCCTATTTCCACCTTTAGACTATTGGACATGACATGGTGAAACCACAATACTCTCAACTCCTTGCTAAGGAGTGATGTTTGATGGTGATTATACAGATAGTCCCACAGTATTACCTAACAGGAAAGAAATCTGCTTTTAGATTAGGCTCTAAGGAAAAAGCAATTCTTCCCACACAATCATAATAATGATAATGATAATATCCCTATCATTGGATAGCAAATAATGACTAAAAATGAAATAAATTATTTCATTCCTCCAACTTGTAACAATTTATATTTGTATAAGATAATCAACTAATATTTTATAGAATTTTTTGAAAATAGCACCACTTTCAATAAAATAAATTGATAAGACTCAGTTTAATCATTGAATGAATGAATGAAATCATGCAGAATTAGAAAGAGCTAAGCCCTATTCATCAATAAATATTGAAACAAAGACCAGGATTAGTAATTCTGTGGTCAGAAATTAAAGCCCTCAACCAAGGCAGCAACGTCCCAGCTGAGAGTGAGTAACACACAGAGCAGCTCAGAAGCACCTGAAGGAAGAAAGTCAGTCTCAGAGTGACAAACATAACAATGGCCCCCTCAAAGATGTCCACAGCCTAATTCCTGGAAACTGAGACTGTGTTACCTTACATGACAAAAGAGACGTAACCTTTTACTGCTTCAGATTTTTACTCTCTAAAACAGGACTAATGATTATTTCCTTATGCCCTATATTATTCAGAAGACAGAATAAATACACAGACGTCACTCATTTCCCTCTCTCTGATTACATGCCAGCGCCCCCCATCAGCTAAACCTAACTGTAAGCCAACATGCAAGGTTCCCTGTTGATGTAGTCCATACAACCCATTTCCTGTGGCAGAAAAAAAGGGTGGAGAAGGATGGAGGATGAAGAATGGATCCTGGGGGCTGAGGGCTAGTGGGTAAAAGAATTTATCTGGTACACGCCTTCAAGTAGGAAGTTCTTAAAGCAAAATGTATTAAAATGTGGTCTTTATACTTGCTCTTCCACCTGCCTAGCTCACTCTTTCACCTCCTTCAGGTCCTTTGGGTCACCTCTTTGGTAAACCTTCTCTCATCACCCTATTTGAAATAGCAACCTGCCTTACTCCTGCCCTTGACTCTCCATCCATCCCCATCCCTCGCTTTGAGTCAGATGGTAACACTATCACCATTAGACAAGCCTGTACACTTCACTTACTTGCTTTACTTGCCTCTCTTCCATATTCCACATGCTCTAAGAGAACAGGAAATAGTTTTTCTCTTCTGGAACTTTACCATATCTTCATTGCCTGTATTAGCAATATCTAATATTTCCTTCATTCATTCAATAAGCCTATATTGAGAATCCCCAGATGCTCATCAGATCATGGGGAAACTGATGCAAATGTCAACGTTGGGAAGAAAATGCCTGTATTAACTGTGTTTTTAAAATGGAAACCAGCTTATGCATGACACAACTGTAGTGATTTCTTTTTTTTTTTTTTTTTTTTTTTGAGACGGAGTCTTGCTCTGTCGCCCAGGCTGGAGTGAAGCAGCACGATCTTGGCTCACTGCAACTTCCGCCTCTCGGGTTCAAGCGATTTTTTTTCCCCTTTCAAATTTCTCTTGGTAGTTTTCACTACCTGAATGTTATCTCCTAAATCTCTCCTTTTCCAAACGTCACTTTCTTTTAGGCTCAAATATCCTTTTCTATTAGGTTTCTCCTGTTTTGTCCAAAGTAATTCCTCTCTCTGACCAATATCATGTTATTGGTACCACTAGGAGTATTAAACTCCTCCCATACATGTCAGAGTTATTTGTGTACATATCTTAACAGCAAAAGTAAAACCCATGTTCTTTGAAAAAAAGTTATGCGATTTATGCTATTTCCATGCTCTACAGCACTGAGTGCACAGTTCCTTGCTTGTCATGTGTTGAGAGCATCAGGACTGGAGTTGGAATCCCTGCCTTCAACTCCTGCCTCCACAGTCACTTGCTGTGAGACACTGGCAGGTCATTTAAGTTCTCTAAGCTACTAAGCTATTTCATGAGTTTGCTATAAGGGTTAAATAAGAAGATATATTTAAATCATTAGCTAATATATACTCAATAAAATGATTTGTGATTAATATAGTGTGTGTTCAGTGTTTGTTAAACAAATGAGTTTATAGTAAGTTTTGGAAGAATGAAACAGTGCACAATGAAATCGTTCAATGTTCTTGCTTAATGATGTATGATGTGAACCAGAAAATGACTCAGTGTTAAGAGAATAGCCTCTTGAGTCAGACTTCTAGGGATCAAATCCATCCCTTACTACCTGTGTGAGCTTAACCAAGTATTGAACCTTTCTAGTCCTGAGTTTTCTCATCTACTTAACTTAGAGAGAACAGAGGCTGGGCATAGTAAGTGATCAATAAACTAATTATAGACACTAAAAACCAAACTGAAAAAAATTAATCTGACAGGCTGCCAGACATTTACAAATTTTAAGAATTTAGTTTGCACACCAATGAAGAGATATAATTAATCTTTTCAAAGATTCTTATTGCCAGGTTCTTTTCTTTTCAAGATAGGACTAAACCATAGACATTTAGGGAAAAACATATTTCAAAACAAGCAACATTCCAAAAAGAAAAAACATAACTTTAAAATTCCTTTTATGTGTTTGTTAAAAGTCTCAAAGCAGCTGTTATTAAAACTTTCAACTTTCTGTCATCCAACAGTGTTATTTCACAATCATTAATAATTAATCATAGGTCTCTGATTCATTCTTGTATACTCTAAAAATAGGACACCATGAATAGGCTTAGATCCTTAGCAACGGAATAATGAACATTCCACCAGCCTAACCTGGGTACCTAGTTACATTTTGCAAACAGGTTTGTCTCAGGATTGCTAAGTTGGAAGGTATTTAATGGCAAAGTCAGACATGTTTTTTCTATTTGCCGTAAGTCAAACTGATCTCAATAAAGACCTCACCATTTCTTCTCTCTCTTTGCCTAGTGGTGGAAAGCAAAAAGGCTTATGCAACCATCTTGAGCCCTGGAGATGAAGGCTATCAGGCATAAAGCCTACTAAACCACCAGCAACCTGGTTGGTTACTTGATGGTGCTTGTTTGTTTGACAGAATCTTGCTCTGTCACCCAGGCTGGAGTGCAGTGGCATGATATCACCTCCTCCGCCTTCTGGGTTCAAGTGATTCTCCTACCTCAGCCTACCGAGTAGGTGGAGTTACAGGTGTGCACCACCATGCCCAGCTAATTGTTTTGTATTTTTAGTAGAGACAGGGTTCACAATGTTTGCCAAGCTGGTCTTGAACTCCTGGACTCAAATGATCCACTCGCCTTAGCCTCCCAAAGTGCTAGGATTACAGGTGTGAGCCACTGCACCCGGCCTGATGGGTGTTTTTGATGTCCACCATGTGACAGGTATTTGCATATGTTCTGATGAATGAGGAAATGGCATAGATAAAGGTAGCATCTAATCTCTTAAAAAATTTTAAGGTTAATGTGTTCAATAAATAGTGTAAGACACTGTTATATACACTTTACAAATATAAGTTCACTTAATCTTCACTGTAGCACCATGGGGTAACTGATGCAAGCGTTAAGTATCTATCCAAGAATTACACACCCAATAAGGGGAGGCTCCAGTATTCAAACTGAGGAAGTCTGGGTCCTATATCCTAGCCTAAGCCCTAGGCAACCCAGCAGATTGGTAAACCACAGATGTGGTTAACAAGTCTGTATATACCTCCTGGATTAACAGCAGGACACATATGAGGATGGACAAATGTGGATTTAGTATGAATGTGTATGTGTGTGTGTTCCTTAGCTTAGCATTCAAAATATCCAATTCACCAAGTAATATCCTATCCATGGGTTTCACTAATACGAAGTAATAATAAGAATAGTAGAGATGTGCATAAATGTATATATTGGAGCCTAATACAAAACAGCAGAGGCAACAAGTGAAGGTCTTTGACACTTTGTACAAGTAGTCCTGGACTTACCCAAGAGTAAGAAAGCACATTCCCCTTTTCTCCCCCCATCAAAAACCAGTCCCTCTCTTCCTTTCTCAAATGGATAGATGGATATTGATAGATAGCCCTACTTCCTCATTCCCCTCAAATTCCTCTTTTATTCTTTGTCTCTCACCCAAACTAGATAACTTCAAGCCTGAAACCATGAATGTGTCTCTCTGGACACTTGCAGCATCCAATACAGTAGCCACGGACTACATGTGGCCACTTAATTTAAACATAAACTAATTAAAATAAGCAAGTTTAAAATTTAGTTTCTCAGTCCATTCTCCATATATGACTGGTGGCTAATACTGGACAGCCCAGATATGGAACATGCTCATCATCACAGAAAGTTCTGCTCTGAAGAGTGATAGGAGCCACTGCTGGTTCTGTCCCCTGAAAGTGGCACTGATTCCTCTTTTTGAGTTCCTCTGTTTTTGTGTCATCACAGAACTACACAATTAAGTTTAAGAAAACCATCTACTATAAACATAGAAGTTATTTGGCAACATTTACTTTATCACACACTTCCCTCAGTCTGCCAACAATCTTTGATCAAAATCATTGGCAAGTTTCCATGCATTTTTCAAGTTTTTTTCTTACATGACATCCTTTCAAGTAGCTAAAAGAAGACAGCTTAATATATGTGAATTTTTTAATCAAAGAAATACAACTACATAGCTTATTCCATTCTTTACCTAAAATTTTTTATCTCACCTCATGAATTATTAAGAGACAATCATCTTTACCACATTGTTTTCTATCCTGATATGGGCTCACCTCACTTTATCCTCTCAGAATTGTATCCAAGTGAATTAAAAAATTTCTGTATTCAGTTTCTGTAATATTATATCACTGATAGACTATCAGCAATTAAGCCATTGAGTCAGCAACTAAGGAAGTTTAGACAAGGAAAACATGATTATAATTATTTTGTTCTAAATATTAGAATAGCTCCTCCATAATCTCTTTTGCTAAAGCAAGGTGAATTATAATATCTATTAATTCATTTAGCCATTAGCTACTTAGTTATAATTTACTACAAGCCTGATACTGTAAGAGGTGCCCCCAAAGTTCTTACAATATAATGGGCTCAAACTACTGAAATAAAAAAGTGGTGTTCATTGCCCTTCAACATCCCGCAGGCTGATGGTGACTACCTAAATTTAAATCTGTGTTCACATTCTCCAAAACAAACCACGCTGATCCAAAAAGAGAGCAAATAAAACTACCTATAACCCATGTCTACAGTGTACTTGGGAAATAGACCGTGTGACACACTCCAGTTTACATGTGAGGAGAGACTCAGCAAAGTTGTGGGGCCACACCAGGGCCCATGAGGAGAGGATGGTAGGACTCAACAGCAGCAGAACCCAGAAAAACAAAAAGTGACCCCCAGAAGGAGGAAATTCTGCCTGGAGTGGAGAAATACTGAAAACAGGGATGCAACCTAGTGAATCAGAACCCTGGCTCCTGGAGAAGTAAAAGGAAGGGACAAAAACGTGTGCAGTGCCAGAGGTGGCAGTCTTAGGAAGATATGGCCTGGGAGGGACAGGGAGGTGGAGCCCTTGGAGACTTAGTGGTGAAGAGAAAGTAGAAGGAAGCGTCAGAAATGAAGGAAGATGAAGAAGAAACCAAAGAGAATCAGAACTGGAAGATATACATCAACTTTCCTCTGCAAAATGTCCCATCTATCAAAGAAACTGTACTTCACTGTACAGTAGGATAAGGCATTCTCAAACCAAGAATCCCATTAAACCACCCAAGTCTCTCACTCCTAAACATAGAGAGTCAAGGTGATAGAAGAAAAATTTAAATATGCAACAACCCAAGAATACAGTTCTCGTGAGAGTCCTTCTTTAGGAATCTGCTAGAGAGTTTCATCCCATCATTTACGAATGGGGAAACCAGCAAAAAGAAAGCCATCTGGTAGCACTGAATATATTTAATAAATATATTAAATTGTAGATCTAAGACTAGAAGAAAGTGGGAAAGGAGGTAAAAGAATAATATGTAATGTATATATTCTGACAAAGTAAAAAAAATACACAACTACAAAATGGGAGCATAAAAGAGAAAGAAAGGAAAAGTGAAATATACATACTGAATATCATATAGTGATAAAAGAAAATCATTTTAAACTTACCAACCAAACAGTAGAAGCCTAAATAAGGCATAAAGAGACTAACAGCAATATAAAAGGTATTAGTAGAAAAGTAACCACTAGAAAAATACAAACTTTCCTAAATATCAAATTAAATACTGCACCCTCTCCCCATCTCAAAAAAAAAACAAAAAAAACAAGGAAACAAACCACATGGAGAAACATAGCAACTATAACATATATAGTAAATATAAAAAACAATATGACACATTGAGACCAAACATATTACTCATATTAATATATGTATATGAGCTTAACTTACCTATTACAGAGATTTTCAGATTGGGTCACAAAGTAAAACCCAACTCTATACTACATGCTATAGACACACTTAAAGAGATTCAAGAATGCTAAAAATAAATGTATGGACAAGTTATACTAAGCAAATGTAGGCAGTAAAACGGCAGGGTTGATGATCTTGATATTGAACAAAGTATAAATCATGTTCAAAAGTATTAAATGAGACAAGGGGGGACACGTTAAAATGAAAAAGATCATATTGTTCAAAAAGAAAATTGAGTTTTTTAAATAGCCATGAATACAACCACCACCTTTATAAAGCAGAAACCACAGGAAATTCCAAGAGAAATGGTCAAAAACAAACCAATAATATGAAACTTGAATGTATCATTCCCTGGCCAAGAAAATCAAGTGGACAAAAAACAAGGAAGGGTATAAAATACTTATCACTTAGCCAATAAGGTAGATTTTATGAATATATTTTGAATTTTATCACCAATAATATTTTACATACCTCCTTCTCAAGGTCATATGGAATATTTGCATAAATTGACCGTATATAATATCACATAGAAATCTTCAATAATTTCCATAAAGTAGAAATAATTCAAACCACATTTTCTGATCAGAGTACAATATAAACAGAAATTAATAAGAAAAACAAATGAAAACAAAACAAAATAGCTTTTCCAGCTGAAAAATGCAAAAACTCTTTGCTAAAAAACCCTTTGGTAAAAAGGGAAATACTAAATGAAATTGCAGATTTCTTTATGTAACAATGATAAAAATATTACCTCTCAGAATATATGGGTTATAATCAAAGCCATGATCACAGGGAAATTTATAGTCTTAATACATATGAATAAAAATAAATGAATTAAAATTTCAGCCCAAAATCCTAGGAAAAACAAACAATGTAAACCATAAGAAAGTGCAGGAAAAAAATGGTAATAATGAAAGCAGAAATTAATTATTAGAAAAAATAGAATTAAGAAATTAAAATGTTGGTTCTTTCAGGGGTAAATCACTTGGTAAATTATGTGGGGATAAGAAGGAGAAAAACCTAAATACGCACAATAGAAAATGAACAGAGGAAATTAAAAGAGAGAACATCAAAATGTTTTAAGAAACTTTTGTACAACTCTATGAAAATAATATAGCGATAAAATAGGAATTTCCCAGTAAATACAATTGATCAAAATTGATCCCATTAAATATAAGTAGCATAAGTAGACTAATTTTCTTAGGAAAAAATCTATGAAAAAAAGTCACTTCACTAAAAGGTCAGCAGGCCCAGATAGCTGCACATGGGAATTCTATCAAACCCTCAAATACCAGATAATCCTAATTCTGCTTAGGTTGTTCCAAAACATAGAAAAAGAAAGAACACTTCGAAACGTTAAGTATAACGTTGCTAATTAAACCTAAGGAAGACGATACCAGAGAACCACGGATGGTTTCGGAATGAAACTCTCCCACCTCAGATCATCAGGCATTAAGCAGGGCGCAGCCTAGATCCCTGACATGCGCAGTTCACAATAGGGTTCGTGCTCCTGTGAGAATCTATGCCAAGGCTGATCTGATGGGAGGCATCTGACAGGAGGCGGAGCTCAGGCGGTAAGCTAGCTGGACCCGGCTCACCTCCTGCTGTGCCGCCCAGTTCCTAACAGGCCACGGACCAGTACCGGTACGCAGCCTGGGGATGGAGACCCCTGTTATTGAAAGATCAATCTAGTGATATATAATAATGTAACTGGCTATTTCAGTATCCTAGAGACCCCTGCTACTCAAAGTATGGGCAGCAGAACAACAGCATCAGCATCACCTGAGACCTTGTTAAAACACCATCTCTCGGCCAGGTGCGGTGACTCACTCCTGTAATCCCAACACTTTGGGAGGCCAAGTCCCGCCCCACCCCCCACGTCACTTGAGGTCAGGAGTTCAACGCCAACCTGACCAACATGGTGAAAACCCGTCTCTACTAAAAATACAAAAATTAGCTGGGTGTGGTGGCACGCACCTGTAATCCCAGCTACTCAGGAAGCTGAGGCAGGAGAATCGCTTGAACCCGGGAGGCGGGGGCTGCAGTGAGCAGAAATAGCGTCACTGCACTCCAGCCTGAAGTCTCTGTCTCAAAAACACAAAAACAAAACCTAGCATCTCTCAGGCCCCACCTCAGACCCATGGGATCAGAATCTCCAGTACAACATGATCTTCAGGGGATTCATGTGCACATTAAAATATGAGAAGCAGTAGCCTAGGTATCATAAGATAGCATCTGAAAAATAAAAGGTGGATGCAAGAGAAATTGTGCTTCAAAAAGTGATAAAGATCAGAGAAGACAATAAGGTTTCAAGACCCCTTACTGAGAGTATGTGAAAACTGGCCCCCCAAAAAACCAGATTCATAATGAGTTTGACTATAGTTACTGGCTTACAGCTACCTTGCCGCTTATTTTCAAAATAATTGAAATTGTTAAATCATAGTAATATTTCAATTTGGGAAAAAAATCAATAGAAATCCTGCTATTATTCCTTGAACTCTCAAAAATTCTAGATGGCTTATGTTTTTAATGAAGCCATCCATCTGATTTTCCATTTTCTTTCTTATGGTAGATTTAGAGTCTTTTCCCAAAGTTCCCTTTGTCACTAACCTGGGCATTTCTCCAAGCCCAAAGAGAGTAGTGAAAATTAGAGGCTCTTCCTACATACTTTTCTTTTTTAAGCAACTAGATCTGGTTTCCACATTAGCAAGCCTCAACCTTTCCCTATTTGTAGGTTTTCTTCTGTGTTTTTTTTTTTTAAACACAATTGCCTCTACATCCTGATCAAAACAGAAAGCTTTCACAAGCTAAACTAATTAATGTGCGATTGAAGGTGTTGTTTTAAATAGTTTATTAATTCCTTACCAAATATGCTTGGAGTTTTATAAATATCATGCTGGAATTATAGAGATATGAAAGCATCTTAAACACATCTTAAAAATGCCAGCAATCACTTATGTGGTATTGTCAATCTAGTTAATAATACAGAAATAATATGAAGAATACATAATGAATTAAATAGAAATAGAAACTATATTCATGTTGAAAGTGAGCTCCTCTGTGTAACACAAATGCACAAACATTACTCTCAGAATGCATTACCTTCATAAGAAAGTTAAAACTAAGAATATTTAGTTGATTTTAGTAATATTCCAGTTCACCCCAATAACAACAAAAAATTGATCTCTAATATCTAACAATTAAATATCTAATTAAAAATGAATGTTAAACAAAAATCAATGTTTAGAAGTATCTAAGCATTTTTTAAAATGCCTCTCAGAAGAAGAAAAATACACAGCCTAATAATTTTTTAATTGACATTTCAAAAATTACATAGTCTCTCCCTTTGAGCTCTTAATCTCATAGTTAAAATTTCTAGTCTTTTTCTCTGAAGCTTGCCTATTGCTTCCACACTCACCTCAGGCCTCCCATGTCTATGTTCTTTTCTAATTCTATGTTCATGATCCAGAGAAATATATTTTCATGTGTATCTCTAATTGAAAACTTAATATCCAAATTTTCTAGTTTTAAAACCTCAAATAAAAATAAGAGTGTATAAAATAAAAATCCCTGAGTGCATAGAGAGCATTCAGGGATTTTGCTGGTCTTTGTGATTTTTCTACATAATTTTATTACATATCTGAATAAAATAGGACACATGCTCTTTTCTCCCTGATGAGTTGAAATGCACAGAATCTTTCTTCATCCGATGCTCATAAATTTTTTTTCTCAAAAGTGTATCTGTGCACATTCCTTTAGGATATATTGGTTCAGAGCAATTATGAAGACTACATGGAACATCTCACTTTCCCTTATGCTGATTGTTCAGATTTTAAATTGCTTTTTGGACTATGTTAATGTCTTTGCTTCACAAAAATCTTTGTGGTATGATCTTAGAGATGGAAACTAACAATTCAAACATCTGTATTAGACCTGCAGTCTTCTTACAGAATGACAGAGACTATTCAGGAAATAGCTTTAAAATCACAGACAATTGTTACCAGAATAGACTTTGGTTCCAAATTATGCAAAATAATTAACTACACAATATGAAAATCTCAGTGGATTCCAGAAGTTATAATCGGTCAAGGCAAAGAAAAAAATAAATGAGGCAATATTTCCTGGATAGGAGTCTGGGACTTGCCTGTAAGATAATTAATTTTCAATTAAACAAAGGCAAAGCAGTGCTATTGAAATGAAACTAGGTGAATAAGGAAAGATTTCCAAGGTGTGCATTTATGCTAAAATAGTTTATGGTCTTGAAGAATGGGTCAATTATGAATGGGTCATTTTGTATGGTCCAAGATGTAGATATTTCATAAATAAATAATTTGTTATCAGTCTCAGTGGAATGGATCTATATAGAATTCATTTTCACTCTCTCCTATCAAATGGCATATTAATTTCTACAACTCTGTGCTTACAATGAAATATACATGGTCTTACTCCCATATCAGAACAACATAAAACTTTCCTAGTAGGTTTAATTTCCTTGGTTCCCCCACTTTAAAGATTCTGTTTCAGTAAATTATGGTGATATAAATTCCTCGTTTGGGTTGTTCTTATTTATTTTTCCTACAAAATTGCTTTGTGGAAATTGTCTGATGTAGAGAGACTTTCAGCATGCTTCCTTAGTGGAAATAAGCATGCCCCTTTTCAGTTCTGCCATACATGCTTTTTAGGGCAGAAATGAACTTTGAACAAATTTCATTTCTAGCAAATGTAATATCCCTCAAAATATATTTTAGCACACCAAAAGAGTTATAGTCAAATAAATGGCATTTTAAAATCTTGAAGATCAGATAATCTGCCTACTATTTAAACTATTCCATACAACCGAAAAAGAAAGTTCTCTAATTATTTCCTAAAATTATGACAGTCCAAATTTTAAAATCCTGACAAAACAGTTTGTAAATTTATAGATAAATTATCTTATGAAAACAGATGCAAAATTATAAATGATGCAGTAACAAGTCAATTCAGCAGTTATGTTAAAATAATAATATGATAACAAAATAGAATTTTCATTAGGAATAAAAATATTGTTCATCATTGGAATATACAATATACATATAAATATAAGCAAAAAGTCATATGATTCTATAATTAGGCATCCAAAAGTCCATTGAAAAAATCCAACAGTTAGCCCTGTGTAAGAAACTCTAAGTAAAACATGACTAGAAGGAAAATAAGTATGCTAAAGCATATCTGACATAAACAAACTGGCAGGGCATAGTGGCTGTAATCCCAGCTACTCAGTAGGCTGAGATGGGAGTATCCCTTGAGGTCACGAGTTCAAGACCAAACTGTGCAAAATAACAAGATCCCTATCTCTAACATGATTTTTTTTTTTAATTAGCTGAGTGTGGTGGCATATACCTGTTGTCCCAGCTAATCAGGAGACTGAGGCAGGATGATTGCTTGAGCCCAGAAGTTTGAGGCTGCAGTGAGCTATGTTTGTGCCACTGCACTCCAGCCTGGGCAACAGAGCAAGACCCCTTCTCTAAAAAAATAAAAAGTAGCAAAGGCAGAAAGGTAAAATACTGATATGGTTTGGCTGTGTCCCCACCCAAATCTCATCTTGAATTGTAACTCCCACAATTCTCAGCTGTCATGGGAGGAACCCAGTGGGAGGTGATTGAATTATGGGGGTGGGTCTTTCCTGGGCTGTTGTCCTGCAAGATCTGATGGTTTTAAAAAGAGGAGTTCCCCTGCACAAACTCTATTTTTGTGCCTGCTGCCAACCATGTAGGAGGTGACTTGTTCCTCCTTGCCTTCCACCATGATTGTGAGGCCTCCCCAGCCATGTGGAACTGTAAGTCCATTAAACCTCTTTCTTTTGTAAACTGCCCAGTCTCAAGTATGTCTTCATCAGCAGCATGAAAACGGACTAATATAAATACTGAAGCCATTTTTGTTCAAATCCAGAACAATGTAGGAATATCCACTCAGACAATGGTTATTCAGCATTCTTTTGGAGTTTCTAGCAATTGCAATACCATAAAAAATAAAATATTTGCTATGAATGTTGAAAAAGAAGAAACAAAATCATCTGTATTTGCAGATATAACGTGGCTAGAAAACTGAAGAGACTCTATTGAAAAACTAATAGAATTAATAAGAAAATTTAATAAGGGCTGTCTATGAGATAAATATACCAAAATCAGTAGTTTAACTTTTCATCAATACAGCTAGAAATGGAAATAAAATCAAAACATTCGTATAACAATAAAAGGTTGACATTTCTGGAACATGCAGGGGCTATACAAAGAAAACAATAATATATTATTAAATGGAGAGGCACAAAATGATACTGAATGGGAAGACACCATATTATATTCATATTTTAACCATTCCAAATTAATATACATATTTAATATAATTCTAAAGCCATTAAAACTTGCTATGAAGCTGTCAGAATAGTATAGCACTGGCACATGAATAAGCAAATCTAGAGAACAGAGCAGGGAATCTAGAATTACATCCAAGTACACATGAGAGCTTTATATATGACAAAATGAGCTTTTAATTCAGTACGTCTCCATTAAAAACCCCATGTAAAAATACAAATTTAGACTATTTATACATTTTTTTTTAAAGTCCAGGTGAATTAAATATTTTTAAATAAACCAATAAAAATTCCAGAAGGAAGCCCTTGGTGAAGATCTTCTCACTTAAGAAAGACAGAAAACAAACTACCTATTTTATAAAAAATGGAAGTATATCTGGCTATGTAAACCATAAGCAGAAAGACAAACTAAAGACTGGAAAAAATATTTACAGTATATATAATATCCAAAAGTTGATCATTTTAAAATGGACATATGCAAAGGCTACAAATTGCCAATTCATAGTAGATGGTATGCAGACCCATCATTTGAAAAGATGCAAGTAGAATTCTTTTTTCTTCTTCCAACAAAATCTAGATAATTCAAATTAAACAAAAATGGCATCATTTTTAGCCTTCAGATGAGCAGCAATAGAAAACAAAATATTAACTCAGTGCTGGCAAGAATACAGGGAAATTGGCACTGTTATCATTCTAAATCACCATAAATATTTTAGAAAGAAATTAGCAATTATCTATTAAAATGAAAACTGCATATACCTTTGATCCAGAAATTCCATTTTCAAAAATGTATCTGACAGAAAAAAACCAAAAGCATCAGCATATAGTGATACTTCTACAATGATGTTTACTGAAATACTATTTATAGTGACAAAAATAAAAACTAAAGACATTCAGATGTCTATTAGCAAAGAAACACATCTGAAGAATGTATATTTTTACTTTTTTCAAGCAAGAAAACTTACATACATTTATTTTTGTTTATATATGTTTGTGTGTGCCAAAAAGGATGATAGAGGATGTTCAGTGCATATTAAATTGGTTACTCAGGAGGGTGAGGGGGTAAGGGGATACTACCAGTTTTTCCTATATTTGTCCTGGTAATGTCTCACTTGTTAAAAGGAACATATACTGCAGAATCATGAAAATTCATGCCTAGAATAGACTTTAAAGATATTTTGTCCACTCATCTCATTTTGCAAACCAGTAAACTAAGCCCAATATTAACATACCCAAGGTTATGCATCCATGGCTCAAAATTAAGAGTTTTTGACTCTCAGATCAGCATTCTTCCAATTCAAAACATAAAATCAAATTCTGAAAATAAGTAGCAGCTAACTCTATAGTAAACTCCCACTTGAGCCTAATAATTTATGTACTGAATGCTTCTCTTTCAGTCTGTGTGGTTTACATGCACATATATACATATTCTTTCCCTAAAAGTTTTGTCTAGCATATGATGTGTTTAAATTCAAATGAATTAATTTTTAAAATCAGTACCCCTTTAGGTAAATGAAGCTATCTCTGTTGTCAAAAGATCAAAGACAAACTACATATTTAAACATTATATATTCAAATTATTAACAACTGTTATGATACAGGCACCAAACAATCAGCCCTCAGACACTGGCCCAATCAAAATAGGCAACAGCCATTCTGGTGTAAACATCTGTGGGAAACAAAAATGTCAGCTTAGGCTGGGCTTGATGGCTCAGGCCTGTAATCCCAGCACTTTGGGAGTCCAAGGCGGGCGGATCACCTGAGATTGGGAGTCCAAGACCAGCCTGACCAACATGGAGAAACCCTGTCTCTACTAAAAATACAAAATTAGCCGGGCGTGGTGCCGCATGCCTGTAATCCCAGGTACTCGGGAGGCTGAGTCAGAAGAATTGCTTGATCTCGGGAGGCAGAGGTTGTGGAGAGCCGAGATCGTACCATTGCACTCCAGCCTGGGCAACAAGAGTGAAACTCTGTCTCAAAAAAAAAAAAAAAAAAAACAAGAACAAAAAAACAAAAAAAAAAAAGTCAGCCCTGCCCAAAGCTTAAATATGCTGTCATATCTTCAAAAAGATTAGAATATCTTACCTGAAAATCTCATACTATACTAAACTCAATTTCCTACTAATGAACTGTTTGACAAATACACTTTCATTTTTACTATGGGCCTCGTTGTTAATGAATATGACATTATAATATTAATCTGACATAATACTGACATCACAGTTTAACTGATTTGTATAATAAATGGTTTTTTCACATATAGAAAAAGAAATATATACATTCACTCCACAAGTGTTTACTGAATGCCTTCTACCTCAGGTATTTCCCTAAATGCTGGGTGTGCTTTAAAACAGATTTGATACTTGCTTTCATGGAGTTCACAATCTATGAGTGAGACAGACATTAATCAAGTAAACAGGTGATAATACAATTATAAATTGCGAACAGAACAAGGTGCTATAAAGTAGAATCACGGGGTAAGGGGTGTTCAGTCTATAAATTAGATGGTCAGAAATGGCCTCTCTGCTGAACATGACATTTTCATTTGATCGGATTAAGAAGTCAACCTTGTGAAAGTAGGGAACAAGTTTTCCAGCCAGAGCAAGCTGTTTCTTACTAATGCGACTGGCTTGTTTTATCAAAATGAATCATAATGTTTAATTGGTACTTCATCAGTACTCAATACGTATTTACTTATTGAATCTAATGATCAGATTCTGCATGCTATTCCACCTCTCTTATAAAAGGGCTTCGCGTACAATTAGGCACTTTAAGAAACAACAAAATATTTTGAAAGTAAGTTCCACGTATTTATTTGCCACTAACACACTGACTGTAAAAGATATGAAGCATATATACAAAAATTAACATAACCAAATATACATGCAATTAACCTTTTATATAGCTGTGTCTTTGTGGTTTCCATCTTTTCTCCCCCCACCTCTGAAAATGTTTACAATTTGTAATCTCCCTCTCAGTACTGCCTGTAATTATATGGAATGATACCCATCCAGAGGAAGGGGTTGTAAGGGGTCACAGAGGTTTGCATTAGAAGGAGTAAAGTTTGAAAACCTTCCCCAGACATTCAGTTATGCCCTATTCTAGGGCATATCCTTCCCCTCTTCATTTAGGAATTATTCTGGTCTTTTTAGATGTCATATTTCCATAAATCTGCAGACTATATTCATTCATCTCCACTAGCGAAAAGTTCCACATTTTATATTAATTTTTTTTTTTTTAGAGATAGGGTCTTGTTTTGTCACCCAGTCTGGAGTGCAGTGGTACAATCACAGCTCACTGTAACCTCAAACTCCTGGGGCCAGAAATGATCCTCCCACCTTAGCCTCCCAAGGAGTTGGGACTACAGGTGCACACTAACATGCCCAGCTAATTTTCTAACTTTTTATAGAGACAGGGTCTTCCTGTGTTGCCCAGGCTGGTCTCAAACTTCTCGCCTCGAGGGATCCTCCCACCTTGGACTCCCAAAGCACTGGGATTACAGGTGTGAGCCACCACACCCAGCTTACGTTAATTTCTTCAAATAACACATTTTTATAGGAAAAAATTATCGTGGGGTTTTATTGATATAGGAGTTAAGAAGAAATTAGGCAGATAGTGAGGGTACAGGAGTCCTTGGTAAGGTTTTCCTTTTAATTAAAAGCAGCCCTCAAATCATTTCTTTTCCTAACAAAGAGCAGACTGTAAAATGAAGTTGCAGACATAGGCAAGCAAGGTGGAAGCCTGCACATGCAAATGCCTGAAGTTGTGCCAATAGGAAAACACTACCTGGAACTGAGAGGTGACAGCGTGCTGGCAGTCCTCACAGCCCTCGCTCTCTCTCTGCGCCTCCTCGGCCTGGGCTCCCACTTTGGCGGCACTTGAGGAGCCCTTCAGCCCACCGCTGCACTGTGGGAGCCCCTTTCTGGGCTGGCCAAGGCCCGAGCCGGCTCCCTCAGCTTGCAGGGAGGTGTGGAGGGAGAGGCGCCAGCGGGAACCGGAGCTCCGCGCGGCGCTTGCGCGGGCCAGCTGGAGTTCCTGGTGGGCGTGGGCTTGGCGGGCCCCGCACTCGGAGCAGCCGGCGGGCCCTGCCGGCCCCAGGCAAGGAGGGGCTTAGCACCTGGGCCAGCAGATGCGGAGGGTGTACTGGGTCCCCCAGCAGTGCCAGCCCACCGGCGCTGCGCTCGATTTCTCACCGGGTCTTAGCTGCCTTCCCACGGGGCAGGGCTCGGGACCTGCAGCTTGCCATGCCTGAGCCTCCCACCCCCTCCATGGGCTCATGTGCGGCCCGAGCCTCCCCGACGAACGCCACACCCTGCTCCACGGCGCCCAGTCCCATCGACCACCCAAGGGCTGAGGAGTGCGGGCCCATGGTGCGGGACTGGCAGGCAGCTCCACCTGCAGCCCCCGTGCGGGATCCACTGGGTGAAGCCAGCTGGGCTCCTGAGTCTGGTGGGGACGTGGAGAACCTTTATGTCTAGCTCAGGGATTGTAAATACACCAATCAGCACCCTGTGTCTAGCTCAGGGTTTGTGAATACACGAATCGACACTCTCTATCTAGCTACTCTGGTGGGGCCTTGGAGAAACTTTGTCTAGCTCAGGGATTGTAAACACACCAATCGGCACTCTGTATCTAGCTCAAGGTTTGTAAACACACCAATCAGCACCCTGTGTCTAGCTCAGGGTTTGTGAATGCACCAATCCACACTCTGTATCTAGCTACTCTGGTGGGGCCTTGGAGAACCTTTGTGTCCACACTCTGTATCTAACTAATCTGGTGGGGAGGTGGAGAACCTTTGTGTCTAGCTCAGGGATTGTAAACGCACCAATCAGCGCCCTGTCAAAACAGACCACTCGGCAGTGGCAACCCGTTCGGGTCCCCTTCCACACTGTGGAAGCTTTGTTCTTTCGCTTTTTGCAATAAATCTTGCTACTGCTCACTCTTTGGGTCCACACTGCTTTTATGAGCTGTAACACTCACCGCGAAGGTCTGCAGCTTCACTCCTGAGCCAGCGAGACCACGAACCTACCAGAAGGAAGAAACTCAAGAACACATCCGAACATCAGAAGGAACAAACTCCAGACGCGCCACCTTAAGAGCTGTAACACTCACCGCGAGGGTCCGCAGCTTCATTCTTGAAGTCAGTGAGACCAAGAACCCACCAGTTCCGGACACAGAACTACGTGTTCAAAACGAGAGCTCTATCTTCCCTTCTCTTTGCCAGCCACATGTACAGTAAGGAGTAGACAAGATGGCGCTGAGCAAGTGGAAAGCCCATTTGCATAAGATTAGGGTGGGGCAACCAGCCTTCCCGGCGCCGTGTAAACTTCACACCTGATCAAACCAATTTGTGGCCCCCACGTAAATCAGACAGGGACTCCTCAAGCCTGCCTCCCTGCTGCTGCCCGCTTTTCCCTTTTGATCTCTCTCTGGCTCTGACTCTGTCTCTGTCTCTCTCCCCTCCCCCGTCTCACCTCTCTCTCACAAGAGATTTTATTATCATCCAATGTCGTTCAGGAAGAGGATCATTTATTGCGTACTTTTTACAAGTTCAGCACTGTGCTAGCCTCTGTGGGGATTCCCAAAACAGGAAGTAGACAGGTGCCATAGGATGCGCAGAAGGAAGCGCTGGTGTAGGTGTGGTCCACAGATGACTGGAAGGGAAACGGAGCTTGCATTGGTGTCATTACCAACAGGTTTGTGATATGTATACATTTCTGGATGCAGTATGGTTAAACAGGCGCATTTAAAAGAGCCCCCACCCCAGAGGGTGAAAATATAGACCAAAAAAAAAGTTCATTAAAAAGCAAATTTTCACTAGTGGCTCTGTAACTATGAATTTACATTTTAAATTTCCTGATAACTTTTCAACCACAAAGATTGAGAGCCTGGCCAAATTATTTGGTTCTCTGCCCAAAGATTGGTAATAGAGTCACGTAGAATATTTTTTTCTCCTCTTTAAAGATGAATCAGAGGATGCTGGGTTTCACTGAACATTTCTGAAGATTTTCCACATCACAAAGCCCTCCAGGCACAGCTCAGCATTTTGTAGAACAGCGTTAAATCTTAAAAGAAGTAAAATGCTGCCCTCTCGTGGCGGATATACAAAACTGATGAAAACAGTATTCCTTCCTGTTATTGAAAAGCAGCCAAGTCCAAAGCAGAGAGCAGTATTTAGATTTTAAATGAGTTTGCAAATAAAAAGACTAGAGTACCTTAATATGACGTGAGTAAACCTTTCAGGAAATAAAATTTTAAATCAGATCAGATCAAAGTGTTCCAAAATGGGGCTTAATACTGTAATTACCACCATGACTCTGCATATATGCAGATTTTCCCCCAAGGAGTTCAAACTTTGACTCAAAATCCAGTAATCTTGAATCCTGGTCTAATCCTTACCATCTAAAGAAAGCACACTTAGAGTAATTGTTCAATAGAAAATTTATCAGGTCCTTCCTCATCCTGCCCCCAGCCAGATGTGTTCTCTTCCTGCTCTGAATTCCAATAAGACATAATGCTACATGTATATGGGTCTCTTTTTCTGTCGGCACGTAATAGTTTTAGAACCTTTGTGGCCTCTAAGATAGGCATGACACGTGGTGCATGCTTAAGAAATGTTTGAATAAATGAATGAATAAATAAATAGGAATTAAATGAATAAATGTATAGCTATGATAAATATTCCCTATTTCCCTTATTTAAGCAAAAAAAAATTACTATTTGTTATGCAAATACCAATGCCTGCAAGTCTTGTTGCACTGGCTCAGAGGCCATGCAACATATCTTTGAAAACAGTCAGGAAGGCAAGAGTGGCTCCAAATCAAGCCTGGGTGCATTGCTGTACTTTGTGGACATCAGGAATGGGCACTCTGGCTCTGCCTACTCCTGGATAGGCCCTACAAGGATTATACAGATTCTGACACATAAAAGCAAGGGAGAAGAATACCTGAGAAGCAGATTAAGGCAGGGTTCCTCACCCCACTGCCCACAGGAAATTCTCTTCAGTGGGCCACAGAGCTAAATGTACAAGCCAAATGCTTCCTGAAAGGTTGGTGCAGATGTAGTAAACAATAGCCTATGTAAGCACCACTGAACCACATCAGTCTAGAAGTTTCTGTTTCTGATTCAGGCACTGTTCCCAGGTCAGGTGCTCTGTGAGTGCTAGCTGGGAGTGGTGGTGTTGGTGGTGGTTGAGATATAACAACACATAGCAATATTAGATGCCTATTAAGTTCAGGCTCTGAATGACTCCTGCTTGCCCTTGGACAAGCAAGCTGGGAATGTGTGAATGTCAGCAGTGGGTATTTATACTTGGCTCCAAACTTCTCCAGACAAGTTCTTACTTGTTCCCCTCCACCAGTGGTTGCTTGAGCCTTTCTGCTGTTTAGCCTCATTCCTTTAAGCTGTGAACCCAGACTCCTCTTTTGAGTCCTTTTATGGATAACTTGATTCAGTCACAATGCAACAGACTCCAGGACAACTTTTTTTTTCTCTATCTCTGGCTCCCAGAACCACAGCATAAATTTAAAAAAAAAAAAAAAGGACTCCCTTCTGTGCACTTCTTGGGCACTGTGACAGCTGAAGGACAAGCCTGCCTTTCAGCCAGGATTCCATTTCCCTAGAGAATATTAGGTATTGGATGAGATAGGAGATGAGAGGTAAAAATGAACAGTGGCACACACACACACACACACACACACACACACACATGCTTCTAATTGCCAAACTTCTCTAAAGGATGCTTGAGACCTGTCCCACTTTCTTTAGCATTTACTAATTCCTTGACTTCCTCTGACCACAATACCCAGGCCTCTCTCTTATGGAGCTCTAGTGGCCCCCCTTGCTGAACATCATGGTCTTCTCTCAGTTCTTATTCTCTTTGACATCTTGCCAACATCTGACTTTTCTGACATCCTCAATTGCCTGTTCCTGGAACAGTCTTCTGATTTTCCTCCCAGGACTAATCACAAGTTAGTAAGAATCCAAGCAACTTTTATTTCTTTCATTGATTTATTTATTTTTTGAGACAGAGTCTTGCTCTGTTGCTCAGGCTGCAGTGCAGTGGTGTGATCATGACTCACTGCAGCCTCAAATTCCTGGGCTCCAGCAATCCTGCCATCTCAGCCTCCCAAGTAGCTGGGACTATGGGTATGTGCCACCATACCCAACTTTTTTTTTTCTTTTTTTTTTTTTGGTAGAGGCAGGGTCTTAATATGTTGCCTAGGTTGGTCTCAAACTCCTGGGCTCAATCAGTCCTCCCACCTCAGCTTCCCAAAGCACTGGGATTACAGATGTGACCACCACACACAGCCCATTTCTTTTAAAGCGTCCCAACATTTCCATATGTTTTAAATATTTATTGCTTCTAAATTAAAAGTTTAATACATATTCACAAAATATAGAGACATGATCTCATTTAGAGATCCAAATGTGAAGCTTGTGTGACTGTGAAGGCCCGCTGTGATGGGGCCATTGTAATAGGTTTCTCTTACCTCTCTACCTGGCTTTCACATCTCCTTCAATAACTTGCTTCCTCTTCTTGCTGCAAGACTGGGTCCTCAATCCCAATCTCTCTCCACTTACTTCCCCTTTGCCTACCAATCCTGCCTTCTAGCACCAGATGGTTTTTTGTTGTTGTTGTTTTTTGTTTTTTAAGATAGAGCTTCACTCTTTTGCCCAGGCTGGAGTGAAGTGGTGCGATCTCAGCTCACTGCAACCTCCACCCCCCAGGTTCAAGCAATTCTCCTGCCTCAGTCCCCCGATTAGCTGGGATTACAGGTGCCCACCACCACACCCAGCTAATTTTTTGTGTTTTTAGTAGAGATAGGGTTTCATCATGTTGGCCAGGCTGGTCTCGAACTCCTGACCTCAGGTGATCCACCCGCCTCGGCCTCCCAAAGTGCTAGGATTACGAGCATGAGCCACCACACCCAGCCCAGTTGTCATTTTTATACTAATGACTACTCAATTGATGTACCAAACCAAACCTCTCATCCAAGCCTGGATTCCAATACCTCTAGTTGTCTACAGAACATCTAAATCTTACCATTTGCAAACTGAACACATCATCCTCCCTCTGGTTGGCAAACTAGCTTTTCTCTTTCTCCTATCTCAAATCTTATCTCAGCAGAAGCCAAGGGTTCCATATAGGGCTATCTGTAGAGAAGAGGGTGCTCATCCTATTTCAGCTTTCAGAATTATGATGGGTATGGTGGTCTAAGACAGAGAAATCAATTTGAAGGAATTTGACAGAATATTATAGCTAGTTATAATGGGATGGATAGTAAGCTGTTAGACCTTTCCAGAAAAGAAGTTCTCGAAGTAAAAGGCAGAGTTCTGACCTTTTATATAGAAACTGGTGCAATGGTTATGGGTGGAGGGGCAGCTGTTAAGGATGTCCAGTTTAGACATCTCTTAGCAAACTGGAAAGCTATCTCCTTCATGCTTATACTGAAGACCCATTTGTTAATTACATGCATGTTGTCTTAGTCCATTT